>NC_000004.12:171421381-172046381 GCF_000001405.40 Homo sapiens
ACTGAGCTGCTAAAAGTGAGATCTTAGAAAATACTCAGAATTATTAGATTAATTCTAATAACTTGACTTTGAAAACTTTCATAAATAAGTCAATATTGATTTTGTGGTCAGCTTTAAAATGACTTTCCTACATCTGATCCATTGGGTCATTACAAGAAAAAATTGTTAACCACATGATCATGCAGTTTGTATTCTGTAAGTTGGCTGCCTCAAATTTCTTTGCTCTTTTCATTTTCACATGGAACCCCAGCCAGAAATGACAGCCAGAGGACACTCGTCCATTGGTTTTCCAACATCACAAGTCATGTCAAAAAACCTGCCTACAGATTATGCTCTTTCTATTCCTATCCCCATCAAAAAAGAAAGATATATTGGCCATGCAATTTCATTCACTTTTAAAGGTGTGTTTGCTCTCAACATAACTATTAGTAGTCATAGAAAAAGTTTAATGTAGTTAGGATAATAAATATTATCATAACATTACATTGTAGGTGTTTAAATTTATTGGTTACATTTTTCTCAGGTAAATAGCAGGGGCATTCTGAATAAGTAAACTCAGAAATGGAAAAGAGGTGATTTCAGGCGGATTTGCCTAAAGAAATTAGAAGGATATATAAAATTAACTTTGTGACTTTTTTTTGCTTTATTTTCTCCATTAACCTCAAAATTGTCCTATGAGAAACAGCATTTCTTCAGTTTTTAAAAGGAAATTGAGGCTTAGAGATACTAAATGATTTACCCAATGTTACCCACCTTAAATGCTAGCTTCTAAAATGGAAGTTTCCTTGTGCTAAGTAAACCACCTGGCAAAAAGTAGATAAGAGACATTAATTTTTATGGTTTCAAAGGAAAACAAATGTACATAATTACACTCAAACAAACACATTCTTTCCCAAAATAAGATTATCTAAATATCATAATGAAAACTAGTAGTTTGACCATGAACTCTGAATTTTTTATCTTCTAAGTCTGTTAAACTAATGCAAACCTCAAATTCTAAAATGCAAAAAACTTTTCAAATTGAAAACTTTTTGTTTTGCTTTCTAAATATATGAGCAATATATAGCAAGTGTACTTATTACTCCTACTTTATTCTGATGGTTGCTATTAATGTATTTTTCCAATTATAGTTCTTTTTTTGTTAATTGAAAAATCTAGCATTTAAATCCAAGGTTGCTAAGTGATAAGCTGAGTGAAAACTGAGACACAAACCATAGGTTAACAAGAATTTCTCTTCAGAGAAAACACTATCTACTTACAGTGTATGCAATTGATTGATATATAGAAATTTGCTGTATTCAGCATAGGTTAACCTCAATTGATAAACATTATAATAAGGATTAAAACAAATAGCTTAATTCCTCCTCCACCAGTCTCATATGATGACTGGTTTGAATTAAAGATATATTTTAGCAGTCAAGCTGTAGGATTACAGATGAAGGAAATAATAGGAGCTTGCGTATGTGATCACTTTTCTAGGCTTGAAATATCATTAACTAATTCATTTCTTGCAGTTTTATTTATTAGTTATGCAAATCTGCAGAAATCACTTATTTAGCAATATTTCTTAGAATGATACTTAACAATTATGTCAGCAGGGTCTGGATGTGTTGATATATTGTTCAAAATTTTCTGGGATATGTAAGGCCCACTGCAATTATCACTCACTACAGTTACACCCTAAACAATGTATTTCTAGTCTGATAGAATTAAAACTTTAACTATCACTATACTAGCAAGTTTATTACCTGATGCTGTACTATTTTATATTAATTTACCGGTACATTTTTCTTCATCTTCTATCTACAAGGTTGTTAGATGTTTATTTTTATTTGTCTCATAAATCCTGAGCAGTCCAATGCCAAAACATTTTTATGTTATGTATTGTAAATATACAATTGACCTTTGAAAACCACAGGTTTGAACTGAACGAATCCACTTATATGTGGATATTTTTCAACCAAAGGCAGGTCTAAAATACAATATTTGTGGAATGCAAAAGCTGTGTACACTGAAGCCAGACTCTTCAGCAGGTTTTATAAGGCTAATTTCAGAACATGAGTATGCACAGATTTGGGTTTACACGGGAGTTGGGATGATGTGCGGGAGAGTCCTGAAAGCAATCCCCTGGCATATAACAAGGGACAACAGTATATCTAATTTTTATTTTCCCCACTAATTTATGAGTACTTTGAAGGTAGTCTCATCTTCTTTCTTCATTAAGTAATGGAATGTACTAATGAGAATACATTTTCACAAGTTCAAATACATATTTACAATGTTCTTATGTGAAGTATGGTATTATTTCCATTATACAGTCATGAATCTGAGGCTTGCCCATTGTCCCATAAATAGAAAGCAGAATATCAGAGTTTGTCTATGTCTGTCTGAATTAAATATCTATACACATCCTTTTACATTATTGGCCTAACTTTCTTTGTGTGTGTAGATGTGTGTATGAGGGGAGGGGCAACCTTCCTGTGTACCTGTTGACCATTTTGTCTGTTGAGCATTTCTTTGTAATTTCTTGCACTGTTCCTGGGGAAAGAAAGCATTAGACTCAAACTTTTATATATTCTGTTCTTTTCCTCATTAATGTTTATTTAACTTTAAATATACTACAATAATAAATCAGTTGTGTCTAGAGTAAATATCAAGTTTAATTTTCAATTATTTTATTTTTTTCAGACTTTGCTGTCTAAATTAATTTTAAGAAAGAAGTTATACTAAGTTATAAAAGATAGCAAATTTAAAAAACTCAGCTTAATTCAGTTTTCAATTGACTCAACTTATCTGTCACACAAACGGTTTATATGCTACATAATTCCAGAGTAGCTTACTCTCCTCATTCTTGGCCAGTTGTCTTACTTCCTAGACAGAAAGGCTGAAATAAAAGTCCACAATTCTTTTCTGGTTGTAAAGCCCAGATCCTGCACACTGGTGTGCTGGACAGAGAGTGGTCCTGGCTTTACCAGAATTTGCTTTGAGGGCCTGGCTAACACAATGTTGTAGTATAGGGGATTTGAAGCTCCATGAAGCAGCAGGGAATTGGGACACAGAATGCAGTCGACAGATACTTTATTCTTTCTCCCACCAATAGATAGTCTGAGATTCAATAGTTTCATGTTGCTTTGTTGAAAATGCCCTACAAGACTTTGTATATTGCTGTTACTAATGAAATTATGCTGTATATTAAACCATCCCTAAGACATCGTATTTCATAACCACCACCATTTAATTTTACTGAAACATCTCTAGGACAGACTGGGTTTGACTGTTGTAGATAATTTTAGCCAGAGTTGCTCATTGCTATGGGTTTACATCGGATCTGCTCAAGTTTTTCTCATTTATCTGGGACTAACAGGTAGCTTGATGGGCAATAGAGAAGCCTAAACCCACAAGCACATTTAAAGTCTCTGCTTGCATCATCTAGTAGTATTCCAATGGCCAAAGGAAATCATATGTCCCAGCTTCATTAAACACCTTTTTTTTTTTTTTGAGATGGAGTCTTGCTCTGTCACCCAGGCTAGAGTGCAGTGGCACAATCATGGCTCACTGCAACCTCTGCCTCCCAGGTTCAAGAGATTCCCCTGCCTCAGCCTCTCAAGTAGCTGGGACTACAGGCACACACCACCACACCTGGCTAATTTTTTGTATTTTTAGTAGACACGGGGTTTCACCATATTGGCCAGGATGGTCTCGATCTCCTGACCTCGTGATCCGCCCACCTCGGCCTCCCAAAGTGCTAGGATTACTTAAAGGCGTGAGCCACTGTGCCCGGCCTAAAAACCTTTTCTTTCTTTCTTTTTTTTTCTTTCTTTTCTCTTCTTTACTTCCTTCTTTCCCTCACCCATATTTCTTTGAAATTGCATCCAATAAAACATTAGTACAAAAGCATTTGCTTTAGAATCTATTTTCTGATGATTATGAACTAAAAGTGTTGGTATCAGGAATTACAAAGAGACTTCAGGATGGGATTTGGGATTTGGATTCTATATGACAATATAAGGGCAGACAGGCATCCCATAATGACTGATAAGGAGGCTCATGAAACCACCAGTAGGCAGTGGCATCACAATTAGGAATACTTTCATTTGTACTTCACATTCCTCACCTAAACCCAGGCCCTATGGCTTGGATCACTATTCTAGGCAATCAGTTAGATTAGACAGTGCTGGATGAGGATGAAGAAAAATTAAAAAGTTGGTGAAGGGAATAGATTATGAAAACAAGTTGTAACCAAGGGACCAGCCGTTGTATCAAGTCTTTTAAGACATTGCCACTTTCCGCCTCTTCATCTCTTCTTGAAGAAGTGAGAAAACGTTATTGAGATCAGGTTATTATGAGACACTTGAGTGAATAAAAATGATGCAAGGACTGTACTGGATTTAGTTCATGTGACATTTCAGATTGTCAGTCTTGCCTAATTCCCCTCTGAATCTTAGCAACTTTCTCTGCTGGTCCTAGGGAGAGCTTGCATTTTTCTTGGAATTATAAAGTCTATGCTGCTGCATCTCCCATCAAAATTGTCACTAAAGTCTCCATGTGCACATATGGTTACAAAGAGAGATTGGTGTACACACATACTGGCTAAGCTCTGTACCCAGAGGTGTTGGCTTCCCCAGGGCCTGAGTTGAGAGGCTAGATGAGCTAGATGAGATAACCCAAAAGCACAGGAGAGTTGGTATGCTGTTGGATGAACAGTCCTGTGGGAGATGGAAGTAAGAGGGAGGCAAAGATGAATAGCTTGTGCATCTTCCACATGTATTCCAACTGAATATTCTAAGATGCAATGGTTTCAAAGTCTGTCTAAATATTATCGGGGGAATGAGCAATCAGTAACATTATTTCATAGTTGTGACAAGTGTAGTAAGAAATCTCCTTTATTGCCCTTTCTTCACTTTTTCTTCACTTCCTATTTTCCCTCACTTCTTCACTAGGAATCTCTCTTCTTCTACCTCAATAAAAAAAATAGTATGAAAGTTTCTTTGTCTCAAATTATTTTTTCTAGGAAACATGGCAAAGATAAAATTTAATCATGATGTATTTTTACAATTTCACATTCTCTCCACCACTTTTATGATATGTTGATAAATAAAAAATAAATAAGGTAATGAACATTATTGGTGGAAAAACAACCTTATAAGCAAAGTACTCCCACTCTTCCCAGCAGCGTATGATGTTGCTGCTCTATTAATTTCAGTGTTTAGATTATGCAGAATGAGCCTCCAGCAGACCATTACCTGGCAACAGCTAGAAATGCAAACACATTGCTAATTGCAGATTACTTTCCCCAGCCAATCAGAAACAACATAATCATAAGCTATCAGGTACAGACATAGTAATGCGAATATCTGCGAATACTACTTTCCAAGAAAATCTGAATTGCTGCACTGGAGAATGTTATTTGGCTGAAAAGAAGGTAACCATTGCTTATTTCAAAGTACAGCATGTCCTCTGACACACATAAAATAGGATGTTAAAAACAATAATAATGAAATGACTTCAGTAAGCTGGCCCTCTAGTTGCACCATGTGACAGAAATCCCATTAACTTAAAAGGGAAGATTTTCATCTTTCACACCTGAACTCTGGAAGTAATAAAGTAGGCGTGCAATTTCTGGCACAACACCTCTTTTTTATACACTGTTATAGAAACATTTTGGAAGTGAGGAGAAATAGCTAATCGCTAAAGAATTTAACATTTTGCATCAAAAGTCCAGGAAGGAAAATTAGAAGTTTTAGAAATTAGACTTCAGAATTCGTATGTTTATGATGTGTGTAGAGATTTGGTAACATGAGAAAGGTGGCATTAAAAATATTCTGTCTTCATGTTTGTGCTCTGTGTAACATGCCTCTGCAATCTAAAGTGCTTACATCTTGAAAGTTTAGATTTAGAAAAAAAAAAGCACAAATTACTTAGCATAATAAGCAAAGACATATATTGATTGTTTATTGTGTTAAGCACTTTATATGAAATATCTCACTGAATATATCCAGAGATCTATAAGAGTGGTAATAAATACCATTATCCCTATATAATTTATAAAGTATCTAAAACTTGTAGCATTTTTGTTATTTGCTGTTTCATAACTAGTAACTGCCAGAGCTGGAACTCAATTCCAATGTTGTTGGATTCCAGAGTTTATGTTCTGTGAATTGGATTTACAATAACATTTTTGATAATCATCTCGCTCACTAGAATCAGGGTGAGCTTTTTTTCTCTGTATTTTAAAATTCAAGCTTTTGCCAGCCCCAAACACCTACATGTCTTGTCTTCTCTGCCTGAAATGCTTTGTCCACAACATCTGCATGACTAGCTAATCATTCAGGTGTCACTAAAAAAAAAAAAAAAAAAAAACTTTGCTGAAGAGCTTTCCCTGATCAACCCATCTGCAACATTTATCCTTCTCTTTCACTTTCTATAGCACCATCCTATTTTATTGTCCACCTTAATACCATTGGAATTTATATTGTTAATTTGCCTGATTTCTTGCTTTTTTTTTTTTGGTCTCCACCAGGGTAAAATAGCAGGGACCTTGGGTTTCTTATTCATTACTGATTTCTCATGACCTGTAAAACATTCAGTAGGTCATCAATAATTATCTATTAAATGAATAAAGGCATATTGTGTTAGGAACACATTGTGGTTCCAAACCATTCTGTATTTTAAACATTAGGCATAACTTCAAATAACAACAAAAAGCAACTGTTTGTTAGTGTAAACAGCACAAACTCATTAGTTACAAAGATATAACATTAGAATCACAGATTTTCTAACTACCAGGTATTCTCATTCTTCATTTCTTGAATTAATAGTCTTTCTCATTCTCAAGAGCCTTATCAACTGTACAGATATATCACCCCCTCAACACACATATATTCTACTAAAACTACCTTTCTCGAAAGTCACAAATTAGTGCTTAATCACTAGAACAACATCCCCTGTGCACTTAATGTTTTTTACCTTTTTTCCCAGAAAGCTGCCATACATGCATTCTTTTTTTTTCACCTTCCTTAACTTGACGATCCTCTGACTTTCCTGCTATCTGTCCACTCATTTTCACCACCTGACTCCCCTTTTTCCTCATGAACATATCGTATGTGACAATTTCACAGAGTTTTGAAATTGGCATTTCAGACTCACTGCAAATTTAGTCATTGCAATTACATTATGTTCTATATACTATGTTAGATGTTAAGAAAACAGTGATAAAACTAAATCTTGATGTGAAGCCTTGGAAAGATTGAAAATGAGTCTGAGTTCCAGGCATGGACAAATGGTCATATGCTGTTCCCATTCGTTAAAATAAGAATTGTAGGAGATATACAGTAGTTTTTGAACATTCTGAGCTTAAAATTTTTCTTTTGTTTTGTTTTGTTTTGTTTTTCAGACAGAGTCTCATTCTGTCGCCCAGGCTGAAGTGCAGTGGCACATCTTGGCTCACTGCAACCTCTGCCTCCCAGGTTCAAGTGATTCTCCTGCCTCAGCCTCCCGAGTAGCTGGGATTACAGGTGCCCGCCACCATGCCCTGCTGATTTTTGTATTTTTAGTAGAGACGAGGTTTCACCATGTTGGCCAGGCTGGTCTCAAACTCCTGACCTAGGTGAACTGCCCACGAGAGCCTCCCAAAGTACTGGGATTACAGGCGTGAGCCACCATGCCCGGCCTTTGAGCTTAAAACTTCTATGCAATGTTCTAAGAGATGTGTCTATGGTAGCTAAGTGACTACTAGATTGCCTTTCATTAAAATATTGAAGAAAGTTGTGCTAATTGAGTAAGTGTGTATATGTGTGTGTACATATATACATTTAAACATTAAGCATACATGTATGCATGAGTATATAAATTCATATGTGTATATATACATACAGACACATATTTGTACATATATGTATGTATATACATACATGCACACATATATACATATATTACATATATTTAGTTGTATACACACATGTAGACACAATACAGAGTTTTATTATAAGTCTAGGTTTACTTTATGGGAATTTGAATCACAGATTTGACATGGTGAAATATAAATATTATCTCATGTTATGCAAAAAATTATGAAAAAATAAAATATTTATAATCAGTGGAGCTGAGTGAATTAAAAACTGTAGTTGGAGAAATACTGAGGTTATTAAATAAAATCTACTGAATTTCTTAATAATCAGACTATTTCTTATAGTTTTTCTAAGAACTGATACTTTTTCACATGGTTGTAGTAAAATTAACCTCTGTAGAATGTACTGTTGCAACAGCATTTGAACAGTCATTGTGTGGTGGAACCAATGATATAATTAAAAAGGTGCCTAAATTTAACCTTGAATAAAAAGTATAAAACAATATTATAATGTACATTTTTATACGTATTATTTATAAGAAAAATAAATTATATACATGTGCACACAGATTATGTGTTTGTTATTTTTATAAAATGAGTCAATTTATGTATAAAAATTTTGATGTGCCTGATGTTCCTTAAATTCTTAAGAAGGCTTTTGGAGATAAAATATAACTCTTAGTTTCAAGATAAAATTAATCAATCCAATCTGTATTTATTGTAAAAATATCTGTTCTGCCTCTTTTATTTTGGAAACTTTAATCTTGGAAATGAAGTTCACTGGGTGACTTAATGGTATAGCATCAAGAGTGAGTGTTCCAGGACAGATAGATAGCTGGTTACTGAAGTGCCATAATTCCAAAGCACACTCATCTGTCTAAATATGGTTCCTAGCTGAGCCACTGTTTATATATAGATAGAGTTGGAAGTACATATGGAAGCCAAGAATCCTACAGTAAAACAATGACAGAAAGAGACATACTATATATCATAAAGTTTGTTTACTTCTATTTACTAAACTTTATGGACTTCACATTTCAAACAAAGAAAACTTCAAATTAGGAAACTGAGTCATAACATACATTAAATGGATAAAGTATTACCAGCAATGTCTCTTCACACTCTTTAAATCAAAACAGCCCCCTTGACTTCCTTAAAAGACTGCCTATGTCACCAGTAAAGGTGTCCAATTATAGCCAAAAGTAACTCAAATTAGAAAAGTATTTGCCTACCCTTCAGAGAATATCAGGACTAATTACTTCATGGACTAAGTCTTGTTTACCTCCATTTCCATAAGAAATCCAACTTCACATGGTGTTATTCATCAGTTGACCCTCTGCATCATGTCTCTCCACTTCCCCAGTATGATCCAATCACCTACACCTCTTTTGAGCTCTAGCCTTCACTGCATTGTGCAGATTTTGTGCTCTGTCATCAGCATATCCCCAAATACTTAAACATCTCTTTAGTCATGCCATCCTTTTCTTGTTCAAAATGAAACCTGTTTTTTTCATTATTAGTCTTCTCTTATGCCACAGGTACCACAGGGCCTGGAGGCGGAATGGGTGATCTTTCTGTTCTTCATCGCCCTTTCAGACATTTGTCTCCCGCTTCACTCCCAAGTTCTTTGATGGTAACAGCTTTTTCATGCTATTATTATCACTAACTGCCTAATCTTAAAACTTTTTTACTGGATGCCACCCCTCATTTCTGAAATAATGATCCATGTTCCATCAGTACAATCAATGGTGTCTATACATGTTCAACACCGTTTCCTTATTCTCTCACTTTTCAACTTTCTTGGCAAAGCCACAACTCTTGTTAATCCAATTTTCTATATTATTTTATCTTCTGAAAGAAGGAGCACACACCATGTTTGATGACTTCATTTCACAGCTGCCTCTACAAACAGCGGATTTTCAATATGGCTGTGGCAAATCTACAGTATTTTTTCTACATGCTTTACCACTCTTAGAAAAGATTGTTTCATGTTATCTCATGCTAAACTTTCAAAATATGCTTTTATTTTTAGTTGACAATATTGATTATTTCATATAAAGATAAAAGGAATAAGATACTTTGTCTCATAATACTTTATCTTGCCCAGATCTCATCAAAATCTAACATTTACATTTATACCACAGTGCAAGTTCTTACTTCGCCAAAGATTTTCTTCCGACAGTTAGACCCTCTTTCTTGCCTTCAGAGTTTTGCTTTTCACTGTTGATGACTCTCTTTAGAATAAAAACTACGTGCAATATAGTCAATCTAAAAAAAGTTTAAAAATGCTAAATGAGACTTCTGTTTTGGGGAAGATAGATGAAATACCCTATTTTTCCATATTTTCTCTGCTACATACAACTAGATACCTTGGTCTTCATATATAAAACAAACGAGAAGATTTGGAAAGGTGGAAAGAGGAAGACAGACTGGATAAGAACACAGGACTCAAGAAATGACATAATAATGTACTCCCTGGGTACTTTTTTTTTTTTTTTACTTACATATGTTTTATTTGGATGTGAAGAAGTAGAAAAAAAACAGGAAGTCCAATAGGTACAGACAATAAAAGCTAAAACCTAAGCCTGCTTTCTGTAGCCAAAGGACTGGCAAAAGGGCAACCTAGACAGATAACAAACTTTAAGAAAGTAAATGACCTACTCCATCCAAACACCACAGAGAAAATGGTGGTCTCACCTTCTTCCACACAAATAAAGGCTTAATGGGGAGCTTAGATTTCCACCCTCTGAGGGCTATAACAAGGCACCATTACCCTGCCATTTGGTTGATACAGTGAATACTTAATTGAAAAGCTAAGATTTTCATTTTTTCTCAGTGGTAGTAAGACACTGCTAGAGTCAGTGGAGATCATGCAGACAAGACAGACTTGCAGGTGCACCCAGCAGTAAACAGGCTCCCCTCTGCTTCCTACTTGGTTGTGTCACAGAAGGTCTAGTGGAGAGTAAGAATTTTTACTCTGTCTAGCAGTAATGAGACCACTCTTCTGCCATATTGTCGGTGGAAGTCATGTGAGAAGCACCTGCAAGGGACATCTAATTCTCCCAGACAGGCAGGTGTCTGTGGAGAGCTAATGGAATCCAGGAGTCCCAGCCACACTCCTCAGTACAGAAAAGCCCTCTTTCTTCTCAGGCATCAACAGATAATAAGTGACAAATATGGCTGTGCCCCGTCCCACTTCCCTGGCCAAAGAAGTGTCAAAAGAAGACAGACAAAACATAAGGCTTAAATAAGATCCAGAGTTTCATTACAGAATACTCAAAATATCCACAGCACAATAAAAAAATTACTCATCATACAAAGAATTAAGAAGATTTGTAACTGAATGAGAAAACACAACAGATGTTAACACTAAGGTGACAGAAATTTTATAATTAATTGACAAAAATTTTAAACTAGCCATCATAAAAATGCTTCAATGTGCAATTAAAAAGACACTTGAAACAAATGATAAAATAAGTCCTAGCAAAAAAAAATCAGCAAAAAATGATTGCATCAGCAATAGATGTAAAGAGTAACTAAATGAAAATTTAATAAATGAAAAATGTAATAAACAATTTAAAATAAATACCTCAAACATTTGGCTCAAAAACAAAAAAACTGAAATAGGCAAACAGAAGAAAAAAAATCAGTGAATGGAAAGCTGAACAATAGAAATTTCTCTTCCTGGGCTACAGAGAGCAAATTCATTGAAAAATAAGTTAAGAGAGCCTCAAGGACCTGTGGAATTATAATACAAGATGTAATATTCATGTTATTGATGAGAGGAAAGAAGAAAAAGGGATGGGATATACATTTTTCAAAATTAATAAGTAAAAACTTGTGTAATTTGGCAAAAGGCATAAAACTATAGATTTAGAAAGATGAGTGAATCCCAAACAAGGAAAAAATAGAAACCCCACACCAAGATACATTATATAATGCTTCTAAAAACAAAACAAATTTGAAACCACTGACAGAGAATTTTTTTCATATAATATAGAGAAGAACCAATTAGAATAGCAGTGAATTTTTTATCAGAAATTATGAAGGCCAGAAACAAGTCTCATAATATTTTTCAACTGCTGAAAAGAAAATAACATTTCATGATGATTTCTCTACCCAAGAACATACACTTCAGAAATGAAGGGGGAAATTAAGACATTTTTCAGATAAAGGAAAACAAAAAGAATTTGTTGCCGATGAGACTACTTTAAAGGAAAGGCTAAAAAAAGTGCTCTACACAGAAAGGAAATAATAAAAGACGGACTCTTAGACCATCAAGAAAGAAGAAAAAACATGATAAGCAAAAATAGGGGTTAAAAAAATAGATCTTCCCTTTACTCTTGAGTTTGATAAATTATGTTTAATGGTTGAAAAAAACACTATTTGATATAGTTTTAAATAAATGTAGCATAAATTCTTTTATTTTATTATTATTATACTTTAAGTTTTAGGGTACATGTGCACAATGTGCAGGTTAGTTACATAAAAATTTTTAAGACAACTATTTTATAAACCTAAAATTATAAAAGGTCAAAAAGTAAAGTAAGGTTTATATACTTCCTTCAAACTAATAAAATGATTATACCAGTAACCTGTGGTAAAGTGTGAATATATAATGTAGTACCTATAGCAACCACTAAAAAAGCTATGCAAAGAGATATATTCAAAAATTCTACAGAAGAATCAAAATGCAATGTTTAAAAAAGTTCAAGCAACCCACAGGAGAGCAGAAAAAAGAAAACAGAGAAAGAGAAGAAAACTGCAGAACAAACAAAACAAAATGCAAAAGGCCAAATATAAGCCCTAACATAACAAAAATTATATATAGGTAATTAACTTAAATACAGAAAAAGCAGAGATTAACAGATTACAAACCAACTATATGCTGTCTATAAGAAACTCACTTAAAATGTAAGTATATAGGTGAGGTGAAAGTAGAAGAATGAAAAATATTGAAAATGTTATTCAGCTAAAATTAGGGATGGGAATATTATTAGGAGATTAAGTAAAGTGCAGAGCAAAGAAAATTCAGAGAGAAAGTGAGAGAATATGTAAAGATGAAAGGGTAAATCCACCAAGAATACATAGCTATTCTAAATGTGTATGCTCCTAACAATAGGCTGTAAATTATGTGAAACAAAAATGACATAAATGAAAAAACAGACAAAAATTATAGCTGAAGACTTCAAGACCTGCTTCTGACCTTGATAGAAAAACTAGAATGAAAATCAGCAAGGATAGATAATTCAAAAACACATTAACCAACAGATTCTAATTAATATCTATAAAACACTCCAACCAACAACAACGAAATACACAGTCTTTTAACATGCCTTTAGAATACAAAGAAAGACCATATTTGGGGCTTACAATAAGCCACAAAAGCTTTAATATATTTAAAATCATACAGAATGTGTTCCTCAAGCACAATGAGAGTAAACTGGAAATGAATAACAAAACAATAACAAGAAAATTTCCCAATACTTGGAAACTAAACACACTTCTAACCCGTCTTCTAAATAGGAAGGCTGAGGGAAACAACAATATCAAGACAAACACTGAGACGGTGTCTCATCTTACACCAGTCATAATGGCTAAGAGATCTAAAAATAATAGATATTGGTGAGGATGTGGAGAGTAAGAAATATACACTGTTGGTGGGAATGTAAATTAGTACAACCTTTATGGAAAATAGTATGGAGATAGTCAAAGAACTAAGAACAGAACTGTTATTTGATCCAGCCATCCCACTACTGAATATAAATAAATCTTATCAAAAATATACCTGTACTTACTTGTCTATTGCAGCACTATTAAAATAGCAAAGATATGGAATGAACCAAGTATCTGTCAAAAGAGGATTGGATAAAGAAATGTTACATATATACGTCACATGATGAAATACTACTCAGCCAAAAAAAGGAATAAAATTATGTCTTTGGCAGCAACATGGATTGAAATGGAGGCCAATATCCTCAGATAACTCAGAAAGTTAAATACTGCATGTTCTTCTTTGGAAGTGAGTGCTAAACAATGAGTACACATGCGCATACAAAGTGGAATAACAAATATCAGAGACTACAAAATGTGGGAGGGTCAGGGGAGTGAGGGTTGAAAAATTATCTATTGTGTACAATGTTCACTATTTGAGTGATAGGTACACTAAAAGCCCAGACTTCACCACAATGCAATATACACGTGAAAGAAATCACATGTGTACTTCTAAATATGTTTAAAAATAAATAAATAACATAATGTAACATTGAACTGCATGTAAATATGAATAAACTATATCACCGTTTGTAGGACAGAGAAGTGCTAGGAGGAAAATTTATAGTACTGGTAAAGATAAGAAACTTCAAATCAACCGTGTAAGTTTCTTTCTACCTCAAGAACTTTGAAAAAGAAGAATCAAATAAACCTAAAGCAGTCAGAAGGCAGGAAATAAATCATAAAGTAAATTATAACGATAACAGAGAAAAATCAAAGAGATTGTAAACAAAATATCAAAAAAGGAAATTAATGAAACAAAGAAGTGCTTCTTTGCAAAGATCAATGTAATTGACAAAACCACAAAAGTAGTAAAGAAAAATTGGCAAGAAACAAATTGCAATATTAGGAATAAAACAAAATATAAGTACAGACACTGTAGATTCATAAAGGGTAAAAAGAATATTATAATCAACTGTATACACAAATATTTGCCAATGATAGTGAAATAGACCAATTCCTCCAAAAACTTAAACCATCACAACATATACAATATAAAATAGATAATTTGAATAGCTCAATAACTACAAAGAGAATTGAATTCAAAAAAATTACAAAATCCCCGAAAAGGACATCTCCAGGCCTGGTTGATTTCACTGGAGAATTCTACCAAATATTCAAGAAAAAATATTATCGGTTCTGCACAATCTTTTAGAGTTTTAGAAGAAGGGAATACACTTTTCAATTAATTTTGTGAAACCATATATGAAAGCCAGAAAACATAACACAAGAATGAAACTAGAGATCAATACCCTCATAAGTAGAGACACAAAAATATTTGTAAAATATTAGCAAATAACATCCAATATCATATAAAAAGAATTAAACACCATATAGGGTTTTTCCATGCTGGTTTAATATTTAAGATATAATCAGTGCAACGCTATATTCTCAGGCTAACAAAGAAACAGAGAAAAATCACTTAATTACATTAATATATTTTCTATATTTTAATGTATTACCATATTTCTACAGTGTGGAGAAAGCATTTGAGAAACTCTGACATCTGTTCATGATTAAAAACTTCAGTAGAACATTTTTAAAACTTGATAAAGAATATATACAATAATCTTCAACTCACATACTCAATGATGAAAGACTGTATACCTGCATACTTTGCTACTAAGGTCAAGAATAAGGCAAAGATGTCCATTTTTATCACTCTTATTCAACATAGTACTAGAATTTCTAGCTATGCAATAAATTGAGAAAAGGACACAGAAATCATATAACTTAGAGAGGAAGAAAGAAAGCTATATGTATTTACAAATGGCATACTCTTTAATGTAGAAAATCTTACAGAGTCTATCAAAAATTTCTAGAACTATTGAGTTCAGCTATATTACAGAATATAAGATCAATGTACAAAAATAAAATATATTTCTAAATATTAGCAATGAATACATGGAAACAAAAATTAATAATACAATATCATTTTTAATTGTTCAAGAAATTGAAATGCTTAGGTTTCCACATCTGTACAACACATGTATAGAAATTTATGGTTAAAAAAAATACTAATGAAATGGGGATGTAGTATGGTCATGAATTGGAAGACTGAAAATCCTAAGAATGTCAATTTCTTTTTTCCCAAATGATATAGAGGCTTAATGCAATTCCTATGAAAATTTTAGATTTGTTAAAATTTTGACCTTTTCTAGAGATATATGAGGTTACCCTAAAATGTATATGAAAAGGAAAACAAATTAGGATAGCTAAAATTATTTTGTAAAATATGAAGAAAGTGAGAGGAATTAATCTATGTGATTTCAAGACTTAGTAATCAACACTGTGGTACTGGCAGACAGATAAAAACACAGACCAATGGAACAAAATAAAGAACTCCCAAATATACTCACACAATTATGCCTCACTGACTTTTTCCAAAGGTGCAAAAGTAATAAAATGGAGGAAATACAGAACTTTCAACAAACGTTACTGGAGCGATTGGACAGCTGTAGGCCAAAAAAAGAAAACAAACAAACATTGGCCTAAACCTCACACCTTGTACAAAAGTAAGCATAAATAAATCATAAACAAATATAAAATCTGAAATTATAAAACTTTTAGAAAAAATGTATGAGAAAAATCTTCTGGATCAAGGCTAGGCAAAAAGTTTCTAGATTTGGCACCAGAAACATGATTTATAGAAGGAAAAATCTACATATTGGATTTCATCAAAATTAAAAAGATCACTGTGAAATACACTGTTAAGAGGAAGAAAAGACAAGCCACAGACCGGTAGAAAGTAGTCGCAAAGTGCTTACCTGACAAAGAACTAGTATCTAGAATACATGAAGTTTTAAAATTCAAACTACCAACACAGTTAGAAAATGGGCAATGGACAAAAGCCATGTAGATATGTAGAGACATTTTAGTGAAGAAGATATACAGATGGTAAATAGTACGTGAAAAGATGTTCAACATCATTAGCTATTAGGAAAACACAAATTAAATCCACAATGAGATATTACTGCGTACCTATTAGAATGGCTAAAATACAATGTGGTGACAAGATCAAATACTGGTGAAAATTTGGAGAAACTGGATGACTTGCACATTTCCGATGGGGATGTAAAATTGTACAATTACTCTAGAAAAGAGTTTGGCAGTCTCTCATAAAACTAACTATGCGATCACCACATGACCCAGCCATTTCACTCTTTGACACTGTTGAACCCAGAGGAAGTAAAACTTATTTTCTCCTAAAATCTTGGAGAAAAAATATTCATAGCATCTTTACTGCAATAACCAAAAACTGGAAACACTCACCCAATATGTTATTTAATAGGTGAATGTTCAGCAAACTGTAAGATATATTCATACCACAGAAAGCTATTCAGCAAGAAGAAACAGCCTATTGATAAATACAACAATGCAAATAATTCTTAAGGGAATTATGATAAGTGGAAAAGCCAGCCCCACAAAATTGCATGCTTTATGATTGATTTATGTAATATTCATGTACTCACAAAATTATAGAAATACAGAGTACAGAGTATTGGTACTAGACGTTAAGGAGGGTGACTGAAGGGAATGGCTATAAAAGGGCAACATGAGGAAATGTTTATGGAGATGAAAATATTCTGTTACTTGATTGTGTCAATGTCAGTGTTTGGTTATAATAATGTCTTGCAAAAACTAGGGTTTTGCAAGATGTTTCCAGTGGGGGAAAGTGGCTAAAGAATACATAGGCTCTCTTTGCATTATTTCCACTGAATGTGAATTTATAATTATTTCATAATAAAAGTTTTAATGAAAAAATAAACAAAAGGTAAAACCACAGCAACGAAAACACTTTGAGAACCTTACATTTTGATCCAGCTACTGGTTTCATTTCTCTTTCATAACAATTTCAAAAGACTTTTTTACAGTCATAGATCTTGCTTATGTTTCCATATGACTCTTAAACAACGAACCCTAAGGAGGGTTTATTCCTTTCACTCTCCTGAAATGGCAATCTTAAAGATTCCAGTGATCCCTGTCTCACCAAATTGAATGATCAATTCCACTCCATCATTTGATTCAAACTAAATAGCAGAAACTTACACAGTTATTTACTCTTCACTTCCTGAAATATTATATTTCCTTGCCTTAAAAGATACCAACTCTTGCTATCCTTTTACTTCATGGCACCTGCTACTCAATCCTACTACTCAATCTTTCTGGCAGATTTGTCCTTCCTTTTATGACCCCATTGGAATACTCCAGAGCATTTACATCATATTAGTTTTTCACAGAAAATATTTTGTAACACACAATACATAAAACAATTCACATGTCTGTGAATAATAAGTTGGTTAACTATATTAGGGTATACGTGTGTGATGTAATACACTAAATGATACATGTAATAAGTGAGGATACATTTTAAATTTAATTTTTTTACCATTTTTAAAGTGTACAGTTCAATAGTGTTAAGTACATTCACTTTGTTGTGCAACAGATCTCTAGAAATTTTTATGTGTAAAACTGAAGCTTGTACTCATTAAACAGCTCCCCATTTCCCACTCTGCCAAGATCCTTGTAACCCCCTTTCCACTTTCTGTTTCTATTAATTTGACCATTATAGGTAAAACTCACAAAATTGCCCTCTTGTACCTCCACCACCACCTTGCTTAGGTTCACTTGGAGTTGTTTTCCTTTCCCCCACATTTATTTTTAAATTGACGTGTAAAATTGTATGTACTTATCATGTAGGCTTGTCTACCCTGAACCTCTAGCAACACATCAGTTACAGTTCAGGTTTTCCTACCCTGACACTGGTTCCTCTGAATTTTGGCTCAGGGCTTTCTGCTTTAGTAAGTTGTGATTCTGTGTCCATCTGTCTGTCTCTCCAGTTTTATGGGGAGTAGACCCCACTTTTCTGCCAGATCAAGTAGAGCTGTTGATTTTTGATTTTGCTTAGCTTTTGATTTGTTGTTAGGATGGAGGTAGGACATGTGGGTTCTTCTTATGCCAGACCAGAAACTAGAAGGGCACAAAAGTGTTTGTTTGATGTAGTACCATTTGTCTGTTTTTTGTTCTTTCTTCTGTGCTGTTGGTATCATATTGAAGAAATCATTGCCAAATCCAATGTCTTAAAATTTCCCCCCATCTATTTTAATAAGACTTTTATAGCTCGGGGTCTTATGTTTAGGTCTTTAATCCATTTTAAGCTAATTTTTGCGATGGCCTAAGAAGACAGGGTTCCCCTGCTCCAACACCTCCTGCCAGGGACTATTACTGGGAGGCCCAGCAGGAGGTGAGCATCAGATGAGCAAGCATTACCTTACCACCTGAGCTTGGCTTCCTGTCAGATCAGCAGCCTGCATTAGATTCTCACAGGGGCAGGAACCCTATTGTGAACTGTGACTGCAAGGGATCTAGGTAGTTATGTGCTCCTTATGAGAATCTAATGCCTGATGATTGGAGGTAGAACAGTTTCATTCCAAAACCATCCCCCTTCTGCCCCTACACTCAGTGCAAAAATTGTCCTCCACTGAACTGGTCCCTTGTACCAAAAAGGGTGGGGACCGCTGGCATAGGATAAGGATGTAACTCCATTCTTTCGCATGTTGACAAAGTTTTCCAAACATCATTTGTTGAAAAGATAATTGAGTATATTTTTATTTCTAAATATTGAAAGATCTGGAATAAATGAAAGCAATGCAAATAATGTATTGCTAATATTTGAGTTTCAATATAAATATTTATCTTTAAATGAATAAAATGTCTCTATAAATATAATATGTTCTATTATTTTTCAGAGGAAGGAGCTAAGTGACTGACAGACACCGACACATAAGAAAAACTTATGATTGGCAAAATAATTTTTGCACCATTTCAACGTGTTAACAAACAACTCTTTAAAAATGATAAATGAAATACAATGTTTTCTTTTCTGATTAGTTCTTTTCTTTTCTTTTTTTTTTCTAGAACAGTTTTCTTGCCTCATCTCAGTTTTTAATGTCCCTGATGTCTCAGAGAATTTAAAGCTTTTGACAGCAA
Source organism: Homo sapiens (assembly GCF_000001405.40). NCBI lineage: Eukaryota > Metazoa > Chordata > Mammalia > Primates > Hominidae > Homo > Homo sapiens. Next base: position 171,440,991 of record NC_000004.12, read on the forward strand.
GAGATGAATCATATTAATTTCTATATGCACTGAATAAGAAGAAACTCAAGCTTTTCATTACCTGAAGCAATTCAATGGATTTTATTAAACAAACAGTTATTTTTGACTCAAATTATTTTATAAAGTCATTCAATAATTCTTGCAAATAAAATAAAAATGAACATCAGCTCAGTGAATTGTTATAGAAAATGATTCTGTTTTTTTAGAAATATGGCTACAAGTAGAAAATGCATCTAGAATCTTTAATTGATCATACATTTTTTATGGATATAGAGACAGATGAGAATATATTGCATAATTATAAATTCTATTGCCAAACTACAAATCACATAAAATAGCTACAATTAGATGATGAATTTGATTGTTATCTGGTGAATTGAGCAACTCAATGATAGTAATTAAATAACATGGTAGGAAGGCAAATGCATCTTATTTGCCCCTCCCATCCTCTCCTATTCAAAAGCCTTTCTAACACTGCTTTCAAGGCACTAAATCAAATTAATATTTCAGGACACAACTCTTCCTACTGTGGGGTCCCCATGCCTTCTAAGGTAATACACTTAAGTGTGTGTTCCAAGATATTAAATCCTGTGTAACCTCTACTAAAATGCTTCAGAGCTCAAAATTGATGTCAAATGTTAATCAAAACCTTTTGGCAAGTATAGAATTTTAATGGAATTGCTTGGTTCTTGGATTAAAGCAGAATTTTAGTCTCTGAAATATAGGGCAAAACCTTGGCATATTAGATATACACTCTCCTGCATTCATTAAGAAAGGGCTATCAGGAATGCTGCTCATACAAGCTAGCAGCATTAAGTACATAGGTTTGAACATTAACCTTATCATTTCATGAATCTAATTGATTTGACTGTCTTGGCCTTTGACAACGAAAACATACAGCAGGGATTCCCATCAATTTTACTCATCTATCTTTCTTTTAAAACATGTCTTCACCTATCTTAGCTAATTTTATCTAGACTTGTTCAGAACTCCAGAAAATGGGCTTACTTAATATTATTCCTTTGCTTCTCATTTTCTCCCTCTCATTTTCATATACAGGTAGTAGAAAAACTTTTTTATGTTATATAAAAGGAAAAATAATTTGATCTCTGAAGTCTTTTACCGAGATTAGGAACAAGGAAAAACTGGCTCTTCAGGTTCTTGGATGGAGTTTGAATAGTATACCCTCAGCCACTCGACTGTTTATTAATTATTATGATTAATTTCTTGGGAGAAACATATTGTCAACCTCGAGAAAAGAAAAAATATATATACTACTTTTCTAATGAAAGAATAGATATTTTGAAGTGTCAAAAATAGAGCATTTGCCTCTTATAATTCATTTTTTAAGAAAAAATGTATTTCTATATGAAAACAGTTGTCCATTATCTAACCAACTATAGCCCTAAAAATGAGGAAACATGAGTGTCTAAGTAGGGCTCACCGAGGACGTAAATGATAAAGTTGATTGCTAGGAGCTTGAGGCAAATTCAGCATTGTCAGTCACAATATTTTCTGAAATCATTTGTATGCTATGTATATTCACATATATTAATATTTCTGTCTCCCTTCATATTTGCTTCAAAAATATATTTAAAACAACACAGAAAGCAGGAAAATAAAAAACCAGAAATTAGACTTGTTTTACTGTACCTTTTTAATCAGGATATAATCTAAATAACATTGTACAATTATTGGCATGAGCCATATTTAGAGCTGTGCATAGTATAGCAAGGACTTCATTTTATGCCATTTAAAAATCACCCTTTGTATTTATGCTCATATTTAGATTATTTTATATTTATATAAATATAAATATAAAGTTAAGTTTTTTCAAAAATACTAAGAAAATATTTCCTAGAGGCAGAAAATGGGTGAAAAAATAAGACTTTTCTGCACATCTCTCAATTCCAGTATTTACTGCAGATTTCTTTTTGGCTTTTTAGCCGAACAAATAATTTGATTTAGAATATTAACTTTATCAACGACAAAATTCAAACTATAGTTTTCTTTTCTGTACTGTCTTTGCTAAGTTTTGTTATCGAGGTCATGCTAGTTTCCAAACTAATTTGGAAGTATAACCTTTTAAGTAATTTATCAAAATTATTTAAACTGCATAGTTCATGAAGTGTAAGGAATTTAGTTCTGGAAGAAAAACAATGTTTTAAACTTTGGTTTGCTGCTTAACATAAAAGTGAGTAGGTTATTTTGGTTTTGATTCAAAGTTCTCTTGTCTACATTGCGTAGATAATAATATACTTCTCATCCAAACATTTTGGGTTATTGTCATAAATAAACGAGATATCCTAGGTTAACTGACTAACATGAGTTGAACTTTTCCTAATTCTTAAAATAAGTTTTAGACATTAGCATAGTGCATAATCTACAGTTAAATCTCTGTAATCATTTTTGACATTAAGCTCATGGAATATTATTCTCTATCTTATTGCCTGTGAGTAATTTGATTTTTTTTTTTTTTTTTTTTTTTTTTTTTTTTTGACACAGAGTCTTACTCTGTCGCCCAGGCTGGAATGCAGTAGCGCAATCTCAGCTCACTGAAAGCTCCGCCTCCCAGGTTCACGCCATTCTCCTGCCTCAGCCTCCCGAGTAGCTGGGACTACAGGCGTCAGTCACCACGCCCGGCTAATTTTTTTTGTATTTTTAGTAGAGACGGGGTTTCACCATGTTAGCCAGGATGGTCTCGATCTCCTGACCTCATAATCCGCCCACCTTGGCCTCCCAAAGTGCTGGGATTACAGGCCTGAGAGTAATTTAATTTTGAATAAAATTAACTTTTATCTTTTCTGGATACAGGATTATGATAATTAAAAAGGTTTTAAAGCAAAGGTGATGATTATATACTTGAATATTCTCTGAATATTTATGGTAAATTTAGTTTATAAACATTTTGATTGAAAAATACAATAGACAAATAAAAGACCGTATTAAATGTGAATGTGGAGTATAGTGAATGGTTATAAAGACTATGTAACCTAGACCATTTTAGGTCTAGTGAGTCTCTATTAAGAAACATCTATACCCCTTCATAGATATAACCTCTTTCAAAGTTATAATCAATTTTTATACGTTTCCTATTTATATTTATTTTGTCTGTCGAAAATTTTCATTAATGTATACATTTTCTATTTTCATCATTTTAGTCTTCCCAATCTTACATCGTTTACTTTTTTGTTTAATTTTTGTCTCCAATATATGTCTTGTCTTTTAAAAAATTATCTCATTTTGATTTATTTCTTCTTTCTCTTTGAGGATTTGTCTTTTTTTTTCAAACTCTTGAGATGAATATTTGAATCATTAGATTTTAGCTCTTCTTCTACAATATAACATAAGCATTTAATGCTATAAATTTTTTAGAACATCTCACTATATTAGGATTCTAGAAGTTTTGCTATGTACCATTTTTATTAATATTCTAATACATTATTCTATACAATATATTATATTATATATTCTGATATATATTCTAATATATTATATATAAGATACATATAGCTAATATATATAATATATTAGAATATATTCTAATATTCTAATTTATGTTTTTCTTAATCTTTGAATAATGGGTTATTTATCTATAACTGGTAGTATGCATGCACTAGAAATTTAAAATATAATTTTGGAGTAGTAAGTTTATTGATTTTATAACATAAATGTGTTTGTCCAGAAAATGCACATTATATGATATGTGATTTCAATGATTTGAAATTTGCTAATATTTCCTTAAAACTTCATAGTTTTTCTAGTTGAATTTTATAAATATTCTTTTTAAGCTAAAAAAAAAAGTGTGCCCCGCACTTGTTGGAAACAGTGTCGTGTTGTATCCTATTTAGGTCTTGTTTGTTAACTTGTTTAAGGCTTCTGTGTATCTCTACTTTTTTTTTCTTTGTCCATTTGTTCTATCAGTTAGTAAGAGGAGTGTGTTAACATTCTCCACTCTATGGATTTTGTAATTTCCTAGTTTTATTGCTGCAGTTTTCCATGTTTTGCTGTTTGTGCCTATGTTGTTGCATGCAGCATGTATTTGTGAAGAATCAGAGAAAGAGAAAGGGAAAGAGATAATATGTCATTAAGTGATACAAATTTAGAATGATTATATCTCTCCCTATAATTGAAACTTGTGTATACATTAGCTTCAGTAATGCTCTTTGGCTTGATGTGTATTTTGTTTGCTCTTAATATAACTAAGTAAACATGCTGTTAATTAGTTTTTTATTGACAATATTTTGATTCTTATATATTTAGGGAAATATATCTTTACTATTTTTTACGTACTACTTTGGTAACTTGTAAATTGGACTTTGTTTCATGAGTCTGATTAACTTCTTTTCAATATAAGAATATAACATTTAACATAACCAGTCATATATTAGTGTCTAAATTCAGTATTCGTGTGTGTGTGTGTGTGTGTGTGTGTGTGTGTTTTGTGCCATCTGGTTTTTACCCATCTCTTATATCAGATATTATTAATTTTAATCTTCTAATGATTAACATAGAATTTAGAGCATGAATCATTATCCAAAGGAATGACATAACTCAGTACCCTTTTGACAATATGAGAACTTTAGAGGAGTTTAAATCCTGACTATTTGTATATTTTAATTATATTTGGTTTTAAAGTGATAATATTATTATTGTTTTACATAGTCATATTTATCTTGCTTTATTAATTTTATAAGCCAGAATAATCAGGAGTGATTTTATCTCCTGGAGGCATGTGGAAATGTCTGCAGCTATATTTAGCTTCAATCGGGTGGATGGGTGTGGATGCTACTGATATCTGACATCCAGTGAATAGAGGCCCAAAAAATGCCAAACAATGCTGTAACACATTGGACAGCCCTCACCCCAGAACAAGGAATTCTCCAGGCCAAACATAGACTGCTTAAGTTGAGAAATCTTGAGCTAGATAATGCTGAGATTCAAAATAAAAAGGCACATAATTGTCTACTTATCATTCACACCATAGGTTGCTAAATTGGAGTCACCTTCTCTAATCCCCCAGGTTCAAGATGTAGTCTATAATATTACTGACTGCCATGTCGGAGACAAAGGTAGTTCTGGAGCATCTTGCATTATCCATCAAATATTTGGTCTAAGAAAAGCATGTGCCATTTTTGCTCACCGTTTACTACCTATTACTAATCAGGTGGCCTCACTCCATAAAAAAAGCCTAATAAATACACTCCTGCTATGTCCTGAGGATTTAGAGAGGCAGATATAATCAAGGTGCAGCACTAATAGAATAATGATCCACCACAATTAGTCCTTGTGGTCACCAAATATTTGGCCCTCTCTCCCTCCCTTAAGGAAATATAACCACTTACCTGGAAAAACAGATAAATCCAATACTCAGTTCAGTCACAATATGATCTTAAAGACAATATCTCCACATAACTCACTGTAATTTTTAAGTAAGGTGTAATTCATGGTGGTCTGTATATGATATCTGGATGTTACTCCTCTAATGTCATAAAAAGATGATTTATTCTCATAAAATGTTCTAGAAATATCACAAGGCAGGAAAAGGAAAACTAAAACAAACATTCCTATTTATAGGGGTAAGAAAAAGAGACTCATTGAAATTACTGAACTGCAACAATTCTGAATCTTAGAGTGCAATGTCTGAAGGCTCGCTGCCTGGGGAATGGGGAATGTGCTGTGTTTGTTAATTCCATCATCTTTATAATTCTTGGTGCTATTTCTATTAGCTGAGTGTATTAATCATTATGTATAATATTAGTCTGCTTCTTTGCACATCTGATAATTTTTGATTGGCTTCCAATCAAAATTAATTGTAGTTTATATTAACATGCATTCTGATTCATTGATTTTGTTTTTAGCTTTTTCTTTCCTGCTTTTAAACCCATTCATTAAATTTCTAACATTGGTACTTGAATTATTGAATGTTTATACAATATCCAACCATCTTTTTGCTAGTCAACTCTATTACTTTTCATAATTTCTTTCTAGCTCATCTTTCTTAAAATATCATAAACATAGTAATTTTATAATTTTTGCTTAATAATCAAAAGTTGCAAAACTATGAGTTTTTTTCTGTGGTTTATTATTTCTGCTAATCTTGCTTATGGAGAAATATTCTGTGTATAGCTGTTTTTCTTTTCCTATGTGCTAATTTCCTAAAACATTATTATTAATATAAAATTAAGGATATTAATTATGGTATATTAGTCCAGAGGGGTTCTAAGTTTCTGACAGTCTCCTGAAGATAATTTACTGAGTATAATTCTTTACTGGAACTATGACAAACTGTTTTGAGGCTTAAGATTTCCTGAATGACTGAGGTAATAAAAAAAGTGACAGCTTTTTTCCACTCCAGGATTGGTACATTTTCAGTTATTTGACCCTTGATTTAACGATGTAGTCCTCTGTGCATGTTTTTGTGTTGCAAAGAAGACTCACATTTTAGAATCTTTTTTTCATCCTGGGTTATGAGATAATTTACAAGCAGAATTTGAATTTCTTCATACCTGCAAACACAGGGAAAAACCATCAATTTTACTTTTTATTTGTCTCAGTTATGTGTGCTGTTTAGTTTTAGTCCAGACATAACTTTAGTTGAATGATTTTATAACAAACATACATTTTTGAGTTTTTATATTTTTGGTCTGAAATATTTAGCTTGCTATTTTTGAAACAAGAAGTGTAAAATGTATTTTTATTTACTCTTTTTGATATATCTCTATTTATAAATATTTTAGCATTCAGCAACCTTTCTAAATGTTTCAATACATGTACTATCTATTAAATGTGTATGTATTTCAACATAAAGTCAAATATACAGTAATCTGACTTTTAAGATAAAGTAATAAAAGAAATTATGGTTTTACACAATGGAATTATGTAACATATAATTTTATAAGAAAGATAAATACAAGAATTAATATTTCTTTGGATATTGTATTTGACAGTATCCAAGAAGAGGTAGACTCCAATTAGCAAGAAAATAATCTCCTTAAAAGTTTTTTTATTTTGAAATAAATTTAGGGTGGGTTAGAGGCTGATTCTTGTAGAATCAGCTATGTGGTCATTCACCCTGTGGATGATCCTCAAAATTTTCAAGGTCATAAAATATTCAAGATCTCTGAAAATAATTGCACAATACATTGCTTAGTTGACATGGGATGCAGTATTTCTGTTTAAAAGAATTTGAACCCAGACCACAGTTGAGATTCAGATACATACAGACTTGTCATATATATCAACATCTGCAAATGGGGGAGAAAATTGTGGGGGGAGGAGACGCTGAGAAAATTGCATCAAGCTGAGTATTAAAGCCTACATATTAAAGAGAAAATTGACCTAAAAAATAATATCATCCTGCTTTGATCATCTCAAAGTCAGACCTCCATTGAATCCCTGTAAAGTATGGCAGAGAAAAAGAAGATTTATATAACTATGCTAAGGGAAGTCCCTCATAAAAATAATGAAAGAATCTTTCCTACTGACAGTACAAAATATGACAAAGGTTAGTAATGTCATATGAACAAGTCAGTTGGTGACAACGGGTGGGAAGCATAGTGACTGGTATTAATTAAGCAAGGTCATATGAGCAGTAAATACCCAAGGATATGAACTTAAAGCACATCAGCCTCTGATGACATGTGAGAACTGCATCAATCCTTTTATAAAATCCTGGTGCGAATAATTACAGTTAGAGAATAAGATATGATGACTGAGCATCTTAATAGTAAAACAGGCACAGTGTCATAATCTTGACCTCTGAAGTATTGCTGTAAAAATAATAAATTTGTATTTACATTAATTATGTGAAGCAACATATATTAATCTAAATTAGGTCACTCAACAAAGATTTTCAGAAAGTCCTTGATCAAAATTATATATATGCATAAAATGTTAATGTTAAAAGAGAGTTTCATACTAAAATTGTAAGCTGATATTGCTGAACTGAATCCAGACAATTTAAAAATAATAAAAAGGAAAGAAAATGAATGTTTAAAAAAGAAGAAAAAAGCATAAATGTGAAGTTTCTGTATTAGGAGAGGAGGGTCAATGTATTGCTTAATGAGCCCAAGGCCTACAATTACTCTCAGATAATAAGAGAGGTTTGGAGGCACATTAACTCTTTCAAACCACTAACCACCTAATTTGCAATTAGGGAATATTTCACAGAAGATATAATAGAGGCTGTTAAATGGTTTTAGATATTTCTTCAAATTTGCACCATAAAACTTTATGGAAGAGCAAAAAGCGTGGTTTATAGGTAATGATTATACAATGCAAATTAATATAAACTGTGAAAGACTTTCATTTTTAGTACGTAAATAGAATATGCATTCTTCATAAGACATGGGATACTCTTAGACTCTGTGATACTTCAAGTTAGCAAACATTTTACTTTATGATCAATTTAAGTATAAAAATTCCAGGTTGGTTTTACTTTCTTCATCCCAATTACAATTCAAAGCATCATTTGTATTTGATAGAGATAAGTATTAATATTTGAGCTGCATAGTGAGTTCTTACGGAGACTACTCAATACACTCTTGAGATTAATTTAGGCATCAGTAGAATGCAGGAAATACTAGTGTTTTTATAAGTAACATTTAAAAAATACTCAAAACTTAGTCAAAGGGTAAGTTTTTCTGTGTTTTTAGTGGTTATACCATTACATTTTCTAAGAATAGTTAATGATATAACACAAACAATAAGAAATTTAATTACTCTATTGTTTCCTTCAGTTCTAACTTTCCTTATTATTCTAGTAGTTTGTGGTTATTTTTCAGATTATATAGAATATTTTATATTCGATTTTTATATAGAATATTCATTTTTATATATAATATTTTTCAGATTATATAGAAGCCAGAAACAACACACACCTGCATTAACTTTTGCCGTGAAACAATGCCACATCAAATATGAACTTGATTTCAACCAAAACATTTTGTACCATATCTCTAGTTTGTTTTGTCCCATACCTCTAGTTTTTGTCAGGTTTGAACTACCATATGCACTATACCTTCAAAAAACCTTTAAAAGTGCTGCATTTCTAATATCATGTGAGCAGAACAGAATCACTTTTATTTATTCTAATTTCTTCAATATTTATTTTCAAAATTTATGAAAGCCTTGGAATTTATTTAAGCAGATTTATTACCACTTCATATTTACTAAGACTTTAAAATATAATTTGAATTTAATGAGATCTCCTCCATCTCAAAGAAAAATATTTTTTAGCTGCTCAAATAGTTTTTGAGCAAAATAAACACAATGTTGTCTAGTGTCCACTGAAATAAAAATATTTGGTAACTAATAGTGCCTCGTACTGTGCTGTGTATATCAGGAAACCTATTGTCACTTTATAGGGAAGACAAGCACATGTGAAAAAAAAAAGTTAATAAAATTCCCACGCAGTTTAAAAAACTACATGTCATAGTTTAGATGTTTGTCTTCTCCAAACCTCATGTTGAAATGTGATCCCCAGTGTCGGAGGTTGGGCCTAATAGGAGGTGCATGGGTCATGGGGCTGGATCCTTCATGATTAGATCAGTGTTTTCCTTGGGGAATATGAATGAGTTCTTACTTTTTTTCTTGAAAGCTGGTTGTTTAAAAAGCCTGGCACCCCAACCCCTCTCTTGCTTTCTCTCTTTCCTTGTGATTTCTGCACATAATGGTTCTGTTTCACCTTCTGCTGAGTGGAAACTCCTGAGCCCCTCCACAGATATAGATGTTGGTGCCATGCTTTTTGTACAGCCTATAAAACTATGGGGCAAGTAAATACTTTTTTGATGAATTACCCAGCTTTAAGTATTTCTTTATAGCAACACAAAATGGATGAAGATACTGTGTGATCCTGCATGATTTCCATTTGGATTTTAAAGTAGCACTTCTAACCCCTATCCTCAGCTTTGTACAGAAAAATTTTCAAAATAAAAATGACACGAATTAGCATGATTCATACAAGACAGCACAGCACAAAAGTGCAGACCTCTTTCATTCCAAAACTGTATTTACTTCCTAAACCACAACTTTCTGTTGCTACCTGGATTATTTCCTTCAGATAAGCAGCCCTAAATCTTTACCTATTCATTCATTCAGCATTCTTATAATAAGGAAGCTAATCATATTGTATATAGCTATATAATATTCTTTGCTGGACAAAGGTGTAAAAGTGCAGTAGAAAGGACAGGTACAAACTCTGTGTTCTGAGGTTTAGGATCCCAAGTGATCATAAAATGTATAGTGTACTGGATAAGAGTAGAAGTTTTAAAGTGATAAAATCCAAGTTTGAGCTTTTTCCTTCATCCTTTACCAGTTTACTGATCTTAAAAATACATTTCTAAGTCTCATATTCCCACTCCAAAATGCCAACAATATTTCTCTTAAGGTTACTGTCAAGATTAAAATAGGATTAATGCAAATAAAGTTCTTATCTATCATCCTTGAAACAAGTAAACTCTAAATAAATCATTTTTATTGCAAACTTAATCTCACTAAGTTTTGTTCACTGGAAGTGCAATTAGAAAACATTGATTAGGCCGGGCACGGTGGCTCACGCCTGTAATCCCAGCACTTTGGGAGGCCGAGGCAGGCAGATCACGAGGTCAGGAGATCGAGACCATCCTGGCTAACACGGTGAAACCCCGTCTCTACTAAAAATACAAAAAATTAGCCGAGCATGGTGGCAGGCGCCTGTAGTACAAGCTACTCAGGAGGCTGAGGCAGGAGAATGGCGCGAACCCGGGAGGCGGAGCTTGCAGTGAGCTGAGATAGCACCACTGCACTCCAGCCTGGGCGACAGAACCAGACTCCGTCTCCAAAAAAAAAAAAAAAAAAAAAAAAGAAAAGAAAAGAAAAGAAACGGAAAAAAGTAAAAGTAAACATTGATTAATATGTCCTACAACTATGTACCTTAGAAAAAAAAGATAAATATCCATTTAAACTAAGAATCTTATTGAATAATAAAATGTTAACATCCAATTAGAAATAAAACTAAGTCATTGCTGGTATAATTTTGCTAACTTCCACACTCAATCTTTAAATTTGGTGCATACTGCAAATTTTTTGTATTATTCTCAACTGTCGATTAAAGTGACACTCATTGTTATTTCTAGTGTGAGTAGTCTGACAACCATTCATTTATTTTGAGACAGATTTCTGACGTTAATTCAAATATGTCCAATTCTCCATTCAAACATATGTCTTTATAAACTTATTTATTTGTTATGTGTGGCATACTGAAACATATATTGTACAGTAATTTTTCCCAGCAATTAAAGGTTGCATTTCTTTTCTCAGTATGCAACTCCTGCTGAAGTGGAACATAGTATATAACAGGTACAATGCTAGACATTGAATTATTTGATTTCAGGAGATTTATATTAATCCTTTAGCTAGTTGTATACTCCTATCAGAAAATTAATAATCCTTTTCAGCAGATGGCAATGGGAATCAAACAAAAATTGCTGTTTCTTATTATCTTTTCAAGGAATAACGTATTAATTCTAGCCACTGCCTGGCATCCCTGTATTATGTCCTCTTCAAAACTAACTTTAGTTAATGCGTTAGATACATTTTGGGTGGTTTAAAAGAAAGTTAGGGCCGGGCACGGTTGCTCGCGCCTGTGATCCCAGCACTTTGGGAGGCCGAGGCAGGCGGATCACAAAGTCAGGAGATCCAGACCATCCTGGCTAACACGGTGAAACCCTGTCTCTACTAAAAATACAAAAAATTAGCCGGGCGTGGTGGCGGACGCCTGTAGTCCCAGCTACTCAGGAGGCTGAGGCTGGAGAATGGTGTGAACCCTGGAGGCGGAGCTCTCAGTAAGCTGAGATCGCGCCACTGCACTCCAGCGTGGACGAAAGAGCGAGACTCCGTCTCAAACAAAAAAAAAGAAAGAAAGAAAGAAAGAAAGGTAGAAAGTGTGATTTAAATGTTTAGTTGATTACAGCAAAGAGAAAAGAAACGAAGAACAATGGTATCAAGCCATGGAATAGTGTCCTGTGACTATGAGTTAATTAATTTTGGTCTATTATTTGGCCAGTATTTTTCCAATATACTTACTCTATTAACAGTTCAATATTTGCATAAATTAAATATTTTGAACGATAATAATCAGCTAATGATTATATTTTTGTTACTGTTCTAAAATTGTGATTTTTAGTTAGCTAGCAAGCTCAGTTTCTAAACATCCCAAATATAGCACTGAGGGGAATAAATAGCATATTCATCATAAATAAATACTTGACTTTTTTGGAATATTATTTTGTGCTTTGTATTGCACTGTGCACTTTACATGGATTATTTTATGTAATCATTATAATAGCATGAAATGAGTGTTATTATTACCTTATTGTTATAATTATTTATTTTAATAAGAGCAGTTTTAGGTTCCAGGAAAAATAAAATGGAAAGTGCAAAGAGGGCTCACGTGTCTGTTACTCACTAATGCATACAGCCTCACCCAGTATCAATATATCACACCCGGTTGATACATTTGTCACAATTGATGAACCACCCTTAACATCATTCTTACACAAATTCATAGTATAAATTGGGGCTCACTTTTGATATTGTCTAACCTATAGGTTTTGATAAGTGTAAAAAATGCATATCCACCATTGTAGTATTCTGCAGAATACTTTTACTTCCCTAAAAATGCTCTGTGCTCCTCTTATTTCATCCCTCCCTTCCTCAACACTACTGGCAACCACTCATATTTTCACTGCATGCTTCTATCTTTTCCGTAATACCATATGGTTGAAATCATATAGTATATAGTCTTTTAAAATTGGCTGCTTTTAGTTAGTAATAGACATTTATATTTTCTTTTTTTGACACTTAATAACTCTTTTTATTTATTTGTTTGAGATGGAGTTTCACTCTTGGTTTTTTGTTTTGTTTTGTTTTTGTTTTTGTTTTTGTTTTGAGATGGAGTTTCACCCAGTCTGGAGTGCAATGGCGTGATCTCGGCTCACTGCAACCTCTGCCTCCCAGATTCAAGCAATTCTCCTGCCTCAGCCTCCCAAGTAGCTGGGATTACAGGCATGTGCCACCAGGCATGGCTAATTTTTCGTATTTTTAGCAAAGACAGGGCTTCACCATATCAATCAGGCTGTTCTTGAACCCCTGACCTCAGGTGATCCACCCACCTTGGCCTCCCAAAGTGCTGGTATTGTAGGCATGAGCCACCATGCCTGGCCGACAACTTATTTTTTAAAGTACTGAATAATATTCCATAGTCTAGATTACCATAGTTTATTTATCCATTCAGCTGCTAAAGGTTGCTTCCAAGTTTGGACAATTATTAATAAAGCTGCTATTACAAGTTTTTGTGTGGACAAGTTTTCAGCTCATTTGAGTAAATACCAAGGCGCATGATTGCTGTATCATATGGTAAGTATATGTTTAGTTTTATAAGACCTCAACAACCTGTCTTCAAATTGGCTGTACCATTTTGCATTCCTACCAGCAATGAATGGGAGTCCCTGTTGCTCTACGTGCTAATCAACATTTAGTGTTGGCAGTGTTTCGGATTTCGGTTATCCTAGTAAGTGAGTAGGGATATCTCATTGTTGTTTCCATTTGCATTTCCCTGATGACATATGATGTTAAACATCTTTTTATATGCTTACTTGTCATCTGTATATATTATTTGATGAAGTGTCTGTTCAGGTCTTCTGCCCATTTTTCAATCAGGTTGTTTGTTTTCTGATTGTTTTTTTTTTTTTTTTTTTTTTTGAGACGGAGTCTCGCTCTGTCGCCCAGGCTGGAGTGCAGTGGCGGGATCTCGGCTCACTGCAAGCTCCGCCTCCCGGGTTCACGCCATTCTCCTGCCTCAGCCTCCCAGGTAGCTGGGACTACAGGCGCCCGCCACTACGCCCGGCTAATTTTTTGTATTTTTAGTAGAGACGGGGTTTCACCGTTTTAGCCGGGATGGTCTCGATCTCCTGACCTCGTGATCCGCCCGCCTCGGCCTCCCAATCTGATTGTTGATAGTAAGAGTTCTTTGTATATTTTTTATGGCAATCCTTCATCAGTGGTATCTTTTGAACTATTTTCTTTCAGTCTGCAGTTTGTCTTTTCATTTTCTTTTGTATATTTTTTATGGCAATCCTTCATCAGTGGTATCTTTTGAACTATTTTCTTTCAGTCTGCAGTTTGTCTTTTCATTTTCTTGGTGTTGTCTTTCTCAGAGAAGAAGTTTTTAATTTTACTGACATCAGCTTATGTATCTTGTCACTGGTGTTTCATCTAAAAAGTCCCCATCATACCCAAGTTAATCTATGTTTTCTCCTATGTTATCTTCTAAGAGTTTTATAGTTTTGCATTTTACATTTAGATCTGTAATCCATTTTGAGTTATGTTTTGTGATGGATGTAATGTCTGCATATAGATACTTTTTTATGCAGATGTCTAGTTGTTCCAGCAGCATTTGTTGAAATGATTTTCTTTACTTCATTGTATTGCCTTTGCTCCTTTATTAAAAATGAGTTGACTATATTTATTATTATTATTACTTAAAATTGAAAATTGTCTTGAAAATTACATGCAGACACAAACACACATTACCTATGTGTTCTGTTTCTCTATATCTCTAATCTGTCTGTTTATTAATTCATCTAGTAGATATTTATTTGTGTTTTTTTAAGGTTGTTAAATGGTTGTACTCTTTAGTAAATTTCATTATTTCTTAATCTGGCATGTAAGATATCTTTTCATGTGGTAATAATATTTCCCACCTACTCTGCAAGTACCTTTCTGAACCTTTTCTACTATTTTTATTCCATCCAAATTGGATTTCTCACTATCATAAATCCAGCTCATCCTTTGTTTCTTTTAGCATTTTTATATTATTTTTCTTACAAATAATTCCTTTCTCTATCCCTTCTGCTATCAATATTCTATTTATTTTTTCTGAAGTTCTTTGTAACATACTAATTATATACTACAACTTGCTTCTTAATCTTTTGCTATTATCTTCATTTTCAAACAACTTTTCATTGATCTCAGTTTACAGATTTTACTCAATGATGTAATAATTTATTCCTCATTTGAAAGATAAAAATAGTAAGAATACAGGATTTGCCAAAATAATCAGCGAATTCAGTGTCAGTTATGGCATCTGTAAACTGAGGAATCTGCAAATTTTTGGTCTTCATTTATTTACCTATAAATATAAAATAATAATATGTTCTCAAATATTTTAAAAGTTTCCTATGATATACCAATTAGATAAATTAATGTAAATATGATATATGATCTGTAATTCATTGTATGACTCTCAGAAAATATCTGCTTTTGCTCCTGGTCTCTATCTTAAATTAAAAAAGCATAACTGAATGCATTATTTTGAAGTATGCTAGATGTATGTATCTATGTATGCATCTAAAAATTTATAAAAATTATGTTTTCATTAAAATCAAGTACAATATAATGTATGATGCATATGTTTTATAGTGCTATACTAGCTAAATAGTTGTGAAATAGTTGTGAAATGCTTAATGCTTAAAAAGTTACTCTTTTATTGGTTTACTATTTTAATTTAAATGTACATGTACCAAAAATATACTACTGGCTCATGATTGCATCATGTTTAAAGGTTTTAAATCTTTATTTTCAGTAGTAGATTTTCTAGGTGTATATAAATTAGTTTTGTACTGAAAATCAAGATCTTTTAGGAAAATTTACACAAATTCAATATTTTTGGGGAAATAAAAAGATTAAAATCTTCAAAGCTAGATTTCATAAAAATATAATTTATTAATAGAATATTTCTGGTACGTATCAATAGAACATCTCATGAAAACAAGCATGACATAATGTTGAAAGTGAGAATAATCATATTTGAACTAGAATCATATTTTGTTATAAGAATTTATTCAAAAAAATTAAACAAAGATGAAAACACTTTTCTTTAAATTTAATTAAGATAAATTCAGGAATTCATAAAGATAACTCTAATATGTCTATTTACATGTGTTGAGTATATATTTGTAACCATAATTTAATAACATTTGATTTTTGTGAACTTATGGAATATATGTAATTGCCTTGGAATCATGGTTCATATACCTCACTCCACTCACAAATGTGTGTGTATTATATCTACTTTGATATAAGACAGATTATTTTATTATTATATAAAAATGGTTTTTAATAACAAAGATAATTCTAAATATCTCTTTTTTCCTAATCATGTTCTTCTGAAATCATACAATGCAATAGATGTTGTGCAACTGATTTATTTTAGCTATCTAGTCCTTTTATTTTCATATAAATCGAGAATATAAGCAAAAGTCCATGTGCATACAAAGAAGAGCTGCATCTTCTTGGCATTTCTATGGTTAGTTTCAGCCTTTTATATTAAACAGTGGTTGAAATCACATTCTTGATGGGAAGTATCTTGGTAGGATGTTAAAAGGCTATATTGTGCTCTTATTTTATTTTTTAAAAATTAGTAGTTTAAACATTGAACAGTCTTTTTCCCTACTTAACATTATTCCAGGCATAAAGTTTCTTCATAGCATAGCTTACAGTAAGCCAAAACAGTAACCATAGCAAATGTTAAAGAATTGGGCTTAAATACTTTTAAGTAGCTACTTTTTTTCAATTTAAGGTATGAGGTTCATTTCAAATCATGTGAAACATATAAACGATATTATTGCATAGATACCTGATTTAGTTTTCTTGTCTGAAAAGAAAAAACTGCAACTTCATTCAATACCACTGAAAGGACAAATTCCATTCTTATCATTTTAATTAAGCTACAACACTTAAGGAGGCCGGGCTTATTTTATGTCCAGAATAGTTGTTCATTTCTGTACCTCTATAATAATTTGAGATAGGTTAAAGCAAATAAAGGAATAGGATTCAAGGCTTGGCTAAGTCATTTTATGAGAAGTTATGATAAAATCTCTTGGTCACCATGGTTCATTGAAAACCCAGGCATAGAGAATTTCATCTTTTATATACCATTCATAAATTGGATTTTTTTTAAGGTTTGGGGGTCTGATATCCTTTTATGTCAAATGTATTTGTGGTAATTGTATTAGCAAGAAATTTGGAGAAGATATTACTGTCATTAGTAAAGATATAGCCAGTGGCCAGGTGCAGTGGCTCACTCCTGTAATCCCAGCACTTTGGGAGGCAAAGACAGGAGGATACGTTGAGCTCAGGAGTTTGATACCAGCCTGGGCAATATGGTGAAACCCTATTTCTACAAAAATTAGAAAAATTAGCCTGGCAAGATGGTATGCACCTGTAGTCCCAGTACTCAGGAGGCTGAGGTAGGAGGATTGCTTGAGTCTGGAAGGCTGCAGTGAGCCATGTTTGCACCACTACACTTAGCCTGGACAACAGAGTGAGATCCTGTCTTAAAAGAATAAGTAAAGATATAACCACAGTGTTGACAACAGTAAATGTCAGTAAATATACCACTGCAAAAAACAATTTAAATAGTATTGCATGGCATATGCATAAACTTTCTAAGCATATGCCATGTAATAATATTTAGGTGAACACGTAAACAAATTTCGTATCTGTGGCACAGTGTTTTAAGTGCATTCTTCAATTAACTCTTCATGAGATTGTTTCTTGCTGTTACTTCCTTTACTGAGACCTTGAACCCCTTAAAGTCATCCACGAGGTTTGTAATCAACATATTTCAGATTCCTCTTATTGTTGCTAATTTGACCTCCCATGAATCTAATGGCATCTTAGAAGGGTAATAGCATATAGAAGAGTAAATCCTTTCCAGAAAGTTTTCAATTTACTTTGCCCAGAACCATCAGAAATATCACTATCTATAACATTACAAAATGTTTCTCTTAAAAGATAATACTTGAAATTCAAAATGACTCCTTGATCCATGAGCTGTTGAAGGGATGTTCTGTTAGCAGGCATGAAAACATTAATTTTCATATATATCTCCATTAGATTTCTTGGAGGAAAAGGTGCATTTTCAATGAACAATAATTCTATTTTCTGAGCAGTAGGTCTCAACAGTGGGCTTAAAATATTCAGTAAACAATACTGTACACAAACATGCTGTAATCTAGGCTTTGTTTTTCCATTTCTAGAGTACAGGCAAAGTAGACTTACCGTAATTATTAAAAACCTTAGGATTTTTGAACTGGTAAATGGGTATTGGCTTCAACTCACCAGCTGCATTATCCCCTAACAAGAGATTCAGTCTGTCTTTTTAAGCTTTAAAGGCAGTATTGTCTTCTTCTCTCTTGCTGTGAAAGTCCTAGATGGCACTTTCTTTCAATATAAGACTGTTTCATCTACATGCAAACTGTTGTTTAGTGCAGCCACGTTCATCAATGATGTTAACTAGATCTTCTGAATAACCCACTGTAGCTTCTACATCAGCACTTGCTGCTTCACTTTGCACTTTTATGATATAGAGGCAGCTTCTCTCTTTAAACCTCATAAGTCAACCTCTGCTAACTTCCAACTTTACTTTTGCAACTTTCTCACCTCCTTCATCCTTCACATAACTAAAGAGAGTTAGGGTCTTGTTCTGAATTAGGCTTTTATTTAAGTGAGTGTTGTGGCCAGTTTGCTCTTCAATCCAGGCCACTAAAGCTTTCTCCATATCAGCAATAACGTTATTTCACTTTCTTATTATTTGTGTGTTCACTGGAATAGCACTTTTAATTTTCTTCAGGAACTTTTCCTTTGCATTCACAAATTGGTTGACTGTTTGGTGCAATGGGCCTAGATTTCAGCCTATTTCAGCTTCCAACATGTCCTCATGACTAAGCTTAATCATTTCTAGCCTTTGATTTAAAGTGAGAGAAATGTGACTTCCATTCACTGAACTCTTGGAAGCCATTGCAGGCTTATTAATTGTCTTGATTTCAATATTGTTGCATCTCAGAGAATAGGGGGAGAGATGAAGGAATGACCAGTTGATGGAGCAGTTAGAAGACATACAATGTTTACTGATCGTTTGCCATCTTATATGGACCTGGTTAATGGTGCCCCAAAACCATTACAGTAGTAACATCGATGATCAGTCATCACAGATCAATACAACAAATATAATAATGATGAAAATGATTGAAATATTGCAAGGATTACCAAAATATAACACAGAGACATGAAGTGAGCACATGCTGTTTGAAAAATGGTGCCAATAGACTTGCTCAACACAATGTTCCCACAAATCTTCGTTTTATAAAAACACAGTACCTATGAAGTGCAATAAAGGGAAGCACAATAAAATGAGGTAAGCCTGTACCTGACAGAACCCTGCATCAACCACAGGGTTGACATCTCTAAGTTTCAAGCCCAGTTGCCTGGGGTCAACCTATTTTTGCCTCTTACCAATTGTGTGACCTTCAGCCATCCATGAGCATATTAGCATCTGCAAAATGAGAGTAGGTCTGATGATAATACAGTTGCGAAGATTTTCTGTGATGATTACACAAATATTTTAGCAGAATGCCTGCACCATATCACATGCTCAGTTACTATTAGTCATTTTATTCAGTGTTATTATGTAAACTTTCAGGACGTTGTTTTATCACCATCCAGCAGATCCTAAGATGAAAAAGTGGGAATAGAATAGAAAGGCAACCTCTAAATCAATTGCTAGAAAAAAAATCGTCAAGTTATTTTCCATTTAATATATCACTGTATTCAAGAATAGGAGTTATTATAAGAGTACTTTTACTATGAACATGCATAGAGCATTTTCATCCTCATTTAGGTTATGATTTATCCAACAAACCAATATATGTCAAAATGTTCCTCTGACTGAACCTAGTTTTTGTTAATTTTTATTTCCAGAGTTCATTTCAGAGTTAATTCATAACCTTCCAGACTAATGCTACTAGAAAAAAGGGCTCCTTCAAAAAAGAAAAGAAAAAAAATAGAAGCAAATAAGAAAAAAAACAAACAAAATCAGTTACCACAGTTAACTATAATCAACATGTTAGCAAATTGTCTTCTGGAATTTGTTTATGTATGAATACTTTTACACAGTTGAGAGCATCCATTTTATACTACTCTTTATTTTTAACATTAGCTCATAAACATTTTTTCTATCATTAAAACATTTTCAAAAAAGGCTGTTTCTTTGAAATTTAAGGTTTGCATCTCATAAAATACAGGGACCTAGGGGCATGCACAAAGTGTGATAGCATGCCAAATTTAAGCTTATTTCCATGCTTGTCAGAATTTTTTTTTAATTAGAAACATTTAGAAAAATAGCATCACAAAGTGAGGGGAATTCTCTTTTTTTTTCTGGATTCAACAACAGCTTCAAAATACCATCTTATATTTCTATTCCCTCTTATATTTAACAGTTTGCCCTTTCTCCATAATTAAGAACACTGGAGAGTTTGATAGTTATGCAAATAAAATCCTGTGATTCACTCTTGGTATATTCATTGCATTTGAATGTCTGAAGCCATAAAGTGTAGTGCTTTAGGGTAACAGTAATAGAGGAGTCTTCTTTGCATTGAAGAACTGTCATCAAAAGTTTTTATGTAACTGATTTGTTGCAACTCCAGAAAAAAAAAAATCTTTTCTCCAACCTCTCATTTTTGGAAAACTAAGAGATGGAAAAATGAGAAGGAAATGTCAGAATTATTGAAGTGCTAAGAGCTTGATGGCAGTAAATGGCACTGATATTGGCTGACAATTCTGACATTAAAATGGAAGGTCAAGATGTGATTTGGGTCTCTTACATATTACAAAACTTTGATTTACATCTAGGCCTGACTCCAAGTTTTCATCTTCCAAGGATTCAGACATATCACCAAGCATGATTCACTGACTGATACTTTATTGCCTCCTTTCAGGCAGTGTATCATACATTTACAAAATTCATTAATTTTTCACAGTTAAACAATGAATACAACGTGATTCTGCTTTTCCTACAGCAGACCACAGGCAATGTTTTAGAGAAAGATGACTGCTTCAAATCCTACATAGACTTAAACTCTCAGGTATAACATCATTTTTCTATTTAATCCTAATGCACAGTGGTTATGCTCCATCCTCTAATATCTGTTCATCAATTCAGAAAACATAAGGACACACCAAAAATGTACCAAAATGCCATGAGTGTAATTACAAACTAAATATTTTCAAAAAAATGAATGAAGTTATTTCTCTGAAATCTCTCTTATAGGAAGTATGTATTTAGTTACTTAATTTTTAAAATAATTTGGGGCTCCAACGAGTGACATCACATGACCTGAAATAAGATAATAAGATTTATAAATACATGACTAATAATTATCTTCATCTGTTAAAACTGTGATTCAATATGAGTTCCACAAACTGAACATTGTATTGGGTTATAGATATAGATTAAATACATATCTTAGTTACGCAAAAAGGAAAAGTTTTGACTTTAGCTCTTAAACATATAATAATTATAGCAGTAGTAATAACTTATATTTTTTTATTAAGACATTAATAACTTGAGAGTTAAATGTATACTATATAAAACATGTTTCATCTTGACATGTATAGATATTCTATGATTCTCATCAAAGAATGTCACTCTGGGTTTTAAATCTGTTCTTATCACCCAGAAGATCTTATCTGGTCAGTATTTGATTAGAGAATCTAGCTACCTAAGACAGGTTTTCTTCATTTGATAGATAATCTGGAGCTTCAAGACTATTGATTGAAGCTGCATTCAAGTAAAAAAAAAAAGTTAAGAAAAAAAGTGGAAGTTAACCTTGACTACACTTCAACCTTCAACTTCTGCTGCCTTGAGTCAAACAGCTAAATATGTCCCTGTCTTATCACCACAGATTTTTTCATATTGACTGAAAAACAAACTTCAAATGCATTTTAGCCTGATTATTTTTTGAAAATATCATTTAAGAGTAAAAGAATCCTTGATCTTCTCTCTTTCTGGTATGTTTATTGAATTAATATAAACTCAATTCATTTGAAAGGGCACTCAGTATACTTTAAGTCTATTGTTATTAAATACAAAATAGAATAAGACCAATGTCTCAAACCATTCAAATAAATCAACAATAGCAAAATATAGACTAATATGAAGTTTTCTTAATAGATTTTTTTTTTTTTTTTGAGACGGAGTCTCACTCTGTTGCCCAGGCTGGAGTGCAGTGGTGCGATCTCCGCTCACCGCAAGCTCCGCCTCCCGGGTTCACGCCATTTTCCTGCCTCAGCCTCCGGAGTAGCTGGGACTACAGGCGCCCGCCACCACGCCTGGCTAATTTTTTTGTATTTTTAGTAGAGACGGGGTTTCACCGTGTTAGCCAGGATGGTTTGGATCTCCTGACCTCGTGATCCACCCGTCTCAGCCTTCCAAAGTGCTGGGATTACAGGCGTGAGCCACTGCGCCCGGCCATGATTTTTAGATCATTCACTGCTTTACCCAACTACTTCATGGATCCTTCTAATGAAACACAGCTGGGATTTAGAAGCTACCAAAGTCAGGCATAATGAGCTTAAATGCATCTGTAGACATTTGAGCACTGCTCACTATGCATTTTAGTATAATCATAAGCCAAATAAAAGCATCTGTAATCTCTGTCCCCAACGAACAAAATAGTAAAAATATTACATAGATATTAGACAAAAATTCAGACGTTATAAAGGCTAATTTAAAATCAGAAAACTGCATATTCTCACTTGTAAGTGGAAACTAAATGACGAGAACACACGGATACATGGGGAACAACACACACTGGGGCCTTTCGCAGGGTGGAGGGTAGGGGGAGGGAGGGGATCAGGAAAAATAATTAATGGGTACTAGGCTTAATACCTGGATAGTGAATAATCTGTACGACACAACCCCATTACACAAGTTTGCCTATGTAATAAACCTGCACTTTTACCCTGAACTTAAAATAAAAGTTAAAATAAAATGGCCTGGTGTGGTGGCTCACGCCTGTAATCCCAGCACTTTGGGATGCCGAGGTGGGCGGATCATGAGGTCAGAAGATGGAGACTATCCTGGCTAACACGGTGAAACCTCGTCTCTACTAAAAACACAAAAAATTAGCCAGGCCTTGTGGCACGTGCCTGTAGTCCCAGCTACTTGGAAGGCTGAGGCAGGAGAATCGTTTGAACCCGGGAGGCAGGGGTTGCAGTGAGCTGAGATCGTGTCACAGCACTCCAGCCTGGTGACAGAGCGAGACTCCATCTCAAAAATAAATAAATAAATAAATAAATAAATAAATAAACAAACTAATATCAATTTACATAAAATTAAATGCACACATTATTAGTGTGCAGTTTGATGAAATTTAATAAGGATATACTTTAGTATAATGGACAATCCAATAAAGATTTGAATGTTTTCAGGACTCCAAAAACTTCTGTCCAGGCCAATTCTCTTCAGTCTTGCAGCCAAGCAAACTGTAATGTGCTTTCACTCACTAAAGATTCATTTTCATTTCTAAAATTCAATACAAATGGAAGCATTCAGTATGTACTCTTTGGTATCTGTTTTTTTGTCACCCAGCCTATGCTTCCAAGATTTATCTATGTTACAGCATGCCTTTTTATCTGATGAGCATCCCATCGTGTAGATATCCACCAAATATGTTTATTCATTCAACTGTTGATGGACGTTTGTGTTATTTTCAACTTGAGGTTATTATAAATGAAACTGCTGTGGACATTCATGTACATGTATTGATATAGACATACGTTTTTATTTGAGGGGAGGGTAAAAACCTAGGAGTAAAATTGCTGAGTCAGATGAATGTGTCCATTTAAATTCAATAGAAACAGCCCAGCTGTTTTCCTCCATGGCTTTTCTATTTTACTTTCCCAGTAATGGTGTATTGAAGTTCCAGTTGTTTAACATCTTCAAGAATTGTCAGTCTTTTAAATTTTAGCTATTCTAATGGATGTTATGGAATCTCACTGTGGTTTCAATTTGAATTTTACTGATGACCAATGATGTGAGAAACTTTTCACGTACACATATGAACAGTTGTATTTCTTTTGAAAGTGTCTGTTCAAAGTTTTTACCAATTTTTTATTGGATTATGCATTTTATTGATTTCTTATATATTCTAGACACAAATACTTTTTCCCCCCACCCCGAGACGGCGTCTGTCTTGCTCTGTGGCCCAGGCTGGAGTGCAGTGGTGCAATCTCTGCTCACTGCAACCTCTGCTTCTCGGGTTCAAGCAATTCGCCCGCCTCAACCTCCAAGTAGCTAGGACTCTGTGCGCGCCACCAAGCCCTGGCTAATTTTTGTATTTTTAGTAAAGATGGGGTTTCACCGTGTTGGCCAGGCTGGTCTGGAACTCCAGACCTCAGTTAATCCACCGGTCTCGTCCTCCCAAAGTGCTGGGATTACAGGCCTGAGCCACCGCTCCCAGCAAAAAATGCTTTGTTAGGTATATACACTGCAAACATTTTCTTGCAGTGTGTAGTTTGCCTATGTATTTTCTTAATGTTGCCTTTCAGAGTAATTGTTTTTAATACACTGAAATTCAACTTATCACATTTTTTCCTTTATGGTTCATAATTTTGTCTTTTATTTAAAAGATTTTGCCTACCCCAAGAAAGCAAATATTTTCTCCTAAGTTGTCTTCTTTAATTCATAGTATTAAAATTTACATTGAATACTATGATGCAACTAGAGTTAATACTTACGTATAGTGTCAGATAATTATCCAGGTTAATTATTTTTATATGGATGTCCACTTGTTTCAGGACCAATTATTGCAAAGTCTTTTATTTTCCTCATGGAATTTACTTGGCATCTTTACTGGAAATCAACAGGTATGACAAATTTCTGGACCCTCTCTTCTTTGTACTAATCTGTTGTTTATACATCATTATTATATTGTTTCAGTTGCCATATCTTATGGTAAGTACTGCAATCAGGCAGTATAAGTACTTAAAATTTGGCTTTTTTCACAATTAGTTTGGATATGGTAAGTTGTTTGCACATCTGTATATATTTTGCAATAAGCTTTCCAATTTCTATAAACAAAAAAAAAACCCAGCTGGGATATTGTTAGGGATTATATTGCAACTCTAAATTCATTTAAAGAGATCATATTTCTGAAGAATTATGGCTTTTTACATGAACACAGCTTAACTTTCTATATTTAGATATATTTAAATTTGTTTCAGCAGATTTTTGTAGCTCATGAGAATTGTATAGATATTGAGGATATTGTGTGAATATATTCTTAACCATATATTTTATGTTTGGACTCTATTCTAATTAAGGTTTAATTTTTTAATTGTTCATTGCTTTTATATAAGAAGAGCACTACTTTTTATGGTCTTTGTATCCTGGGACCTTGCTAAAAGAATGTATTGTGTCAAGTAGCTTTCTTGTAGATTCCTTAAACTTTTATAACCAAAATTATGCTACCTATAAATTTAGACGTCTATTTCTTTCTTCTAATCTGTAAATCTACATGCCTATAGTTCATTTATTTATTACCTTGTGCAGGATCTTCAGTACAGTTTTGAACAGAGATGTTAGTGTGGGCATTCTCACCTCATTTTCAATCTTAAGACAAAAGTGTTCAATATTTCAACAGCAAGTGTGCAAATTACTCTAGGTTTTCAGTAGACATCCTTTATCCAATTGTGAAAGTTTTCTGCTGTTCCTAGTTTGGTAAGGATTTTGTTGTGCTTTGATTTATTATTTATTTTTAATACAGAATGAATGTTGAATTTTGCCAAATGTGTTTTATTCATCTATTGATACAATCAAATATTTTTTCTTTTTCTTTTGACATGGTGAATTATATTGGTTGATTTTTCAAATGTTAAAGAAACCTGCTATTCCTGAGATGACTCCAATTTAGTCATGATATGTAATACTTTTAAAATATTATTGATAGTATTTGCTAATATGTGAAAGGGAGAGAGTAAATGAGGAGTTATTGCTAATGGTTACAGAGTTTCTATAGGGTAATGGAAAAAGTTTTGGAAACAGTGATGATAGTTGGTAAATGTAATGAATGCCACTGATTTGAACACTAAATGTTTAAAATACCAAATTTTATCTTACATATGTTTTACCACAATATTAAAAAAAAAGATACATGTGAAAGTTTTTCAAACTTGTGATAGCTTTAGCAATGCAATTACCTGAAAAGTTCAGTAAACTGCCAATATACTTGATGTCTTAAAGCTCTCTGGGTTAGTATCAACATATTCATGCCCTTTGGATATGTACTATGCCTTGGTATTTCTGATTCTTAGCCAGATTCTTAACAACACATATCTCAGCCATGTGGCCCCATTTTGTTCTCTGTTTTTAACAAACGGTAACGAATGAGACAAGGTTAATTTCTCACTTGCTTCAGAGTGCACAAGTGTAATCATTACTAATTTCAGGCATAGTTTTCATAGGAGAGATTACCCCAAATTTCAAAGGAATTAGACTCTTACAGTTATTGGTTCCCACCAACTGCTGATTCTAAATGTCATGAAGCTTTGCTCTCTTTAATATTACCTTTGTGCAAGAAACTTGAGTTGTGTAATCTCACAAAAAAAAGACAATTATATAAATTTTTGCATATGGTTTTACAGATAAAAAAGTAAGAGTGTCTTTTTGCAGGTTGTCACCTCTTGCCCATGTGATTTCCATTGAGCAGTTTAGACTAAATTTGATATGCTTGGTGGTGATGCTGCTTATTATAATTTTTGTGATTGGTTTTAGTAATTTGTGGAATCTTACAGAAAGTCACAAGAAGTAACGACAAAATCTAATATCCTGACATTTTACCATTTACATTTCAAGAATGGAACATAGAATATATAAAGTATAATAAAATGTACATATTTATCAAATGCTTTACTACCATATGAACGTAACCATCAACTTCCAATTTAATCATTTATCATTTGCAATACCTTACATGCAGATATTGTTTTCTGTACTAGTCACAGCACATTTGGATATAAGGCACAAAAACCCAAATTAAACTATGTTAAGTTGTAATGAGATGGAATGCATTGACCTACATAACAACTACTCAGGAGAAGATAGACTTCTAGCATAGCTCAATTTAGGAATTCAAACATGAAATAAAGAATGCAATTCTCTCTCTTCAAGATTGGAAGGCTCTTGTTCACAAATTAAGCAAAAATGCCTCTGGCAACATAATTCTTATAGTTTATGATACTTGAGCCTCAGGAGTTTAAGACCAGCCTGGGCGACATAACAAGACCTTGTCTCAAAAAAATAATAATAATTCTCCCGAAAAGTTGTAACTGAAAAGGCCGGAAAAATCATGTGGTTAATGTCAACATTTATTTTGGCCAGAGGCTGAGACAGTATAATGAGCAGTTTTATTGTTTCTATTCAAGCCCTGTACCCTAAAGAAGATGAGTTGAAATGGTTAACCTGCCTCAGTTAAATTGAACATGAATTCCTCAGAAAAGAGAGCTTGGCAACCAGAAAGTAGACATATTCTGTTAATCCCAAAGCAAAGGTACATATCTGCAGTTATATTTAAAACTGGAATATAAAGTATTATGTCAATGATAATTAAATATTGGAGAAAATAATAGGGATGCCTTGAAAATTACTTTCACAAAATAGATAATCAAGGGATACAATTTGTCTACCTCTTCTCATTTCTCTCAACAGAAGAAAGTTAAATTTAGGAGATTATATTTTACAGAAACTATAAAATATGGAAGCTAATAAAATCAGGTTTGGGGAAAAGATTTTTAGATTCTTTTATTTTATTTTATTTTATTATTATTATACTTAAAGTTTTAGGTTACATGTGCACAATGTGCGGGTTTGTTACATATATATACATGTGCCATGTTGGTGTGCTGCACCCATTAACTCCTCATTTAGCGTTAGATATATCTCCTAATGCTTTCCCTCCCCCCTCACCCCACCCCACAACAGTCCCCGAAGTGTGATGTTCCCCTTCCTGTGTCCATGTGTTCTCATTGTTCAATTCCCACCTATGAGTGAGAACATGCAGTGTTTGGTTTTTTGTCCTGGCAATAGTTTGCTCAGAATGATGGTCTCCAGTTTCATCCATGTCCCTACAAAGGACATGAACTCTTCATTTTTTATGGCTGCATAGTATTCCATGGTGTATATGTGCCACATTTTCTTAATCCAGTCTATCGTTGTTGGACATTTGGGTTGGTTCCGAGTCTTTGCTATTGTGAATAGTGCCACAATAAACATACGTGTGCATGTGTCTTTATAGCAGCATGATTTATAATCTTTTGGGTATATACCCAGTAATAGGATGGCTGGGTCAAATGGTATTTCTAGTTCTAGATCCCTGAGGAATCGCCACACTGACTTCCACAATGGTTGAACTAGTTTACAGTCCCACCAACAGTGTAAAAGTGTTCCTGTTTCTCCACATCCTCTCCAGTGCCTGTTGTTTCCTGACTTTTTAATGATTGCCATTCTAACTGGTGTGAGATGGTATCTCATTGTGGTTTTGATTTGCATTTCTCTGATGGCCAATGATGATGAGCATTTTTTCATGTGTTTTTTGGCTGCATAAATGTCTTCTTTTGAGAAGTGTCTGTTATATCCTTCGCCCACTTTTTGATGGGGTTGTTTGTTTTTTTCTTGTAAATTTGTTTGAGTTCATTATAGATTCTGGATATTAGCCCTTTGTCAGATGAGTAGGTGTGAAAATTTTCTCCCATTTTGTAGGTTGCCTGTTCACTCTGATGGTAGTTTCTTTTGCTGTGCAGAAGCTCTTTAGTTTAATTAAATCCTATTTGTCAATTTTGGCTTTTGTTGCCATTGCTTTTGGTGTTTTAGACATGATTTTTAGATTCTTTGTTGATAACTGATGCTAGACATTTGTCACCCGTGTGAGAGCATTGTGTAAGTCATGACATAGCACATACGTGAATAGGTCATGCATTGTCCAGTGTGATAACAGAGGAATTTGTTTTTAACATTAAATTACATTCACGTATGTACAACATATGTAGATGATTAAATTTTAAACTATCAAAATTTACAGTTACCCTAGTATAACAATAACTCAATCTCAAGGAAGAAAAATATTGACAAGCAGAAAAATGTTTAAGAGATGAAATAATTGATCCATTAGGAATAGAGTAATAAATATGCCTTTCTAAGTTCAAAGGGGAGAAATGACTAATACCACAAAAGCAAGCTAATGCAAAAGTATGCTTAAGAGAAAATACTTCAACCAAAACAATATGTAAGAAAGTTATTATGTTAAAACTATTAAAGTGTGGGGAATACTTCATCAATTAGTCTAAATATTAATATAGAAATTTCTAAAGGTACGAAAGTACGTTATATGAAGTAATGAAAGTGCAAAAACCTAGTACATATAAAACTGTATATATGAGAAAGTAAAAATGTTCATTTTGTGCCATGGAAAAGAATGCCAACAAATGTACTAATAAAATATTAAGATAAATCATTTTGTAATTATAATATATGCATTTTATATTTATAAAGAAAAATAGGTAATTTATAACAGTCATTAGAATTTATTTGGCTTGTACAGAACAAGCCAAATAAAAATTAAAAATTATTAAAATGTAACAATTAAAACAGTGTAATTTCAATGGAACAAAATAGAAAGAATAACAATAACCCCAATCACTTATGAGACTGTTATGCATAGTAAAGCTGACTTCTCAAAACAATGTCAGAAATGTATTATATTTAATAAATGTGGTTGTAATTATTAAGTAGCTGATGAAAAAATGCACTTGGATCTTTATGTATCATCTAACATTAAAGTTATTATAGGCATATCAAATATTTAAAAGTAAGAATAAAGCTACAATGTTCAAAGAAAATACAGTGGAAGCCTTTGTATGATATGTTTGTTATTGATTCATAAATATTTGTACATTATTTATGGGGTACATGTAATATTTCATTACATGCATAGAATGTGTAAGATAAGTCAAGGTATTTAGGATATCCATCATCTCTAGTATTTATCATTTCTATCTGTTGGGAACATTTCAAATCCTCTCTTCTAGCTATTTTCAAATATACAATGCATTGTTGTTGTTGTTGACTATAGTCACTCTACTGTTAAACATTAGAACTTATTCCTTCTATCTAACTGTGTGTTTCTACTCATTAGCCAACCTCTCTTCATCCCTCCCAACTCCAATCCACATACCCTTTCCAGTCTCTGGCATCTATCTGACATCTATCATTCTACTCTCTAATTCCATGAGATCATTTTTTTTTAGTTCTCATATATAACTGAGAAATCAGTGTATCAAAAGTATGCACTGGAAGAACTTCTACAACGACACAGAGGTCACATATTTTAATATCTAAAAATAAAATAATATCAAAGGCAAGTGACCAATGAGTTTAAGAAAATAAAACACATCTCAGGATTAGTTTCCTTAATTTTTAAAAAGTTCCTGAAAATCAATATTTCTAAAGTTTAGTAAAAAGAGGGCAGTTTCAATTGAGAAAAAGAAATGCAAATTACTCTTGATTACATATTTTAAATGCTTAATTGCACTGCTGGTAAGAGAAAAGCAACTCAAAACTACTTGGAGATACCAGCCTTTACACCACCTTGATAAACACCAAAAAGGTTTGATAACAATATTTTAATGAGTGGATAAGAAAAAAAATTCCCTGTTGAGGGAAATTTCATAATATCTATACAAATTAACATATATAATGTTTGATTCAGCAGTGACACTTTAGTAATTTATCTAATGGGCGTGCGTGTTTGGCCATATGTGAGTAATATGTACATGAGTTTTTTAATTTAAAAAAATTATTTTTAATAGCAACATCCAAGAGAAAGAAAGCAGGACAGGAACAGAAAGAGAGAAAAGACCAGATGTTTACTTAATTAATATGCTACAATACAGCTAGTAAAAAGAATGAGACAACTTTATAGACACTGGTATAGAAGAATGGTATATTATTGAATTAAAACAAACTATAAAGAAGATACCGTCATTCATGCGTGATCTAAAAGTGGATGTGTACATATATGTGTGTACATATATACATGTCTCAGAAAGAATAAGTTATATATAATTATTAATTGTATATTATAATTATCATATAATTATATGTACACATATACACAAATGGGTAATACATTTCTGAGGGACTAGCATGGGATGGCGATATATTATCTTTCCACTCTTTGTATTAAATTATTGCATTTACATATTCAAAAATGAATGCAAACTTATATTAGTTTGGTGCAAAACTAATGGCAGACCCCAGTTACTTTTGTACCACCCTAATAGAACATAATATTGCTTCTGTTTTGGGGATGTCTTTCATATTGGAAGACGAGACTCAAATGCTATTTAGAAATCAAGCAAAAAAACCCGTGGTCAAAGAAATTGAGAGAAATAACAAGGAACGCTAGCTGCAGATTGTGTAAAGAATTTCAGGGACTGTAGAAGGTGCAGGGTATGATATAGGAGCCATTTATATGGGGTAGCTTTGGGGTTTAGGTGTGGTTGCATTTATTTAAATCCATGCTGAATGGTATTTGGTGTAGACATTTGAATTCCATTTAACACATTCCATTGTGTTTGTTAGGTTTTTTCACTATTTTATTTTTCCTTGGAAGATATTAATCTCGGTGAATCAGAAAAAGGACTGCATTTCACTACATTTAGAGACATACAGTTTACTGAAGTACTATACAAGTGAGACAAAGTTTGCTTTGGCATTTTATTAATAGAGAATAACAGTAGAGAGGTCAGAAATTCAATTAGGGTGGGGGTAGGTTACAGAAAATAGATATTGATAGAAATAATGTAGATATAAATAAAGATGTAAATGCATAGATGTAGATAAAGATTTAGATTGAGATACAGATATAGATACAGGCAGACATATTTAGACAATTATTACCAGTAGATAGGAAAGTAAGTAGAGTGGGAAGTTACAGTTTGAGGCTTTAAAGAAGAAACCAAAATATTTGAAAAGTAAAAATAGATGAAATTCAGGACACAGTTTAAATTTAGAGAAAACATTTAAGTGCTTAAGCTTCGGAGAAAAGATGGAAAGGAGAGAGGATGAAATTGATTAAAGAAATATTTAAAGTTCTAGAAAGGAATCTCTAGAAGCTGTCTTCATGGCAATTAATGACTAAACAATTATATGTGGTTTTTAAAATCAGCCTTGGGAAATTCCTTTAGATACAAGGCAGCTTTTCTGTAAACATTAAAATCTTTTGAGTGTAAACTCCCAAACAAGTTTTTCCATGTTTGCCTAAAAGTGGATATAAAGGATTGGCCTTCCTAGAATGAGGGTAGATTTTCCTGAAATCATGGTAATAAAGGCAGCTTTATAGAGTATAGTATAAAGTATAGAGTATATACTTTATATTTCTATAGGCAGGATAAAGCTACCTGGGTGCTGAATTTACCCTTGAAACTACCCGTGAGAAGTGAAACTTTTTAAGCCTCACTATTTTTTCAGTAACACGAGATGTTTGCTAGATTATCTCTATGTCCACCTCCTAAAAACTGTATCAAATGATAAGATGAACTTTACAAATTTCTTCCAGCACCAGGGTCTGTAACTTTATGATATTTCTGTGCACTAGCATGGGACAAAATAAATTATTGTTTATGTCTACTTCCTACCATCTGGGGATCTTATTTCTGAAGCAGTCATAAAAGAATGTTTGCTTATAAATTATTCCCAGGGATTTTTTTGCACTCTTAGTTTCGGAACTGCCTCTGCATAATATGAAATGCATTGTTTCACTGCCAAAGCTGAGGTTGACAGCCTAGGGCTTGCAGGAGAATATTTTTGCAGATAATAACTCCTTCTTGCATGTAATAGAATTCATGATTCCATACATCTTCTCCCAATTTTACATACAGCCATATACACATAGAATGTAGCTATTTAAGAGTTAATGACAAATAAATCAATAATCATTCTCCGCACTGCAGAATAAGATGATCAGTCTAGTTTCATGAGTGACTTCAGATC
This sequence comes from Homo sapiens, assembly GCF_000001405.40. Taxonomy (NCBI): domain Eukaryota; kingdom Metazoa; phylum Chordata; class Mammalia; order Primates; family Hominidae; genus Homo; species Homo sapiens. The sequence continues at coordinate 171,473,920 of NC_000004.12, forward strand.
TGGGAGGCAGAAGACAATTGAAAAATAGGGTGGTCTGAGATACAGATTTCATTCGGAATTCGAGTAGCTAAATATAACCACATATAACACACACGTGCAAATCACACACAAAAATACACTGCTTCAGGGTGACAAAAATAAATTAGTATTGAATATGAAATGATTAGGCTATTATTAGAATATAAAATATTTTAATGAAATTTACATATAAGCTCTTCGGCTGTAAAAATGAGTGCATTGTGTAAAATGATTTTTAAGACCTTACTTTTTTAGAAATATCTACATATCATCTATAGAGTAGTAATAGGGTTTTTGCTTTTTCTACACATGAACTAAAGAACATGAACAAGGATAATTTACTCTTTTGACTACTATGAATCACCTTTAAATAAAATATTAAATTAATTAAATATTGGTCACTTTTTTGTTTTATTGCTAAATTTTAAAGGGTTTATTTTGTTTTGCCTACCTTTGCACTTTTTTTTAAATCAGAGGCTCATTTTCTGATATTGTTCTTAATACAGTAAAATCACTGGTCTGTCAATACTTCTCTTTGTTTATTCTTTTTTCTCTTCATATAACTTTCATGACTTTCTCCAGAAAGCTATGTTTTCAATAAATACCACTTGACTTGTATGTTATTGTTAAATGTATGTTTGGTTTTGGAATGCTCATTTTGTAATAAATTTTGTTGATGTTTAATATGCATTGAAAGGCACAAATTATAAGAGTTTACCTAAGTTTTTCTCATGTTAACATAGGTGATTAATCTACACAAGATAAAGACATGGAATATTACTAGGCCTGCACAGATGCCCCATCTCCCTTTCCAGTTACTTCCTTCATCAAGAGCAATGCTTACACTGAAAAACTGAAGTCTCTTGTTTCAGAGTTTTATGTAAATAGAATCAAACACTATGCACTCTTTTTGTTTCTGAGTTCTTATAGTCCATGTTATTTTCTATCAGATTTATCTATGTTGTTTTGTGAAGGTCATCTTAATCTGCTCTCATAATTCTATAACAGACTTCCTCAAACATTTTACTCTGGATGGATTTTTGATCAAGTTTCAGGTGTCAGAGAAACTCTAAGTAAAATTTATAATATCTACCTTTCAAAGTTAACATATTCAGTGGTTTATCTACTACAGTTGATAGGATTTGACTGTGCCCCCATCCAAATCTTAACTTGAATTGCATCTCCAAGAATTCCCAAGTGTTGTGGGAGGGACCCAGTGGGGAAGGTAATTGAATCATGGGGGCTGGTCTTTCCCATGCTATTCTGGTGATATTGAAAAAGTCTCATGAGATCTGATGGGTTTATCAGGGGTTTCCACTTTTGCTTCTTCCTCATTTTCTCTTGCTGCCACAGTGTAAGAAGCTCCTTTCACCTTTGACCTCCCGCCATGATTCTGAGCCCTCCCGAGCCATGCAGAACTGTAAGTCCAATTAAACCTCTTTTTCTTCCCAGTCTCGGGTATGTCTTTATCAGCAGTGTGAAAATGGACTAATACAACAATCTAACAATAAGTTGTCAATGATCTTTTGAGTAGCAAAAGATATTTCTGTAGATATGCTTATTTTTAGCTTCTTATTCACCTCTTTATGTGGTTTTCCCTTCCAACAGTGGATATTAATTCTAATCAGATAAATATTGTAGGTACAGAACATTTTTATTTTTTAAATTCCTACTTGATTTTTTAACTTTACTGAAAAAATCCTAAAATCCTAATCACAAATTTCTTCTATACTGTGTGCTAATGATTAATGAGCTGCGATAGGTGAAATGTCATGTGAGGTTTTTCTTTTTGATTTAAAATAAAAAACTGTCTTTTAACCACAATTTATTGGCAAAAGTAAACAAAATAAAACATCAGCAACAAAAGCCAGGTTAAGCTTAACTAATCTTTCTTGAAAGTAATTTCTTTTTCACAAATGTTTAAAACATCAGGCAAGTATTTTCAGACAAATAACTGTTGTAACCAAATGATATTTAATTTTCTAAAGGTGAGCTTGGTAGAATCAATTTAGTGGATATAAAATTGCTTTTAAGTCAGATTATTTATAACACGAAAATTTATTGACATGTTGAAAATAAATGTAGTAATAATATAATTATTTAAATAAAATATGAATAAAATATAGCTTTAAAACAACTTTATAAAAAACTTTGATAAGACAACATTTCTCACTGAGTGGCGTGATCAAGTCTAAATACAGGGCTAGAAGTTACAAATTTATTTTACATATGTACTAGTTTATTGATCTTTTTAGGTTTAACAAATAACTTTGGTTAACCTTGAGAATAGGAACACAGTGATTTTATATGAACTAAAATGAGATTATTTAAGTCTTTGAACTTTTTTTTTAAAAAATAGCAGTGTGGTCACACATTGATGAGGATGAAAACTACATAAAAAATTTTATTAATTTTCTATGAATAGCAGTACAGTCTTCTTTTACAGAACCCAGAACCTGCTTAGGGAAAATCAGCTAATCTTAACTTGATCATACGATCAGCCTGCATTTTGTAAAGTTATTTTTCTTTGCTTTGTGTCAAGTTCTCAGATTGAGCAGAATTTCAGAAAAAAAAAGGGCCCTCACTTGTTCAAGTGTGAGTGTTCAAAGAGGGGAAACGCAGCTCAATTGTTTGCTACATTTCTCTCAGATGGGTTTTAATAAAATGTGAGATGTTCTGATATTCTTCACAGCTTTCAAACCAAAGCTGTAGTGAAAACTTTTCAGTGTTTTATTTTACAACATTTTCAGTGTTCTTAAATCCAAGGATTTTGTCACTTGAAGTCAAAACATTTTCTCAATTTCATTGCAGAGATGTGTTCATCTAATTTTAAAATGTTTAAGAAGAGTCATTCTGCAGATAATCTTCATTTCTGTAGCACTCAATAAGTAAAATCTGGCCAATGATTTTTTTGAAATATTCTTGCAATTGACCTTTCAGATCAAACATTTTATTAAAAACTCCTCATCTGCTAGACTGCCTTATTACTATACATAGCAGGAGATTTACTTGTGCTTTATCTAGATTTTCACAAGTTTATAAAATATTCTGGATTAAACAAGTCTTTGTTACATGAAAGTAGTCGTTTTTGAAGTTACAACTAATAAATGCATAAGTAGCTTCTAGACATTTTTCACTTCATTTTTTTAAAATCACATTTGAATGTGATTTTAAACAACATTTGGAAAAGAACAATTTGGTTCTTTTCCAAATTGTTGTTGCTATTGCCATATTTATAGCAATATAAATAAAAATTTAAATAAGCTTTACATTTATATAAATGTTATATTTAATAAATTTATATTTACTTATGTAAATACAAATGTATATTTCTATTTGGTTACAAATGATACACAATGGAACGGGATGACTCATATTACCAGTCCACATGAAACCTATTGATAATAGCTCTTGTTATAGTAACCAACTTGTTGGAGATCCTTGTCGAATTAAGACAATAAATGACTCAGAAAATTATAATGCATCATCAGAATTATTCATACTCCTATACGTGGAATCTTATTATTTTGACACCACTTCTTAAAAATACCCATAGTACATTGACAGATATACTGTAAATAATAAAGTCTAATAAGATAAGAAATAGAAGTAAAAACTAAATGAAAAAATGCAAAAACAAAATTATCACAATGCAAGATACTTCTAACTTACACAATCCGTGTTTTTCTTCTTTCTTTCTTTCATAACCTGTTTTCTAATGTTTATCACAGCAGCAGAGCAAGTTGCACAACAGAGTGCAAACATTTGCATAAAAATGTTTCTTAAAATGAACATTGTCTCTCCAATTTTCTATTATAAGAGTAGATTTTAGGCTGGGTGCGGTGGCTCACACCTGTAATCCCAGCACTTTGTGAGGCCGAGGCGGGCGGATCACGAGGTCAGGAAATTGAGACCATCCTGGCTAACACGGTGAAACCCCGTCTCTACTAAAAATACAAAAAATTAGCCAGGCGCGGTGGTGGGCGCTTGTAGTCCCAGCTACTCAGGAGGCTGAGGCAGGAGAATGGCTTGAACCTGGGAAGCAGAGCTTGCAGTGAGCCGAGATAGCACCACTGCAGTCCGGCCTGGGCAAGAGAGCGAGACTCCGTCTCAAAAAAAAAAAAAAAAAGAGTAGACTTTGTTCAATCCCTTAAGCAGGTCAGCGATGTACAAGAGGAGTTTGGGAGCAATAATTGGGGAGGGAGATGCTGATGCCATCAGTCAACTATTTCCACTCTGAGCAATACCATACACATCAGTGATCAGTGGTCTCCCTTATAATGGAAGAAAGGCTATGGCTACATAATTTAACTCTCCAATGATATATGACCATCTTAAAAGGCAGTAAGTACTTGCAAGTACTTGCTCTCTCAGCACAATGTATAAAGCTTCCTTTATCACCACATCTACACCAACACCTGCATTCCTCAGCTTTCTAAACCTGCCGTTGAAGTGCTTTGCTGGAGTTTCCTGTGTATTCCAGATGCCAAATACTTAGAAGTTATGGACATTGTAAATACCTCCACAGATTCTGTCAACTATCTGTGAAGTCTGTCAAGATGTCATCCATTAAAAAGAAAGCCTTATCTTTGATGAAATAAAATTCATCAGTATTTTAGCTTATGGATTGTTATTGTGAAATTTTGATTACCAATTTTTGGCAACATTGTTCATCAACATGTATTGATAGCATTGGTTTTATAAGTTAACCTATAACCTTTATCTCTTTATCTACCTGCAATCACTTTGTAAGTGCATTCTTTGGTAGAAATAGCATATTATTTCCTTCCATATAGTTACCTGGCATCCTAATCTTAACATTAAACAATTCAGGTTGCAACCTGACACATTGAGTTTCTGAATACACTTGGATTTGTCTCTGAATCTCAATTTTTTTTTTGTATGGCTGTTTGTCTGATTTTCAAAAATGCCACTCTGCATGAGAACTGTGGTTCTGTAGGATTATGGTTCTGTAGGATGTTGTGTATCTCTTAGGGTAATTTCTTCTATGGTACTCCTATATTACTCTTCTTTTTGAAGATAACCTAGCTATTTCTGGGACTTTATTCCACCGTATAAATTTTCCATATCTCTATGTTTTATAATTTTTATCATAAAATATAATATGGTAAATGTCAAATTTAATGAGATTTAAAGTGAGAAAATAACATATAGTGAACAACCACGTAAACTGCATCACAGAAGGGTCATTTTAAATATTACCACTACATACATTTATAACCCCATCAAACAATGATATAATTTGCTTTTAAAAGCAAAGATAATTTTAAAACTCAAGATAAAAATAGTTTATTCCATTCACAAAGGTGTTTGCTCTTTTCCTCTTTTTTCTTTCTTTTTTTCTCTGTTCCCTTTTGTTATTTCCTTTATCATACTAAAGTATTTTCTTTAGTAATACTATCAGAGCAGTTCTGGTGGCAACAAATTTACTTCGCTTTCCTTCACCTGAGATTACTATTATTTCAATTTTATTTTTACCGGACACAGAATTCTGTATTGAGAGTTCTTTAATTTTAGCACTTCTTTTGTCCCTGTCATCTACTATTCAACCCAGTGTGTATTTTTTAAAAGAAAAATTGGTTCTTCTAATATGTTTTCTTTATTTGCTAAGGCTTTATAATTTTAAAGTTATTTAAGAGTGTCCATGATTGATTATTGCAGCATTGTTGCAAATAGTGATTTAAAAATATTTTCAGATAATTGTAACAATTATGTCATTTAGGCATTTGCCATCAATTGATTATTTTCTCATTCAAGTTGAAATTTTCCTGATTCCTGGTATGTCAAAAAATTTTGGATTATATCCTAAACATTTTGAGTATTATAAGACTGTTTCCTATTTAATGGATGATCTTCCATCATTGAAACACACTTTTATGTAGAGAGCACACATTGGCCCAGTTTTGTGGGCTGTGGCTTAAATACTCATTTAATTTTGAAAATCTTTGTTGGGCTATTCTAACCGATTGGGTTTGTGCACTACCAAAAGATCATTCTGAAACTTTGGAGGTATTTTACACCGAAGTTATATTCTCAAGGCATTTACCATTTGATTCTGATTGGTTTCACAAATAGGCAACTTGAGATGGGCTGAGGAATTTATACACAATTTTAAATGATTGTTTTATCTAACTCTTTTCCCTTTGTGATTGTACCTTTGCACTCTAGTTGGAATAAGAATGGTGTCACTTCTGCTTGAGTTTTCATACTGTACATTATAGACAGTGGATAGGGCTCCACTCTGCTCTGTCAGCGGCAGCCATTCTGGCTTGAAGAAAGAGGATAACCACATCTTTGCTTGTTTTTACCTAATACAAGGAAAGTCCATCCACAGGGCACAATTTATAAGTTTCTTTGTTAGCAGCTCCCAGTGAGAATGGATAAGAACACTATTTTTTGCTACTGTTTGCTACTAAGTGTTAACTGAGGCTAGTCTACAGGGCTCTGTCTCACTGTCCCCTTAGCATCAGTAGCTCCTGGAGAGGTGGAAAGACACCACCTTTTTGTTATGTACTTCTGGTAGCAAATAGGGTTAGTCATTGGAAAACTGGACCGTAATAGCCTGCCAACAAAAGACAGTGGTAAAGAAGGCCACTGCCTATATGCTGATTGTAGGCAATCACCCGTACCCTGCCCCCACAATCTCATTGGTGACAAATCTCAGTGAAGAGGACAAGGAATTGTTAAAAGGAGAAGGTAATTGTTGCCTGTTTGCAGCAACTACCAAAGTAAGGAGGGAGGGATAGTCCTCTGTTAGTGGCCATAGCAGGTGGAATATAATCAAAAGTGTCCAGGAAGCAAGATTGCAGGATAAAAGATCAGTATACAAAAATCAATCGCATCTCTATATATAATACAATAAATCCAAAAATAAAAATAAGAATACAGTTACATTCACAACAGCATCAAAAAAGAATAAAATAGGATAATTTAACAAAAGAATTTCAAGTTGTGTAGACTAAAAGTAACAACATTTTGCTGAAGAAAATTAAAGAATATTTAAATATTTAAGAGATATCTCATGTACATGAATTAACAAATTCTTTCCAAATAAGTCTTTCCAAATTAATCTAGAGCATCAACACAATTCCTCTCAAAATCCCAACAGGCTATTTTGTGGAGTTTGATATCCTATTTCTAAAATTTATGGGAAAATGCACAATACTATAATAAAAAGAATAATTTGGAAAAAATACAAACAGCTTTGGAGAATAGTCACTTCTAAATTTAAATAATTATTACAAAAACTATAGCTTTGAGAGTATGGTGTTAACTAAGGAAAAACATAAAGATATGTAAAAATAAATAAGAATATTGACATAAATTCTTACATTTCTTGTCAATTCATTATCATGAAGGCACTAAAGCAATTAATTGTCAAAGTATGGTCTGCGATTTGTGCAGTAAATGTTGCTGTAACAATTGCCTAACCACATAAAGTGAACTGAGACCCTTAATACCTTATACAGAGAAATTAACTCAAAACCTAACATAATTAAATGCAAAAGTTAAAAAAAAAATTTAGAAAAGAAAATAGAAGAAAATTATTGAGACCTTGTATTAGGCAAAGACCTTTTGTAGATATAATACCAAATCACAGTTCATTAAAAATAGGTAAATACACACCTCAACCAAATTCAAAACATTTTTACTTCAAAAGACACCAAATATTATAATACAGGCAACAAACAGTGAAAAAAATATTTACACAACAAATATTTGATAAAGGGCTTGTGTATAAAATTTATAAGAACACTTACAACTCAATACTAAGAAGTGATACAACACAATTTAAAAAATGAGAAAAAAATACGATGAGATATTTAATAAGCAGAGAAGACAAATGAATGGCTACCACACACATGAGAAAATGCTCAATATCATTAGTCATTAGGGAAATAAAAATTGAATGACAATGAGATACCGTTTCGCCCCCACTAAAATGCCTGTAATTAATAAGACAGATAAATAAATGTTGACAAGAATCTGGATAAACATTTGAAGCCCTCGTACATTGCTGGAAGGAATGTAAAATGGTGCAAAATCATTAACAAACTGGCAATTTCTTTAAAAGTTAAACATAAAGTTACTCTATGCCCCAGCAATTCCACTCCTGGGAATCCTGGCAGATTCCCAGGAAACATGCCTACACAAAGTCTTGTATGCAGATAGTCATAGTAACGTTATACATAATGGCCAAAAACTGGAATCAATATACATATCTTTCCATCTGCTGGTGAATATATACATAACATGCTTTACCTTTAAATAACGGAATACTATTTAACAATAAGATGAAGTAAACTACTGATGCACTATTATACGGATAACCTCATAACGTTGTGCTAAGAGAAAGTGGTCTGACATAACAGACCACATTATATATGATTCCACTTATATGGAATGGCCAGAAAAGGTAAATTTATGGAGACAGAAAATATAGCAGTGGAGCTTTGGGATAGGAGTTAGGAACAGGAAATATAAATGAGCATCAGGATCTTACTGTGGTGATGAAGATTCTCTGAAACTGATTTATATTTATGATGGTAGAAATTGATAAATTTGATAGAAATAGTTAATATGTAGACTTGAAATGAGAGTAGGTCATAATGTATAAATTTTAGCTCAAAAAAGCTGTTAAATAGAAGGATATATATTCTGTCCCTCAAGTCCTCTCTCCTGGTCCTATGATTACAAACAATGGGCTTTTCTAGATGATTTTCTTTCTTTTTATATCTATATTGGTTGGTATTTCTGAGTTGCTTACTGCACTTGCACCCAAGATGGGATAAATAGAATGCAAATATCTCAGGCTTCTCAGAATTGTGTCTTCTCTATGGTGTCGAGGTTTCTAAATATTATGCCTTCCCTTCTATACCTTTCAGAATCTTGTGATAGCTGTTTTTCTATTATGACTAGGGTTTTGGGTTGTAATTTGCTGGAGAGGTAGGGTCCGATGTACTTTACCTTTACTCCCTACTTTCATTTTATGTGTTCAATATTTTAATTAATAATTAATGAATTATAAATATGGGTTATTATATAAACATTTTTAACTTCTATTTACTTTTAAGTGCTTTAGTTTTTTTTTTCCTAATTTTTGGTTAATAATAGTTCTTTCTTCTTAAATTGATACATTTTATTTTATTGTAAATATGATTGCAGTTGTCTTAGACTGTTTTTATAATTTTATGTTAATTTGCTCTAAGTGATTGCCTAAACATTTTAAAAGCGTATATATTCTCCTAAGGAAAAATCCACTTATTCTGCTCTTTTATTCTGATTTACTGCCTTCAGCTAGCTAAAATACTGCTTCTGCTATTATTTGTTATGTGAACAATCCCTATTTGCATATTCCCAATAACGACTTGCAAATATTTTTACTCCAAATTTAATACTCAACTGACAACCTATTATAATTAATTTGCCTGTGGGCACTAGCAAAACATTCACATTGCACGCAATTAGGTGAGAGATTGTAGAGTCTTGTCATAGCTATTATCTCAAAAACACTTATTTCTGGATCAATTTGTTTATATGCTTTGGGCATCATTACTACTATTTTCAACACCTTATTAACTGACAATTTCTTCTAAGGTAGTAGAAAAGTCTTTGAAGAATGTAGGTGATTCTAATAGACCCATAATGATTCCATACAGAAGAAAAAAAATTGTAGCGATATGGGTTATTAAAGCGAGTGCCCAATTATTGGGTGAGATGTTTAAGAAAATACCACAATTCACAGCAAATGGACTATGCAAGGACCTTGTCTAGGAATTTTATGTTATTTCTAACAAATACAGGAAGTGATCGAAACAACATTAAAATTATGGGACTGAGAGACAAGAAGGCAGGAGAAGGTCAGAGAAAAATTCCTGCCCCTAAGGCCTTCATTTTGGGGTATTAATTCTTGAGCCCCAGTATAGGCCAGGCCAACTAATACACTAGGCAAAATTATGTTTTAATATGTAGTCCAATCTTAAAATCAGGTATTCTGGGTAAACAATCTCCTTTGTTCATTTAACTGCACTTGTTGCATTTTTCCTTCCATTTTGTTTAGACCAGTAGGAAATATTCACTAAGTAGACTACCTGTAACACTCATTTGCATTATATTGCTTTAGTGAAAAAGTGTTTTAATGTTATTTGAGCAAATATCCTCTTTCATTGAATAAACATTCAGAATATTTTCATTAGACATAATTTTGAAGCAGTGATATCAATAGCTAAGGATAGAATGTAATGTAACACGCGTTCAACAGATCGCCAAGATTGTCTATTAGAAAAGTTTTAATCAGCTTAAATGAATATATTATCTTCCTTGGATAATATAACTGTTATTTACAATTACTGAATAACACAATTTTGCATACATTCACCAAAGATCATATGATAGAAGTTCATATTATTTAAATACTCATTTATTAAGAAGGGTTTGTTATTAAGAATTTCAAAATTGTGAATAAAGGAGATCTTAAATCACATAGGAACATATCCTTGAGTCTTATTTTCTTGGAAAATGTATTTAATGTAGAAAATAGCCCGTACTGTTTTTAACATTTTAAAATCACATCAAGTTATAACTGTCTATGCCTCAGCCATAATTACAAATTATATGGTTAAAATATTGAACATATAAAAATATAAATATAAAAAGTAACAAAATTTAACAGTATGCTTTGTTTCCACATTGGAAGAGAAAATAAAATCATGACAAAAGCATGCAGGCCACATAGGCAGTTCTTCTAAAAAAAGCCAGTATTGAATTTTTATGGTCTTAAAATTTTAGCATTGAGCTTTATAAACTTTTAAAAGAATCTTAAAGTTTAAAAGGACATTAGATAGCATCTCATATGACTATCATATTTTCTAGATTAAGAGACTGATAAGAGAAACAGTATTTGCCTCAAGCCAAAATGCAAAACAAGTGGACCTGCAACCTAAGTCTGCTGACTCATATTTTGGCATTTTGTTGATAATATAATATATTCCTTTTTTCCACATGCTTGTCTTCCTTTTTAACAAACCTCTTCAGAGTAACAGCCATTTGGCAAATTCTAATGGTACTTAGACCAAATAGGGTCCTCTGGTTTCTATTGTACTTATTTGAATGATCTAAAGCAAAAAGACAATCCATACATTCCAATTATTTTGCAAATAAGAAAATGGTTATTAGCACTAAAAATATGGTATATTTAATAAACATTGTCCTATTGAAGAATATACTGAAGAGTAAATACATGAATGTATTTACAAATTACTGAATAGTAAATCTCCAAAATGGAAACACTATAATAGCAGCATCCATTGAAGTATTTTCCATCTTTAGAAATTTAACACTGACATGGTTACTGATACTCATACATGCAATTATATGATTTTTACTGCAAAATTACTATATTATATACATAGAGTGTTATATTTTGAAATGTATACACAGAATAACAGCGTAGGCATTTTGTCATGGCATCAATACATTTAAAGACTGCACCTTAAGTATATTCATACTTTCCCAAAGTTCAGATCTAAAATATGTTAACAATTTATGGTTAAATATGTGATGCTTTTTCACCATTTTTTTATATTACAAAGTTTTAGCTTAGCATTTAATAAATATAAACATTCAGAAAACTATTATATACTTCTAGGGTACTGGGAAATAACAGGTCTATTTGCATTATGCTCACTTCTCCAATTACTTCACCTGGTGGGGATGTATATATTTTCTTTGCTTGGTAATATTGCCAAACTCCTTTCCAGGAAGGCAATATCAATATAGTCCTCTACTATAAGTACAAATGAGTATTAGGCTCAACACAAACTTACCAGCTTGGGGACTGTTTACAAAAACAAGCAAAATAAAACAGAAACAGATTTTGGTTTCAAGTTGATATTAGTTTTAATTATTTTCAATGTTCTTCTAGTTCTTCTTTAGTCATATTTCACTTTATCATATGAACATTTTTATGAAAAAATGTTTATTTTTGTTATTTATTTACACTTTACTTATGTATAGAATCTATGTCTTCTCACATACTGTTGAAGGTGTCACAGAATTATTCCCTAGAATGTTCTTATGGTTCCTATGATGTGAAATTTTTCTCCATACGTCTTGCATCGGAATCTTCAGAATTAGGAGCCATTTACTGTCATTTTTTTTCTGATAGAGCAAACAGCTATTTCTTTTTTATTGTATTGGAATCAATAAGATCAATCAATTCCCCAATTCAAAAGGATATGGATTTGATCTCATTTACTAGCTGATTTCATTTTAGACGTTGTAGTTCTTGCCTCTGCTGATGGAGGATGGACTTGTAAAATTCACAGGTTAATTGCTAGAAATATTGCTTGTTGTTCTCCTATTATCACTGTGTTTCCAGAAAAGTTATCAAATTTACTATCTTGAAAACCTGCAATAACTTCATAAGAAGGAAAGAAATATTTGTACCTATTGGCTGTGTGTATATGTTTGCATTTATCTTTTTTTTTTTTTGAGATGGGGTCTCACTCTGTTGCCCAGGCTGGAGTGCAGTGACGTGATCTTGGCTCACAGCAACCTCTGCCTCCCAGGTTTATGTGAACCTCCTGCCTCAGCCTGCCGAGTAGTAGAGATTACAGGTGCCCACCACCACACCCGGCCAATTTTTGTATTTTTACTAGAGATGGGTTTTTGCCATGTTGGCCAGGCTGCTCTCCAATTCCTGGCCTCAAGTGATCTGGCACTCTTGGCCTCCCAAAGTGCTGGAATTACAGGCATGAGCCACTGCACTCGGCCTATATTCCTCGTAATTATTTTTCTTATTATAGTCAATCATTTATATTAATTATTACCTTTAAGCCAAGTAACAACCTTATTTTCTCTCGAGATATGAGAGAAAACTGGAGTACAATTTAGCTTTTTTTACTATAAATATTTATTTCAAATTATTTTTTAAAGTTTGAGGTAGGAAAATAAACAAATTTTACGTGTATAGATGCATTATTGAATATGCAATATAATTTACATATTAAAATATTATTTTGCATATTATATTATAAGAAATAAGAATATATTAAAACTGTGTTTAGTGGCCAGCGTTTTGTATGAGCTTCTTACTTAGAAATCATCCATGTATGTAAAAATTATTTCATAATTAAGTAAATCTTTTGTCTAAGTTCTTAAAGTTCCTTAAAAATGTGGAAATGATAGTTTTAGCAAACATGTTATACTTCTATTATTTGTAGCATTGTAAGAATTAAGCCCTGTTCTTGTGCAAATCAAAATATTATGATGACATTATTTTTATATGGTAAGCTACATTTTAAAGAACCTAATTTATGTCATAAATTAAAAAGAACATCATGCTCCTTTTTAAAAAAAAAAATCTTGTTACCAAGGCTTTTCCTCTTTACCTTGTAACTATAGAAACAAAGGCTATTATGTAAATACTATTTTCACTACCCACAAAAGAAACACAAACCTTTGAATATATTTTATTTCTTTTATTTTGACATTATGAATGATTATCTTGATATCTTGATAATCTTCATTATCTTGATAATCTTGATACCTAGAGTGCTCACGTAATGACAGAAGTCATTTTTTTTCTAGTTAATTCATCTTCAAGGTTTACTAATAGAAGGAGAATACAAAATAGAGATGCGAAAAAAGAAACATAAGTGAGATATGGTAAGCTTCAAACAAATACGAATATTACTGTAAGAGACAAATTATATTTCCTCTGCAAGTTGAAGGTAGAAACTTTAGATTAAAAAATAATCTGGATATATACATTAATGGATGAGAGGCATTACAGTTGTTTTAAATAGTAATTCAATTTTTTGACAATTTCATCAAACCATCACTTAATTCCTGAAGTATGGAATCAAAGAGCAGGAGTGTCTCTTATGTTAAACCAATGAACTCTTTCATTTGAACAGAAAAGACATTCTTCTCTGGAGGATGTCTTATCTTTTAGTCAGAGGACATCTCTCAAAGTTGTTTTTTATATCAAAATGTTCTCAAAATGCCACTACATATCTAAACTCTCAGTGTTTAATATGGCTTGGCTCTGTCCCCAAATTTCATCTCAAGTTGTAATCCCCACGTATTGAGGGAGGGACATGATTAGATTATGGGGCAATTTCCTCCATGCTGTTCTCATGACAGTAGTGAATACTCACAAGATCTGATGTGTGTGTGTATGTGTGTGCTTTTTTTTTTTTTTTTTTTTTGAGAGGGAGTCTTGCTCTGTTGCCCAGGCTGGAGTGCAGTTGCACTATCTCGGTTCACTGCAACCTGTGCCTCCTGGGTTCAAGTGATTCTCTCACCTCAGCCTCCCCAGTAGCTGGGACTATGGGGGTGCACCACCACGCCTGGTTAATTTTTGTATTTTTAGTAGAGACAGGGTTTTGCTACGTTGTCCAGGCTGGTCTCAAACTCCTAACCTCAGTTGATCCACCCGCCTCAGCCTCCCAAAGTGCTGGGATTGCAGGTGTGAGCTGCTGTGCCTGGCCCAGACCTGATGGTTTTATAAGAGGTTCTTCCCACTTTGCTCCTCATACTCTGTCCTTTGCTGCCAGGTAAGAAGGTCCAAGCCTTCTTCCCCTTCTCCTTTTGATAGTAAGTCTTCTGAGGCCTCCCAGCCATGCAGAACTGTGAGTCAATCAAACCTCTTTCCTTTATAAACTACCCAGTCTTGGACAGTTCTTTATCGCAGTGTAAGAATGGACTAATGGAGTAAATTGATATTGGGAGTAGGGCACTGCTATGAAGATACCAGAAAATGTGGAAGTGACTTTGGAACTGGGTAATGGGCAGAGTTTGGAACAGTTTGGAGCACTCAGAAGACAGAAAGATGTGGGAAAGTTTGGAACTTTCTAGAGACTTGGTGAATGGTTTTGACCAAAATGCTGATAGTGATATGGGCAATGAAATCCAGGCTGAGGTGGTCTCAGATGGACATGACAAACTTATTGGAAACTAGAGCAAAGGTCACTCTTGCTATGCTTTACCAAAGAGACTGGTGGCATTTTGCCCCTGCTCTAGAGATCTGTGGAACTTCAAACTTGAGAGACATTATCTGAAATTGGAACTTATGTTTAAAAGGGAAGCAGAGCATAAAAGTTTGGAAAATTTACAGCCTGATGATGGGATAGAAAAGAAAAACACATTTTCTGGGGAGATAGTGAAGCCTGTTGCAGAAATTTGCATAAGTAATGAGGAGCCAAATGCTCGTCATCAAGACAATGGAGAAAATGTCTCCAGGACATTTCAGAGGTCTTCACAGCAGCCCCTCCCATCACAGGCCCAAGAGGAAAACAAGGTTTCAGGTGCTGAGCCCAGGGCCTTGCTGCTTTGTGCAGTCTTGAGACTTGGTGCCCTGAATCCTAGCTATGATTAAAAGGGGCCAACATACCACTCAGGCCATTGCTTGAGAGGGTGCAAGCCCCAAGCTTTGTTGGCTTCCAGGTGGTGTTGGGCTTGCAGGGGCACAGAAGTCAAGAATTGAGGTTTGGGAACCTTTGCCTAGATTTCAGAGGATGTATGGAAATGCCTGGATGCCCAGGCAGAAGTTTGTCACAGGGGTGGAGCACTCATGGAGAACCTCTGCTAGGACAGTGGATTTGGGAAATGTGGGGTTGGAGATCCAACACAGAGTCCCCACTGGGGCACTTCCCAATGGAGCTGTGAAAAGAAGGCCACCATCCTCCAGACCACAGAATGCTAGATCCACCAATAGCTTTCACCATGCTCCTGGAAAAGCCACAGACACTCAATGCTAGCGTGTGAAAACAGCTGGGTGGGGGCTGTATCCTGTAAAGTCACAGGGTGGAGCTGCACAGGACTGTGAGAACCCACCTCTTACATCAGTGTGATCTGGATGTCAGACATGGAGTCAAAGGAAATTATTTAGGAGCTTTAATATTTAATGACTGCCCCACTGGATTTTGGTCTTGCATGGGGTCTATTAACCCCTTTGTTTTGTCCAAATTCTCCCACTTGGAATGGGAGCATTTATCCAATACCCATATCCCCATTGTATCTTGGAAGGAACTAACTTTCTTTTGATTTTGCAGGAGCACAGGCAGAAAGGACTTGCTTCTTCAGGTGAGCCTTTCCAGTTGGACTTTTGAGTTAATGCTGGAATTAATTAAAACTTTGGGGGACTATTGGAAAGGTATAATTGTGTTTTTAACTGTGAGGACATGAGATTTGGGAGGGGCTGGGGCAGAATGATATGGTTTGGCTGTGTCACCACCCAAATCTCATCTTGAATTGTAATTCCTACAATCTCCACATGTCTAAGGAGAGACCTGGTGGGAAGTGATTGGATCATGTTGTCAGTTTCCCCCATGCTGTTTTCATGATAGTGAATGAGTTCTCACAAGGTCTGATGGTTTTATAAGGGGCTCTTCCTCCTTCGTTCTTCATATTCTCTCCCCTGCTACCAGGTGAGAAGATCCAAGCTTGCTTCTCTTTTGCCTTTTGCCATGATAGTAAGTTTCCTGATGCCCCCACCAGCCATGCAGAACTGTGAGTCAGTTAAAGCTCTTTCCTTTATAAATTACCCAGTCTCAGGCAGTTCTTTTTAGCAGTGTGAGAATGGACTAATACAGTGTGGAAATTTTGACAGTTAGAGAAATATGTACGTAAGTTAATTTGTTAGTGAGGAATTCTAAAGTGAACAAGTGTTTACCTTGCAAAAGGTATAGTTTTGTCCTGAGAGGATCTATAAGAACCACGGCAGTCTGTAAAAATATACAACTTCTTATCTCCAGAACTTTGCCAAAGGTCGATTGTCGCATAGGAAATCTAACAAAATCAACCTAAAACTAAAAGGCCCCAATTGAATATTAGAACAGAATTCATCATGAAAGTACCGCCCAACCATGGGCAGGTTGGCACCTTGATCAGGTAGAGACTCAAGAGAGATCAGATGTGTTCACTCTTATTGGCTTGAGAGTCCTAGTCTAAGGCCACAAGGATCTTAATGGAATCACAGTGAACCTCCACTCTGTCAAAGATCTCCAGCCAAAAGTAACCTGAAATATACCTGTAGTCAAACAAATGTGGATTGATTGGTTTATTATAGCCGGTAGGATATGCATGTGGAACTACCCAAAAATACTACCAAGAATTTGTGAAGCCAAAAGTGCCACCAAGAATGTACAAAATTCCCCAAAGTAGAAGCAGTTCTTTATTTGAGATTGTTGCCTTGCATTTTATGTGAAAATAAAAGTGTGGAATAAAAATCCTGCAAATTGCCCATTTCTATTATACAGATATCAAAGACCTATTTGTAGAACAGATAATGAATAGCAGGCAAGTATGAACTTAAGAAAGTAACAAAAACCCAAAGCTATGAAAACAAGTAGCATTTCCGTGTCAGGTAGTAGTCTCAATCTTTTTAAAATGTCGACACTCCAGGGCATTTGAAGTTTTCGCAGACAGCATACTAGATATTTTGTTTTGTTGTTTTTCACTAAACAACACTGCTAGCATTTTGTTCATACATGTGTGTCTAAATAGTTTATATACTATAGAGAATGGGGGTAACTCATTAAAATAATATTAGAAATAAATGAGGGACTGAATATATAAATGGATGATGGCCAGTCCATATTACAAATTGGAACTCTCACTCACAATCTGTAGCAACTAGGTCAGGAAATAAAAACATTCTCTAAAATAAGCACCCCTGGAAGCCAGACTACTAGTTATAGATATATCGATATAGATATATAGA
This sequence comes from Homo sapiens, assembly GCF_000001405.40. Lineage (NCBI taxonomy): Eukaryota > Metazoa > Chordata > Mammalia > Primates > Hominidae > Homo > Homo sapiens. The sequence goes on from NC_000004.12 coordinate 171,491,687, forward strand.
TACAGATATATAGATATAGATATATAGATACAGATATATAGATATAGATTAGATATATTGATAGATATATATAATGTCAGACTAATAGGAAGTCAGAACACAAACCGGAGCAAAAACCCAGGGAACTAAGCAATAACCCCTGTAACAATCAGCCCCCAAATATCCAGGATTTGTTAATAAGTAAGCTCCCCACATTTGTCTCCACTCCCAACTTAGGACCACCTAGAGAATGCTAAATATGCATCCCTTACCAATCACATGCCTTCCTTTTAGTTATCTTCCGACGGACTCCCTGTAGCAACAGCCTTCAATCAGGGCTCACGTGGAGCCTTGCCTTTTTTCCACAATAAATCTTTCCCACTCTTCTGTCTGCCTTTGAATCTTTATCAAAAGGCAAGGGATAGTGACTGACTCCCTTGCTGTAGTATGCTCTGAATAAATAGCTAATGCTTGTTCTTTTCTTTTCTTTTCTTTTTCGGTTGGCCTTTGTCTATCTTCACAGGAAGCATAAGCAAAAAGTATTATCAAAATTGAGCTTAGGGTAGGTGATTGGGAGAAAGTTCTCAAACTCCTAGCATCAAGTAATCCTCCTGCGTCAGCCTCCCAGAGAGTTAAAATTATAGGAGTGAGCCACTGTGCCACACTGGGAGAGGGTTAAAGGAGGTGGGATGCATAGCTTGTATAAAGTATAATAGGAGTAATTCTGTAAGTAGGTGTATTAATTAAATCTGGAAAGAAAGAATGAAACGAAACTTAATCTGTAATTAGTAAAGAAGCAACAATCATATTAACCAGAGAAAGAGGTATTTGGCCACTTTTGTTGTTTGCAATATATCTGGTCTTTAGTATGAATATGGAGTTGTCCTATTGCCGTCTTGATCCATCACAGTCACAGAGTGGCCTTGTCTGCTGTTGGTGTTCAGTGAATAACTGATATTCAGTCATAGAATATTATGGCCTAAGGGTGGTAGGCAGGCTGGGTCCCTGAAACACCAAGGTCTGGCTAATGATGACAGGCAAGGTTCTGGTTACTAGAGCTACTTTTTACTTTCTCTAGACTAAATGATTTAGAGACGAAGTCCGCCCCTAGGAGTACTTGCTATGCGATATAAAGATGGCTACCCAGTTTTCTGTGGCACAGTATTTATCTCTAATATAAGAAATACATAGTGTAAGGCAGACCACATATCTTTCTACCCGCCCTCTCTCCATCATCATCTTCTTCTTTTCTTTAAATTAATTAATTATTTTTTTTTGAGATGGAATTTTCCTCTTGTTGCCCAGGCTGGAGTGCAATGGTGTGATCTTGGCTCACTGCAACCTCCACCTCCTGGGTTCAAGCGTATCTCTTGCCTGAGCTTCCCGAGTAGGTGGGATTACAGGCCACCAAGCCCAGCTAATTTCTTGTATTTTTAGTAGAGATGGGCTTTCACCATGTTCTCCAGGCTGGTCTTGAACTCCTGACCTGAGGTGATTAACCCATAATATTAATTATAATAATCAAATCATGAACCTACTTTTCTATTTCACAATATGTTTGCATTAATTTTTTTAGAAATTTGAAGTAAATTATTTCTAAAGTTAGAAAATTTAATCTAGAATTTTTTGCTGTTTGTGAATTATTTTCTTTCTATTTTTTTTCTTCTGCTGTGTATCCCTCCTCCAGAGTAATTTAACTCTAATTTTAGGGAAGTTTCATCAAGGAGTGATATAAGGTGCTATTTTAAACCTAAAGATTATGCCCTCCTTTTCCCATATACTTCGTAAAATATTCTAAAGATATTCGTGGCTAAAAAGCTATTTCAAGGTAGAAAAATGAACTAGAGAATAATTTAAAAGCTGATTATAGGCTGGGCACAGTGGTTCATGCCTATAATCCCAGCACTTTGGAATGCCGAGGACGGTGGATCACCTGAAGTCAGGAGTTCAAGACCAGCCTGGCCAACATGGCGAAACAGAGCAAGATTCTGCCTCAAAAACAAACAAACAAACAAACAAAACAAAAAACGCAAAAACGCTGATTGTAGAAATGGAATCTAAAGAAAGAAAGAAAGAAAGGAAGAAGAACAAAGCAGGGACAGAGGTTTAAAATCTTTTGAGTTGCACTTATGCAAACATTTCCTTTACAACTTTATTTATATAGTTAAATGGATCCTTTGCCTCCTTGTTGAATCACCTGGGTCCTTAGGAAGACTTGAAACTAGCAGTAAGGATAGAATGTTTTCAAGAAACAAGTATTACATTTATTTATGATAAAGAGATGTCATAAAATGCAGAGATCTTTTAACAGACATATTGTTTTTTAATTACAAGTAACTAAATGCCAACCTACAGAACGTCTACTCTTTGCTGCACCAGTAGATGAAGGATCCTCTGAAATTCACTCAGATTCACTGGTAAATAATTTTCCTTTCCTGGAGAGATGCAATTGAACAGAAATATGCACAATAAAAAATAACCCTACCTGTCTTTAGCATTCATATTGAAAATATGCTTGCTATTTACAGTAACTTTTTAAAAATCTGACTAAGTAGTGCATTGTGTCTGATACCCTTCATTAAAACCAACTTCCAATAAGTGGAAAACTTTTAGCTGTAAAAATGTCATTATCTTTACCCACTACCCAACCAAAATGGTGTTTACAATCAGATTTCTGATGAATGTAAAACATCTGAACTTTTCTGTTTAGAATGCCATTATACAGATATTTTGGCTTTCAATGGAGACCAATTAGTTCTATCCCTCTACATTCCTGAGTAAATAGAATTTCTTTATCAGTGCTTTTCCTTCCCCTGCATTTTGCAGTTTGTTGATTCTAAAGTGTATTTTCTGTAGTTATTTGTGATATGACATCTTGGTTGCTACACAGCAGTTCTCAGTGGTTGTAAATCAATTCCTTAAAGAAATTAATTAAAAAATTTAAAGCAGTTAATGCAGCTGAAGGCCTCCAGACTCATGGATCACCAGCTGGGTTTACGGAAGCCATCTGGTATATACTTATTTTTCTTTTTTCCTTTTTTCTTAGTTTGCAGATATATTGTTCAGTCAAGGTCCTTCCTTGAATGATTCAGAATGTAGCATCTTCCTCCAAATCCATCTGAATATAGGTAAGTATAGATATGTATTAAAAATGGAGATAATAAATATCATTTGGTGAATCATTTTATTACAATTATTATTCATTAATTTTCCTTTAGCTTTTCCTATAACTGCCTACTCATTTTTCTAAGTCTCAGAAAAATCCAAATTTTAATTAAGAAATTCTCAAACCCAAAGAAGACTTAGCAACATTTTTTACTAACAATCATTTTATAACATTGTTTCCTGTCTTAAAATGAAATTCACATATTCCATAGCTTACCTACATAAGTAACATAAACCAAAATAATGGCATAAATATAAGGGCATATATGCCCAAAAATATATAATCGTGATCAGTGTAAACATGAGACATAATTACATTAAAGGTTATATTGAAGTGGTGAGATGCCTACAATTTGAAATAGAATTACTGTAAGTGGTGCAAATACTGAAAGATACTATAATAAAATGAAGATTCCATATCCGATGTGAGAAATTTGACAGCTTTCAAATTGCTACCCCTCTCCTTTCCCCATATTTGGGTAATCTAATAAGATCCCTCACCCCCATTCACACCCCTCACCCCTGGAACAAACCCTCTGCCCCATGTCATAAGTCAAAATTCAAATAACAGCAGAGAACCTCCATCTGGGCTCCATTCTCTAACTGGAATAAAAACTCCAAGCCATTTGTCTCCTTTTGCTATTGTTTCTCTTCAGACTGAGTCTATCTCGTTGGACTCATTTCCTTTTTACTATGTGTGCAATAAACATTAGATCCTGGCACTCATATGTCATTACACTCAACATTCATAAATCTCTGGGGTGGCAGAGGAGGCATTCTCTTCATTCAGCGGAGATTGCCAAATAACAAAAAGGTACCTTTGTTTACTGTTGGTGATTTAAACACTAAAAGCGACTGTTGTATCATTGTAGGTATGTCTATTTTATATAGTATATATAAAGATTAATAAAGTTTGGAAAAAAGTACAATTTTCCCCTGATTTACATGTTATTTCCCTGTTACAAAATGTTAAAACATAGCCAAGGCTTACAGAACGCTTATTGTCTGAAAAGCACTATTTTAGGTTCCTTACATTTTCTCTTCACATCAACCTGATGGTGTCATTTATCATCACAGTCTTACAAATAGGAAAACCAATGCAGAGAGAAGATAGGAATCTTGTTCATGGTTACACAGCTAGTGACAAATTCAGATTTTAAATCCTAATAATCTAGTTCTGAAATCTTTGCTCTTAACACTCTAAAATTCTTAGATATTTTTGATTTACATGCAAAACAAAGTTAGATGCCAGTCTTAGATAATCAATCATAAAGCAGTTTTTCCTCCATATCTTTCTGCCAGGACACTCAACACTCACACAACATACAATAGGATGATGACTACTTCACATGTTGGAGGAAAGGGCCAGTCGACTGCCCATTGAGCCTCACTCACCTAAGATACACCATCCTGTATCTACTGTCCTGTGAAATAAAAATACCATCAAGAATTTACAAAATGCCCAAAGGTGGGGGTAGTCTCTCTGACACTGTTGCTTTATGTTTGATGTGAAAATGAAAATGTGTGCTTTCATTTTGCAAATTTCCCACTTACATGATGTTGGAATTAAGAATCTACTTGTAGCACAGACCAGGAAAAGAAGGAGATAAGTGGGACCTTGAATAAGTCACACAAACCCACAGGCCAGCATTCCATGTTGATATGGTAGCCTTTTTACATTTTGAATTGTCTACATTTGGGGCATCTAAAGCTTAGAAAACAGGTGGTATTTTGAGAACTAGATATTGTTTTTGTTATTTGGTTTTCCACTTAGCAGCATCTCTAGCCCATCATTAAGAAATGTGGGTCTAGTTTATAGAATTATTCTTAATCTCTTTGTTCTCACATTTCTACTCTTTCAAGTAAGAAAGTTTTAGACACAAGCCTTAGGGAATGATAAGGCAACTTAATATGCTTTATTTTCCATTTATTTAGGCTGATGATCAAAGGATCTATATTTAAAATTTCCAAGGCAATTAATCTCAAATAGCTTCAGAGATTTTTTTACTTCAGAATTTTTCCAAGATTGCTTTTGTCTAAAGTCATAGAAATGAGACCAAGAGAGAGTCAAGTCTATCAAAACATGTATGTAAAGTGTGTATTTCTCTATGCAATTTTGCCATACAGGACAAAGTGTGTTAACAGCCTGCAAAATAGTTAAGTTATGACAGAAGGGAACATTAGATTTTTTAATAGGTTTATTGAGTTTTTTAATGTTAATGTTAATATTTTCTCATTTTTTAATTTGTTTTTTCCCATAGGATTTTGCATTCTGTAAAAAAGTTAAACTATTATTTATATTTTTGATATTAAATTTAACATGGCAAAGTCTGATTTGTTCTTATGCCTTACAAGACATTTTTGAAAGTCTTATACTAACTTCCTTCCATCAGCATATTTGACCTTTGAAGGAATAGCATTTTACTTTGGTTTTTGAATAAATTTGGAGGTGAGTCTCTGCATTCTAATGCAATCACTGAATCACCAAAGAGATACTAAAGAAACCAGGGAATGCATCAAGAATTATTTATAAGCAATTCTAAAGCTCATAGATACACAGTTGCAAAGTTCGGAGAAATAAATGTGGCATTTATCAGTAACAATTTTCATGCCAATGGGATAGAAATTATTGAGTAAAATCCCATTGCAAACATCAGTCCTTAGCTGTCATTAGGAAAATGCTGAGAATCACATTTCCCAGCTATAGTCAATTTTAACGATATTCCCAGGATCAACTTCCTGTCAGAAGATGCTATTGAAAAAGCAAGACAACAAAGACAAACTCTTCTCAATGGGAAATTATCTTCAGACAAAGAGACATTCTGTGAACTCAACGATTAATAACCTTTAACTTTGCAATGTTTGACTTTGAAGTAGTGATGAACAGAATACAGAAATGAAAAAGCAGAAACAATGATTTCTCTACCCAAGTGTCTTTTTCATTTTAAATAATTTGTATTTAAAATCAACTTTCTTTCCTTGACTCAGCAACTTAAAATGTAAAGAGTTGCACCGTTTAGCAGGAATATGTTGAACTAGAACTCAAGAGCACTGGGCTTCAATTTCAGGATTATTAGGAAGTCTGACAACTATTTTACCTATTAAGAGGTACATGTGGATGGCTATATGACAAATGAAGTTGCTTTAAATAAGGTTGTTTGGTTTTTTGTTTGTTTTTTGAGATGGAGTCTCACTCTATCACCAAGGCTGGAGTGCAGTGGCACAATCTTGGCTCACTGCAACCTCCCCCTCCCAGGTTCAAGTGATTCTCCTACATCAGCCACCTGAGTAGCTGGGATTACAGGTGTCCAACACCACACCTAGCTAATATTTTTTTTTTGTATTTTTAATAGAGATGGGGTTTCACCAGGTTGGCCAGGCTGGTTTCAAACTCCTGATCTCAAGTCAGGATCCTCTCACCTCGGCCTCCCAAAGTGCTAAGATTACAGGTGTAAGCCACTGCACCTGACCTTAAAAAAGGTTTTTGATCTGTTCTTGGTGGAATTCCTGGATGAGACATGGTGGGGGTGGGAAGTAAGAGTGTAGGGGGTTGGGTAGCATGATTATTAGCTTTTAACCTTGGATTCAAACAGAATAGATTTGCATTTACCTATTTTATATGTTGAGCTGCTGCATAAGCTTTCATGTAAAACAAGTTTTGATAATTTACTTCTCTTTTACCCCAGAAGTTTGTAGATAATTTTTCTATAACAATTCCTGAAAATGAGAATAATAATTCTGAATCCCTTTTACAGAAGCAAAGGGGTTTTATTAATAAAAAACAAGGGCACAATTTTAAAAATTGGCTGATATTACTTTGTAAAGACTTTTCATGGCTCTGTGGTTGATCCACTTCAATGTTTTGTTAGTAGATATGAAAGTTTTGAGTGTTATTTGCTCTTTGGGTGATGGTAGATGCTGCTATAAACAGCCAGCCAATTCAGCTCTGACTACAACTGCTGTTCTCACTAGACTCCAGGCACACATTTTAGGAGAAGTAAATTATTGAAAGCTTGTGTGACTAGGTGACTGCCAATACATTATCCCAAACCAACACCCCCAATTCTGCATTGCACTTAGTCTTTTTTTAGTATGATGTTTCTACTTTGAGATTCAAAATAATAATAACTGTTCTTATTACAGCATTTTCCTCTTTTCACCAAAAGGAATTTGATTTTTATCAAAATCAAGGGCAGCATTAGAGGTCGAGCTACTTGGCCATAGATAACAGCACGTAGGGATATGAAAGGATACTAAAAGAAAGATAATATGAGTCACTAGAAGCCTTTCCTATTTGCTCAGAGTATCTCAGGTACAAAGAGAACTAGTGATTCCAGTGGAAAAGGAAAAATAAGATATTGGCCATGAACACACTTCACATACTGCCCAGAGCCTGATGACCAGCCTATTCAGTGCCCCCCATCACTGGTAACCCCATCACCTCAAATGAAGGACTGCTGTACACCATGCTTGCCCCTCACAGACTGGAAACCAGCCTGCCTGCTGCTAGCCATTACCATAGAAGTTGCTTGATAGAGTTTGGGTAATTGTTCCCTCCAAATCTCATGTTGAAATTTTATCCCCAATGTTGGAAGTGGGGCCTAGTAGGAGGTGTTTGTATTATAGAGGAAAATATTTCAAAACCAGCTTGGGGCCACTGTCATAGTATAAGTGAGTTTTCACTTTATTAGTTCCCATGAGATCTGTTTGTTAGAAAGTGCCTGGCACCTCCCTTCCTTTCCTCTTTCTCCCTCATCATGTGATGCCTGCTTCCCTTTGCCTTCCATAATGAGTAGAAGCACTTTGAAGCCCTCACCAGAAACAGATACAAGCACCATGCTTTTAGTATAGCCTGCAGAAATGTGAGCCATATAAGCCTCTTTTCTTTATAAATTATCCATCCTCAGGTCTTCCTCTGTGGTAATGCCAAGCAGACCAAGACACTGTTTCTGTGACCAGCAGAGCCAACATGTCTGGCACAAGCCTCTCCAGAGCCTGAGAACCAGCCCATCTGGCATCCTATGCCCCCAGCAAAGCTATGCCACTGCCTTCAAAAAAAAAAAAAAGGAACAAGAACAGAAAAGAAAAGAAAATGGCAGTCTATGCAGCTGGGGCATTTGCAGATATTGCTGGCATAGACTATAGCCAAAGTATCACAGGAGACTGCATAACTGCATGCATCTAGAACCATACCCAAACCACCCTACCCAACACTATGGAATATATCTAGAGGAAAAAGTCTCCCTTAGGAATGCTAGCTCATAAAATTGAACGAGGCAACTGTTTTTACCAGATGTGCAGATAACAATGTTAGGGTGACAAGAAACATGAAAAAGCTAGGATACATGACATTTTCAAGGAAAGACAACAGTTCTTTAGTAACAGTCCCCAAGGTAAAGGAAATCTATAAAATGCCTAAAAGTGTTTTAAAATAATTTTGAAATACTTTTGAATTTTTAATTTTTAAAGAAACTCAGTGAGATAAAAGGAAATACATATAGATGAATCAATAAAATCAGGAAAAGAATAATGATCTGAATAAGATATTCAACAGATAAATATCATAAAAAGAACCAAACAAATATATCAGAGCTGAAGAATTCAATAAATGATGAAAAAATTCAGTTGAGAGCTTCAGCAACAGACCAGATCAAGCAGATCAAAGACATTCTGAACTTCAATACATATCTTTTGAAATCACTCAGTCAGACAAAAGAAGAAGTGAAAGAGTAAGAGGAGAAGAAGGAGGATGACAAAAAGGAAGAAGAGGAAAAAAAGAAGAGGAGGAAGAAATGTTTTTAAATGAAGAAAGCTTACAAAATTTCTGGGACACCATTAAGTAAACAAGTATTCACATTAAGAGAATTCCAGTAGGAGAGAAAGATGGAAAAATAAAATAGAAAATTTATTTAATAAAATAATACCTGAAAATTTCCCAAATTTGGGGGGAGATATAGACATGCAGATTTGTGAAGCTCAAAGAATCCAAAATTGAATCAACCCAAAAAAGTCCTCTCCAAAGAAAATTATAGTCAAACTGTCAAAAGTCAAAAACAAGAAAAGAATTCTAAAACAAACAAAAATTTAGCAAGCCCCATAAAAGAGAAACTCCATTAGAAGGAGAGCAGATTTTCCAGAGGAAACCATATAGGCCAGAAGAGAATGGGGTGATATATTCAAAGAGCTAAAAGGAAAAACATGGTAACCAAGAATACTATACTCTTCGAAGTTCTTCTTCAGATATGTAGGGGAAATAAAATCTTTCATAGAAAAGCTAAATTGGAGGAAATTCATTACCACTAGGCAAGCCTCACAAGAAATTTCTTAAGGAAACCATACATCTAGAAATAAAGTACAATAATTACCATCATGAAAACACAGTAAAGTATAAAATTCATTGGTAGAGCAGGTGCACAAATGAGAAAGAAATCAAACCCTATAACTACAAAAAAAAAACCTGCCCACCAACCTGCAAAGATAAGGGATAAGAAAGAAAGAATAAAAAAAAAAGGTATACAAAAAAGCTCAGAAAACAATTAACAAAATGACAAAAGCAAACGCTCACATATAAATAATAATATTGAATGCAAATAGATAGTTCTTCTAATTTAAAAATATAGACTAGCTGAATGGATTAAAAAAACAAATCCCAACTATATGTGGCCTGCCATAAACTCACCTCATCTGTAAAGACACACATAGACTAAAAGTGAAGAGATGGAAAATGTTAGTCTATGCAAACAAAAACTAAAAGTAAAAAAAAAGGAGTTATAATTATATCAAATAGTATTTAAATCAAAATGGTAAAATAAACAATTAAGTTCATTTTATAACAATAAAGAAATCAACTCAGCAAGAGGATGTAGAGATTATAAATATATATGCACCTAACACTGGAGCACTCAGATATATAGAGCAAATATTACTAGAGCTAAGAAGAGAGACTCCAACACAATCATAGTTGGAGAGTTCAACACCCTACTGTCAACACTAGATAGACCATTTAGCAAAAAAATAAAGAAATATAGGACTTAACTGCATTTTAGAGGATAGGGACCCAACATACATTTACAGGACATTTCATCCATCAGCTACAGTATACTCATTCTTGTCATCAGCATATGGAATATTTTCCAGGAATCAAGAAACCATATGTGAAGTCACAAAATAATTCTCAACAAATTTTCAAAAACCAAAATCTTATCAAGTTTATTCCTAGACTACAATTGAATAAAATTAGAAATCAATAATTAAAGGAATGTTGAAACTATACAACTACATGAAAATTCAACAACATGCTCCTGAATGACGACCAATGGGTCAAAAAAGAAATTAAGAAGGATATTAAAAAATTTTTTGAATCAAATGAAAATAGAAACAAAGCATACTAAAACCTCTGGGTTACAAGTTTTGTATCATAATACTGCTTTTGTAGGATTAAGCAGCATTACCATGCAAGTTTATAATAAATGCCTACAACAAAAAGGTAGAAAGATTTTCAATAAACAACCTAACAGTATACTTCATGAAACTAAAAAAGAAAGAACAAACCAAACCCTAAATTAGTAGGAGGAAATAAGAAATAAACATGAGAGCAGAAATAAATGGAGACTAAAAAAATACAAAAGATCATCAAAACAAAGTTATTTTTTGAAAAGATAAAATAGACACATTATTAAACTAATAAAAAGACTCAAGTAATTAAAATCAGAAGTGAAAAAAAGAGACATTACAACTGACACCACGGAAATACAAGACCATTAGAGACCAATAAAAACAACCATAAACCAACAAACTGAAAAACCTAGAGGAAATGGATAAATTCCTGGACACATAAAATAAACCAAAATTAAAATAGGAAGAAATAAGAAGCCTAAACAAACCAATAAATAGTAATGAGATTGAACGAGTAATTAAAAAGACTTCCAACAAAGAAAAGCTCAGGAACACAAGAATTTATTTTTGAATTCTACCAAATTTTAAAAAAAGAACTAAAACCAATTCTATCCCAAAAAACTTGAAGAGAAGGAACTCACTCCTAACTCATTCTACAAGTCCAGCATTACCCTAATGCCAAATCATACAAGACGACAATAAAAAAAGAAAACCAAAAGCCAATATGCCTGATGAACATATATGGAAAATTTCTCAACAAAATATTATAGAACTGAATCCAGTAGCATCTCAAAAAGATAATATGTCATAATCAAGTGGGATTTGTTTTAGGGATATAAGGAGGAATCAACACATGTCAATGAATAAATGTAATACATCACATTAACTGAATTAAAGACAAAAATGAAATGATCATCTTAATAGATGCAGAAAATTTGATAAAATTCAACATTCTTTCATGATAAAAATGTTTAAGAAGTTAGGTATAGGAAAAAAATACCTCAACACAATAAAGATCATATATGACAAACTCACACCTAAAATATACTAAATAATTATAAGTGTATTAGTCCATTCTCATGTTGCTACAAATAAATATCCAATACTGGGTAATTTACAAAAAAAAGAGGTTTAATTGGCTTACAGTTCTGCAGGCTGCATAGGAAGCATAGCAGCTTCTGCTACTGGGGATGCTTTAGGAAACTTACTACCATTGTGGAAGATGAAAGGGCAGCAGGCATGTCTTACATGGCTGGAGTGTGAGGTAGAGAGGAGGGGAGGTACTACAATATCTCACAAGATATAAGGAGGATCATGTTAAATCATTAGAAACTGTCCCCATGATTCAATCACTTCCCGTCAAGCCCCTCCTCCAGCATTAGAGATTACATTTCAACATGAGATTTTGGTGGTGACATAGATCTAAACCATAATGAGTATGAACTGGAACAAGACAATGGTGTCCACTTTACCCTCTATTATTCAAACTAGAATTTGGGAAGACCTAGCCTTAGTCAAGAGAAAAAAAAAAAAGAATATCCAAATTAGAAAAGAGATTGTTTCTGCTGGCAAATGAAATTACCTTATATATAGACAAATCTTATGACTCTACCAAACACAAACAAACAAAAAACTTCTGAAAGCTAATGAACAAATTCAAACTTGCAGGACACAAAATTATCATACACAAATTAGCACCATTTTTATACACCAATGAGAAACTAGTTGAAAATGAAATCACTAAAATAACCTTATTTCGCGTAGCTACAAGAAAGAAATAAAGTACCTAGGAATAAATTTAATTAAGGAAATAAAATATCTCTACAATGAAAACTACAAAACTGATGAAAAGAATTGAAGGACACAAGCAAATGAAAAGGCATCCTATGGCCATGGATTAAAAAAATGACTACTATAAAGATAATCATACTGTCCAAAGTGATCTACACACTCAATGCTATCCCTATCAAAGTACTAATGCCATGTTTCACAAAAATAGAAAAACAATTCTAAAATTCACGTGGAACCAAAAAGGGGCCCAAATAGCCAAAGCAATCCTGATTTAAAAGAACAAACCGGGAGGCAACTTAATACCTGAATTCAAATTATACTGTAAACCTACAGTAAGCAAAACATTATGGCATTGTTAAAAAAGATACATTAACCAATGGATCCAAATACATAATCCAGGAATAAACTCATATATTTACGGCCAACTGATTTTTAACAAAGACGTAAAGAACATACAAAAAGGGAAAAACACTCTCCTAAATAAGTCGAGAAAACTGGATATCACAAGCAGAAGAATGAAACTAGACCTCTACCTCTCACCATACACAAACAGCAACTCAAAATATATTCAATATTTAAATATAAGCCTAAAAATTATGAAATTATCAAAAGAAAACATAGGGGAGATGCTTGAGAACATTGGTAAGCAAAAATTTTATAAGTAAGACTTCAAAAGCACAGATAACAAAAATGAAACTAGACAAATGAGACTGTGCCAAACTAAAAAACTTTTGCACAACAAAGGAAACCATGAATGGAGTGAAGATATGACCAATTGTATGGGAGAAAATATATGCAAACTATTCATCTAACAAATGATAAATATCTAGAATATACAAGGAACTCAAACAATTCAACTACAGAAAAAAATCCAATTAAAAATTGGCTAAGAATCTGAGTAAACGTTTCTCAAAAGAAGAGATACAAATGATCAACAAATATGAGAAGAAATGCTTGACCTCATTAATCATCAGGGAAATGCAGATCAAAACCATGAAAAATATCATCTCACCCCAGTTAGAATGGCTATTATCAAAAAGACAGATAACTAATATTGGCAAAGATGCAGAGTAAGAAGAATCTTTTATACACTGTAGGTGAAAATGTAAATTAATACAGCCATTATGTAAAACATAATGGAGGTTTCTCCAAAAACTCAAAATACCAGCACTTTGGGAGGCCACGGAGGGTGCATCACGAGGTCAGGAGATCAAGACCATCCTGGCCAACATGGTGAAACCCCATATCTACTATAAATACAAAAATTAGCTGGGCATGGTGGCACTTGCCTGTAATCCCAGCTACTCGGGAGGCTGAGGCAGGAGAATCACTTGAACCAGGGAGTCGGAGGTTGCAGTGACCCGAGATTGCACCACTGCACTCCAGCCTGGGCAACAGAGCAAAATTCCGTCTCAAAAAATAAAACAAAACAAAACAAAAAACAAAACTGAAAATACAACTATCAAATGATTCAGCAATCTCACTGCTGCATAGTTAGCCAAAGAAAAGAAATTAGTATATCAAGGAGATACATGCCTTCCCATGTTTATTGCACTACTATTCACTATAGCCTAAATATGGAATCAATCCAAATGTTTATCAGTGGATGAATGGATACAGAAAATATGGTACATATACAGAATGATATACTCATCAACAGGAATAAAATTGTGTCCTTTGTGGTAAAATATATAAGCTCAGAGGACATCATGTTAAGTGAAATAATCCAGACATAGAAATACAAATACTGCATGTATTCATTAATGTGTGGGTTCTAAACAAAAGTTGATGTCATAAAAGTAGAGAACAGTGTTGTTTTCTTTAGAAGATGAGAGGGCTGGAGGAGAGGAGATTATGGAGAGACCAGTTACTGGATACAAAATTATAGTTAGACAGGAAGAATAAGCTCTAGTATTTGAAAGCACTATAAGGTTAATAAATTTAACAATAATTTAATATATTTTTTAAAAAAGCTAGAAGAGAGGATTTTAAATGTTCTCAACCTATAAAAAATAAATATTTGAGGTAATAGAGATGCGAAGTAGCCTGATTTGATTACCACTCAAGTATACATGTGTTGAAGTATCACTCTATATCCCATAAATCTGTGTCAATTATTGTCAACTAAAAATGAAAAGTAGGTGAAAAAGAAGACAGAAAAGACAATGGGAGACATATGAAACATAAGAGGAAATACTGTGATCAGGTTTTCAATAAGTACCTCAAAAGTCAGATTTATTGTATAAGGATCTCCTGTCCAAAAAAACCACACATACCTTAAGTGCCTCCTGTATATAATCCAAAGGTAAATGGCATGCTATCTTCGTTCTCTTGATGAAGTTACCACTCTAGTATAGAAAGTGACTACTTTTATTAACCACAATCTGAACTTTTTCTCTAAGAAGCAAACACATTAATTTTATGGATAGGCTTTTATTAGTTGAAGAGGGAAATGTAGGATTTGACATAGGATATGTAAGATTTTTCTAGGAAGCCTTTATGTTTACTGCCTGATTTGAATAAAAAGGTATTTTACCTCTTGCCCTCCTTTACAATTGTCAGCAAAATGAATGAATTTCAACACATCTAGATAATTTGGTTTTAGGGAGTAAGACAATTAACTCATTTTTTCACATTTTGTTGCTGTTTATAAAGGATGGCCCTTTTTAAAACTTTTTAGCTACTTCATAGAATATCAACTTGAATAAGTCTTTACTTTTTAAAGTTAGTCGTATATAGAGCAATTGCAAAAATAATACAGTTAACTCCCACACACTCCTCACCCAGCTTTCCCCACTGCTAACATCTCATATAGCCATAATACAATTATCAAAGTTAAGAAATTAACCTTAGTACAACACCGCTAGTTAAATTACAGACCTTCCTCAGATTTCATCAGTTTCACCACTAATATCTGTTTTCTGCTCCAAAACTCAGTCTTGGAACTCACATTGTATTTAGTGGCCCTGTTTCCTTAAATTTCCTCCAATCTGTTCCTCGGTGTTACCGGTTGAATTGCCTGCCTCCACTGGCCCTGAGGCAACCCATTCATATATTGAAGTCCTAAATTCCAGAACTTCAGAATGTGACCTTATTGGGAGATAGGGTTTTTATAAATGTAATCAAGTTAAAATGAGGTCATTAGAGTAGACCTTGAGTCAATAAGACCGGTGTCCTCATAAGAAGGACAAATTTGGACAGAGACATGTAGAGGGAAAATGATGTGAAGACACAAGGAGATGAGGGACATCTACAAACCGGGAAGAGAGAGGCCTGGTACAGATCCTTCCCTCACAGCTCTCAGAAAGAAGCAGCCCTGATAGCCTCTTGATTTTGGACTCCTACACTCCAGAAATTTGAGACAGTATATTTCTGTTGTTTAAGTCAAGAAAAGAAAAGTTAACTTTATATCTATATTCTATTATTATATTAGGCCTACAGTTCAAAACATGCAAATGTCTTTTCTGATTAATTGCAAAGTTTGGTTTCCTAGATCAATGCTCTACATGAGGAGCAGATTACTTTTAAACATTGTTAATTCACTATTGATCACTGTTAAACTCTGTGGCACCTAGTGGAGAAACTCCGGTAGAATAATTTATCAGTGTTTCTGTCTATTATAAAGTTTTTAAAAGTCTCTATTTTGCAACTGCTGTGTTTGAGTTGCTTATGTTCAATATATCCTCCACTTCACCCTGTTACTGATACCTTGATACAACTTGGATTTTACTGAACCTGTTAACAGTAATTTTAAGTGGCATTATTATGAGTTTTTTATGTGAGGCTTTTTCTTTTTTAATGTGTATTTTAGAGGTCTATTCTATTCATGGATGAGTTTTTCATCTGCCCCCAACTCTGTACCCTCTGCAGTAGAAAATAGCAATGAAGGATTATTTTCTACATGAAGAAGACTTAATTGGTATTACCCCAAACATAGAATATCATTGTTATGTAGCTAACTTGGCCTTTCCTTCAACCATAGGCAATAATTATCTGAGTATACTTCATTTGAGTCTCTGACATAAAAAGATGGCCTAAGAAAATAAATCTTCCCCCCAAAATGAAAATTCAACAATGCAATAACACTTACAAAATTATTCCCACTAAAACATCCTCCTACATTTTACTCATGATTATTCTTTAAAAGATATAGTGGACATATAAAAATTCAAAGCAAATTAATATTAAATTAGAAATCCTAAAAACATATTGGATTTTATTAGGTAAATAATTATGTAAATTAATGTAAAATTAAAGGATTTTAAGGGACTCTGAAAATGTGATGAACCACTGAAACATTTTACAAAATGCTCTGATTTCTTTCACTGTAATATTTTTATCACAAAACTAACACATACATTATGACCTACTTTAACACTTGTTATCATTAATGTAATAATCAATTACTGACTCCCCCAAATAAAAAACCTGACAAGCCTTCTTTTGAAAATGTACTTTATTCTCCATATTTGGTCACTTTTCACGTTTATTACCTCTGATTTTTTACCTCTAATTTTTTCACTTTTTACTTTCACCACTGATAGTATTCCTGGTCAGAAACTAATAGACTATAGCCTCATCTGTGAAAGTATTTGCTAGCCTTCTTCAACATTCTCAAAGAATCCTTCTATATACCTCAAATGTAGATTTTTATTATGTTGTTTGAAAAGAGTTTACAATTCTCCCTCACTAAATTATGCTTTCTTGAATTGTACAAACCACATTTTGTTTATAAAACTATTCTAGTGTCTATGAACATTTGTCTTTCACAGAAATGGTTGTCAAAATATGTTAAAATAACAATTTAGGTTAGAATAGATACAAAAGAAAAATAACTTCCATATTAATAAAGTGGGAAACTGTGTTAATTTCCAACATAAAGTTCATTTAAAAAATATTTTGGTTTTTGAGTCTGACTTTATTTATTTTAGCTGTAGAAAGACTTACTAGATCCAAGTGGATTTAGAAGTAAATTATTTCACTGGGGATGTGTAAGCTGTGAGTGACTGCTGTTAGCAGTTTGGATTGAACACAAAAGACATAAATATAGTAATAACTTGATTAGGAGGTAAGCAGAAGAGAAAATAGAAGTTTGTTTTGTATTTTTGTGTGTTTTTACTATGATGTATAAAATTCTTACCATTCAAAAAAAAATCACAAAACTTCGTTCAACTGTAGATTCCTGCTGAAATTCTAGAGTAAGCAATGGGCCTTTCATTATGATTTCTTCCCTCAAATCAGTTTCCTGTGTATTTTGTAACTGTGATAAGTTTCATGTCTCTCTCAACTACTACTGCTTTCACCAGTGTTATAAAAAAAAATTGTGTGGTATATAAATTCTTATGGAAATGTAGTACTAAAAAACCAATGAACTTTTTTACTATGGGAAATTCATCCTACATAGGATTTTCAGAATCTTATTAGCTAGATATATCAACCCTGGTAAATGATTAATCCAGTATATGGGGAGCCATATAACTAAACTCTCAAAATGCAAGATACATAGAATTTAGGAAATGTATGTCTTTATGCTTAAGGCAACTTCATTTACTAACTTTTCAAATTTGTCCTAGTTTTTACTTGAACAATGTTCAAACATTAAATGTGTCCCCAACTCAAATACATACACTAGCAGGAGGATTTAGCCTTAGAGTGCCAGATGTCTTAGCTGATTCTGGACCTATTTATAAGTCATAAAACTATAGAACTTCTAGAAGAAAATCTAGGAGAAAATTTTTTAACTATTGGATTAGGCAAATGTTTTCGAGGGACACAAAATCACCAACTATAGAAGAAAATCAGTGATAAATAAATTAATTCAAAATTAGTAATTATTATTCCTTGAAAGATAAACAAATGAAAAGGAAGCCACAGGCTGAGAGAAAGTATTTTCAAAACACATATCAGTTAAACAACTTACATCCAGAATATATTATGTACTCTTCCAACTCAATAAGAAGACAAATGATTCAATATTAAATGAATAAAAGATCTGAAAAAAATACTTCACTAAAGTAGATAAATGGATGGCTAATAAGCCCTTGGAAACATGCTCACCATCACTAGCCATGAAATACAAATTAAATTAAAATACAAATCACATGCAAATTAAAACCACAATTAAATATCACTATGTACCTATTAAAGTATCCTAAATTTAAAAGTATAGCTATAGTAAGCAATGCAAATTCTTATATATCATTGAGATTTAGAAAAAAGATACAGCCTACTTAGATAACAGTTGAACAGTGTATTACACAGTTAAACATACAATCACCATGTGATTCATTGATTCCTATTTTTGATATACATACCCAAGATTAATTAAAACATGTCCACACAAATACTTATAATCAAATTTTTATATAATTCCATTCACAATCACTGCAAAATAAAAAGTTTAATGTCCATCGTCAATTCATGAATGGATAAAAAATGTGATATATCCATCAATGGAATACAATTCATCAAAAAATAAAAAAAAAACTGATACACAAGTGACATAGGTGAAACTCAAAATCACTTTGCTTTTTGAAGAAAAAAGATGACAAAGAGTATATACTTTATAATTGCTATAGTTTCTTTACATGGAATTCAAGAAAAATCATTACTACAGTAAAAAAAAAAAGTGGATTAGTAGTTTCTAGGTAGACGGGGTGCATACATTTAGTGATCTTGGCTACACAGTAACAGTTACCTGAAAATATATTTGTCAATAGCATTTGAATTATAAGCTTAGAAAAGCGTATTTCCTTTTATGTAATTAAAGCTCAGATCTAAAAATACTTTAACAATATATAAAACAGAGTTGGTAAGCAGGAATACAAACATAGAAGAATCAAATTATTCATTTGGGTACAATTTAGTTGTGTATTTTATTTATCATGTCTAACTTGTGAAATAAAAAGAACTAAATTACATGACAAAATAGCTCACAGGGTAATAAAATGGTATAATTTTATTTTTCATTTATCATTTAGGAGATGGATTAATATGTTGCTTATTGGCTTTGATAAGTTAAATACTCATGATAAAATTTCTAAGACAAATACTAAATAATAAAAAATAATTACATAATTACTACCACCTAAAATGGGCACATGAGTAGAAAAATATAGAAAAACCAAACACAGAAAATGATATTTTAAGAGAATCTACATAGTTTCATTATCAGAGTGAATTTAAATAGACTAATTGTGTCACATGAACAAAATAATTATCAGATTGCATATTAAAATCTAATTATATGCTATTTATAAGATATACACTAAAATCATGAGACTATAGAAAGTTTGAAAATAAAGGCATGAAAAAATATGAGAACACAAAACAAAGCAAAACAAAAAATTGGGGGCTGTTACTCTAAGATAAAGCATTCAATTAACAAATTAAGAAAATGATAAAATAGTCTAAACAATATGAATCGACAATAAATACAACAGTAGAGAAAAATAACAAATTTGTCATTATGTAGCAGGATGAGCTGCAGACAAAACCCCTTAGACACCGAGTTGAGGAAGGAAAGGGCTTTATTTGGCTAGGAGCATAGGCAGACTTACGTCTCAAAAAAACCGAGCTCCCAGCTGAGTGAGCAATTCCTGTCCCTTTTAAGGGCTTACAACTCTAAGAGGGTCGTGATCTATTGAGCAAGCAGGGGGTACGTGACTGGGAGCTGCATGCACCAGTAATCAGAACTGAACAGAACAGGACAGGGATTTTCACGATGCTTTTCCATACAATGTGTGGAATCCATAGATAACATAAGCAGTTAGGTCAGGGGTTGATTTTTTTTTTTTTTTTTTTTTTTGAGACGGAGTCTCGCTCTGTCGCCCAGGCGGGACTGCGGACTGCAGTGGCGCAATCTCGGCTCACTGCAAGCTCCGCTTCCCGGGTTCACGCCATTCTCCTGCCTCAGCCTCCCGAGTAGCTGGGACTACAGGCGCCCGCCACCGCGCCCGGCTAATTTTTTTTTTTTTTTTTGTATTTTTAGTAGAGACGGGGTTTCACCTTGTTAGCCAGGATGGTCTCGATCTCCTGACCTCATGATCCACCCGCCTCGGCCTCCCAAAGTGCTGGGATTACAGGTGTGAGCCACCGCGCCCGGCCAGGGGTTGATTTTTAACTACTAGGCCCAGGGCGTGGCGCTGGGCTGTCTGCCTGTGGATTTCATTTCTGCCTTCTAGCTTTTACTTCTTCTTTCTTTGGAGGCAGAAATTGAGCATAAGACAATATGAGAGGTGGTCTCCTCCCTTAATTATGGTATGCTATTGCATCACAGTTCTTCCAATTTTGATGTTGCTATGGTTTGAATTTTTCCCTCAAAGTTCATGTGTTAAAACCTAATCCCCAACACAACTTTAAGAGGCGCTTAACTCATGAGGGCTTCAGCCGGATGAACTGATTAATGTTGTTTTTGTGGGAGTGGGATAAAATAATGAGTTTGGCCCCCTTCCCACAAGTTCTCTAATTCTTACCTTCTTTTGCCCTTCCTCCTTTCACAATGAAATGAAGCAGCAAGAAGATCCTCGCCAGATACGTGGGCCTCTTGAACTTGGACTTCCCAGCCTGCAGAATGGTAAGAAATAAATGTCTTTCTTCTGGATCAAACCAATCCCCTGAGCCCTATGCAAATCAGACACCACCTCCTCCAGCCTCCTCATATAACTGGCTAATTTCCGCTGCACTCAGGGTTTTCTCTTCATTCGAATCCCTCTTCCCTCTGCCTCTGTATGGGGGAGCTGTTTTCTTCTTCCTTCCTTCTTTCTTGCCTATTAAACTTTTTGCTCCTTAAAACCAAAACCAAACAAACAAAAAGAAATAAATGTCTTTTCTTTGTAGATTACCTAGTCTATAGCATTATGTTATTACAACACAAAATGGACTAAGAAAGATGTTTTACAGACAAAAATTCAATAAAAACGTAAAGTTTTGAATGACACAATAACGACTTTCATTTATTGAGATCATGTAGAACTATAAACACAATAATGTGTGAATTGCTTGAGCACATATAGAACATTTGCAAACAACTGGCCACATTCTAAAATAAAAATCTATTTTCAGTAACTATTACATGCTGACAATGATATAAAACTCATCCTGTAATGATAATACAAGTAAATTTAAGTCAATCAAAATAGAAAACAAAAATTATATAAATTGAATGTTTCAAAGCACACTGATAAAAATCTCATAGTTCAAAGAAATATTAGTTCTATGAGAAAAATCTCATAGTTCAAAGAGATGTAATTTATAAAGCGATTAGAATTTTTATATATGCATATCGATAAATGTAATAGTGACAAGGGTACTCAAAAGATGATTATTTTAATAAATGCTTACCATAAAATAATGTGAATGTTAATAATTATTTAAACTTAATATATAAGCAAAATAACAAGAAAAATGATTATATTGCAAAAGAAATAATACAGAAAACAAAAACATAATAGAAGATGTTGGCAAAGCCAAAGCTGATTATTTGAGATGACTAATTAAGTTATAATATCTTTTCTTGAAGATAATTGAGAAAAATGAGAAGGTAAAAATGAAGGTAATGATTTAAAAGACAAAACATTGGTATAGGTCTAACAAAGGTTTAAAAATATAATACTAAGAAAATTGGTATGGTAATAAATTTATAACTTAGAAGAAATGGACAACTTTCTAGGAAAAATTCTTTAAATGTTTTATTTTAATCATTAAATTAATTAAATCATTTTAAAACATATTTCTTGAAACACCAACTGATATGATATTTCACATGAATTTTGTCAAAATGTCAAGAAACAGGTAATTCTTCCTTCAAATAAATAAGTTTGTCACAGAATATCAAGAAAAGAAAATATTACTAGCTTTCTTTCCAGAAACTGAAAGCTATCTTAATATATAGCAGTTTCTATAGCTGACCACGTAGGCAACTCTGTAACTTTCTACATATATATCGAATGTTATTTTATTCCAAAGCAGTATTTATCAGTATACATTCACAATAACTAATTATACAAGATCTTATTTCATATTCTCTCCCAAACTGGGTATTAACACATATCTTAATTGTAGCCAAACTAGTGGGCATAAAATTCTATCTTATGGTGATCTCCTTTATCATTTCATTGATTACAAATGAAGTTAAGAACATATTTTCATGTGTTTATTCATCCTTTTACTCTTATTTTAAATTATAAGTCCTTTCTTTTGCTTGTTTGTACTTTGTTATTTTTCTTTTATTTGATCCACAGGAATTCTTTCTATATATTGGATCCTAAGTATTTGTTGGTTTTAGATATAACAAGTATCTTCTTTTAGTTTATATCTTACAACTGTGACAGGTCAGAGATTTTACTCAAGTTGCAAGGTCACATGTTAGCTTGCCACAGTGTCCTAGATGTTGAAGAAGACAAAAGATTCCTAAGAGTAATGAGACGTTATCACTCACAGCACAGCAAATGGCATGAATATCAGTATATTTGCATCGGCTCCCCTTGCCCTCAAATTCTAAGAGAGTGAAGAGATGGGTCAAGGTACATACCATTTGCAGAGTGGGTATGATTCACAGCTGAAGTACCCAGGTTAAGGATCCATTACCTATTCACCAAAGAGTGAACATTGCAGACGAGTTTACTGCTGTCTACAATGTTCACTCTTTGGTCAATAGGTACTGGGCCCTTAGCCCTGTTAATACCCAGTTTGGGGGAGAATATGAAATAAGATCTTGTATAATTTGTTGTTGTGAATGTATGTTGATAAATACTGCTTTGGAATACAATAACATTCAATACACTCTAATCCTGCAATATTGTTTTACAGTCTTGGAAGCATGCAGTAGGGGACATAAGATAGATTATTAATGCAATGCCTTTCATAAGGGAGTACACTGAATATAACTCAATATTCATTGACAGAAGGGAGTATGGATACTGCACTAAATAAATATTTTACAGCTATGATATTGAACAAACTACAGCAACATTCAATAACATGAGTGAATCTTTAGAAAAATAAATTTTATAGAATAGTATGCTTCTATAAAGTCCAAAGCTAGCAAATTTTAAAAATAAAAATATGTGATAAATTATTAAATTCATGCCGTAGTTCCAAAATTCAATATAGTTGTTTGGCAACAGTGCAGAGAGATAACATTTGCAGCTGTATACATATATAGCCAAATTTATTGGTAAGATTCCATTTAGGTATGGTAATGTGGTCATGGTTATTTATTTGTGTTATGTTTTGTAATATATAAATATACATTATTCTTAATCAAATATTGCATATTGAAACTTTAAACTGCATATGATAAATCAAAATGTAAGTATTTGTAGTACAAATTGAGGGAAAAAAACAAGTTCATAATTTAGGTATTAAAAGCAGTTTCTGAAAAGTCTAAGTTGGATAACTATACAAATAATTTCACTCAGCTCTTGAATTTTCTAACAATATATTTAGTTTTCAAATTCCAGGATACTTTTTTGCTCAGTCCTGTCAAGTCCACAGCTTTTGTTTAATCATATAAAATATAGAATATCTTCTCCTGTTCCAAAAATTATTTAGGTCCTACTTTGAGCAGTGAACTCTAATTGTTTAAGTATTTTAAATATATTGCGGATATGCTGTGAAGTCCAGGCTGAAGCTGTGTTTTACTCTGAAAGGAAGTACTAGATTCACTCTCTCTACAAGCTTTTTTTATTAATAAAATATTTACCAATTTTAGATTCATGTTTTCTTAGACAAAATACAGAAACAGTAGTGTACATATCTCTAATAAAAATTGTAAATGTAAGTTATAAAATCCTATTACTTTTTAATATTATCTTCCTGAAAAGAGTATGATTTATTTCCCCATAAACCATCCATATTTATTGTCTTTGTATTGTGTCCAGTCTTGCAGACCAGAATAGAGTGAGGGAAATGCATTCATTAAACTCATCCTGAGTTCATAGAAATAAGAGTTGTCAGTAATTTCACCCATTGACTTAGACGTGAGTTAAGTTTCTTTCACAGAATGAATATATATGAAGTCATATGTCATTTAATGATAGGGTAGGGATATGATCTGAAAAATGCTTTCTTAGGTGATTTTATTGTATGAACATCATAGAGTATACCTACATAAACCTAGATGGCATAGCCTGCCATACACCGAGGCTCTATGTTATAGCCTATTGCTCCTAGACTACAGACCTGTACAGCATGTTACTGCACTGAATACTGTAGACAATTGTAACACTATGGTATTTGTGTATCTAAATATATAAACATTAAAATGGTACAAGCCAGATGTGGTGACTCTAGTTTGTATTCCCAGTGTTTGGAAAGCCAAAGTGGGAGGATCTCTTGAGGCAAGGAGTGTGAGACAAGTCTTGGCAACATTGTGAGACTCCTTCATCTCTACAAAAAAAAAAAAAAAAAAAAGAGAGAGAAGAAAGAAAAAACTAATTGGTAGAGTGTGGTGGTGTGTGCCTGTAGTCTCAGCTTTTGGGTAGGCTGAGGCAGGAAAATCTCTTTAGCCAAGAAGTTTCAAGCTGCAGTTAGCTGTGATCACGCCACTGCATTCTAGCCTGGGTGACAGAGTGAGACCACATTTCTTAAAATAAATAAATAAATAAAAAGGTATAGTAAAAAATAATACATTTTTAATATACCAGTGGTCCTGGTGGCATGGAACCAGTATTACATATGAGGTCCATCATAGACTGAAATTTTATTATGTAGCACATGACTATATATATTCTTCCCTAATTCTACCTTCTATGCCTTATGATTCACAAGGAAAAAAAAGAGCAATAAGTTAGCATTGTTCTCAAAATACTGGTTTCTCTTTCAATATGTTTCAACAAATTAGCTATAATCCGCTGTAAGTCAAGCACGGCAAGTCGTTAATTCTTGTTAATTTTCCCTCAGATTAAGGTAAAATACAAATTTCCCAACTTCAGGAATTTGGCCCAACCACAAGATAATAACAAAAACATTAAAAATGCATATTTTATGTTGCTAAGAAAAAATACCTATGTCACAAACTTTGTATACAAGAAATCTTCCCAGAGGAGAGTTTTGTGAGGATTTTCTTACCTATAATTTTCTTTCTATTTCAAATAATCTGTGTTTGTTATTTTGTGTCATGCATAGTGAGCATATGAACCAGAAAACTCATATTTTTTGTTTGTTTTTTGAAAGTAAGTCTTTATTAGCCTGCTGTGGGAAACACACTACATTCTACATTCTTTTTTTTTTTTTTTTTTTTTTTTTTGGAACAAGGTCTCATACTGTTGCCCAGGCTGGAGTGCAGTGGTATGATCTAGGCTCACTGCAACCTCAGCTTCCTAGGCTTAAGCAAGCATCCAGCCTCAGCCTCCCAAGTAGCTGGGACTACAGGCGTGCAGCACCACACATGGCTAATATTTTATTTTTTTTGTAGAGAGGGGGTTTTGTCATGTTGCCCAGACTGGTCTTGAACTCCTGAGCTCAAAGCAATCCACCCGCCTCGGCCTCCAAAAATGCTGGGGTTACAGGTGTGAGCCACCATGCCTGGCCTTCTATGTTTCTTTATCTCTCTACTTACCTTCAATATTTCTTTGCTTGTTGAGTGTAATGGGCATGTAGTTCTTTTAGAGATTAACCGCTGGAGTGGATAAGTGTTCTTTGCAAACCAATGAATTCTGGGCAAGTTTCTTTTTACTCAGCTGTTTACATGAGTTTGATGGCTAATTTTTGGTGTCAAGCTGACTGAATTAAGGACTACCTAGATAGCTGATAAAGCACGATTCTTGAGTGTCTCTCTGAGGGTGAGGGTGTTTCCAGAGGAGACTGGTGTGTGAGTTAAAGGACTGAATGGGGGAGATCAGCCCTTAATGTGAGCGGGCTCCATCCACTTGCCTGGGGACCAGATGGAACAGAAAGGCAGAGGAAGGACAAATTTCTGTTCTGTGTCCAGAAGCCAGGACACTCTCCTTCCTCTGCCCTTGGACACCAGTACTGAAGGTCTCTGACCATTGAACTCTGGATTTGCACCAGTGGTCCTCTGGGTTCTCAAGCCTTTAGGCTGTGACCGAGAGTTACACCACAGCTTTCAGACCTGGACTGAGCCACATTACTCACTTTCTTAGGACTCCAGTTTGCAGATGGCCTATTGTGAGACTTCTCAGTCTCTATAATTGTGTAAGCTAACTCACCTAATAAGGCCCCTCTTATCTATTATCTATCTATCTATCTATCTATCTATCTATCTATCATCTATCTATCTATCTATCTATCTATTATATCCTATTGGTTCTGTCTTTCTGGAGAACTCAGGGTAAAACAATTAGTCAAATACTTCTCTTCAAGACAAAGTGGTACATTTACTATGAATCTATAATGTAGGTCTAGGATGGTAATTTTTAAATGACTGTGTGCAAATCCCTCAAGGGGTATTATGAAAGAAATATTCTCTTTATTTTCCATTTATTCTCCTTCCCTCTGAGGATCCACATTGACTTAAACGTATTTGCAATAGCGGGAATAAAGAAGTGTGCCTGTGGTAATTCTGGGTGGGGAACACTTCCTGTCAGGCTTCCCTGTGATAACTTTTGCATTTCTGGTGAACCTCATGCTAGGTTACTGCTCATCTGTGTAAATGTTTCCCAGTTTGCCTGAAAAGTTACGTAAGTTGCCTTTTCAACCATGAAGTAAGATTACTTCAAGATGGTTAAAATAGTTACAGAAGTTTAGATTTACCTTATAACAGTAATTCTTTTTTTACTATATAGAATTAAATATATATATATGTATATACATATATTTGCAAAAGCTGATTTACTTTAGTGTGCCATTTATAATAGAACATAGTAATTTTCAGTGGTTTTAGCTTTTCAGTTTTGATTATATAAGAGAGGAAAACTAGACTATGACCTTCATCTTTAGTGTTAACTACAGATTCCCTAACCACTCTTACAAAGGGAGTTCAGTCAAATTGCCTAGTTTACAAATAAATCCATGAAGGCGTTTTTAAACTGCGTTAAACACTTTGAATAAAAGTATGATTATGGAGGGTTATTTACAGAAAAACTCCGTGAAACTGTGTTTTCACAGTTTCCTCACACCACAACAAGGAGGAAGTTTCCTCCTTCCTCACACCACAACAATCGTCAACACAGAAGATTTTTATGAGCAAATGTATTGGGGTTTCCCCCCACCACCAAGCAGTGGACACCAACTGGGTGTCTTCCAGTTCAACTCTGACACTATCTACCTGGAAATACTGTCAGATCCCACAGGATGAGGGCTCAGTCCCCAAGACTACCTCCCCACAGACATCATCACAAGTCTGGGCCTCT
Organism: Homo sapiens; assembly: GCF_000001405.40. Taxonomy (NCBI): domain Eukaryota; kingdom Metazoa; phylum Chordata; class Mammalia; order Primates; family Hominidae; genus Homo; species Homo sapiens. The sequence goes on from NC_000004.12 coordinate 171,519,331, forward strand.
GAAACTTCTGACTGACTGGCTTCAAGTTGGGGTTCCTACAATACCCTCTTTGGGTTTGATTAATTTGATGGAGCAGCTCACATTACTAAGGGAAACACTTATGTTTACTGGTTTATTATAAAGGATATTACAGAAGATACAGATGAAGAGACATAGGAAGTGGTATGGGGAAAGGGGTGCACAGCTTGCATTGGCCCCCCTGGGGCACCACCCTCCAGGAGCTTAAACATTTAGTCGAAGCTCCCCAAACCCTGTCCTCTAGGGCTTTTATGAGAGCTTCACTACGTAGGCATGACTAATAACCATATACAAATGTGATTAGACAAAAAAAACGCAGGATCTAGACCTAGCGAGGCCTGTCTGTTCTGACTTTTCTTGGCCTCTCTGTGTAGCATTCCTTCTCTAGGGTATGGGGCAGGAATCTCCCTAGAATGGGGGGTTTTTGACCCACAATCAGATTACAGTCCTGAGGTGAAAGAGAACAGGAGGTCAGAAACAGAGATTCTATTTCCTGTGGCCTAAAGTGCCTCAACATTATAACAAAAACTGTGGGAGTTAGAAGCCAGGAAGGATGAAAATCTATAAATAAATAAATATTTTTATATCTATATCTATATCTAATAGCACCACGAGGGGAGAGAGAGAGAAAGAGAGAGAGAAATTTTAACAAACTAGCTAAACTGTCTTAGAATTCCATAGGACAAAATATCAAATTTTCCTTTGTAATAAAAATGACAATACTATATTAGAGTATGAGCATAACATCTAAATTATACAGACAAGCACCATAAAATACCTATACAAAGGAAAAACAAAAGAACCACACAGAGTCATAGATTTGTTTCAAAACTATGTTTAGTGTCAAGGATACAGATTGCTTTTTAGCATTTTGGAGGTAACTTCTTGAGATCTGTGAGTTTTTAAAAAAAACATGATGTTATGTTGTAGCCTATGACTATGGTTCCAAGCAAGGATCCTGGTCTAATTAGCAAAAAAAAAAAAAAAAAAAAAAAAAAAAGGACTGGCCGAAGCAATCAGGCCCACTCCTGAGGAATGCTGAGGAATGTTCCCTCGACACTCCTTCAGCAATCTTTTGCGATATGATATAGCAGTAAAAGCCAACATGGAGTAGAGAGGACAGAATTACTCTTGCGTTTGAAACCGCAAACAGTCCCAAACAAAACACATAAAACAACAAATTTCAAAACACTAGACATCAATCAATGAAGAATAGTAATTCCTGAGAGATGACACACACACACACAAATGGTGAGCCCGACAATTGCTGCAGTGTGTTGCATTGAGAGAATGTTCGCCCACGGTGCAGAGAAGGAAAACTTAAGGGGAAACTAGAAATCTCTCATCTTATGTTGAGAAGATGGAGTTGAGAGTTCAGGGCAATCAAGGCACTTAATCTCATAAGACAGTGTACCAGAGAAAAGAGAACTGCACATAGAGAGAATCCCAGAGATCTGCAGATAGTCCTCCTTGAGTATTTAACAGAGTACTGATCAGCTTACATGTGTGAGCAAACTACCTTAGGATAAGAGAGATCATCCAAAATGATTACAGAAAACAGTGTTGGGGACTCACGCAGGGCCAACGACAGTACCTGTTCTATCTTGGCCACATTGGATTGAAAAAAATCATCAATTTATAGGATTTTGCATAGAGTATTTAGGAAAAGTCCTTCTTCAGTACTGAGGAATAATTAACCCCACACTGAGCATTGCTTCAGAACGCTTTAATAAGGAATACAAACAATCCCCGAAAAGATTAAACTGTTTACAAATAGCATCTCAAAACAAAGCTCAAGAAAATGTATGGGCATACAAAATATCTAGCACTACCAAGTTAAATTCACAAGGTCTGGCATTTAATCAGAGATTACCAGGCATCTTATTAGAAAAGTAAAAGCAACACATAATAACGAGAATAATAAATCAATCAAAACTGATGCAGAACTAACACAGATACTAGAATTAGCAGAGAAGGATATTAAAGCATTTATTTTAGCTATACTCCATAGGTTGAAAAAGTTAGAGACAAAGAAGATATAAAAGAGAATTAAATTGAAATTGTAGAGACTACAATGTCAAGATAAAATATAACTGGATGAGACTGACCACAGATTAGATTTTGTAAAAGAAAATATAAATGAAATTTAAGGCCTAGCAACAGAAACTACCAAAAATGAAACACAGAGGGGGAAAAGAAGAATCTACAACAAGGAAAAGACTACAGGCTCTGGAACAACTTCAAGCAGCCTGATTTATGAGTAATTGTATCCCCAACAAAGAGGGGGAAAAGATGAACTAAAAAGATATTTGAAGAAATAATGGCTGAACATTTCCAAGCTTGATAAAAACTATAAGCAAATAGATCTAACATACTCAGTGTCTTAGTCCAGTTTTCTATTGTTTATTACAGAACACCTAAAACTGGGTAATTTATAAAGAAAAAGGCATTTATTTCTTACAATTCTGGAGGCATCTGGTGAGGGCCTTCTTGTTGGTGGGGTCTCTACAGAGTTTAGAGGTGATGCAGAGCATGCCATGACAAGAGGGCTGAGCGTGCTAACGTGCTTACTTTGTTCTCTCTTCCTCTTCTTAAAAAGCCACAGGTTCCACTCCCATGATGACCAATCTATCCATTAATCTATGAATGGGTTAATCCATTCATAATGTCAGAGCCCTTATGATCCAATCATTAGGTGATCCAATCACCTCTTAAAGGCCCCAGCTTTTTTTTTTTTTTTTTTGAAACAGGATCTTGCTCTGTCACCCGGGCTGGAGTGCACTGAATCCTCAAACTCCTGCGCTCAAGTGATTCTCCTACCTTAGCCTCATCAGTAGCTGGGACTATAGGTGCATACCACCACACCTGGCTATTAAAGACCACAGCTTTAATACTGACACATTGGGGATTAAGTTTCCAACACATAGAATTTCAGAAACACAGTCAAATCATAATATTTAGTAAAACTCAAGGAAATATGAAGAAAACTAAGCGATGATATATCATGATAACATTTCTTAATATAATTAATAAAAATAAATTATTAAAAGCAGCCATAGGAAAAAATATTACATTTAGAGGAACAAAAATGGAAATGACACCAGATTTCTTGCTGTAAACAGTACAAGCAAGGAGTTGGTAGAGCAATACCTTTAAAGAAAATTTTTTTTAAACTATGAACCTAGAATTTTATAACAGGAAGACACATCTTTCAAAAATGAAGGTGTAATAAAGACATTTTCAGATATATAAAAATTGAAAAAATTTATCACCAACAGTCTCACACTAGAAGAAATGTTAAAGGAAGTCTTTATGATAGAATGAAAATGTTAACAGATAAATATCTGATCTATCCAAAGAAATGAAGAGCACTAGAAATGTTACAATATGGGTACATGTAAAGGTTGTTTTTCCTTATTATGTAAGTCTCTATGAAAGAAAAAGAGACTGTTTATCTGGCTGTTTCCACAAAATAATAGCATATTCTTATTCAATAATAATGTACATAGCATATATAATTACATGTATAATAATACATATATAATTAAAGATATGATAACGCATATATTACGTGTGTAATTATAATAACAAGGTATTTCATGGCGTACAACATACATAAATTTAAAATGCATGCGGGAGCTATGGTCATTAAAGCATCATGTTATTGTCACAAAGATGGACAAATAAGAACAGAATAAAAAATCTAGAAATAAACCCACACGTATATAGAAAACTAATTTTTACAAAGGCACAAAGGTAATGGAGACATTATAGGCTTTCCAATAAATTGTGCTGGGACAATCAGATATTCATACGCAAAAAATATATTTTAAAATAATTAATTTTAAAATTAATTTTTTAAACATTAATTAAAATAGATAATACACCTAAATTTAAAATGTTAAGTTATAAAACTTCCAGAAGAAAGCTTAGGAGAAAATTTCACATGCTTAGCTTAGGCAAAGATATCTTGGAAACAACACCACAACACCAAAAGCACAATCTATAAAATAACAAATTGCTCCCTAAGCTTTCAGGTATTTTAACAGGCCTTTGGCTCAGTAGAACTCTGTCTCATAAATATCTCCATGCCTACCTCCTTCATCTCTAAAATTCTTCTCAACCACATGTTTTCCAGTGAGGCCTGCCCTGAATACGTTGTTTTAAATTACATACCATCCTCTATCCCACAGCACTTCTAATAACTGTACCTGCTCTGTTGCTCTGTTTTTCCCATGGTACTTTACCCTCTAACCTATTATCTAATTTGCCTATTAACTGTGCGCGTCATTATTATTTACTACTCAGTTAAACTGTGTGGTGCACAGTAGATACTTAAGAAATATCTGTTAGCAAAATGAAGAGAACCAATTGTCCAAAAAACACCCCAAATGTTAATTGGTTGCCCCTGGGGAGCAGGAACTGGAGACAGAAGTGGGAAGGTAGAATACTGTATAAGTATTTGCAAATGACTTGATGATTAAATTAGATACATTATTATGATTATTTAAAACTTATTTTTAATGAAATAATGATGACTTATTATTGCTTTTAATCAAAGCAACATGCATCCCAAATTTGTTGTTTTCTGCTTTCTTGTCTAAGCGTTGCTGCAGTAGAACAATACTTTCTTAGAAAACATTTCACTGTGGTCATCCTGTTATTTATCACCCAAACTGGGAGCTTTGGAGATTTCCAGATGACAAACTGGATGGTACTCTCAGATCCAGGCACCAAGTGGGATTCTGCTCTGTAAAACTGCATGCCAATGATCCACAGGAAATGTTGAGATTCTGTGTACTTGTAGTTGAGCATAGATTTCAAACAGATGAATTTTTGAATGAGAAGAAACAGAAACACTTTATATAGGTTCAAATCTTTTACCAGCAATTCTGAAGTCAGAAAAGAAGTTCTGAAAACTGAGAAGGCTTTAAGTCTGTATTATGGCAAAACCAAAAAAAGACCTGAGCACATTTGTTGCCAAAACCCTTGAAGTCTTTAGTCAGTCCACTTAGTATGAATGTTCATAAATTTTACTGCAGAAACATTAATGCGCATGAATATTGTTTTCTGCCCAGGCAAAATATTATGTAATATACATTCTAACCAATTAATTATCTTTTTAAAATTAGAAAAATTCAAAATTCTGAAACAAATCTGATCCCATATATTTCAGTTAAGAAATTGTGAACTTACATATATTTTTCCTAATTATCCTTTTACTTTAGGATTTTGTGGGTTAAAATGGAAGGCAACATTTTTAGGAGGAAATGGGGCATCATTTAGGTCAAGTAAGCCTTTCATTGATGGTTGAGACATGGAGAAGAGAAGATGCTATTATTTAGCACTTGATCTGGAAGCGAGTGGAAGCCACCAGATCCCCATTGCAGGGAGAGTATGGCAACACTGGAACTTCAGAGCCAACAGTGCTTTATTTAGGAAGCTTTATATTTTACAAACTTTTATTTTTTAATGTTCTCAGCCTTTTTTTCTCATATAGATGTTCAAAAACAATTCCTGTAGCATCAACCTGAAAAATATATCTAGTATAATAAATAAAAAGATTCTAGAAAAAAATGAGTAACTTACTCATGTATAGGAATAATAATGTCTTTCTTAACTGGGCAGCGTGATTCAGTGAAGATGAAACTTCCTTTTTATGTTGTTGTTCTCTGAATTTCTGATATTTTCATGTCACTTCAATTCTCTCTAGGGCCCGTTACTGTCAGATTCCGGCAGTTGACCCTGGTGATTTCACAGCAGCAAGCACTGCAGGCGTTCCCAACACACAAGGCAAACTCTGTATATGGGCTCACCACCCACAGATCCAGCTGTCTGTCATGTCGTTCCCATATTGAAGGAACATAACCTGTTATTAAGCCAATTCAGCCCTGGAAGAAGGAACAAGTTTCCAAAATGCAATCTTTGAGTTTGGAAAATGGCATTTGAGAGGTATAAATAAAGCTAAATTCTTATAGAACTTAAACAGCATTGTGGTTATTATGTATTTTTTAAAGAAACATTTTTTCTTTGAATTTTTTTTTAATGTTTATAGCAAAGTTGCAAAGATAGTATATAGTGTTTCCTAATACCCCTACTAAGTTTTAGTTTCCCCTTCTGATGTTGACTTATGTTACCACAGGACAAGTGTCAAGGTAAATAAACCAATATTATTAGTACATTACTATTAACTAAACTTCAGACTTTCTTCATTCTCACCAGTTTTTCTATCAATGTCCCTTTTCTGTTCTTGGATCCTGTTCAGGGTAGCACATTGCATTTAGTTATCCTGTCTCCTAACTCTCACCTGGTCTGTGAGCATTTCTTAGTCTCTCTGTGTTTTACATGACCTAGCCAGTTTTAAGAGGTACTGGTCAGGTATTTTGCAGAATGTCTCTCAAATTGGGGTGTCTTATTTTTTTCTCATAGTTAGACTGGAGTTAATGGGGTTTTCAGAAAGAATAACACTGAGGCAATGTGTCTTCTTCATTACATCATATCAGGGGAAAATGCGGTATCTCCTGGTGATGTTAACCTTGTTTACTTGGTTAAAGTACTGTGTGCCATGTTTCTCCACTGCAAAATTTCTCTTTTCCCTTGCTATATTCAATTCTTTTAAAATGAGTCATAAATACAGTCCATTCTCTAAAGAAGGTGGGAACTAAGGTCCATCTCCTGAAAAAGGAATTACTACATATACAGTTTAGAATATTTTGCACAGATTTGTCTATTGCCCCATTTATATTTACCTAATATCAAAATGGACACATTTGTATTTATTTCATATTTTGGGTTACAATTCAATATTCTGTTTTTTTTGTTGTTGATGCTCACATTTTCTTTGCTTTGACCGTTGGAAGTTCCTCTAATTCAGCTTCTCTGTCTCTTTGACATGCCCTCATCCTGTTGTTTTCTTGAACATTTCCTTTTGTTATGGTACTAAAAGCTGCTCCAGGTTCATTTTGTATCAGCTCTAGAACAGACTATTTCTCAAAGGAGTCCTTAGTCCTTCTCCTGGCTCATCATATTTTAAAATCAAAATCTGGGCACTGGGTGTGCTTCTTGTTACTGGGGTGTCATTGCTTCGAGGCTCTTTCAGCTGCCAGAACTTTAGGTAAAGTATGTTCTAATTTATGTATATTAACATATCTATAATTGTTTCTGTCACTATCTTGTTAAAGATATTATGTCATGTATCTCTCTATATATGTTAAATATACATAAGTTCAGCTGGGAACGGTGGCTCATGCCTGTAATCTCAGCACTTTGGGAGGCCAAGGCGGGTGGATCACAAGGTCAGAAGTTCAAGACCAACCTGGCCGTGATGGTGAAACCCGGTCTCCACTAAAAATACAAAAAATTAATTAGCCGGGCATTGTGGCAGGCACCTATAATTCCAGCTACTCGGGAGGCTGAGGCAGGGAATTGCTTGAACCCGGGAGGCGGAGGTTACAGTGAGCTGAGATCGCACCACTGCACTCGAGCCTGGGAGACAGAGTGAGACTCCATCTCAAATAAATAAATAAATAAACAAACACAAGTTCACACTGATGTCTCCAACTCTAGTCTAGTACCATAGGGTTCATTCTTGCCATTTTGATTATCTGTGGCTTTCTTCTCTGACTGTGAGAATCTTGGCTGCCATCATCCAGGGAGAAACCATTTACCACCTAGAATACAGTGTCTATACACGGTTACTTTTGTTATTACCCTTAAAATTTTCAGTCAAAATACTGTTATCTACAGCTACTAAAGCCAGATCCATTTTACCCATTTTTGGTGCACTTATGCCATACATTTGTAACACAGTCAGATTCATTTTTTACAGTCTACAATCCATTGCTGGATCCCTAAAATACTGGTTGATTTTTTAGATGTTTGTCTGTGTCCATTAAAAGCACTTATAGTAATGTAAAGTTCTATTGATTTTATTAATTAAAAAATGGTTATTTAGTCTGGGCAACATGGCAAAACCCCATCTCTAAAAAAAATACTAAAAGTAGCTGGGCTTGGTGGTGCATGCCTGCGGTCCCAGCTACTTGGGAGGCTGAGGTGGGAGGATCGCTTGAGCCCAGGAGGCAGAGGTTGCAGTGAGCTGAGATTGTGCTGCTGCACTCCAGGCTGGGGGACAGAACCATATCTTGTCTCAAAAAGAAAAAAAAATGGTTATTGACTACTCACTACTTCCTGATTACCTTTACTGTAAGAAGAATTTTTCAAAATTCCAACTCATTTACATGTTTATGAGTTTTAAAGATGATAATGAAACCAAATATTTTGTATATGTGTGTCTGTTTACTATTATGTATCATATGTAGTACTTACCCAATACTATTTCTTCACTATAATTTTTAGTTATAATTATATAAGTAAGATGTTTGTATGTATGTTTTTAACAAAAGAAACATGTTTTAACATATACATACGTCTTTTAATGCATCCTTTCAAAACTGTGATTTATCAAGTAAAATATTTTTTAAAATTCTAAATTTTACTCATTCAGTATGTCCATATAATGAATTAAAAATAAAATTAAAAATGAAAACCAGTTTTCTGAATTAGGCATTCTCCTTATAGTGGCACTATATATAGTGATAAACTTTGAAAATACTCCATTATTTATTAGCTATGTAACTTTGGGCAAGTCATAGTATTAATCTCTCTGGCCTTAGTTTTCTTAATCAAAACTCAGAGTCATACTATTAACAGTACAAAAATCAAAGGAAGAGTAAAAGAACCAATTAAGATAACATTTTTAAAGCATCAGAGGCTACTTCATGTGACACAATACTATATAGATATAGATACCAATATAGATAGATATTGTGTGTTGTTCATAGATTTTTAGTACATTTTTAAGTGCAAATATAATTTATTGTGTTGCATTCATCTACATTATATATATGTGTGAAATTTGTGAATTGCTGTCTGTAAATATCTATAAACAACACATTCAGCCATTTGCCTAGAGGTTTACTGCTATGAAAAAGAAATAATTAGAATTTTTCAAGTACAAGTGGGATGGACTGTAAATTGAACATAATTATTGGAAATCGCTTTATGTCAATTCAGAAGCTTATACTTAATAATTCAGGGTTATTTTATAATTGAATGTTTATGTCAAGATCAACATTAGTGAGGGATGTTGGAAAAGATTAGAAATAATGTACAAGAAACTTTGCATATTACTGCTAGTTCTGCTACTTGGCACAGTATTTTGTAATTATGTCATAACTAAAAATCATAGATTATACCACAAGAGTTTTCATTGTCCTTATTATTTATCATTTTTGAGTGTCCACCAGATTTGCGTTACTTTTTAAATCATTTAAATGCTTTAAACTCTCTTGCCAAGAAAATCAAACAAACATGTATCCCAATCTGCAAATAGGAAGCCAGGAAGCTAAATCAAATTAGCACACAATGTACATGTGTATGCATATATATATACTCATATATATTCATATATATGTATATACACACTTACATGAACACACATACTTACATGTATGTCTGTGTGTATATATGCATACACACATGAATACATATATCTATTTGGGTAAGTGATTAGACTGACAGTACAGTTGAACATGTATAAAACTGGAAATGATACTTCTGCAACTATCTACTAACATACATTATTTGAAGAGAATTAAAATCCCAAATGAAGTTATAGCCTATTGCAACCTGTAAAACATTTCTTGTAAATTACCTAATTTATTTTTTCATTTATGTACAGTTTCTTATGTAAATTTGAAAAATATTTGCCATGGTGCATTCTGTAACCATTCCCATATTCTTTTCCTTAATGCTTATTTGCATGAGAGGAACTTGGGTTTTTCTTGTTTGTATTGGATAGCTGTTAAGCTAACTTCAGTATCTCTGCCTTTTTTTGCATAGTTTAACTCTTTCTAATTTTTTTCATATTCCAAATAGATGTTAGAGTCATACTTTTTATTTTCTACTTTCTAAATAAATTCTCTAAGTTGTTTTTAAAATAAGAAATTAGCAAATCAGCAAAATATATTCCTATGATTAAAGCATGGCTCTGTTGAGAGTCAAAAATGGAAAGTATCTAGATATTGATGACACAAAAGCTCATCAATCAACATAGCTTGCTCTTAGTGGAAGGGATGAAGTCCATAAGCAAGAAGGTAGTTAGTCAACATCTTCAACATAGATAAAACAACATTTGTCTTGCTATATAATTGTGGGATGGACTTTAAGGTATAGTGTCATAAAGGACTGTGGTGCAAAGATGTCTGGGGCCAAATCGTGGCTCTGCCATTCACTGGTTGTGTTGCCTCAGACAAGGTTTCTAGTCTCTATGTACCTCACTTTTCTCATGAGAACAATAATAGTAGATGTGGTTATTGTGATGTTTAAATTAGTTAATATATAAAAGGATGAAATAGTGCCCGATAAGCACACTACCAATGATGACTATTATTACTTTTTATTATGATCATTATTATTTTGTTGACATAGCAAATATATTCTGTCTAAGTACATTGTTCATCTTATTTAATCTTAAATAAAAGGTCACTCTTAATGTCATTTATCAAAAGAACATCACCACACATCAGATAGTGTAAGGAACTGTATGAAAAATTATATCTTTAACTTTAATGAATATTTCTGTTGCTTGAAAACATCCATAAGCATTGCTTTTACTGTCTTTCATTTTAGCTACTTTTGCCTGCGGATTGAAGTAGTAGATGTTTGAGTTTGGCAGAAGATATTTCTGTAATACCAGTAATTTCCCTGTATAGCCAGCTTTCTTAGTGTAGGATTTCTAGCTGTCTTAGTGTAGGATTAATTTTCAAGAACAATTATTCACTGCAGGTCACTGGCATTATGACACAAAGTTGCAAGGGCAGAGTTGTTTTCTTTTCTTTCTTTTTTTCTTTTTTTTTTTTTTCGAAGGTGGAGCCTTGTTCTGTCACCCAGGCTGGAGTACAGTGGCGCCATCTCAGCTCACTGCAACCTCCGCCTCCTGGGTTCCAGCGATTCTCCTGCTTCACCCTCTCAAGTAGCTGGGACTACAGGCACGTGCCACCACACCTGGCTAATTTTTTGTATTTTTAGTAGAGACGGGGTTTCACCGTGTTAGCCAGGATGGTCTCCACCTCCTGACCTCATGATCCGCCCTCCTCGGCCTCCCAAAGTGCTGGGATTACAGGCATGAGCCACCACGCCCAGCCCCAGAGTTGTTTTCTTATGTGAATTTGGTTCCTGGCATTTGAAGAATATAAGTAATGGAGGAGGTGCAAAGTTAAAAATATGTGGATCCAGAAACCAGTCTGTGGAAAATATTATTCCATTTATCAGAGTTGTAAAATTGCAAGCAGAGAAATATATTTCCATGGACAAATAGTCAAAATGGAAACATCCACCTCTTAAGAATCTACTTGACAAGACAACATAAACATCTTCAAAGTATATACAAGCTGAATTATTCCTATAGTAAATCAACAAAAATTATTCAACATTTAGACGTAGATGTGACATATAATTTCCCATTATATCAATTTCAAATCAATTTAATGAGGATTAATAGCTTCTTAGGTTGTTCGAAAATATGATTGACAAAAGATAATGTCATATTAGGTGAAGATTAACATTTCTTGTTGATGTGTCATGAAGTACTGATAAGGATGATGATATAGTTTGGCTGCGTCCCTACTCAAATCTTACCTTGAGTTGTAATAATCCCCATGAGTGAAGGGTGGAGGCAGGTGAAGATCATTGAATCATAGGGGTGGTTTCCCCTATACTGTTCTCATGGTAGTGAATAAGTCTCATGAGATCTGATGGTTTTATAAATGGGAGTTCCCCTACACAAGCTCTCTTGCCTGTTGCCCTGTAAGACATGCCTTTGCTTCTGTTTGCCTTCCGTCATGATTGTTAGGCCTCCACAGCCATGTGGAACTGTGGCTCCATTAAACCTCTTTCCTTTATAAATTACCCAGTCTTGGGTATATCTTTATTAGCAGAGTGAGAACAGGCTAATACAGAGGAGAAACACATAAAACTCATTATATGCCACTCCACATAGATATGGAGAATAAATTGGTGAACAAATGTTATCAACTCAAAGAATTTCTAAACTTAGTCAAAACTCAAGAAAAGTTGTCATGAACTTTCTTTTATATTTTTACATATAAAATAAAATTAATAGGCTATTTTCCAAATTAATGAACAGTACTAGAAATGCATGTAAGCAGAACAATTTTTTTCCAAAATGAAATTAATAGCAAAAATTGTATTAACCATGTGAGGAAGAATGATGAATTAGAGATTCATTTCCTCTAGAAAAAAAATTGTACAAAATTACTATTATAGATAATAAGATAGCATGTTGCCAAAAATTAATTAGAGAAATTGTTACAGGTTTGTAGTAGCTAGATAATTAATAAAAAGTATTGTGTTATTTTCTGATTTTTGATATTTGTGTATTTTTAAATATTTGTCATCGTGATTTTTTTTTCTCATTCTAAATACATATTTTGGCTGAGTATGGTGGCTGATGCCTGTGATCTCAGCAGTTTGGGAAGCAGAGGACGGAGAATTGCTTGAGGCCAGAAGTTGGAGACCAGCACTGGCAACATAGCCAGATCTCATCTCTACAAAAAAAAAATTTTTTTAAATAGCCAGGCAGGGTACGAAATGCTTACAGTCCCGGCTACTCAGTAGGCTGAAGTGAGAGGATTGCTTGAGCCCAGGAGATTGAGGCTGCAGTCAACCATGATTGTGCCACTGTACTCCAGCCTGGGCGACAGAGCGAGACCATCTCTAAAAAATAATAATAACAATTATAAAATTATATATAAGTAAATACTCATATTTGCTTTCATACCAGCTTTGTAATTACAATTTTGCATTATTTTTCTTGAGGAATAAAAACATGATCCAGCCCCCCAAATTGCAAAATGTCAGGCCTTACAAAATCTTAGTGTTTTGGGGTTCAAATGGCTGTATTTTTATAAAGCTGTAGAAGTGATTTTGAAACACAACAGGGGTTAGAAAGCATTGGTATAAGAATCATAAAGACTTATGTCAGGACTTTGGGTTTCTTGTTGTCAAAGAGGGTAAATAATGGTTTCATTAATCAAGGTATAAAATACAGAAAGAAGCACAAGCTTTAGAAAAGGGTTTAGTTTTGAATATGCTTATTTCTAAACAAAGTTTGCTATCGCACTAACTTTGAAGACCATATCAAATTGCTTTTATGTTTAGCTTACTGTAGACTAAATCCTTGAACTCTTTCTTTTAATGTTCTGCTTCTTAGTCAATTTTCTTCCCACATGTATTTGTACATTGGAAGCTTTGGAGTTCAATCCATACAGGAGTTTACTTTTATCTTTGTTAAATTTCATCCTGCTAGGTTTTATTGCATTTCTCTAACCTGCACATTGCTTTGTTCTGAACTCTTTCCCCGGCTTTCTCTATATGCTGGCTATTTTGTACATTGATTTTATGGCATATGCACATTCTTATTTATTTTTTCTCAATTGTTCTTACAGCCGGGGTGCATTTATAATAACTGCAAAGCATTTTCCCTAACATACCTGCCCATAGAATGAATTGTACAATCTTCTACCCAATTCATATGTTGAAGCCTTAACTAACTTCCAATGTGATGGTGTTTGGAGATGAGGTTTTTGGAAGGTAACTAGGCTTAAATGAGGTCATGAAGTTGGATAATGAGATTAGTATTTAAGAAGGGACCTGTGAGCTTGCACTTTCTCTCCTTCCAGAAGCACAAAAATAACTTGAGGTCCTGTGAGCATAGAGGGAGTTGGCAGCCAGCTGCCTACAAGCCAAGAGAAGCAGCTTCAGAATGAAAGCTGCCTTGTCAGCACCTTGGTCTTGAAACTGTAAGAAATCAATTTCTGTCGTTTAAGCCCCCCAGTCTTTGGAATTTTGTTATGGCAGCCCAAACTGACTAAGACAGTATCTACTAGAAGGTTCAAGTCTGAAGAGGAAAAAAGTTTGCTTTCTGCTCCGAAGGCTTGTATGGAATTAGATTCGTGTGTTAGAGACACACACGTAAAGACAAATGCACAGGCAGGTGAGTGCTGCTTACACAACTTATGACTATTTTATTATGAATGCTTTTTGCTTCCCCTTTAAAGTTATCTAGAGAGGAATGTGCTACAGCTCAGAGATTTGAAAGATGACAATAATTTTATGACTTAACAGGAACCTCGTGTTACATGGAAAGCACAATCATTTTAATTTGAAATATTTGAACATATATTTTTATAAGCTAAATAACATTGCCAGTCACCAGGACCTGAATTAGCTAAAGATGCATAGTTTCTTGGGGATAATTGCTACTCAGCAATATTTTAAATAGTGCTTAAAACTTCCTATGTTACTAATAAAAGTCAGTCAGGCTGAGTTAAAAGCCTGGCTAAGCCACTTATTACCCAAGTGACTAAGGTATTTTCAGTAAATATTTTTTCTAGTCATTTAATCTTTTACTGCTTTAGTCTCCTCACCTATAAATGAGGATGATGGTAATACCTATTTTTTTTATAGTTGATGTGAGGATTAAATGGGTGGGACGTGTAAAACACAAAGAATGGAGTAGGCACTCAATATTAGTTACATTTCTGTTTTTCACTCATTAAGCAAGGTATTGTAACATTCAATGTAGGCATCAGAGACTTTGCCAAATCTCCTCACCATTTTAAATGTTTAATAACTCTCCCCTCTTTCTAATACTGAGATTGCTTTTAGAATAACATTTTTCCTTCCCTTCCTACTCAGAATGCACATTACTGAAATACCTTAGCTCCAGGAAGTTGAGAATTAGAATATCTTAATCTAAAATCAGGCTCTTCTAATTTCCAGCTAAATTTCAGAGAATGGAATGGTATTCATGGCATCACTTAAAGGAGTTATTATTTTTCAAGTTTTGATTCTGGTCTATACGAGACAAACTTTTATGTTCTGTATAAGTAATTGCACAGAAAAATGTTGCATCACTATTTTTTATTGACTACTACAGAGTAAAACTTTGTGTCACCCCCAAATTTATATGTGAAATCCTAACCCTCAAGGTAATTATATGGTATTAGGAAACAAGACCGTTGGGAGACAATTAGGTCATGAGGGTGGAACCTCTTACAAAAGAGATCCCAGAGAGCTCTCTCACCTTCTGCCATGGCCCACATTCTGAGGATGCAGTTAGGAGTCAACAGTCTGCAACACAGAAGAGGGCTCTCACTAGAACTCAACCATGCTGGCACCCTGATCCTGGACTTCCAGGCTTGGGAACTGTGAAGAATACAGTTTTGTTGTTTAATCCACCTAGTCTAGAACATTCTGCTGTAGCAGCCAAAATGGACTAAGACAGAAATTGGTACCATAAATGGAATGCTCTTGTAACACTTAAATATGTGAAAATGGCTTTGGAACTGTGTAAAGGGTAGAGACTAAAAGAGTTCTAAGGTGTGGAGTGGTTGATTTTAGATATCAGCTTGATTGGGTTAAGGGATACCCAGATAGCTAGCATTATTTCTGGGGATGTCTTCAAGGGGGTTTCCAGAAAAGTTTGACATTTGAATCAGTGAATTGATTAAAGAAGATCCAACTCCATCCAATGTGGCCAGATGTCATCCAATTGATTGTGGATCTGGATAGAACCAAAAAGCATAGGAAAGCCAAATTTCTTCCCTATTTTGAAGCTGGGACATGCATCTTCTCTTTCTTTGACATCAGAACTCCAGGTTCTCCAGCTTTTGAACTGCAGAATTTTCACTGGCATTCCCCTAACTCCCCCAACCCCGCCTTAGGTGTTTGGCTTCAGACTGAAAGTTACACCATTGGCTTCTCTAGCTCTCAGGCCTTAGGACTTGAACTAAGCTATGCCACCAGCTTCTGTGTTTCTCCAGGTTGCAGGTGGCATATTATGGGACTTTTCAATCTCCATAATCATGTGAGCCAATTCCCATAATAAATAACTTCTTATCTACTTCTTATCATCATCATCTATAACCTATTAATTCTGTTCCTCTGGAGAACCATGACTAATAAAAGGTGCATGCTTAAACAATCCTATATTGCTACGAATGGACCATTATAGCTGATTTTGGTAAGAACCCAGAAAGAAAGGAGAAGACTTTTAAAGAAACCCTCAATCTCTTTATAGAATTCCTAAGTAGCGATTATTAGAATGTTGGTAGAAATATGGGCAGTAAATCTATGAACTACCCAACCTCAGGTAGTTTGGGAGGCTGAGGTGGGCAGCACTTTGGGAGGCTGAGGTGGGCAGTTGGATCACCTGAGGTCAGGTAGTCGAGACCAGCCTTGCCAAAATGGCAAAACACTGTCTCTACTAAAAATAGAAAAAAAAAAAAATTAGCCTGGTGTGGTGGCAGAGCCCAGCTGAGATTGCAGTGAGCCGAGATTGTGCCACTGCACTCCAGCCTGGGCGACAGAAGAAGACTGTGTCTCAAAAAAAAAAAAAAAAAAAAAAAAAGAATTGAAAGATTTGGAAAATTCTTAGCCTATTCATATTTTAAAAATGAAAATACTTAGGGTGTGTCCTGGTGTCCATTTGATACAGAGATTAGTATAGGCTCAGCCACAGATTTAATCAGCAACCCCAGCAGGAAAAGTGTCAGTTTGAACGCAGAGGAAGGAGTTGAGAAGGAATGAATGAAGTCTGTTAGATTTCATGGATTTTATAGAATAAGATATGGAGCTATTTGACTGTGAATATGTGCTATTTTTCATTACAGGGGAAGAATAACCCCAAAGTTGATTCAGAGATTATCAGGGATACTTCCTCAGTTTCAGAAGGGGGACCATTGCATTGCATTCAACAAGCCAGATGGTCTTGACCCAAAGCTATGGGATGGGACCTTCCCCAGTGGACCTGAAAGGCAGAGCCTCAAACCAAAAAGTGTTACTCATGGAGAATGCTTTTCAATTTGAACTTATTTGAAATATTTTATCCCTTTCTTCTTTCCTGTTTCTCCCTTTTGCAATAGAAGTATCTATCTTATTCCTAACCCATTATTGTATTTTGGAAGGATATAACTTGTTTGGTTCCACAGGATCTCAGTTGGAGAGCAATTTTCCTCAGGTTGAAATGTATTTAGTCTCAAATATCACCTGATTTAGAGGATATTCAGAGATTTTGATATTTAGACTCTAGAGTTGCTGCTGGAAACAGTTTATACTTTTGAGGCTGCTTGGATGTAAAGAATGCATTTTGTATGTGAGAAGAACATAAATTTTGAGGGGTCAGGATGGAATGCTATAGACTCAATATTTGTGTCCCCCACAATTTGTATGTTTAAATCCCAACACCCAATTTGATGGTATTAGGAGATAGGACATTTGGAAGGTGAATATGTGTCATATGAATACAAATCCTATGACACATATTCACCTCTCATATATGGAATTAGTGCTCTTACAAAAACAAAAAACACCTCACAGTTATTTAAAGCTCCCTCCCCCTTTCCCCCTTGCCAGGACTCAGCATAGAGTTAAGAGTCTGGAACTTGGAGGAGAGCCATGCTGGCAGCTTGATTTTGGACTTCCAGGCTTGAGAATTGTGAAAAATAAATGTTTGTTGCTTAAGCCACACAATGGATGAGATCCTTTTGTAGCAGTCTGAATGGACTAAAGTTTGAAATCTAACTGCCATATTCTCTGGGCCCCATGAGAGAAGGGAGCACACTTTCTCAGTTTAGGATGGATATTATCTTGAAATCTCCCCACTTTTCTTTTTCTCAGAAGACACTCCCAACTTCTTCTGCATCTGGATTTCCTGAGTCAGAAGGTATCTTCCAGGGATCTGAAGTGTAGAAAGATGGAAATCACAAGACTATGGAGACTTGCAAACATTCACCAGCAGTACCTTCAGAGCAATCAACACAGCAGAAGGTAAGTACGGTGTCATGCTGTACGAAGGCATTTGCCAGCATTGCTGGTGACCACGAGCCATGACCATTGCTTTAAATAATAAAAATGAGAGATAGATAGTGAGAACAGTAACAGCACCATGACAAGTAATTGAAAGACTAGAGTCTTTACAATAAAACCTATATCTAGATAAAATGATAATAACGAGGACTCACTAAAGCTTAATAGATTTTCAGGGAATTTTATGCAAAAAATACTACAAGTTAAAATCTGGCCTGCAAACATTGCAACTTTTCTAATCCTAAAGCAACTCCAGGTACCCTCAAACTGCACCAACAAAAAGTAGGCATAGAAAGCTGTGTATGCCTCAAGAAATATTTTTTCTCAGATGAGGACTTGAAGGGTATGGCTAAGGCATAGATAGGTCACAGAAGATATCAAAAACTGAATTATTTCCAGAGAGCAGAACCAGACATGGCCATAATTACTAACTGAAGAATTTATTTCCATAAAGGAAAAATTCCTATACTCTACAAAAGAAGTGGAAAAATAATAATTCTGTAGGCAAAAGACTTCTCTGTGTTTTTCACTTTTTCCAATTCTGAATGGGCCACAGGTTCATATTCCAGCACTGTGTGTTGAGTATGTTGTGTGCTGGTAACTTTTATATGTTTCTGGAGCTTGAAAAGCTGTGTATCACCCAGTTTTCCTGGGCTATTCCTTAAAAGCAGCAACCAGATGTGACTGTCAGTCATCTCTCTTGGGGAGAGGTGAGACTCTTCTATAGGTGTAAAAACAACAATAAAAACAAATTTGGATTTGGGTGAATAAAAGGAATGGATTGCCATTTTCCTTTTTATTGCCTTTGCTTACTTCTGGTCTACTCTCAACACAATAGCCAGAGTTTTTCTGTTAACAAGTGAGTCATATAATGCCACTCCTTTTCCTAAGTCCTCCAGTAGCTTCCAATCTCACTCAGAGTAAAAGCCTAGTCTCCCATGAGGCCATTCATTGTCTTGCCTCCTAGATTATTTTCTTCTTGCTATTACTGAACTTGCTAGACCTTCTCCAGCCTCAGACCATTTGCACTTGCAATTATGTTTTCTCTTATCCTCCAAGAAAATCTGAATAGTTTCTTCTTCATTTCCTTCAGATTTTACACATATGACACTTTCAAAATGAGACCTAACCTGACGACCCTATTACTGTCTATTGGAACTCTCTGTGAACTTATGGAGCAGTGACAATCATGACAACTAGGAACACATTTTACTGATATATGTTGCATATTGTTGGTCTTACTCCATTAGAAATGTAAGCGTTAGGATTGTGGGGATTTTTGTTTGATTTTGTTTTTCCTTTTTCTGTATTTTACTGCTAACTATTGACTCCTAAAATTTGTGCCTGTCATATTGGATCACTTCATAAATATGAAGTGGATGTTGACTAAAATGATAGTGCCCCCAAGTTGAGAAAGGGTATGAACTGTTGATATAGGAACAAGAGCTTCCTAGCATCCTCAAAAGTTGTGTGTTGAAAGGCTGCATTGCACTCTCTAAAAGCATTTCCTGAAAGATAGCTTGAAAGGCTGCATTGCACCCTCTAAAAGCATTTCCTGAAAGATAGCTGGCAAAGATCCTTTACCTTTTTTCTTCCTTCCTTTTGCGTCATACTCAGTAGAATGTTATGCAATGTCTGGAGACCTACCCACAGCTTTGGCTTTCAGAATAAGATGCTTATTCTACAGGTGACAGAAAGATATGGTGCAAGGAGTTTGCTTGCAAGATCTCACAGAACACAGTCACTGTGTTAGTTGTGATAGTTAATTTTATCTGTCAACTTCATTGGGCCATAGGCCTTTCAGACTGTTTGATCAAACATTATGCAGGGTGTTTTTGTGAGGGTGTTTTGGGGCGAGTTTAGCATTTGAATCAGTAGAATGAATAAATCAGATTGTCCTCCCTAATGTGGGTAGGCCTCATTCAATCAATTGAAGGCTTGAATAGAGCCAAAAGGCTTATCCTTCCCCAAGAAAAAGAGAATTTTTCATATTAGACTTTGTTGAAACCAATATTTTGGGTATTTAACTGCCTTGAGGCACAAACTGAAACTTTCTGTCTCAAGCCTGCCAGCTTTTGGATAGGAACCATATCACTGGCTCTTTGGAGCCTCCAGCTTCCTGAATCAGCTGTAGATTCTGTAATGTGCCTGGCCACAGAAGCATGCGAGCCAATTCCTTGCAATTCATCTTTACGTATATACACATATATCCACATATGTGATAGTTAATTTTAGGTGTCACCTTGACTGGATTACGGAATACACAGGTAGCTGCTAAAGCATTATTCCTAGGTGTGTCTTTGTGAGTGTTTCCAGAGAAGACTGGCATGTGAGTTAATAGAATGAGTGGGGAAGATCTGCCCTCAACATGGGCAGGTAACATCCATTTAGCTGGCGCCCCCAATAGAACAAAAAGGCAGAGAAAAGACAAATTCATTCTCTCTCCTGGAGCTAGAGCACTCTTCTCCCACCCTTAGACATCAGAACTTCAGTTTCTACAGCCCTTGGAATTCAGGACTTGGCCTCAGTAACCTACAGGTCCCCATGCCTTTAGCCTGGACTGAGAGTTTGACCATCGGCTTCTCTGATTCCCTGATGCTTTCAGACTTGAACTGATCCATATTCCTTACATCCTTGATAGGCTTACAGATGGCCTATTATGGGACTCCTCAACCTCCATAATTTTTCTAGTAAATGCCTTCTCATCTATCTATTCATCCATCATCCATCTATCTATTGATCTAGCCATCCATCCATCCATTACCTATCTATCCATCCATCTATCCATCCATCCATCATCTATCTATCCCTCTAACCATCCATCCATTACCTATTAATCTATCCATCCATCATCTATCTATCCATCCGTCCTTCCACCATCCATCTATCCATCTATCCATTTCCTATCTATCAATCTATCCCTCATCTATCTGTCCATCTATCCCTCATCTGTCTATCCATTATCTATCTATCTATCATCTATCTATCTATCTATCTATTTATCTATCTATCTATCTATCTATCATCTTTTACTGGTTCTGTCTCTCTGGAGAACTCTGGTTAATACACCAGTCCTAACTGGCTGTGAAGGATATTTGTGCATTTTTTTTCCATTATGGCTGAAACTAATCCTATTGAATACAAAGAAATCAATTTTCTTTCACTACAAACTTAGGAATAAAAATTTCTTTATTCATACTTGTAATATAAATAAGAAAGTCAAAAACACTGAACAGCTCAGCATACCAAATATCCATTAAATATGGTATTTGTCCTCCTAAATTGATTCTTCAGTTTTCTTAATAGGGATCATGTATTAATATAGTATCTGAGGATCATTATTTTAATTTGGGTTTGACCTAAGAGGCTGGCCTGCTTATGAGTTTTTTTCAACCAGTGGATATTTCTGAGATGTAGCTGCTTTCTATAGAAAGATTCATATGTTTTTGGAGCACTGGATTCCCAAAAAGACCATTGGCTATTTTTCCTAAACTTTTGTATTTCTTGTATTTTAGTTATTTTGTATTGGCCAAGCATCCTTTTAATTGTTTTGCAATCATTTTGTGTGTTTTACAATTATATTCAGTAAAAGTGATACTGAGAGAAATCCTTAATGAACCAAATGTTGAAAAATAAAGGTTGGTTTCACTAATACTTTTTGTTGTAAATTAATATTTAAAACAAAATTCATCTTGAATTTCTACCTCCGCTTTAAGTATAAGAACTTTTTATTATTTTTATAGCAGGGGTCATCTAACTCTTTTTTAAGAGGCAAATAGTAAATAATTTAGAATTTGTGGTCCACACAGCCTCTGTCACAACTCTACACTCGACTTTGTTGTTGTAGACAATATGTGAGTGGGTATGAGTGTGTTCTAATAAGACTTTACAAAAACAAGTGGGAGGAATTTGGCACTTGAAATGTAATTTGTCAACCCCTGTTTTAAAGGACAAAAGGGAGTCTTATTTTCTTTATTTCTTTATTCTTTTTTTTTTAATTTATTGAGACAGAGTCTCACTCTGTCGCCCAGGCTGGAGTGCAGTGGTACGATCTTAGCTCACTGCAACCTCAGCCTCCTGGGTTCAAGTGATTCTCCTGCCTCAGCCTCCTGTGTAGCTGGGATTACAGGCACCCGCCACCACGCCGAGCTAATTTTTGTATCTTTACTAGAGACAGGGTCTCGCCATGTTGGCCAGGCTGGTCTTGAACCCCTGACCTCAGGTGATCCGTCCGCCTTGGCCTCCCAAAGTGCTGGGATTACTGGCGCAAGCCACTGCACCAGGCCTGGAAGTCTTATTTTCTTACTGGATAACAGGAATATCACTGAAGAGAACTAATGTACCTGGACCTTCCTAAGATGAGCCACTCAAGACATCCACCCCTGATAGCAACTTAGAAACAGTCTACCTAGACATCCCTGGGGCAAATCACCCTAAATAACAGGAACACACTTAACCACCTTCAGGCCTTTTTCAGCTTACACCAACACATCTAACTGAGAAATAAAAATAAAATACTAAGTTCCCCAGCTGACTGAATGAACCCTCTCATGGCCAAGGAGACTCCAGAGAAACCTTGAAAACTGAGTTCCCCGCCATGATCAATGGGAGTTGAGACATTCCACATTATACCTCCTCCCTCATTAACCACCATTAGACTTTTTTTTTCTCAGAGTTGTACAGAAATCAGCCCTTTCAAAACACTTGCTCCACTGCTGATTTCAGCCAGCTGAAGAAGCTGTAACCAAAACCCCGTCTCTTTTTGTGGTTTCAACACAAGAACTGACCAGCGTTCCTTTCTGATAAGAGACGACCACCACAAACTGGCTTTGGCTGGTCCATGAGGGCTGGACACATAGTGCCTCTGTGTCTTCTGTTTCATCTTTTGATGTATAGGCCTAATTTTAGTGTATTTAAATGTTGTCTCCAACACAAAGTGAATATGGGAAGTTTGTAACATGCATGTTTGCTTATTACGCACGCAAGTGCCTTCTGCATTCATATTCATAGCTCTTCCTATAACCTATTGAGTATGTATGCTCAGTCAACTCATTCAGAATAAATTCCTGTCTCACCTTCCTTCTTCAAAGTGCCTGCTTTGGGTTTCTGTCAGATGCTGTGCTTCACAGTTGCAGGTTGTGACCCTTTATAAGAAATAATGCTTTCCTCTCCAAATTTATGAACTCCGTGATTCTTCATTGAGCATAACTATTTAAGAGAAATCTTAGAAGTATGGTATCTTTGGGAACCCATGCAATCAGAGTATTTCTTTCAAATGTAGTCAGTTCACTATTCCTCACTGATATATAACACTCAGAATGTGGAGAATCTGAAGGACAGGGGACGTACTTTATCTGATTCATTAAAGTAACATTTCTGAGAATGACACAAACGTGAAACTTATGTTGCATGCTGAGAGTTGCATCAATAGCAGCTTCCAACATAACATGTGCAAGAAATTTTTCTCCTCAAAGGCTTGAGTGCCATAATAGAGAGATGGAAAGATAGATGTATAAATAGATGTAGATATGTGTATATACATACACATACATACATATATATGCACATATATTTTGCATATATTATCACAATATGGTAAAGACTGTTTTATGCTGTGATGCACTGTGAGCTTCATGCAACTTGACATGCTTGTTATCAATGTTTATTCCTTCTGAGTCCATTATTTTCATACATTTTTAGGGCTACATTGTGTATGCAACATAAAAACACATTTTTCTATTTCATATCCCCCCCAAAGGTTCAAAGAGAAACTGGGAACAAATTATAAATCTGTGAATATTGATATAAATACTGTATAAATATGTATATATAAATATAAATATTTTACTTCACAATTCCGTATTTAAACAGTTATCATCCTTCAGTTTTTTCTGAAGTTGAGAAAATTCTTTTTTTAATGTTTCTAAATTAATTTTGAATGGATGCAAAATATTGACATAAAATGTAGGACCTGCTAATTTTCTCTTGAATTCTAAACCTGAATTTTGATAGAAAACAAATTTTTTGTCAAAATTTTCTACTCTTTTTTTACTTTTTTGTTATTTTTTATATATCCAATCAATATTTATTGAACCTAAACTCTTAATTCTTATTTAATTTTAATTCTGGCTTTATCTGTGTTGAATTATTATTTTCCAAATACTTCTGACTAGCTATGCTGCTCACATTTACCTAACATACAGTAATACGGTTGAGTTTGTTTACATACCTTACCACAGGCTTTAACTGATTTTCTGTTAATATTTTTGTCCCTATCCTTAAGCTTTCACAAAATAACTGTATGAAACAAGGTAAAAACTCAAAATAGTTTAATCACCTGAAAGGTGGAGAATAGAAATCCTTAAGAAAAGTGTTGGGACCAGGAATCACACTCAACACCTACTTCTCTTTCATTGACAAGGGCCAATCTTTCAGAGTTATGTTTATTTTAGCTCTTGAAGATCTCTCGAAATTCCTATATGTCTCTTTCTCCATTGGTCTCACCCTAATATAATCCAGCATCCTTATTTGACTCCCAAATCCCTCTGTTTCCAACACAGGAGCCCCAGTGATGTCTGTAAATACACACCTAATCAGATACCCTGCTGCTTACAGTATTTCAATATCTGCTGCTTGCGGTATTTCAATATCTTCCTTTGGCTTTTGCAATAAAGACCAAAGTCCTTAACCTGGACTAAAAGGATCTGGATAGGCTAGCCCCTGTCTACCTTGATAGCCACTTCCTGTATTTTTATATCACTATATACTGCTACTTCATACATTGTTAAGTTTTTGTTGATTTGTGTGATTTAATTAATATCTATTTGTTCCATTAGAAAGCAACTTCCATCTATGTAAGTAAATATTAACTGCTTATCATTGAATCTCCAGGGTCTAATATGATGTTCAGATGATAGTAGCTTATTAATAAATATGTATTGAATAAAAGAGAATATGGAATAATTATATTCAACCCTCTATGAATTCTTTGGTTTGCATTCAACAAATACTTATTAAGTCCTGAAAATGTGTCAGGCATTCTTCTTGGCTTTTGAGATTCATCAGTGAATGAAAGAAACAAAGCTTCCCTACTCTAATGCTGTCTTAAGTTAGTGTGGGTAATAGATATTAAATAATAAATATAATAAATGAATGAATTGTTTTACAACTTGTGAAAAGTTAGAGCAGCATACATAAAATTGGGGGAAATTGGGGAGGGGAAAGCTGCAGTATTAAATAGACTTGCAGCCAGGCACAGTGGCTCACGCCTGTAATCCCAACACTTTGGGAAGCCGAGGCGGGCGGATCACGAGGTCAGGAGATCGAGACCATCCTGGCTAACACGATGAAACCCCGTCTCTACTAAAAATACAAAAAAATTAGCCAGGTGTGGTGGCGGGCACCTGTAGTCCCAGCTACTCAGGAGGCTGAGGCAGGAGAATGGCGGGAACCCAGGAGGCGGAGCTTGCAGTGAGCCGAGATGGCGCCACTGCACTCCAGCCTGGGCAACAGAGTGAGACTCCGTCTCAAAAAAATAAAATAAAATAAAATGAATAAATAAATAAATAGACTTGCTAGGGTAGACTTTACTGAGGTGAGAATTGAGCAAGGTAAGATAATGGTGAAGATGGGTTTTGAAGGTGAGGGATTTAGATATGTGGATATCTGGTGGAAAGCATTTAAGACAAAGAATAATTGGAGCAAATCGCTGCAGTGAGAGCACTCCTGATGTCTTTGGCACGTGATCAGCACGACAAGAGTCATAGGAAGTCCAAAAAGTAGCAGGGATGGGTGATGGGCTTGATGACAGACCATGAAGGACTTTGTTGTTTACTCTAAAGACTTCTGCTTTTATTGTGAGTGTGATAGGTAACCGCTGGAAAGTTTTCAGTGAGGAATAACATGTCTTATTTATGGTTTATGGGTCATGTTGGCTACTATTTTGAGAAAAAACAAAGGGTGAAAGGTAGTCATTAAAAAAAAAATCAGTGAGGATGCTATTTCAATAATCCACGACAATGGTAGTTTGAATGCAGGTATTAGAAAAAAAATGCTAATAGGCTGAGTTTCTCCACATATTGTGATTATAGAGCCAAGTGGATTTCCTGATGAATTGGATACAGAAAATAAGAGAAAGAACAGAATTAAAAACTACTACAAACATTGGACCTAACAAATAGGAGGGTTAGAGAGGCCATAACTATAATGAAAATAGCCACACATGATGCAGGTTTAAGCAGGAAGGGGAAAATCAACAGTTCACCTTTGAAAATTTTAAGCTTGAGATGTCTACTGGACATCCAAGTAGAGATGACTATAAGTGGAGCTGTAAAACTCAGAATTAGAAAGAGTAATCTGGTTTGGAAGAACCAGTTTGAGAATCATTGACTTAAAGCCACAATTGAAGGCCGCGAAAGTAAATGACATTAGCAAAAGGTGAGTGTATAGAACAAAAAGAGCTAGCTGGGCGCAGTGGCTCACGCCTGTAATCCCAGCACTTTGGGAGGCCGAGGTGGGCGGATCACAAGGTCAGGAGATCGAGACCATCCTGGGTAACACGGTGAAACCCCGTCTCTACTAAAAATACAAAAAATTAGCCGGGCGTGGTGGTGGGTGCCTGTAGTCCCAGCTACTCGGGAGGCTGAGGCGGGAGAATGGCGTGAACCTGGGAGGCAGAGCTTGCAGTGAGCCGAGATCTCACCACTGCACTCCATCCAGCCTGGGCGACAGAGCAAGACTCCGTCTCACAAAAAAAAAAAAAAAAAAAAAGAGCTGAGCACCAAGGACTGAGCCCTAGGATAGTACAAGCGAAGGAGCAAAAAGGAAGATAAAGAACATGCAAAGAAAACAGGAACAGAGTGACTAGTTACGTAGCAGGAAAATCAAAACTGTGAGTGTACTGACAGCCAAGTTGAGACAGTAAAAAGCATAATATAATAAAGTCATGATCAATTTGGACACATACTGAGGTTGGGCTAAGATGGAGATTAAAATATGTATTTCAGTGTTGCTTTTGGGAGTCTGTATCTTTTAAAGTAAATATAAGAATCCATAGAATTAACTTCATTAAAGTTGTTCTGATTTGCTTTACATATGTAGGTTTGATGATGGGAAGTAGGGATTGTAGTTCTTTATATAATCTAATGTATTAAAATCATAGTTTTGATGTTTTCAAAATTTAACTTATTTGGCTTTATTTTATATGCATATAAATTTTTCATAGCAATGAATATGACTAAAGATAAATTAAAATTTGTACTTCAGTTCTGTGAAATACTTGATCGAATGTTTAGAAATACTTAGATGATATAATTCAACTTTTAGTAGTAGCAAGAAGTAATGCATTCTGAAAAGTGAACTTTGAATAACTGTCACTGTCATAATTTTATTTAAGAGGACAAGCTCTATAAAAGGTTATTGAAGCTAATTTGAATGATAAATAGAATTCTACTAAAATAGCAGTTTACTATTAGCTATTCCAGAGGAGTTTGGGGAATTTTAGGCTCTATGGGACAGATTTTCTGTCCAGAGTTTCTTCCTAGCATCTCTAATACGAGTTGCACCTTATTAACCCAGGGTTTGCGTTGTGCTCTGTTAATTCTATTTCTTTTCTTTTTTTTTTTTTTTTTGAGACCGAGTCTTGCTCTGTTGCCCAGGCTGGAGTGCAGTGGCACGATCTCAGCTCACTGCAAGCTCTGCCTCCAGGGTTCACGCCATTCTCCTGGCTCAGCCTCCCCAGTAGCTGGGACCACAGGTGCCCACCACCATGACCGGCTAATTTTTGTGTGTTTTTTAGGAGAGAGGGGGTTTCACCGTGTTAGCCAGGCTGGTCTCGATCTCATGAACTTGTGATCCGCCCACCTCGGCCTCCCAAAGTGCTGGGATTATAGGCATGAGCCAATGTACCCTATAATTTAGTGTAACATCTTAGTCAATTTTTTTCAAAGTTAACCTTTTATCCTCCATGTTTACAGAGTATTACATAGAGCCATTTAAGTTTACATTGCTTCCAATCATTTCTGTAGCTAAACAGAATGCACATGTTTTCAAAGTGAAATTATGACCCCAAAAAAACAGTTTAATGATTGTGTGCAGACATTTTGAAATCTAGGCATATGATTGACTTTTAGTGTATTAAAATCAGAAGCCCAGAAAATGAATGCTGAGATGCATTATATAGAGGGTAGGAAATAAGATAATCAGCAAATATGTAGCCTGCATTCCTCAAAGGAATATAAAGCATTAGAATGTAGGTAAGATTTCAGTTTTTGCTTTAAAATTTTTTATTTTCTATGTGATTTTTGATACTGTTAGCCAAAGATGCTGTGGCTAATAGTGCTATTTTCTGAAAGGATATGTATGTATCTGAAAGTACTATTACATCAATCTGTGGTGTTTTGTCTCAGTCGTTCCTGGGGTGGATTCCATTATCTGCAGCTCTATTGCGTTATGGATAACACTTTGCTTCTCTTTGGACAGAGTATGCTTCTAATTGTTTGCACACTGTGGTGCTTTGTAGCTTTCTTCTGCCTGTTACTACATTTCATTGCCCTCAAAGGGGGGCTTCTGAGCTCTTGAAAGATTTCTTAAACCCACATTCTGTTCTGCTCGCCCTTATGCAGCTTTTTGGAAGCATTTACCTCGACAACCCAGTGTTCTGTTCTGTTGACTGTGAACATGTGGCTTTTTGTCGCAAAGCTAATTTGCAGTGATCATTTTTGAAGCTTTAGGTTGAATGCATTGCTTTAAAATAAGAATTATGTCACAAACAAAAGTTGAGTTGAAAGTGTTTCCACTGATGAGTTTTGTGTAATATAAAATATATATGAAGGAAAATAATAACAGTTGATTCTTATTTACATCCCACAAATTAAAATATGGGGCTGAAAAGTTATTTTTTTTTGAGACGGAGTCTCGCTCTGTCGCCCAGGCTGGAGTGCAGTGGCGGGATCTCGGCTCACTGCAAGCTCCGCCTCCCGGGTTCACGCCATTCTCCTGCCTCAGCCTCCCAAGTAGCTGGGACTACAGGCGCCCGCCACTACGCCCGGCTAATTTTTTTTGTATTTTTAGTAGAGACGGGGTTTCACCGTTTTAGCCGGGATGGTCTCGATCTCCTGACCTCGTGATCCGCCCGCCTCGGCCTCCCAAAGTGCTGGGATTACAGGCGTGAGCCACCGCGCCCGGCCAAAAGTTATTTTTAAAGTTACTTTCTTAGAGGGTCATGTATACTATGCAATTAAAATTAGACTTGCTACCGTATATATTTTTACTGACAGAAAACAATAGTACACAAATCCAGTCAATAATTTTTGAGGCTCAAGATGGCTGATTAGATGTAGCTACAGTGCTCCTCTTCCATGGAGAGGAACCAAAATATCCAGTAAATCTTCACACTCTAAACATATATTTTGTGAGAAAACACTGAAATTCATTAGAGAGGCAATGGGAAATACTGTGGTTGAAGAGGGAGTAAGCTGGGCTGCCTGCTCAGTTACGGGTAGCCTACAAGCCCAAATCTCACCATTATGCAATATATGTTACATAGACATGTAACAAACCTGCACAGGTACCCCCTGTAGCTATACAAAGAAAGAAAAGAAAAAAACAATTCAAAGAAAGGCATATCAAATGTTTAACTGTGTAAGGAGAAGAAAAAGACAGCTTGTGAATAAAATAATTAAAATGGAAAATAATACTGTTAAAATACTGAAAAAAAATACTGTTTCAAGTATTTAGTGCGAAGAACTGAAATAAAAAAGCCACAGGTCATTCATAAAGTACCACAAATGATCATAATAGTATGAAGAATTTCACTTATTAAGATTTGAGTAGAAGACTATTTTAAAATCCTTAACAATTCTAAACTTGTATTTACATAGGTTTCACAAAGTAGCTAAAAAATAAAACTCACTGGGGAGGCCAGACAAAATAAAAAATAACAAAAGACACAGTATGAAGAAAGGCATCATGGGAGACCAGTAACTTAATTGCCATCCTCTCCTTTGCCAGAGGGGAAACCTTTTATTTACCACATGAATATTAATGTCTCAGTTATCTCAATCAGTGTTTGGGGCCCCTGAGGAAGATGATAATTTCATAATGACTTTTTTTTTTTTTTAAGAGACAAGGTCTCACTCTGTTGCCCAGGCTTGACAGCAGTGGCGTGATTATACCCCACCACAGTCTCCAATTACGGGGCCCAAGGATCCTCCTGCCTCAGCCTGCCACATAGCTGGGACTACAGATACGCGACACCGTGCCTGGCCAATTTTGTACTTTTTGTGAAGACAAGGTCTCTCTATGTTGCACAAGCTGATTTTGAAGCAATCCTGCCTCAGCCTCCCAAAGCACTGGGATTACAGGCCTGAGCCACTGCAATTGGCCCCTCAAAGAATTATAACTTTGAGAAATTCGATCTCAGAATTTACTGCCCTTCCCTTTCTTCCTTTTTGTGTGTGTGTATATGTGTGTGTGTGTGTGTGAGAGAGACAGAATCTCACTCTGTTGCTCAGGCTGGAGTACAGTGGCTCTATCTTGGCTCACTGCAACCTCTGCCTCCTGGATTCAGGCAATTCTCGTGCCTCGGCCTCCCAAGTAGCTGGGATTACAGGTGCCTGCCACCACAACCGGCTAATTTTTGTATTTTTAGTAGACACAGAGTTTCACCATGTTGGTCAGGCTGGTCTCAAACTCAGGTGATCCATCCACCTCGGCCTCCCAAAGTGCTGGGGTTCCAAGCGTGAGCGGCCGTACCCGGCCACTTTTCTTCATTTTAAAATATTTCCCTAGGAACTCTATCATCCTTTACCAATAAACACTTTCTTGTTTAATGAAGCAGATAATTATTTTGTGTTTTCTCTATATTTAGATACCTCATAATATTACTTTATGCTTTAAAAATAAGCTAATTAATATTATCTTTTACATTCATCACTGTCAATACATTCATCTCATCTAATATCTATAAGAAATTTATGACGTTTTTTTATTATACTTTAAGTTTTAGGGTACAAAACTAAAAATAAAAATAAAAATAAAAGATTAAAAAAAGAAATTTATGATGATTGTCTTTCAGTTTAATCTGAGAATGGCTCTACATTTGGAGTCGATATTAATGACTGCATAGGTTAAGCAATGACCACATTGCATACTCTACTTGAGTTACTAAACATACAGTTAATTTACATTTCTTCTACCTGTTTTCTAAAAGCAATTGTCACTCACCATATATTAATTATAATACAGTAATTACCTGTGTCTTTATATCAAACTCAACTTTATTTTCCTACAAATGAGTAATTTTACTTTAATTATGTTGCCATACTTTTTCTCATTCGTTTGTTTAATCATGCAGATTTAAGACACCATCTAACAACAAATATTAATTATATTTGTTCAATAACTGTTGTAATTTATTCAGGTAAGGTAAGAGGTTTGTAAGATTACCACACAAGTCAAATTTTTTTCCTGCCCCCTTTTATTTCACACTTGGACTTTTCCATTTGACAAGCAAGTATTAGGTTTGTACAATGTATAGGACTCGTATAGAGCATTATGAGAAACGCAACTTACCATGCTTTGAGTATTATCTAGACGGCCTTCCCTTGTTCAGACGATGAATTTATCTCTAATTTAAGTATTTATTTAATTTTTCAAGTTAAAACAGCTTTAGTAATACGTGTTAAATCAGATACTTGTGATATGTAGCACTCAGTTGTTGTTTTTTAACTAAAATACCATGTGATCAGAATCCCTGGATCCAAATACATGTCAATTGATAAAAACTATGTTTTATCTTAGTCTGAGCTCATTTATATTGGTTATATGCTCTGTCTTTCATATTTTGTTTATACTTAAAATGTAAGCCCTACAAATCCTGTTGAAAAAGGGCTATCTATATATTCAGAATGAATAAAGAATATGCTATTATTACTTTTCATTTCTTTTGGGCTATTGGGAAAGACTGCACAGTATTTGTTAATATCACAGGTTTTGGAGTTAGAAAATCTTAGATTTAAATCCAATTTCAATCATGCTATGACCTGTCTACCTTAAATAGCATTATTAACTTTTCTGAGCCCTAATTTGCCTCTATATGTAACACACAGGACTGAATGGTCAAGGCAAACTCACAGAAATCATGTGTTTTACCCAAGGCACTAAGGTTCAAAAGATACAGGCAAGACACAGGCACAGAGGAACATGCCTTCCTGGGGAAGACTGAATCTCTGAAGCTCAAATTTCTAATTGACTCCTTTGTCCTGCATACCAGTTTTTTCCTGTCTGATATAGAGGAAGGCACCACAGGTCTGCTTTCCTATCTTCTTTTATGAACCTGTATCTCTGCCACTTTTATAGTTAGGCTTTCTAGAACAACGTATGCATGTGCTGCCACAAAGTTGCACTTTAATTTCACTGTTCAGTTCCCTACCATATAATTTTTTACCCATCTATCACCCTCAGATTGTTTTTGCTGTGTTCACCATTGAGCTCCAGCTTCACAAACACAGTATCATTTAGAACTCGCTTCCCCCACACCCCCCAAGAACTTTCTGAATCATTAAAGATGCTGACTCCTGCCTCTGCCATACATTCATATTTTCTTCATTTCAATGACATTGCACTTTCCTTATATTCTTTCCATACTTTTGCTTTTTTCCTTTTCTGTCTCATTTCACTCCTTCCTGGTAAATTGATGTCTAATTTTTAATGTATATTAAGTTTCAACCAGGTTTTTTCTTAACTTCCCATTCTACATTCTCTGTGTAAATATTCTTTCCTACAGCTTTAAATACCATGCCCCAAATTCTCAAATTCTATTTGACTACAACCTCTCCTATGAATTTCAAGCTTATAGGTCAAAATATGCTCAAAACTGAAATTCAGGATAATTGCATGGATCAGAGCAGTGAGGCTCATTCTTGATATTTAATTCTTTAGTTAAGCCTATACACAATCAATCAGCCATGTGTCCATTCTACCTCCAAATCTGCTTATTTCCATCTGACCCAACTACCCCTAACCCAGCAAATTATTCTTTCACCTTCAAGGATTACTGTCAAAGTCTTCTCCTGCAGTAGGAAGATTAAATTTAATAAATTGCAAATCATATCTCCAACACTCCTCTTTACTTAAATTTATATAAAATCCAAACTCCTTACTTTGTCAAACCACGTATTAATTATTTCGTTCTCACTCAACTCTTCATCTTTTTCCACACAGTAATGACACTCTACTTGCTCTGCTCTTGCTGCTTTTGCTTCGTCCAAATCAACAAGCTCTTTTTCTGCTATCTGCCTCACAGTTATCTCTTATCCATCTGTCAAGCCTCAATAAAAATTTCACTTCCCCAGAGAAAATGTCCCTAAATCTTCAATCTTAATTAATTATTTTCTGTAATTTCATTCCTTGACATTATAACTTTCCTTCACAGTGTTTATCCCATTTTGAGTTTATGCATCCATTTCATTTATGTAGTGCTAATCACCTACTAGATAGTAGGCTTCCTAGGCCTTAGAGGGTCAGTAATCATGTTTTTTTTTTTTCTGTCTTCAAATTCTGCTGCATGTATAATCCTCAGTCTCTGATCTTAGAAATGGATAAAATAAGACTTGATTTGCTGCATAGTTAAAAGTAAGTACAATGATTTATTTGATTCTTTAGTGAGGCTGAAACATCACAAGCCTTTATTAAATTGTGTTTATTAATTGTGTTTATTAATGAGAAATAGACTTACTTTTTTTAAGAATAGAGGCAATTATTTTATGGTTTCAAGCCAGTGTGCCAGCTCTCAAAGCCCAGCTTTGCTAATTTTAGCTGTGCATTTGTAGGAAAATTACTTTGTATCTTTTTGCCTCAGTTGTCTCACTTTTACAATGGGGATAACAACATCTGATGGGTTATAATATAAACAAAATGGGTCTCATGCCTGTAATCCCAGCACTTTGGGAGGCCGAGGAAGGTGGACCACCTGGGGTCAGGAGTTCGAGACCAGCCTGACCAACATGGTGAAACCCTGTCTCTACTAAAAAATACAAAAAATTAGCTGGGTGTGGTGGCAGGCGCTTGTAATCCCAGCTACTAGGGAGGTTGAGGCACGAGAATCGCTTGAACCTCGGGAGGTTGAGGCACGAGAATCGCTTGAGGCACGAGAATCACTGCCTGGGAGGCAGAGGTTGCAGTGAGCAAGACTACACCATTGCATTCCAGCCTGGGTGACAGAGTGAGACGCCATCTCAAAAAAAAAAAAAAAAAAAAGGACAAAATGAGTTAATGTATTCTAAGCACATAGTACAGTATGCAATACATACACACTGAGCATTCAATGAACATTGACTTTTGCTATCATTAGGAATTATTTTTACCTATTTTAACAAATATCTAGAGGTTTTTCTTCTAAAGATATCATCTGTTCTATATTGTCTTCTGAAAACTTTCCATTTACTGTTCACATTTTTACTATAGTTTCTCTTCTTTAATTCTATATTAAAAAGTTTTTCCAGTCATGAAAATGATTTAGATTTCCTTTTTCCTCTACAGCCTTCTCAACTTTTTTGCTAACACTTTTTGCAGTGAGATTCCAAAAATGAATTATGATTTCATTTTATTCTCTTTCAGAATGTCATTGTTTGGCTCAGTAAAATGTCTCTGGTCCTTCTTACAGCACTTTGAAATCTCTATACTTAAATCTTTTACTGTTCCGAGACCTTATTCATGTCAGCTCATTTTAAAATCTCCCTTCTAGTCTGAAAATATCTCACAAAATTATAACCCAAGGTTCTAAACTTGCATTAATCTGCTGGCTTTGAACTGTCTACATTTCTAGCTCAAGTTCATCCCACGCACAGTCCCGAATGCCACAAGACGTCCATCCTGACAGGTACCTTTTTTTCCCCTCTGCCACTCCTTATACTTCCAGGCTTCACCCTATGCTGAAAATGGCATCTTAATCAGCATCTACTAAGTACATTCTTTCAAATCTTCTTCTTACGCCCACCTTTTCTGTTAAGTCTAGAATACTGAAATTAACTTCCTTCCTCAAATTATTGGCCCACTGCTGTTTTTGTAGCTATAGTTAACCTTCAAATCCACATAATAGGAATGTATTCAAATGGAAATTAGATTTTTAATTGACACAAACATCTTTAATAATTATTTAAAAACCAAATTTTGAGAATGTGTCTGACATTTTCTAAGAAACAAAAGATTATTTCAAGAATAAATAATTCAATGGGTATGAAGGAGATATCTGTATTGCATATAGTATCTGTAGACTATATAAATCCACTTATTTCTAAAGAGCATTAAGGGCAGGGCCTTGCTTTTTAAGTGGTTGTAAAGATCTTATATTATCTGTTTTTTGTGCCATGGTGACAAAAAAAAACTGAATAACTCTACAAATTAAGATACTATTACTATGACTTACTATTATAGCATCGATCCTTTGAGTGTTTACTTAAATATTGAGCATTGTGTGCCTGGCAATTTACTAATTTACAAATGTGCTTCCATTACCAGAAAGGAGTCATCATTTAGACCCCAAGAGAGGTTTCTTGTATCTCACTTAAGTATTTGAGGTGAATCCATAGAGTAAAGTGAGAGCACGTTTATTAAGAAAGTAAAGCAATAAAGAATGGCTACTCCACAGGCAGAGCAGAGACATGGGCTGCTCGACTAACAATATTTATAGTTATTTTTTGACTATATGCTAAACAAGGGGTGGATTATTCATGAGTTTTCAGGGAAAGGGGTGGGCAATTTCCTGGAACTGAGAGTTTGTCTCCATTTTAGACCATATAGGGTAATTTTTGAGGTTGTCATGGCATTTGTAAACTGTCATAGCATGGGGGAGAGTGTCTTTCAGCATGCTAATGCATTATAATTATCATATAATAAGCAACAAAGACCACCAGAGGTCACTTTCACTGCCATCTTGGTTTTGATGCGTTTTCTCTGGCTTCTTTGCCGCAACTTGTTTTCTCAGCAAAGTCTTCGTGACCTGTATTTTGTGCCAACCTCCTATCTCATCTTGTGACTTAGAATGACCAACCTCCTGGGAATGAAGCCCAGTAGGTCTCCCCTTATTTTACCCAGCCCCTACCCAAGATGGGGTCACTCTGGTTTAAATGCTTCTGACACTTCCACTTAATTTCACAATACCAAAACTATTATAAATTTATTATTGCTATATTATAAATTTAAAAACTACATATTAGAGTTGTTAATTAGTGCAATTTATAAATAAATACGTGAAACCGTTTATGAAAGGATTTTTTTTTTGCCGTTAAACTTCCGGTAGGCAGAATAATGGTCTCCAGAAGAAGTCCATATTTCAGTCTCCAAAACCTGTAAATATATTGCACTATCTAGCAAAGAGGAAACATGGTAACAGACGGAATTGGGTTTTTAAATAATCTCATCTTAAAATAAAGACATTATCCCAGATTATTCAGGAATCTTCAAATGTGGAAAAGGGAAACAAAAGGAACTATCAGTGTAATTTGATGTGAGAAAAGCTCTACTGGCAACCGATGGTTTTTGAAGGTAAATTGGGCCACCAGCCAAGAATTCCAGCAGCCTCTGTAAACTAGAAAAGACAAGGGAATGGCTTCTTCCCTAGGGCCTCCAGGAGAAACCATTCTAGAGGTCAAAAATTCTTAAATCAAGTTATCAGTCCCTGAGTAGCAGGGGGCTGATAACTTCATTTAAGAATTTCTGACCTCTAGAACTGTGAGATAATAAATTTGTAGTGTTTAAAGCCACCAATTTTGTGGTAATTGTGTTACAAAGCAATAGAAAAGTAACAAAGGTCTTAAATTATTTGTATTTTGGTTATCAAAACATTTTAAAACTGCAAGCACTTGAGAAATGATCAGATCCAGTGGGCTCATTAATCAGATGAGAAAAATAAAGAATAAAGATACTAAATTAATTGCCATCAACTTTTTCTGAATGCTCCTATTGGCTTTCAATTGACATATAAACAAAACATCAGAAGACTGCTTTTGTTCTTTCTATACCTGCCTTCGCAGACTGCTAGAACTATTAGAATAGTCTGTTTCTTCTGATCTAGGATTTGTTGCACTTTGATCTACAGTATCTCTTTGCATTCCCAAAATACTTCAGAGGGACTTATTAATATATTATGAAGGCAATAAATATTGTGAGAAAATATTTCTTCATTTAAATGTCCTAAATAGATTAATAAATTTTATGTAATACACAAATAAAAACAATATTATTTTAGGGTTTCATTTGCTTGTTCTTCTACAGTCACTTTCTTAATAGTCTAGTGAAAAAGATTCTGTTTTGCTTTGTGAGGACGTTATTGGCAAAATTAAATGTTGGTAAACATCTTTTAAAATAATAAACATAGCAATAGCTATCATTTATTAAGCATTTCCTGTGTGTTGGGTACTGCTTCATGTGTTTTATGTGTATTATCTAATCTTATTTGAAAACATTTGCATGAGGTTGCATTATTACAATGCTTAATTTAAAGATGAAGAAATAAAGGCACCTAATATAATGGTTAGATAACTTGTCAAATGTCACACGCATGGAAACAGCGTTACCAGAATTTAAACATAGGCTATCCCTAACCAAAGCGTGTGTGCGCACGTGTGTGGTGTGTGTGTGTGTGTGTGTGTGTGCACTTGCTGGTTGGTTTGGTGCATTTGATTTGTTTTTAAGTAAGAATATGGAAATACTAATTTCAATTATCACACAAAACACAAAACTGAATCTAAATGTGTAAATGGGAGGCATGATAGTAACATTGACTTTATTTTATTGAACGTCAATAATTTGCATATAAAACTTTTCCAAGTACACTGTATTTTAATGAATTCAGAGCTCAGAGCATACACAAATAGTATTTGTTGGAAAATTTTAAATGACTAATTTAAATGTTCTTATGAATAGGCCATTGGAAAGGCTTTTAAATATAAGTAATATTGCAATGTATCCAGCATATGGCTTGTTTCTCACATCATGCTATGTTAAATGGTAACAGTTTTCTTTATATTTCTTTGTTTTAAAATAATGTATGAATTTTTATAAAACATTACAAATTGTCATATGAATAGAAAGGATTGGCAGGAAAACAACAATTTAACAGCAACAACTGTTGTATATTAGTCTTCAACAAAAGGGATTCCTTTTTCAGAGAAAATTAGATTTTTTTTTTTTTTTTTTTTGTGAGAGAGTCTCAGAGTGCAGTGGCGCAATCTCAGCTCACTGCAAGCTCCGCCTCCCGGGTTCATGCCGTTCTCCTGCCTCAGCCTCCCGAGTAGCTGGGACTACAGGCGCCCGCCACCACGCCAGGCTAATTGTTTGTATTTTTAATAGAGACAGGGTTTCACCCTGTTAGCCAGGATGGTCTCCACCTTCTGACTTCATGATCTGCCTGCCTCGGCCTCCCAAAGTGCTAGGATTACAGGCGTGAGCCACCACGCCCTGCCGAAAACTAGACTTTTAATCACAAGATATCAAAGCTGCTAGTGTACCTTCTCAATTAACAGT
Organism: Homo sapiens; assembly: GCF_000001405.40. NCBI lineage: Eukaryota > Metazoa > Chordata > Mammalia > Primates > Hominidae > Homo > Homo sapiens. The sequence continues at coordinate 171,557,821 of NC_000004.12, forward strand.
CCTCGAAGAGTGTGATGACTGGCATCAGCAAGTGGGGCAGATAGTTTGCTTTCCTAGGGGGAGTTCATGTCAGTGGAAAAGGAAGGAGCAGTTCACTTCTTCAGTGAATGGCAGGTAGAATAGAGCCTCTTATGTTCCTGAGTCTCATGACCTGATGACTCTTTTCTTGGAATTAATGGGTTCTGATCTGAGCTCTTCCATGTGGTAGGTATTTATCGGCACTCAGCTCAAATTCATAGAATGAAAATAGTAACTTCTAAGCCATGTAATAGAATACTGGTTTTATTAACCAAAAGTGGGGTTTGGTGGTGATGGGGATCTTGTTTTAGGGCACCAAAGTAAAGTGATGAACCACTTAGGAGGCACTCTTTCAATTGAGTAGCAATTTCTGGGCATTTTTTCTCCCCTGAAAAAAAGCTGTGTAGCAGCTTGGGGTGGACAAAGGCTGTCTCTCAAGAAGAGAGTAGGAACATAGCAGATTGTGGCAAGGCTATGCCAGATAAAACATGGTAATATGGTGCTATTCCTTCCTTCACAGTTTATCCGAGATCCAAACATTTTGGTGGGGTTGAGAATCAAAACATTTTGTTTTAATTCTTAGATACTGGCCAAAAATCTTATTGTAATTTGGAATTTCTTTTGATAAATACATAAAATTCCCAAAGTTTATATATTATGTTAAATCTCATAAAAGCATATAATCTACTTTTTGTACATTTTATATTACTTTCTCTCTTTACTTTCATGATGATTTCAAGGTACCCACATATACATAACTTTTTGCCTTTGAAACTTGCTTTTAAACATCAAATCATCAGCTCTAATGGTGGAAGCCCTTACATATATATATGAGAGCTTATTATTACATATATATTACACATATAGTTCTTATACATATTAACTCTTATGTAGAAATCCCTAAAGCTAAATGATTTCTAGCAAAAATTAGATGATTTAAACCCAAAATGCATTATTTCCATAAATATTGGGAAGGTTCTCTTTCCCAATGAGTCTTGTTTCTGTTTAAATAAGAATATTGCAAGAAACCACAACTCGAGCAGGACTTTTATATTGCCTGATGCCAGCACTAGACCAGAGGGATACCAGTGGTAGCTGTAGAGATTATTTCATTATGATGAAGGAAGTCCCTCAAAAACAACAGTGCATTTTGATGTGTTTACTGTAACCCTCATTTCAATTTTTCCCTTTTTAAGTTCTTTTTTCTTTTTTTAAACTCTATTATTAAAATCTTAGCATAATGAGCAGATAGAGAATTAAGTACAGAGAAGAAACTGCCTCATGAAACATAGTCACAGACATTTTCTACACTTAAGTTTATTTTATGTGCTCTATTTGTGATTTTGCCACATTTGATGTATATTTTTCAAGCTAATCTTGATTAAGTATTCATGGCACTAGTTTCAAGCAGGTGTCAGAAATCCTGGTTTGAACATTTCTGGTGCACAGAGGACTGTGCTGACATTTTCTGTTCACCCTCCATGGACAGTAATTTTTTTTACCATAAATTATTTATGCTTCCTAAAGCACAGTTTAGTCACAGAGAGTCAAAATGACAGTCCTTACTGTGGTTAGAGCATTGTGGAGAAGAAAGACATAAATCTGATCATAAATAAAAAGATATAAGAGAAAGTGCAATATACACATATGACCTGAAATAGGTTTTAATATAGAAAAAGTGAGAAAGAAGCTGAAGGTACCACTGTTCATCCCTCTATACTGTAGATCTCCTATGCAGCATGCCACATGTTATCTGTGACTGACAAAAATGCTGAACGCTTTCTCTCCTCATCACAAGAATTGTCCTGCACAAATTCTGGGGTTAACTATTCTACTGTGGACATAACTAATCTACTATATGATGGAATTATTTTATAAGAATGTAATAAATAGTCAAAGAAATATGTATTAAGTAGATTACTAAAAAACACATATATATTTACCTTGATTATCTATTTAAATAACACATAATAAGGGAGAGAAAAATAAATTAGAAAAAATAGTAATTTGCAAAGAAATTTGTGTGATTATCTAAAGTTATTTTTAGATTTAAAAGGAAAATATTAAATACAATTATTGAAAAAAATACATAGACCTAGACATAGTTTTGTAATATTTTGCCGTCTCTGTAAAGAGCTACCACACAGGCCTATGATAATGAGAACAGTTCACTTCATGAAGGCAAAAAATTAAATAGGCATCATTTTATTTAATCTGATCACAGGATCAGGTTCACGTAAGATTGAGAGTAAAGTGTGGAGGCTTTGAGAGAAAAGAGTTATTATCATCCAATAACCTAACATAAGCACAATTAACATACATATGGGAAAGCAAAGAAAAGACCTGTGGAACATGCAAGAAATTCGGCAATATGTCATCCACGAATATCTTGTGGAAGTATTTAAGGAAAGCATTTAGCCAAAAGTAAAATAAAATAAAGGCAGAATGCAGATACTCAAAGTAAAATGAAAAAATAACCTTGAAATCAAATTTTGTAAATTTTCAACAAATTCATATGTTGGAGTAGTAGTATAAGGAAGACAGGTAGAGATTGGTAAATCAGGGAACATATGAGAATGTAAAATATGAAGGAAACTACTAGTAAATAGGGATTTGTAGCAGTGTATCCAATAAAAGATGTGAAACCATAACAGGTAAACATAAAAAAAGTAATTAGGCTCATGGACTATCAGAAAAAATAAAAAGTGTAAAAATAAGTAAAAAATGCAGTATAAAAAAGAAATCATAAACCAAACACATTAGTTAGCATATTTAATAGAAACTGGTTAAATTATTTTACTAAAGAAGTGCTCTCACATTGAGTTCTAGCTATATTCCGTTGAGAAAGAACATATCTAAAGGAAGAGCACAATGAAGAAAATAACAGAATATAGCATGTCAATCAAAGAAAACACTTCTGAAAATTATTAACATCAGATACATCTTAAGATCAAAAAAGCAAAAGGGATTGTCTTATATTTTCAAAGACAAAAGAATAATATCCTCAAATAAGATATAATAGGAATGACTATTCACTTGGCAATTCTTAAAAATATAGTGATAGGGCAGGCTGAAGAATGTCCACATCTTTAACCCACAGAACCTGGAAATATGTTGCCTTACATGGCTAAAGGGATTTGGTAAATGTGATCAAGGATATTGAAGTGAGGAGATTATCATGGATTATCTAGGTGTAACCAATGTAATCATAAGGGACTTTATAAGAGGCAGGAGAAGGAGATGTGATGATGGAAGCAGAGTTGAGAGAAAGAAACAGAGACAGAGTAAGAGAGAGATTTTAAGATAATACACCGTTGTCTTTGAAGGTAGAGAGCACAAGTTAAGGAATAAAGAAAGCCTTTAGAAGCTGGAAAAGGTAGAAAAACAGATCCTCCCTGTCTTAGTTCATTTTCTTTTGCTTATAACATAATACCTGAAACTGAGTAATTTACTTAAGAATATTTATTTCTTACAGTTGTGGAAGCTGAGGAGTCCAAGTTTGAGGGGCCTCATCTGGTGGGAGCCTGTGCTCATAGGGACTCTGCAGAATCCCATGGCAGTACAGGACATCCCATGGCAAAGGAGCTGAGCATGCTAGCTTAGCTTTCTCTTCCTCTTCTTACAAAGCCATTAGCCTCATTCCCATGATAACCCATTAACTCATTAACACATTAATCTATTAATCCATGAATGGATTAATCCATTCAAGAGGGCAGAGCCCTTATAGACCAATCACCTCATGGAAGTTCCACTTCGTAATACTGCCACATTGTAGATGAAGTTTCAATATGAGTTTTGGGGGAAACAAACATGCAAACCATTTCACTCCCCTATAGCTGACAGAAAAGGATCAGCCTTGCTGACACCTTGATTTTAGCCTACTGAAATTGATTTTGTATGTCTGACATTCAGAATGTAAGAGAAGAAACAAAAGTATTGTTTAAGCCTTTAAATTTGTGATAACCTGTAATAGCAGCATCAGAAAACCAATGCAAGTGACAAAACATATAATTTTTTTTGAAAAACCCATATTTGTAAAAGAAGACAGTACTAAAGCCATCTCAGAAATCAATGGGTTAAATACCCAAAAGATAGAAAGGCTTTAGGGGAACTGAATCTTTAAAGTCAAGCTTGTCTTAATTATATATAAAAATGCAATATCAGGCAGTGTTTAAACATACACTTCATACACTACATGAATGTTTATGGAAATAATATATGAATAAGGCCATAAATATAATCTCAATTAATTAAAAATTAGAAAAAAATATATATATATGTAGTTTTTAAAAATTCTTATACAAAAACAATAATATAAAAATATTATTTGCTGATTATAGAACTCTGCCCCAATTCACTCAATCGATAATCTACTTTTCTCATTATATTGCTTTTAGACTGGAAAAAATTAAGGTTTCCAAGAAAAAAATAGAAGAATATTCCAACAATTCTAGGCAGATAAATTCTTTCATAAAGAGAGCATGGATTTAATACAGAATAAAGATTAAAAGGTTTGGTTCTACCGTATTTCCATATAATAAGAGAACCTTACACAATGGAAAAATGGCAAAGTATTTGCAATTTAAATAGGTAACAAGAGATTAACATCTCCAAGCTAAGACATGTTTCTAATAGCATGATAATTTTAATCTTCCCCCACTCCCTGGGAGAGTTTAAAATAATTTCATATGAAAATTTCTCATGAAAGAGAGCTGCTTATCAGTGGATAATTTTTTTATCTCAGAAGTTAGTTAACACAGGAGAAAATTATATGGGAGTGTTGAAGAGCTGCTTCTAATTGTTGGACAGTTATTTTCTAAAGGGGTGATCCAAAAATCCTGGGCCCATTTGTCTTGGATAGATCCTTTCTACACTTAGTTTCCACATTTATAATTCAAGTGTATATCGTTTCTGTTAGCATTCTATTAAGTAGAACTCAGTTATATGGCCACGAGAAACTGAAAGGTCAGCCAGAAAATGAAGTTGACATAGCCAGGAAGAAGAAATAAGCTTGCTTGCACCTAGCCATCTCTGTCACAGGGGCTTCTGACAACATTTTTGAACTGTGGAATTCTGAACTCTTTTTTCTGTGGTAGCCTCCTTTATATTCCTGAATTTTAAGCAATTGTGTTAAGGATAACACTTCCTTTAATCAGAATATTTTGGCACCAAGTTAAGCTTTTCTAAACTGTTACATTACTGGTTACAAATCTTGAAAATAAAAACAAGTGTTTTTGTTTTTTGTTTTCTGTTTTTGTGGTTTTTTTGTTTGTTTGGTTGGAGTTTTTTTTGTTTTTCTCGCTACAGGGTCTCACTCTGTTGCCCAGGCTGCAGGTCAGTGGTGCAAACACAGCTCAATGTAGCCTTTATCTCCTGGGCTCAAGGAATCCTCCCACCTCAGCCTCCTGACTACCTGGGACTACAGGCAAGTGCCACCATTCCCAGCTATTTTTTTTTTTTTCAATTTTGTAGAGATGGGGTCTTACCATGCTGTTCAGGCTGGTCTTGAATTCCTAGGCTCAAGGAATCCTCCTGCCTTGGTCTTCCAAAGTGCTGGGATTACAGGCATGAGCCACCACACCTGAATGATTTTTTTTTTTTTTTAACAGAGAAAAACCTTAAGGTGGAAAATAAAAACAAAATTATCTTTCCTATATAACACAATAATGAATTAGAATTCAGTGTTACTCAAATTATTATACGGTTAGATTTCTTGACATTTTGTGGTGTGCAATGTTCAAAAGCAAATCTTTTTTTTTTTTAATTGCCTCTGTCTGCAGTCTACACACCCACCCACCCCCCGCCCCCACCTCAGGCTAAAGCAAATAAAGAATCTGATAACTGCATTTTTTAAAAATTGCTAAATTAAAAAAATGAATCCCACCCCTCCAGGGGTATAAGGGTAATGAATGAGGAAGTACTAGCCACTGAACATAAAGCTATCAAAGATATAATTTAAATAGTAGGCCAGGCACAGTGGCTCACGCCTGTAATCTCATCAGCACTTTGGGAGGTCAAGGCGGGTGGATCACATGAGGTCAGGAGGTTGAGACCAGCCTGGCCAACATGGTGAAACCCCGCCTCTACTAAAAATACAAAAATTACCTGGGTGTGGTGGCATGCACCTGTAGTCCCAGCTACTCAGGAGGCTGTGGCAGGAGAATTGCTTGAACTTGGGAGGCAGAGGTTGCCGTGAGCCGAGATCGCACAACTGCACTCCAGCCTGGGAGACAGAGTGACACTCCATCTCAAAAAAAAAAAAAAAATGAGTAAATAAATAATAAAAAATATTGTATGAAATATTGTATGTTAAAACTAAAACACACACACAGAGGTTAGGAAAGTTTCATCATAATATTAAAATGATACATACCAATAATTTTTAAATTATCTTGGAAAATATCAACTTTTCAACCATTAAATGCCTTGCTGTAAGAAAGAAAACAAATCACATTATATTGTAATTTATGTAGTCAAATTATCAAGTCACTGCTTGCTCCCCAAAAATTCAGATAGAAAATTATAATAAAAGAAACATTAAACAGAGAAAAGGAGGGAGAGAAACTTCTCAAAAAGGCAAACTAAGCCTCATTCAAAGAAAATAACTTTTTCTTTTCAATATCTTGGACACTAATTTTTAACTGCATTAGATTTTAATCAATCCAAACATATTAAATATTTTCTCAGGTTCAAAATGCTGTTTTCAAATCTGAAATCCTCTACCTAGAAGAAAAAAGATTACTTATATACATGTTAAAGCAAAAATACAGACTTAAAGGATGACTTAACTATGCATAAGAAGGTCTTTCTGTGTATTTTCAGTTGAACTACTAAACCTGTTTCAATGTAGATGTACTTTTTTTTAAAGCTATTATCTGCTAAGAGGAATTCTGAGAGAAAATTATGGACTGGAGATTTTGAAATTATCCAGAAAATATTTATGTGTGTATATCTCTAAAATTATCTCAGCATTAAGGTAATTTGTGCTAGTGTTATATTTCTTTATCTGGGTGCTGGTAACACAGGTAATCTACATTTAAAGCTACACATTATATTCATTTTTCTCTATGTATATTAGAATTTAATAATTTTTAATAACTAGAGACATAGAAAGGTAGCAAAGACAACAGCAGCATATTTTTTCCATCTCCCCAGAAAAACAGACAGAGCAATGGATAGCAAAACACATCCACAAACCCCATTTATAGCCAAACTAGGTGAAAAGTGTTAAAAGAAAAACCTTCAACAAATTAAATTTAACAGAGCAAAGAACAGGCAGCCTCAAACCAGAATAAATTCAGAAAGACTCTTGCACATGGTCAAAGTAGATTTATGGACAGAAAAAGAAAAGTGAGGTACAGAAACAGCTGGAGTGGTTACAACTTGGTGTTTGCCTTGTTTGAACATGGCTTGAACATTTGGCCATCTCGATGATTGTTGAGATGGGTAGGTTACAGTCTGTGTACACACCCAGTTAGGTTACAGTTCACTATGTACGGAGAGACCTTTAGGCTGAACTTAAACTATGTAAGGAGGTAGCTGTAGGCTAAACTTAATTTAAAAAAAGGTATCCCCTTCAACCCCAAACCTCAAGCAATTGGTGTCAAACCTGTCTGTGGGAAAGAAGGAGAAAGCCACAAGGGAAGCTTCTGACAGAACATCCACAGACCCCAATATAGCCGACATGAATTTGTTGAAAACCACAGATAGCCTGTCTGAGAAAAGCACCTGAAACTTGAGGGCTTGGATGAGCAGCCAGTAGCGGGTACCAGTAGTAAGAAGGCCAGAGGAGACAGAGCATATCAGTGCCAGGTGACTCTCAGAACTGAACAGAGAAGGCTTCCTTCTAGTATAAGCCCCTGCTCTGGGGAGCAACGGCTGCAAGGGAAATAAAGATTCAACAAGATAGGGGAAACAGATGAACAAGAGGGAAGGTCCAGACTACACTAGGGAAGGGAAGATAGCCAGGATTTCACAGAAAGCAATCTACCACACTGTTGAATTCTGGATGTAAAATATCCAAAGCAGGAGCTCTGAGAAGATGGAAAAGTTTAGTTGAACTCTGTTCCATTGAAAAGCTCAGGAAATCTTATTTCACCTAAAATTGAAAAAGAGAACAGCATAAATATCAAATCGCATGCATGCCAAGTTATTATAATAATAAAGAGAATAAAGAAGAATACTATCTGTACAGACAAGGAGAGCTTGCCAGAAAGACTGGTGCACAAAAGAGATCAAAACTATAACCTACTATTTCAAAATGAACTAAAAGACATTAATAAAATAATACAAGACATGAAAGAGCAACATAAATCAGAAATAGAAAACTCAGAATTGAGATCTCAGAACTCAAGAAATAATTGAAGATACTAGAAAAATATTTAGGAAATTAGTACTAACGATTTAAGAAATTAGTACTGACGACGAAAGAATACAATAAAATAATGCATTAACACAAATAGTTAAAAAAGAGCATTAAAACAAAAGAACGCAACAATAAAATAATGCATTAAGACAAATAGAAAGTAAAAAGAAATTTAAAACAAACAGATAAATTTCTAAAAGGAGACAAAAGGATTTAGAAAAAAAATAGTCAAGATATTGAAAATAGATAAGGAAATTTAAACCTGTAGATCATAAGAGCCCCTGAAAAAGAAAACCAAAGCAAGGACATAAAATATACATTCTAAAACATAACTTTAAACTTTTTTTTAAGGAAAAAGAAACAAAAAGCTACATATTGAGAAATAACACTGTGTGCCTTGAAATGTTGACTTTCATCAATACCAGAGCATATTCTAAAAAAAATTATGAAAGTTAGAAAAAAGAAAGAATCAATATATTTTGGGGACACATAGAAGAAAAGAGCATCTGACTCATAAAGGAAAGAAAAGATTATAGTCAGACTTTTTGACAACAACACTGAGGTTCATTAGACCTATCAGTGGAAGTTATGCATGTCCATAAATTAAATGAAAAATATTATTTATAATTTTGGTTCAAAGTTATTATCACACAGTTGTAAAATTTGATATCATTATGAAAAGTTGATAATTCTATTAGAAGATTATGTGTGTGACTGTTATTTGATGAAATGAGAAATAAATTTACTCCTTTCTATTTTTATCAGACTTCTCAGAAGCTAAAGAATTTCAATTAGGCATTATTATTATTCCTGAAATGTGTCTTCTTGGTATATAAATTTGTTAAAGGAAAAATAAATGAATGATCATAGCATTACAAATTGGAGCAAACTTTATTAATCACTGCTGCTGTATTCCTTTGCCTTCTAATCCAGCACTCCCTAAAACCACTTCAATCTCCCTAAGATAGTGCATACTTTGATGTTTTATAAAATACATAAAAAAACCAGAAAGCTCAAATGTATTAAATAATACAGTGTATATTGTATTCAACAGAACTACAAATAATAAATCTTTCTCTTAGATACCTCAAAGCACTTCTTAAATAATTAATTTTTAAGTGTTCTTGGATTAACATATGCTGTCAGTCTGGTTTTGATGAAAGAAAAAGAGAAGTTTACAGAACTATCATAAGCCTCTCACAAACACCAAGTTACAGGCTGAAGATATGACACAAAACTCACATCTCTCCATACTAAACACAAATAGATACGATTTTTCTTATTAGTCAACTACAAATTCATGTCAAACTCATATGCAAACAAGTTAATTAAGTTTAAAGGAAATCATTAAAATAGAAAAATTAGAAAATTAATTTCTGAATATTATAAAATTTAGAATGGTATTATCAGTTGCTTTGTTTAATGCAATTTAATGTTTGAGTATATGAACTGGAGATAATCCTAACGGTACATGTCATATTGGAGGAGTAGAGGAAATAGTCATCGGTGAGAAATAGTTGGATCCCTAGCAAATGTTCTCTCTGGCACTTAACAAAGTGTTTAGTTTACATGAGAGAATAATAATGCCCCTAATGCTATTGTGTGATATATTCCCCACCATCACTAGAGTGGCAAAAATATACTATTAATAGACCTAGATATGATCAGGAACATAGATGACAGCAGAATATTTTGTGATTATCTAAAAATTCTTCCATATCTGAACAATACTGGAAAAAGACCGAGTTTATATATCAAACTTCATCTGGTAATCTAGTGGTTTTATAAGAAAATATAAATAGAAACAATGCAATTACACTTACCATAGCATTGTCGAACCAGAGAATACACTCATCAATAATAGAACATATGATTATCTTATATCTGTAACATTTTCACAATTACAAATAATTTCAAATATATTATTTAATCAACCCAGAAGGCTAAGATTGTATAATTCTGAAGAACAAAAGGGTTTAGATTCAATAACTGGAAATTAGTTCTTATAATGAAATACAATAATTCACCTGGATGCAATACTCCAAACATGTAATTTATTATATGTATATAACAACTAGCTTACAGTTCACTCAAAAAACTTTTCATTAAAGAGGAAGAATAGAATAGAGGAAAAATAAACTTAAAGATAGATTGGACAACATAACATAGTTGTGTGATAATGCACAGTCTAGAAATGGATATGATATTTGGCAACTTCTCCAGGAAAATGTCAAGTCCATTTTAACTATCAAAAACAGCCCCTCAGATGCATATCCACATGTGATACCTGTAAGGATACATTTACAAAACTAATTTGTCATTCATTGCCACACATTTTTATCTCAACACGTAAATAATCATATATGATACTTAGATCAACACTAAAAACAAACCCACTTAAACAATTCACATATAGATGAACTCTCTTACATACAACTAGTTTTCTAATACAGTTCACTTTTTCTCCATTGACAGAATAATTAAATAACAATTTTCTTGTCTACATTTTATTCATAACACATACATATGAATGAATATACAAGTTCTAGCCTAAATAGAATCTACACATGAATCAAATAAGTTCCAATATGCTGGAAAATACTGATTTTTGATTGCATGCCTTAAATATGAACCTGTCATTGTTCCCCAAGAAGAGTTCCCATGTACAGAATCTATCTACACTGAAATAGGAACTCTAAATACCTTTATGGGGAAAGGCAGTTAAGTGTGCAGTCTCCCTGCCCTAGTTAGGCAGCACAGAAATGGGCCTGGGGCTTGGAGTAATTCCTTGCCAAGAGATAAAGAGATCCCTCCCCGCCTGTGCTAGGCTTAGCACCTTGGGCTGGCGTATCTTTCTCTGTTCTGAACTCAGTGTTTGCCCTTTTGGCATGCTAAATGCATGTGTCATATTGCACCTGGCCAACCCCACTATTATATCCATTAGCAGCAGGGAGGATATGGGGTCTTTGACCTGCAGTGCAAGAGGGGTATATGCAGACCATCTTCTGTGGCTATGAAAGGAGACTCACCGGCCAGAGAGGACCTAATGATGTCTGAGTTCATGTCTTCTTGGCAATCTAGGGTTGCCACCTGAAAACCAGAGTTGACATCTTGAGGCTACTGCTACTTGTAATATATATTGTTGTGCTATTTCCCATCCTCCATGTGGTGAGGATCCTCCACTGAATATGGCAAGAGATGCCACTGGCTCTACAATTTGATGTAGCAAGCAAGGTCACCAACAAAGTTGTCATGGCATGGTAGAGGTGCAAGGATTCGCCAGTGCAACCATTCCAGAGAGGCACTAGTTCCCTGGGAGGTGGGCAGGGAGGACAGGCTGACTGAGGTGCTGGCTTCCCTCTGGCCACATGGAAATGTCATTCCTGTCAACATTGATGAGTTGGTGCAATGGAAAAGGACAGAGATTCTAGAAGTGGGTCCTGGAAGGGTACAAAGACTATACCTTGACTTCTGGCTGCTTTTGTACTTCTAGGCTATCTTCAAACTCCCACAATGTCCCAAGTGTATTAGTCCATTTTCACACTGCTGATAAAGACATATCCACGACTGGGCAATTTACAAAAAATAAATTTGATATGGACTTACAGTTCCACATGGGGAAGCCTCACAATCATGGTGGAAAGCAAGGAGGAGCAAATCACTTCTTACATGGATGGCAGTAGGCAAAGAAAAAACTGTGCAGGGAAACTCCCCCTAATAATACCATCAGGTCTCATGAGACCCACCCACCACCAGGAGAACACCATGGGAAAGACCTGGCCCTGTGATCCAGATACCTCCCACCAGGTCCCTCCCACAACACGTGGGAATTCAAGATGAGATTTGTTTGAGGACACAGCCAAACCACATCAGCAAGGATCAGAGACAATATCTTAGGGAATTGAGAGGACCCTTCAGGGAGCTCCAACCAATCCAGGTCACTTGCAGACCTCAAGTAAAGCCAGTTTTCACTCAAGGCAAAATCATTGATGGTATTGCTGCAAATGAAACTGTTAAAATGAGGTTCTTCTCTGAGAGTGGAATACAAAATCTGAGAGCTAGATATGGCAGAAGCCATGGAAGTCCTATGTGACTTGATTGGTGCACCTATTTAATGAGGGAGCTTGTATATCCAAATGCCTGGGGCCTAATAGCACAGTCTGGGAAAACTAACTACTGACCACCTGCTGCAGTGCATTTTGCCCACATTGAACATGACAAGGACAGAGATAAGCCCATGTCACTTTTGATCTGGATGGCAGTGAATAGAAGAGTGGTGGCTCCAACTGCACAGGACTTCCTTAAGAGTAATACCCCTTAAAAATATTCATGAGGTCATAGCTGTTTTAAAGGGTGAAAGCCATAAACACCTGGCTATATGAACCTGCCCCTGGAGACATAGATGACACAGTCTATTCCTGATCGCACTGGAGGACTTTATGTGACAGAGTCCTCCCCAGTGAAAGATTCCCATCTCTCTACTCTTGTCCCCTGAAATGACTACAGGGACACCTGAGGAGAAGCTCTACAGAAATGTCCCACTTTGTGAAAAAAGCAAGAAAATGGTAGTTTCTAGGGATTTGTCCTAGATCAATGAGAACACAACCATGAGAAGCTTTGCCCAAATGGTCAAAACGGGAGTCCAGAAGGTAAAAAGGAAAAGAAAAAGGGGGAAAATATGGCCAACTCTCAGAATATCATAGCTTTTGTTGTTAAAATAGGGAATAGACAAAATGAAAATAGACGGGATCATAACAAGAGACCCCCACCAACACTATCAAGTGGAAGGGGATCTCTCTTCATTGGAGGTTAGGATTGTAGCCTGAGTCAAAGAAAGGCTAGGAAAAGAGGTTTCCAAAGGTTGGAAAGACTTATAATCCCACATAGAAACCCTCCAAGTCTCTGGACACAGTCCAGGGATGAGGAATGTACAAGTTGCTAAGGCTTCCCTACTCCCTGACCAGGACAATAAGGAAAGACTATTCAGACTGGGAGCACAAAAAGTAAGACGAGGAGGAAAATCCCCCCTCCCATGCACTCAGATCTTACCTCTTTCCAGGAAAAGGACAAGAGATGGGGCCAACATGTCAGAGAAAACCAGCAGCCTTATGCCTTATCAAGGTGGAAAAAATGGGGAATGAATTCAAACTTTAATGGGTCTCTTGGATATTGGTGCCCAGGTGATAGTAATCCCAGACCTCCAAAGGAATAGGGGTAAACTGGTAACATTGTAGGTTTGGGGGATGAACATGATGATCCATGGCAGATAAGTTTATTTGTACTTATGGGCAGAGCCCTTTGGGCCATTTCAGGTAGCTGTGATCATGGTTCCTAACACTGAAAATGTACTATAGGTGTTGATATTTTGGCCACTAGCAGCGTGGAACATCAGTGACACCTCAGGGGGAATTCCTTCTCACAATAAAGGATTTGAATCATTACAGTGAGGCATATCCACTTCTTTCCTGCCAGCTAAGTTAACCAAGTCCCAACAGGCTATTTGACAAAAGCAATACCTCCTAGCAAGTTGAGAAAAAATTGTTAGTGTGTTAATTCAGGACTTGCTGCAGGCAGGAGTGCCATATACCACTCTGTTGTAGTTTAACAATCCAATATGATCCTATTAAAAAAAAAAAAGTCTTACAAGCCTGGAGGCTGACAGTGGACAACTGCAGGCTGAATGTCTTGCGATACTTAACATTTATCACTGTAACCTGGGTGGTAGCACCACATGGGAGACTGATACGCTATTATAAATCTGGCTAATGCCTTCTTCTTGACCTCTCTATGGGAAGAAGATAGGACCAGCTTGCATTCAAGCTGGTCTTATCTTGAATACTGCAGGAAAGTATCTGGCTGTATACTTTCATCTTACTTTGACAGAGATACCACAATTCCCCTGCAGTTTGCCATCAGTGGTAGGGCTACATCTGAAAAAGTCTGATTATCCCCGGGAGTACTTGTCATTCATTATATTGATGAAATTCTCATTGCTGGCCTAAGGAACACATTGATCAGGCCCTACACAAAGTCATAAGATACTATGATACATAAGGATTGGGTCATCACCTCTGATAAAGTCCGGGAACCTGCTCGTCAAGTGAAGTTCCTGGGAACCTCCTGGGCCAATAATCAGAAAAATGTTTCTGACAAGGTTAAATGAAAAATGCTGCCCTTAACAGATCCCACCAATGAAAAGAGATTCAACTCAATGGCTGGCAGGCCTGTTTGACTGCTGGCAATAATATGCACCACATGAGCATATTCTTTTGATCCCTCTGTTGAAGGTTACCAATAAGGTGGCCACCTTTAAATGGAGCCCCAACAGCAGCAGACTCTTGAGGCCATGAACCTTGCCATGGCATGGGCCCAGCCTCTGGGATCAATGAAGCTAGCCAGCCTTATGGAACTGCTAGTCTCAGTGACTCCTACTCATATAGATTGGAGCCTATAGCAATGAGATACTGCTACCAAAATGACTTGACCTATCAAACATGTAAATTATTTGAGGCAGCTCCTAGGTACAACTTCTTCAAATGGCAACCACTAGCCTGCTGTTGGGCCCTAATGAAAACAGAGCAACATATGTCACCTAAAGACCTGAGCAACTTATCCTCATGTGGGTATTCACAAATTTCACTAATAGTGTAAAATAGGCTCAGCAAAGCTCCATCATTAAATGAAAATAACACATCCAAAATAATGTTAGACCAAGGCCTCAGTGAGTCAGCCAACTCCATGAATATGTAGCCGCCTCACTGGAGGAGGTCAAAATACCCATAGGAGATACCCCTGTCCCTCTGTTAGCTAAATGAATCCCACAGTTTAAAAATGTTCCAGCTGATAATATGGCTTGGTTCATGGATGGATATATGAAATTCAAAGCTGATGGAGACCACTGGGCCACTGCAGCCCCTGCCCCAAGGATGGTCATATTTTGACTGAGACCAGATGAGATGTTCTGCTGAATGGGCCAAGTCCATGTAGTACTGATGGCTGTACTGGCTACTCCAACAGCAAATTCCTGCTACATATTTATAGACTCATGGGTCATTGAAAATGGGCTAGCCATATGGTCCAATGACTGATGAATTAATAAGTGGACCATTAAAGGCGCTCCTGTTTAGGAACGGGGACTATGATAGCAACTTTTGAACTGCAAGAGATATTTATTTACCACTCATGTGATACCCATGTCATGCCACCCATGACAAAGGACCATTCAAAAGAAAACACAAATGGAATTTACAAGCTGATCTAGCATGCCTTCAACAAATTTTAATAATTGCCCATTGGATTCACCACAAAGTGGGACATGGAAGCCCAACTCAGATGCAAGAATGAGCCAAATGGGAGGACTGACCCTCAAAAAAACAACCCCCCAAAATGCAGCACACTCATATGACTCCCACCAACAAGCCCAGGCTATACAATGCAGCTAATTGAGCCATATTCACTGGACAGGGGACCCATGTAAGTGTGACAAATTGACCACATCAGACCATTAGTTTCCAGCCATGATTTCTGGTGGTGCCTTATGGCCATGAACACATACTTCAGATGTGGGACTGCCATTTCAAGGCACCATGTAAATGCAAAAACTATTATTGTGACAAAAAAAAAAAACCCCACCTCAGCCATGTTTGGATATCTAACAAAACTTCAGTATGACTGAGACACTGCATTTGCTGCAGAAGCTGTGCAGCAGTGTGCACGCTCCCATGGCATTGGATGGAACCCCAGGAGAATGGAGTGTTAGCATGATGGAATGAGAGGCTCAACTACACAAAGATCTTCAGGAAAAATAATTTAGCAGAAGACATCCCCATCTAAAAAAGGCATTTGGAAATTAAACACTGCACTCCAGCATGGGAAACATGGCATTGCAACACATGTTAAGAAATACTGAGCTTAGAGGGCACAAAGGGCCAGGTAGTGGGATAATTAGGCTATGCCTGTGAAATCCCAATTTTAGTACACCACCATTCTTTCATTGTTTCTTCTGAAACATACTCCTCAAGGGTGGCTTGTGATCTAGGCTGTAGTGATGCACCAATAGGGCTTTCTGATTCAAACCTGGAGGCAACACTACCTTCGGGCATCTCCCTCCTGTGGTGCCCCACAGGAATGAGGAAGGGGTAAAAATATATGGACATGCTGTGTTTTCTTGGTTGTACTTGGTACTCTTGATCCCTCAATTTAGGCATGTGACATTACAGGATATGTCAAATTTGATCAGGGCGTAACCTTCCTTCTTGGATTAGACAACTAAGGCCAAACTATATGGGTCAAGGGACAGAAACAATGGGTCTTCACAGAAGCTGTAACCTCACGACTATGGCAGGTAGCTTGGGTAGCTACATTTGGGCAATCCTCACTCTAGGTTATTAGATAAGAGCATCTTCCACTTTAGGAGGTTTGTAAAGCAAAAGGTGAGTGGGAACATTAATTTTTTTTTTCATTTCTCCAGAAGACACTGTGGTGCCTGGCACAAAAACACCCTGAAAAGAACCAGGACAGCTGTGGTGAAAAGATGCAATGTGCAATCTTAAATAATGCTAGATTCGTCACCCCAGACTGGAGTCGCCTTATCCCACACTCCCATTGTAATGGGCTGGCTGGTACACAACAACTCAGACCCTTTTCAAATCAGTCAAGACAAACAGGACCCACTAAACTCACCAGTCAAGGTGGTGAACAACCTAATGGTTCTAAATTGCCCGTTGTCTGTTGATGGAATGAAACAATGTTTGTGTTACTGCCAATACCTCTTACTGTGTGTATGTTAACATTTTGGGGAAGGTAAAAACTGGGCTGGAAAAGACCTAAGCCCAAGCAGGATGCTTATCAGCTGTACACCTGCAGTCCCCACTAGACTCAATTATTTACCTCTTTATAGTCATCCTAAGCCTAACACTTGGATTTCCTGGTTGAAGACCATTTTCCAGGGAGACCTGGTTATCTTCCTGGGTCTGGTTCTCCTAGTGACCCTGGTAAAATGCTGTCTCAAAATGACAGGGAAGCTCTGAGAACAAATGTACACATATGAGTTGTATGGGGTCCACATTTATTTAGCTCTGCCTCCAAATTTGGGTTGGGCAATGGTTCTACCAGAGTTGATGTCTTTTATCTGTTATTTTGGTGGCTGAGTAATAGTCAATGGGGGTGGACTATTATAAAAGTCACTCATATGCATGTAGTCTTCATACAGTGCCTTGGTCACTTAAGAATGGGTCTCAGAGCTGGAACCTTTCTATTCAAGAGACAAAGAGCCCTCACAGCCTTCACTAGACTTATCGTTTTGTGTAGAAATACTTTTCTCTTTTCTGGATTCAATGTGTTCTCTTTTGTCCTCTTAAAGTGAGAGCATCATATGGCACCTGGCCAACCTCAGTTCTATACTCACTCCCAGCAAAGAGGTGTTGAAGTAAACAGAGGCGAAATAAAATTTAAAAGAGTTTGAGCAAATAATGAATCATTCATTGGCCAGCTTCAAACCAGAAGTTGTTTAGAAACCCCACCAAGGGAATGAAAGGAGCAGCTTTTACAGAAGAAACACAGAAGTAAAGCAGAGAAAGAACTTTATTGCTTATAGTCATACAACTGACTTATTCGGTCTATGCCTTTGGAAATACCTTAATTATATAATTTTAAGTTTGCTACTTCTGATAAGTTGAGTTGAAGTTCTGTTTTTCTTCAATATAGATATTTACAAGAAATAGCTGAAATTAAGTTTTGCTTATGTTTGGAAATCAAGCAAGTTTGAGGTCACTTATGAGACCTAACTATTTTTGTCTGCATAGAGATTCTTCAGGCCTGGTCTCCATTTTAATTTACTTTAACAATGCTCCATTTTGGTTATCTTCTCAACAAGCAAATAGTATAGTGTTATGCACAGTTATCGCTATTGATAGACTCTCTGGAATGAAGAGTCATATAGATATTTTCATCATCAACAATTGCATTGTGATGTAAGGTCATATAGTGACCAATATCTATGTCATAGGCTTGAGTGGTTGAGTTGTTGAGCTCTTCAATTTGTCTAAACTAATGACAATCATTTGATGTGTAAGTGGTTGCTGGAAAGCATTTAAAAATATGTTTCAAAGCCCTTGAGGAAATACAACGCAACAGGGAGGTGAATACAATGACTTTAAGGAGAATAATAGCCAAATATTGAAAAATTCTCTGAAATAGGGATTGACAGGAGCCAAAGTTTAACCAATTAAATAAATCAATGGAAGAGGCGGCACCTATCTGATGAAAGATATATTTGCTCCTTAAAAGGCTTTACATTTAGGGAAACAATTTCTAATTTATTAACATAGAAACAACATTTTTATCAATAAGAGCACAAGCTTCTCTTTCTTAAGCTCTTAGGCATTAAAGGCTTCTATTTTGGAGTACTACTGAGGCTAAATTGTACATTACAGGTATTGCCTGGAGGAAATTCAAAGTATCATCCTATGAAAACAAACAATAAACAAATTTTTATATTTGGAGAAAGGTTTGATCTTAATTTTTGATTTCAGAGGACAGCTAGTCAAGATTTCTAGATCTGAGTTTGAAGCATCTTTAGATTGTGAAATGACAATTACAGTGGCAATCTGATGTATTTTCCTGGTTTGCAGTTTTGAATGTCTCTGGATATGTCATTTGGTGTTTTAATGAACTCTCAGAGTAAACAATATACCAGTAGGCATGAAGGATGTCCACACATAATATGTTGTACTGATTTTTATGAGGTTTAAAGTCTTCCAGTTTCAGCTTGCCAGGCTTGGGAAAAGAGCAGTTTTAGTTTTTTGTTAAACTAGAAAAATGTAGGATTCAATTCAGTTTACAGTTGGATAAGAAAACCTCAAAGAAAATGAACAGGACCAGAATCTGATCATGGGTGCATTATAGTTTTCTATTAAAACATAATCTCCTTTTTTCAGTGGTTTCTATTTTTGTCAAAAGTAATTACAAAATAAATCTACTTTTATCTAACTTGAGTATTTATATATGTAACAAGAATAATAATGTCATGTATATTTTAAAATAAGATATTTTAGCTGGAGCTTTGTTAGTATCCAAGGGTTTTTATTGACTTAGTATCAGTCAGCCTTAATTTTTTAAAACTAGCTGGTAATGAGGAATCTTTGGTTGGACTTTTAAAAAGCTCCATGGGCTAAGAAGCTAAGGCAAGAACTAACCCAATTATGTCCTATTACAAGGAAAATAGATTCTAATTGAACTTATGGATATTCTCATATTGCCATAAAAATGAGAATATTCCTACATACTTTTCTTTTTTTTTTTTTTTTGAGACGGAGTCTCGGTCTGTCGCCCAGGCTGGAGTGCAGTGGCGCAATCTCGGCTCACTGCAAGCTCCGCCCCCTGGGTTCGCGCCATTCTCCTGCCTCAGCCTCCCGAGTAGCTGGCACTACAGGTGCCCGCCACCACGCCTGGCTAAATTTTTGTATTTTTAGTAGAGACAGGGTTTCACCGTGTTAGCCAGGATGGTCTCGATCTCCTGACCACGGGATCCGCCCACCTCGGCCTCCTAAAGTGCTGGGATTACAGGCTTGAGCCACCGCGCCCGGCCCATACTTTTCTTATTGATGCAGGATTTTTCTCCTTCACTTTGCCAGCCAGGGACCTCCATTTGGTGATGCTCCCTGCCTGGGCCTCTCTTAGGCATGCTACCTCCTGTGGGAGGAAGCCAGCCAACACAGCCCACATGGGACATGCCTGGATTGTGCACCGGTGCAGCCTGTGGCTAGGCCGGGCATGCCCCCGCCTGCCTGTGTCATAGCTTGTACCCACATTCGGCAGTTCCCGAGTTATTTTCCCACATCCAAGAAGAATGAAGATACACTGACAATTGAAGAGTGAGGAGGGCAGAGAATAATTTTATTGAGTGACGGAGCAGCTCTCAGTAGACAGGGGTCATGGGGTGGTCCTCCACCCAAAATGAGGTGGTTTCCCTTTCAGTGTAGCTGAATCTGAGGCTTTTATAGGCACAGAATGGGAAGGGGCAGGTCACTGGTAGCACTGGAAAAGGTAATATTTGATTGGTTAAAAAGCACTATTCAGGAAGAACTAATCCGGAAAGAGTGGGCAAACAGGAATAGAATTTCTCACTCCAGGTCACAGGTTTCAGGCTGTTTTTGGCTTAAAGGTGGGGTTTCACTGGGGACCTTCTCCTGTCTGCCTAGAATTTGTCTGCCTCTTGCCTCTATCTATCTCCCATCTGAAGAGGTACATCTAACTGCCATTAGGATAAGGACAATGGCCAATCTTAACTGTTTCCTGTTGACAAGGGGCACTATTTGGGGAAAACAGCAGTCAGAGGCCTATCTAAGGGTTCCTGGTAAAAGTCAGCCATCATCTGAGGCTCCAGTTGCATGACCTTTTGGAGTTTGATGGCCTGAAGGCAAGAAGAGACAAACCAGATTATTAGAAGCATGGATCAAAGTGAAACAAAAAAGTAAGGACAGCTCAAAACCCCTGAGGCTGCCAAAAAGCCCAGATAACTGGTGGCTATTGTTATGTCTACTAAGATCTGGGTGCATGGTGTTTGGCTTTGGTTAGCTTCCTTGCTTTTATTTTCCCCAAAAAGAAACCTCTTCGTTATGTGCAACCTATTTATTCTTATCAACTCGCAGGATTTGCAGGATGATTGCCTGGAAGTAGAATATTGATACAGATTTTTACATTACCCATCTCTCTTGTTCCTTCTGAGCTGCAACCAGAGATCACTGGTTGGTTGACAGGAATAAGCAGGGTTAGTCCAAAATGTAGACAAAAACTTGAAGACAACTAATGAAACTAGAATTTAATGACAAGTGTATAAGTTTTGAAACATAACTTTTCTCTCTCCAGTCCTCATTTGTCTGAAAAACAAATCATGATAAGGCTGAGTTGTTTGCAAAATAAACTTTAATTTTATACTGGGCCTGATTATTTGCATAAAGTGCAGCAAGAATAATTATTTTCACATAGGATTTTAAAAACTGGCTTAGATGGAACCCTGTTCTATAAGGAATCTCAGATAAGACTTTTTTAAGCCGAACCCAGCCATGGGTTTGTACCCACAAATACCTATGAGTTGGGAAAATTCCTGTCTTATTGAGGTCTCAAGAAAACTTGGGGTTCCTGGGCCTATTAGAAAGTGACATTCTTTACTCATCACAGGTTGGGAACTCTGTACAGGGACTGTGTAGACAAGGTATGAGGCCATTTTTCCCATGAGGCTTTTATTGGCTCTGCAAGTCAAGCTTGATTTCTTAAAGGGAAAGATGACCTTCTAGTCAAAACCTTGGTGAAACAACCAGTTTTTCCAATTGCATCCTGTTGTAAAAGAAATGGATTCTTACTGCAATTTGCAAATAATTATATTGCCATAAGTTAAGAATATTCAGAAGCAGCTTCCAAATTTTGAAGAGACCAGGCAGAGAGAAACAAATATGCTCCAAGTTTTGTTCACAGGAATATATCTTATTCAAATATTAAAAGCTATAAATAGCTCAAAATAAAAGTTTTTCTGACTTTGAAAAACAAAGGATCAGCAACATTTTAAGCAAAAAGTTAAAAAGAATTACTTCAGTTTTCTGTTAGTTCATATTATTCCATTAACTCTTGTTCTACTTGATATTCATGAACATTTCAGCTCTTCATGAGTCCTGTACATTTTCCTCTATTCCAATGTCACAATCTTAAAAATTATCAGAAATCTGAACTTAAGAGCACCTGTCAAAGTCCCATAGCTAATTAGAAACCATCTTTTGAAAAGGATCAAAACAAGATAGCAATTGTCTGTGAATGATAAAAATTTCCAGGGTAGTTATAGATAAAAACAAAATTGACAAAGAAAGTTGGTTATTTCTGCAGTTTATAATAATTTAACATAATAACTCTAATTATGATTGATAGCATATATTCAGACATCAGAATTTTCAAAATCTCATATGATTTTTGAACATATATTATTATTCACTAAAATATAACCTGAAGAAGGTTAAACATTAGTTTTATTTTGGCTCTCCCATGTAACTAAACAGGTTAAATAATCCTGTTTATCTCTATTTTGAATGTTTCAGGGCCCTCTGAGGCATCCAAACATTAGTGGTCAGAAAAGACAATTTAAAAGCTGAAACTTGATTTTGGGAAGCCTATTAAATATTTTAAAGGTTTAAAAACACTTTGATATTATAAAAAATAATTCAAAGTTACCTTAAGTAACTTATTTCGTCAAGATGATGACTCCAAGTTTTATTTAAAAGGCATCAACCTTTACTCATTAAGAGGGAAGACAGCTTTCCAAACAACGTCTCTTTTATTTCCCTTCTTTTTTCAGTAGTTTATTTGCAAGGCAAACAAAAATATTCCATTATCCTTTAATATTACATGAAAATCTCATTCAAGAGAGGGAAAACCAAATTTCACCCTCACATTAGTCTACTATAAATGTCAACTACAGTTTTTTTAATGAAATATAATAGATAATTCTATCCAATCTTAATCTGTTTGTCCATGAGGTGAGATTCTTATAAACCTTTTATAACCCTTTATAAATTTTTTTAAGACCAGATTAATGCCTTAAGAAAACCTTGTTTGTTTTTATTACAATGCTTAGTGTATGAAAAAAACAAATAATAATACCTTTTTGAACTTAGTCAATATGTTAATACACGAGTTTATTTTACAAGATTAATTTTTACAAACCTTCCACAACTTGTTTAAACCTTTAGTTTTATCTCATTTAATTTAAAACAGTCCTTTAACCATCTAAACTAGGCAAAAATTTTACATTTCCATGCCTTCTTATAATCTTTTACTAATAACACATCTTACTTTCCTTAAATACCTTGCATGCAATCTCTTTTCAGTAATCTCCATTATATGTTATAATGATAACTCTTAGCAATTTTTAATTTTAATGTAAAACCTGGTAAGTTGTTTTAATTCTGTACTAGGCACAGATAAAGTCTGACTGTTTCCAGCATAGTCAGGGATGTGGTTAACTCCATGTGTCCCCAGGCCTTACCAAACAGTAAAGCAGGCAAGTCGAACAATTTTCAAAAGCTGAAGAAAGAAGCAGTTTATGAGCTTAAAGCATTTAGTAAACTTAGTATTTGACCTGCATAATTTAGACCATGTATTTACATGTTGAAGACATTTGTATTTTACCAATAATCTTTAAAACTGCTTTTTATTTCTCAAAAGATTAAAGTCATGTGAACTAAAAGACATTGCAGCTTTTATTTTTCCTTTAAAAATATTTGATCTAAGTGCTTATTTTCTTTAAGTCAATCAATTAGAGCTCTTGTTTATAAAAACATCACATATATAACACATATGTAACTACACAGACAGACAGAAAAAGATGCAGTAGTTGTAAGACTTCTTACTTGCCAATCTCCTAATTGGACTACTGGCCTCTGTGTGGAGCCCTTGAAGAAACATGGCTAAAAAACCCATGCAGTTTCTAGGGCCTAATAAGCAGATATAGCTGGAGGACAAAAACAGATTTTGAGAGGGATTTATCCACTTTTAGTTCTTGGGGCTCCATGAAGAAAACAGAGTTTTTTTTTTCCTAAAATGGGGTCCATGATGGGTTCTGTTTTTCCCATGTGGTCCTACGCTATCAGAAGCTATCTTAGGACCTCTCTTGCATGCATTAAGATTGGAAAGACAAAATGGAGAAAAATAATTCAGTTGACTGAGAAGAAAAAGAGTTTTTCCAACAAAACAAGATCCAAGAAGAGAAAAAAAGACATAAAGGCTTTTTAAATATACCTATAGCTTGGCTATTCACTCTTAATTAAGATTACTTTTAACCATAGAGCTCTTTAAAAAAAATCCTTTTAAATCCTTTATAACCTGACTTTAGCCACACCAAGTAGGCAATATTTCTGGCTTTTGAACTTTATCAAAAGTAACCTCACCAGTGAAACCAAGGAGCCTCAAAATAAGGAGATGACTTAACTGCAAGTGTATGAGGTATTTTCAAAGAAGTGATAAGCAGTTTTTACAAAATCTAGAATCTTGAAAAGTAGCTCAGAGAAAGGAAGATTTAAGAAAGAAAGCTAGATATTGTTCATGGAGGGGAAAAGAATGAGCAAATGGTAAAAGTCCCATAGATATTAACCAGAAAGTACTCACTACTTAAACCAGGTTTGAACCCAGGCTGCCATTGTAAAATGGCAGAGATCAAAAGAAAGTAGAGCCACGTAGTTTTAAGGTCAAGCTCCCAAGGACATACAAGACAAGAGGGAAACTTCGTTCAGCTTTTTGTTTGTAGCAAAGTTTGTTACTGACCAATTTGCTGGGCTGACTTGAACAGTGGGCTTATAGGGTCCTAGGCCCATGTTCTATACTAAGGTATTCCTCCTTATGACAGAACCATACAGAAAGACACACAAAGCACACCAGATTGGCTACAGTTTAAGACTAGCCTCACAAATCCTTTTTTTCCATTAATCAAAAACTTTACAGAGGATATAAACAGTGATTTTTGCCATTCATTCAAATCTCTCAGTTTGCACAAACAGCGAGAGAGAGAAGCCGGAAGTCTGACTAGTAAAAAACTTTTACCCCTTTGCTGGCATGTCAGGATTCTGGGATCTCTCCCCCGAAGCTATGGAGCCCTTTTGACTCTGGAGTCCTGTAAAGGGGGAGCAAAAAAGACATTATCTGCATATTGTAAAAGTTGTCCCTCCTGAAGAGAATGTTCAGTTAAATTGGTAATTCTTTCCCAGTTCATTTTTAAGCCAGTTTAAGGTTTGGGGAAATTAAGCTTTTCCTGATTTAGGGGATGCTTCCTAGGGGAGTGTCCTGTGGTACAGAGATGCGATTTCTCTGTGAAGAGAGGACAGAGGAGGAAATACGAAAAAGAAGGCTTAAAAAAAAAAAGTCCCAGTGATTCATGATGCATTCAAGAGAAATACAGACTGAAGATGGTTGGTTACCCAACTGGAAAGAGGAAGAAAGGCATCCCTTACTTTCTTTCTGTTCCCAGCGAACACCCAGGGTAGGTGAGGGAGAGGAAATAAAAAGCTTCCCCTTTTTTTCTTCTGTCCTTCTATCCCTGAGTTCTGGCAATGCTTGGCAGGTGCCACCCATGGGTGCCAATGCAGCCTTCACCCATGTAACAGGGATGCCTAAAGGGTAGAAATATTTGCACTCACCTCTGTTCTGGTCTATCCTCCCTGCCATCAGTAACCTTTGAGTTCTCTAGACCTCATCTATGCTATGAATATGGGCAGGACCTTCGTCCATGAAATGGAGGGAGTGTAACTGGAAGGAATTAGTCATGCTTATCTGCCCTGTGCCCTTAGACTTCTGCTGTTTTCCTTTCTAGGGCTTCAACCTGAAGCTTGGAATTGAGTTTGGGACAAAAAGTTACCTAAGGAAGGTGCATGGACTCACTAAGTTAAGTCTCAAGTGGTCCTTGCCAAACTGCAGCCAGTATTCAGCGGTGCTACTCCTTCACTGCTTTCTTATCATAAACAGTGTGCTAAGGTGAAGTTGTGGAAACAGGTCTTCCTCAAAGGAGGGAGAGAAAGAAAGTCCTATGAATTGGAGACCTCGTCTAGTCAGGTGCCTCCCAAAATCAGCAAAAAAACCCTCACACATAGAAAAGCTCCCTGTATTTTATTTGCAGGGCTATGTGAACTCTTGACATCATGGAGAAAAAAAAATATGAAACAGCTTAAGTGCAGGGAAGGGA
Source organism: Homo sapiens (assembly GCF_000001405.40). NCBI lineage: Eukaryota > Metazoa > Chordata > Mammalia > Primates > Hominidae > Homo > Homo sapiens. Next base: position 171,583,920 of record NC_000004.12, read on the forward strand.
TAGGTGCCTTGGGGCAAAAAGCCTATTGCTGTATGCAAATGGTTTCCTTCAACAGGGGGAAAAAAACCTCTTAATTGCTACATCCTCTCCACTTCTAAGAATAAACAGAAACTGCATTGTTCTGAATCACATTTTAGATGACTGGGCCAACTGCCTATCCTACCCAGTAATGTATCTGTAGCCTGCAATGACACCCTCAACATTATAAAAAAAGAGATAGGTGCCATCACAGCCCCCAAAGAAAGAAGGAAACTGCCATAGAAAAGACTAAATTGGAACAAAGCCAATATTCCCAACCCTTGAGAGCAACAGGGGCAGTGGCAGGGTCCTCTCCAGCACCCTGTCTTCTGTAGCTGTGTGTTCACTCTTAACTGGCTAATCAGAGGTTCAGTGCTTCATCAGCCTTCAGAAAAAGTCTGAGGACAAGAAGGCTTGGAAAAAAAGTGAAGAGTCTAGGTCCACATTTACTCACCCTTCAGGGATCCCAGATGAGTGCCCAGAAATGACACAGGATTTTTCTCAGTCACTTTGCTAGCCAGACACCCCCAACTGAGGCCTTGCTTGGGCACACTACCTGCTGCAGGAGGCAGCCCACACACTCAGCCTTCCCAGGCCATGCCTGGTTTGCACACTGGCTCAGCCTGCACCTGGGCCAGGCATACCCCTACCCACCTGTGTTATAGCTTGTACACACATTTGGTAGTTCCCAAGTTGTTGTTCCATATCCAAGAAGAATGAGGACACACTGATAATTGAAGAGTGAGAAGGGCAGAGAATAATTTTATTGGGTGACAGAGCAGCTCTCAGTGGTGAGGGGACACAAGGGTGGTCCTCCACCGAAGTCAGGTGGTTTCTCTCAATGTGTCTGAGTCCAGGGCTTTTATAGGCACAGAATGGGGATGAGTGGGCCATAGGTGGCATTGGAAAAGATACCATTTGATGGGTTAAAAAGCGTTTCTCAGGAAGAACCAGTTGGGAAAGAGTGGGCAAATGGAAACAGAAGTCCTCACTCCAGGTTGTGGGTTTCAGACTGTTTTTTGGCTTGAAGATGGAGTTTCACCAGGGACCCACTTCTGTCTGCCTAGGATTTGTCTGCCTCCTGCCTCTATCATTATTAAATGAACATCCTACTTTTTAATGCATATTTATATACAGTTTTATTTCTTGCATCCTTATTACTGATCATTTTAATTGTATATATTAATTAAAATTTTTAATCCTTAGTAACTCCAATATCTAGTGAAAATAAGGAAGTATATGATTTCACTGTTTCAATAGCATGTGGCTCCTCATAGTTTAGGACATGCTTACCAGCAGACTCAAATATCTCTAGTTCTTCTTTAAAATAAGCCAAAAATATGTAAAGTTAATATTATCTTCAGAAATTAACATTTAGTTTTGTTTTAAGACAGTATTGCTGTGTTGCTCAGGCTGGTCTCGATCTCCTGGCCTCAAGTAGTCTTCCATGTTCATTGGCTTTTCAAATAGCTGGGATTATAGGTCCAAGCCAACATGCCCAGCCAAAAATTAATGCTTTTATACTTAATCTTATTTGGAGATAATATAGATACTTAATAAATATCTATTATTTAATTTAACAAAGTATAGTTTTAAGATTTTAAGTTATCAAACAGATTTTTAAAACTGTTTTTATATAGACATAACATTAAACAAAACTGTCATCTCAAGTTACTTTTCTTGTTGATACATTTTGTGACAAAGGTAACAAGCTTATTTGATTAGTAAAGCTGTGTATCTTTGTGACAAAGAAAACAAGCCTATTTGACTAGTAAAATATTTTACTAAATTAACCAACATTCTTATTTATTAAAGATTACTTAAGTCATGAACTTGAAAAGCATTTGGATAAGTACCTTTTTTTCTGAGAAAATAATTTATATAAATGCTCATTTTTTCCTTAGTCCAATTAAATATAGCTCTTTCAAGATTATTTGTAATAATACCATCTGAGGGTGGAATACTATTACAAATAAGTAAATAATATACATATATTAAGACATACATAAGCATACAAACAAACACAAACAGACAGTCATGGCTTCTATGCTGAAATTTTAGCTATGTGCCAGGTACAATAATGTACTTACTCACTAGCTAGATCCAAATTGTGTCTCTGGTAGTTATATTGGCCTGTTTAGATGGCTAACGCCTTCTATTGATATTTGTGGAAGAAACTTTTTAGATTTTTCATTTGCTAGTTAAGTTCTTAAAAGTTTCCCTTTTTCTACTCAGTTTCTGACAAGTCATTTCCCTGAGGCCTTTTAATGATTTAGACATCTCAAAGGCAGAGAGAAAGGATGTTAAGTATTCTCCAGGAAGGAGTTCTGGGCATATTCGCTTATCATCAGGAGTCAATTTATTGAGACTGTGGGCTAAATTTTAGATGAATGACTGAGGAGACATCCAGTCTCTTTCCAATTAGTTTTTTTTTTCCTCTTTACCTTAAGCAGTTGCTTTTATAATAGGTTGGATTTATATGCAAGATTAAGAGTTAAAAGTTGTGTTTGCAGATTCTTCTGTCTTATTTGAAGATCTAATTTTTAAAGAAAGTTGATGTTAAAGATTAAGGTTAATTTTTCATTACACACTGTAAAGATTCTTTTAGAGAAACTAATTTTTCGAGTCATTCTGGGTTTTGGAAGCTTCTACATACCAATCAAAAAATGTATCTCATTGTTTCTGAGGTTTTGGGGGTCCTTTTTTTCTAATGCACCCATACAAAAATAATTTCATAAGGAGTAAAACCTCTTCCTTGTTGCTACTGTAATTCCTTGTCTTCCTGAGGTACACCAATTTCTTTAGAAAGACCTAGGTCTGGGTCCAAGACTTCTGAACATAAAATTAGCTGGAGTTCCAGATTAAAGTGTCCTAGACTCCTTGGATTCTGATGAACCGATAATACTTTGCCTTAAATTTTGCTTATCACAGGTCTCCAACTGAACCGAGTCCAGTTCCTGCTGAACACAATTTGACTTCTGGATGGCAGTCTGGATTCTGAACCTCGCCCTTCTAACATGGAAGCACATGCACTAGACTGGACCTTGTCCAGTTTTGTCAGGCCCAGTCTAACCTCTAAAATAAAAATTGCTCAAATAAAGTTAGAGAGCTAAGGACACAATTTTCAGATCTTGACATCCAAGAAGGACGTACCCAGTGACCACCAAATGTGATGAGAAAGCAGTGAGCACTATGGGCTCAGCAGATACTTATACCTGGTTACTCATCCCTCCTGGGGGTCATCAGGGATCCCTTTTACATTTCTGAAATTAAACTTTTAAAAGATAAATTGAGGCACTATAAAATTTTAAAGAGTTTATTTGAGGAAGCATTCATTCATGCATCAGGCAGCTTCACATCAGAAGTGGTTTAGCAGCTCCACCAGTGGCACACGGCAGGGAAGCTTTTAAAGGAGAAACACAGAGGTAAAGCAGAGAAAATGTTTGGTTGGTTTAGTGACACAGTTGCCTTATTTGGACTAGTCCAGTGGAAAATCCGTAGTTATATAATTATAAGTATGTTGGCCACTTCTGCTTGGTGGAGATTAAATTTGATTTTTCCTTAATATAGACATTTACATGACATAACTCCAGTTAAGTTTTGCATATGTTTGGAAATCAGGTAAGGTTGAGATCACTTATGAGACTTAACTGTTTTTGTCTGCTCAAGGATTCTGCAGGCCAGGTCTCCACTGTAATTTACTTTAACAAAGGAAATGGAATATGTTGCCTGCAGCAAAGGAGAGGAATAAGTGGAAGTCATTTGCCTGCATCAGCTGAGAAGTGAGATCCGCTGGCCATGAGGAATCAATGCTATTGAAGCTTCTCTTTCTCTGTCTCTTTTATTTGTGAGTAAAACATTGTTCGTCCAGTGCCTGAGATGTCTTTCTTGGTGACTCTGATACCTGAAAATCATGGAAGAGAGTGACATCCTGGAACTACTGCTTCTGGTGGTAGGCACTGATACTCTCTATCCTCCACGCAGTGAGACCCCTCCCTTGGAGGTGGTAATAGGTGTCACTTGCTGGACAGCCTTCAATTAAACAACAGTCATCTTTAGGTGTTTTATAATCCCCTTATCGCTGAACTTCATATGATATCCTAATTTACAGTTTGGTCAACCCTGCTGGTTTCTGCAAATGTATTGGCAGTGCTTATTCCACGGAGTAGACAAACAGATGATAGAAAATAGAGTGATAGCAGAACCATCCAATTTAAAACGCCAATTGAAAGAGAAAGTCTCTCCCAGTTGAAGCAATGTTAATTGAACAGGGGCTCCCTCTGATGAAAGCTCTTGACAGAGGACAATCTTGCTATTAATTTTCCATGGTCTTTTCTGTAATGTTTTTCAGCTTCTCCCAGTAGAATGGATCTAACAACTGTAATCTGAAACCTTTCTCTCCCAATGAACACAGTGAAAAACAAAAACAGTCATGAGGCAAATATGCGTATAAGAGAAAATTGCTTTTGAAGTGGTAACATGTTGTATAATTCCTCTCCAACCTGTGGCAGCCAGTACAATTTTGACTGTAGAGCAGAGTATAAATCATTTCTTTTTATATTTAAAGAAATAAAAATGTACTATATATGGCTCTAAAATGGTAAAGATTGAAAGAAAATGTGAAAAGTACTGAACCCCTCAAGGGATACTCTGTGTTTGAAATTCTAACACAGAGATTCTAACCCATTCATCTCTTATGAAAGAAAATAATCCCAAATCACACAGGAAAACTGTCAGTGCTGTCGAATATCAATGAGCAACTCATCATCAATCATCAACATTTTATCTCTCAGGAAGGTTCTGAAAACTATCCAAAATATCGTTGAATAACCCCAAGGCTACCGCAAATACTTAATGAGATCTTTGAGGAATCTTTTGAAATTTTGTTTTTAACGTTTAACATCTTCGTTGTTTCACTTGCTCTCGCCACAGTTCTTTACAGACTCTTGTGACTTTAATAATCTTCTTTATTATTTCAGAGCACAGTGGAAATGAAGACAGGCTTTGTACATGATTTATAAAGTGTGTATCACTATAGCAACCATACTGTAATTCTGAAAACAGGCATCTTTATAAGAAACTCGATGACTATAATGAGAAATGACCACAAATGGCAGTATAGTTTATTTTTTAGCTTATTCTGTTTTGCATGATTGCCTGATTTTATTTATATTGTCAAGTAGTCTACTAATTTCTATACTTTCACTAATAGTAGATTCAGTATGAGTCTGCCAATTTTATGTGAATTCATGTAGAAAAATTGGTTCAATTTTTCTGAGAAACTCCTATCTAGCAAACTTAAGTACTCTAAACAAAACTCAGTGCAAAGAGATAAAATCTTCAGTTTTAATTTTTTCCCAAGACAATTCCCAAATGTTACAAATTAAAGGATTCTTAGCATTATGAAAGTAAATCAGCCAGAGTGTTGGTTACGTTGTTCAACAGCAAAGGAATGTTATTACCTCAGTGACTGAAGTTGGCAAGAATACTCTTGCAAATATGTTAAGCAGGCAATAAGGTATCAAACAACAGCTGAGCCTCACCTAGGTAGCAGGACAGAAGCAAGTTATCTGGTATACAGATTTCTAGGTAGACATAGAATTCAGGACTTCAGTTCTTCATTGTTAAATAAACATTCATTAAATAGACAATTATTGCACATATACCAGGCAGATACAAGAGAATACAGATAATACAACAATGCGGAGATGAATGAGGTCCCTGTATTACAGGGAGCTTATGGTTTGGTGGAATACAAAGCATTAAACAATCATTTAAAAATATTATCTCATTAACTTTGTTGTAAGTGACATGAAGAAAAAGTGCAAAATGGAATGATGGTATATTGGGTCTTGAACAAATCTAACATTTTACATGTGTCAATACTAAAATAAACAGTAGGAATCTATTATTGTTTTCCTATTGTTTTTTTTTTCAATGAATAAGAAGGAAAATCAATGATTTTGACTTCTGGTAGCTTTCTAGGTGTATGATTTATAAATAGCTACCTGAAGTTTATCATAGTAAGCTAATTCAATTGTTTTTAAAATAGAAAAAAATTTAGCAAACCACATGATATGATGGCTGTGTTTTGTTCTTTAGTTTGTGGAGTGGATCAGTTGTAATAATTGATTCTAGTGGAATATTTACATTTATCTCTGTGTGCTCTATTGTTTGCACATATTTTCACCAGCTTTTCTATCTATGCACAATGTTCTTCTTTCTAAAATTTGTATCCAAAACTTATATCTTCTAGATTAATCAAAATACTATCTCATCAATGGGGCCTCTCTTTTCAATGACCTATCATATGATATTTAAAGCAACACTCGTTAAAATTTTCTGAATAATTAAAATATATGCTCACTGTAGAAAATATGAAAATCACAAAAGTACCAAGTACATTACCTTATCTAAAGAAGCCATCAATCAATAATTATGTGAGTTTGTGTTTGCATGTGTGCATAGTGAGAGACTGCCTCAATTACACCATACTGCATGATAGTTTCAAATTTAGTTTAATTATTTTTCATTGAAAAATAATTGTATATATTAATAGGGTACAATGTGAAGGTTCAATGCATGTACACATTGTGGAATAATTTAAATCAAGCTAATTAACATATCCATCACATCAAATACTTATTATTTATTTGTGATGAGAAGATTTAAAATCTAAAAAAAGAATATTAAAATTACTTATTTAAAATAGCAATTTTGAAATAAGTAATATATCACTGTTAACTACAGTCACCATGCTGTGCAACAAATCACTAAAAATTATTTCCTCTGTCCAACTGAAACTTTGTACCCTTTGACCAACGTTTCCTCTTTTCCTGTCCAATTCCCCCACAACACCAGCCTCTGGTAACTACCATTCTACTCATGGCTTCTGTGAGTTTGGCTTTTTCGGTTTTACATATAAATGAGATCATGCAATGCTTGTCTTTCTGTGCCTGGCTTATTTCCCTTGGCATAGTGTTCTTCAGATTCATCCATGTTGTGCCAATTGACATAATTTTCTTTTTTTTAAATGCTGAATAGTATTTAGTGGAATTGTATTCAACTGTATCCCAATATGTCACATTATCTTTATCCATTCATCCATTGGTGGACTCAGGTTGCTTCCAGATCTCAGGTATTCTGAATAATGCTGCAGTGAACATGGGAGTGCAGGTATTGCTTCTCACTGAATTCAATTCCTTTGGATATATAACCGGAAGTGTGATTGCTGTATCATATGGTAGTTCTATTTTTATTTTTAGGTATGTTTCACCAATACCTAGTTTATTGAGAGTTTTTAACATAAAGGAAGGTTGAAATTTATCAAAGCCCTTTTCTGCATCTATTGAGACAATCATGTGGTTTTTGGTTTTAGGTCTGTTTATGTGATGAATTATGTTTACTGATTTGCATATGCTGAACCAGTTTTGCATCCTGGGGTGAAGCTGATTTGTTCATGGTGGATAAGCTTTTTGATGTGCTGCTGGAGTTGTTTTGCTAGCATTTTATTGAGGGTATTTGAATTGATGTCTATCAGGGATATTGGTCTGTAGTTTTCTTTTTTTTCCTTCTTTCTTTCTTTTTTTTTTTTTTTTTTTGCATCTCTGCAAGGTTTTGGCATCAGGATAATGCTGGTCTCATAAAATGAGTTTGGGAATATTCTCTCCTTTTTAATTGTTTGGAATAGTTTCAGAATGGTACCAACTCCCTTTGTACCTCTGATAGAATTCAGATGTAAATTCATCTGGACCTGGGCTTTTTTTTGGTTGGTAGGCTATTTCTTACTGCCTCAATTTCAGAACTTGTTATTGGTCTATTCAGGGGTTCAGCTTCTTCCTGGTTCAGTCTTGGGAGAGTGTATGTGTCCAGGAATTTATTCATTACTTCTAGATGCTCTAGTTTATTTGCACAGAGGTGTTTATAGTATTGTCTGATGGTAGTTTGTATTTCTGTGGGGACAGGGGTGATATCCCCCTTATGATTTTTTATTGTGTCTATTTGATTCTTCCTTCTTTTCTTCTTTATTAGTCTAGCTAGCAGTCTAATTAATTTTTTTCAAAAAACAGCTCCTGGATTCATTTATTTTTTGAAGTGTTTTTTGTGTCTCTCTCCCCTTCAGTTCCACTCTGATCTTGGTTATTTCTTGCCTTCTGCTAACTTTGAAGTTTCTTTACTCTTGGTTCTCTAGTTCTTTTAGTTGTGGAGTTAAGGTGTCAATTGGAGATCTTTCTAGCTTTTTAATGTGGGCATTTAGTGCTATAAATTTCCCTCTTAACACTGCTTTAGCTATGTGGTACATTGTCTCTTTTTTCTCATTGGTTTCAAAGAACTTCTTGATTTCTATCTTAATTTTGTTATTTACCCAGGAGTCATTCAGGAGCAGGTTGTTCAACTTCCATGTAGTTGTGTGGTTTTGAGTGAGTTTGTTAATCTTGAATTCTAATTTGATTGTGCTGTGGTCTGAGAGACTGTTTGTTATGATTTTAGTTCTTTTGCATTTGCTGAGGAGTGTTTTACTTCCAATTATGTGATAGATTTTAGACTAAGTGCCTTGTGTTGCTGAGAAGAATATATATTCTGTTGTTTTTATGTGGAGAATTCTGTAGATATCTACCAGGTCCACTTGATCCAGTGCTGAGTTGAAGTCCTGAATATCCTTAGTAATTTTCTGTCTCAATGGTCTAGTATTGACAGTGGGATGTTAAAGTCTCCCATTATTATTGTGTGGGAGTTTAAGTCTCTTTGTAGGTCTCTAAGAACTTGTTTGATGAATCTGAGTCCTCCTGTATGGGGTTGCATATATTTACAATAGTTAACTTTTCATGTTGAATTTATTCCTTTACCATTATGTAATGCTCTTTTTTGACTTTTTTGATCTCTGTTGTTTTAAAGTCTGTTTTGTCAGAAACTAGGATTGCAACCCTTGCTTTTTCCTGCTTCTCATTGCTTGGTAAATTTTCCTTCATCCCTTTATTTTGACCCTATGTGTGTCTTTGCATGTGAGATGGGTCTTTTGAATACAGCACACCAATAGATCTTGACTCTTTATCCAGCTTGCCATTCTGTTTCTTTTAATTGGGGCATTTAGCACATTTACATATAAGGTTAATATTGTTATGTGTGAGTTTGATCCTGTCCTCATGATGCTAGCTGGTTATTTTGCAGACTTGTTTATGTAGTTGTTTCATAGTTTCATTGGTCTTTGTACTTTACTGTGTTTTTGTAGTGGCTAGTAATAGTTTTTCCTTCTATATTTCATGCTTCTTTCAGGAATTCTTGCAAGGCAGGCCTGGTGGAAATGAATTCCCTCAGCATTTGCTTGTCTGAAGAGGATTTTATTTCTCTTTTGCTGATGAAGCTTAGTTTGTCTGGATATAAGATTTGGGTTAAAAATTATTTCCTTTGAGAATGTTGACTATTGGTTCCCAATCTCTTCTGGCTTATAGGGTGTCTGCTGAGAGGTCCACTGTTAGTCTGATGGGCTTCCCTTTGTAGGTGTCCTGGCCTTTCTCTCCGGCTGCCCTTAACATTATTTCCTTCCTTTTGACCTTGGAGAATCTGATGAGTATGTGTCTTGGGGTTGATCTTCTCATGGAATATCTTAATGGATTCTCTGAATTTCCTGAATTTGAATGTTGGCCTGTCTTGTTAAGTTGGGGAAGTTCTCCTGGATGATATCTTGATGTATGTTTTCCAACTTGGTTCCATTCTTTCTGTCTCTTTCAGGTAACCTAATCAGTCATAAGTTTAGTCTTTTTACATAATCCCATATTTCTCAGAGGTTTTGTTCCTTCTCTTCCTCTAATCTTGTCTGCATGTCTTATTTCAGGAATACAGTCTTCAAGCTCTTAAATTCTTTTCTCCACTTAGTCTATTCAGCTATTGATAATTGTGTTTTCATCATGAAGGTCTTCTGTTGTGTTTTTCAGCTCCATCAGGTTATTTATGTTCCTCTCTAAACTGGTTATCCTGGTAAATGGCTCCTATAATGTTTTAGCATGGTTCTTAGCATCTTTGCATTGGGTTAGAACATGCTCCTTTAGCTTAGCAAAGTTTGTTATTACCTACCTTCTGGAGACTACTTCTGACAATTCATCCATCTCAGCATCTGCCCAGTTCTGTGCCCTTGCTGGAGAGGTATTGCAATCATTTGGAGAAGAGGCACTCTGGCTTTTTGAGTTTTTAGTGTTTTTGCATTGATTTTTTTCTCATCTTTGTGAGTTTATCTAGCTTTAATCTTTGAGGCTGCTGGCCTTTGGATGGGGTTTTTGGGGAGACATTTTGTTGATACTGTTGCTGTTGTTGCTTTCTGTTAGTTCGTTTTTCTTTTAACAGTCAGGCTTTTCTGTAGGGCTGCTGCAGTTTGCTGGGGGTCTTCTACAGACCCTTTTTGCCTGGGTTCCTCCTGCACCTGGACGTGTCACCAGTGGAGGCTACAGAACAGTAAAGATGGCAGCCTGCCCCTTCCTCTGGGATCTCCATCCCAGAGGGGCACTTACCTGATACCAGTGGGAACGCTCCTCTATAAGGTGTCTGGTGACCCCTGTTGGGGGTGGTGGTTATCACCAAGTCAGAAAGCATGAGATCCAGGACACACTTAAGGAAGCACTCTGGCTGCCCCTTGGCGGAGGGAGCATCCTGCACTGGGAGGAATCCCACTTATCTGGACTGCCCCGATTCCTCAGAGTCAGCAGGGAGATAGAATAAATCTGCTCATTCACAAAGACCACAGCTGCCCTTCCCCACCAGGGACTCAGTCCCAGGGAGATCATAGTTCTGTTCCTAAACTCCTGGCTGAAGTTGCTTAAACTCCTTCAGGGAGGCCCTGCCTGGTGAGGAGGGATGGGTCAGGGTCCAGCCTAAAGAGGCAGTCTGGCCATGGTCTGCCACAGCTGCTATGCTGTTCTGTGGGGAATTCTTCCTGGGTCCAAACTATCCAGGCTCCCTGGCAGCAGCAGGGGAAAAAGGGAAGACTAGAGCTGCAGTGATGGTTGCCATCCCTCCCTTGGGAGGACAGTTGTCTTAGGCAGCAGGCAACCACAATGATGATAGCCACCCCTCATCCTGGGAACTCAGTAGCCTGAGGCAGTTTCCAGCCAAGTGGCTGATGAGAATCTGCACATCTCTGTGCTTGGGACCCAAGTCCCTGCTGGCATGGGCTCACGAGGAGGATCTCCTGATCCTTAGGTTGCACAGATACGTGGAAAAAGTGTGGTTTCCAGGGCAGAGTAGCACAATCACTCAGCCTTCCTTGGCTGGGGTTGGGAGCTCCCTTTCCCCCATGTGGCTCCTAGGTGGGCCATCACACCACCCTACTGTTCTTCACTCTTCATGGGTCATGGCAAACACCTAGTCAGTCCCAATGAGAGAACCTGGATACCTTGCTGGTGCAGGATTTACTTGCCATTTACATTCTTCTCAGTGAGAGCCTCCAGCCGTAGCTGTTCCTAGTCCCTAACTCCTTTTGATTTTTGTAGACATTCTTCACTCAGAATATGCCTGACCAATAAAGAAGAATCTGAGTATTCATGAGCCAATTCAGTGAGGACTTCAGCCTGAAGTCTTCTCAGGCTTCATTAAAAGTAATAGCCACACTGCCGTATAGACATCACTAGCTAGTCGCATAGCCTATTCAGATATGCATGGCTTATATACCATCCAGAGGAATAGCTGCGACTCATCAGTATTGAGTATTTATTTCTCAAAATAAATAACCCCAACAAGGGGGTATATGTGTTTGTTTCAGTAGAAAGTCCTCAGCTAGATTCACATTTATATTGGATCTTGTAGAGGTGAGCTTCTAAGAATTCTTTGAGTTATCATTTAGGGTGAATTGACGAGGGAGTACATCTCCCCAGTATCCCTGAAGCTCAAGGAGAAGTCACAAATCCATTCGTAAAGCCTTCCCTTCTACTATCCAAACCTTCAGCTGACCTTGAATACATTCTTTCTCATTGTAATGACAGTCCAAGTATGTCAACTATGCATACGAAGGAAATATAGGTCAACTAGCTATCTTTCTAAAATTTCTAAAAAGTTTTCATACTTAATATATTTCACTTCCTAAGTATGATCTCTTAACAAAAAGACAAATTAAAGAAAATCATTTTTTAATTTAGGCTGCCCTCATGAAGATACTACCTTTGTCTAGTGATATTAGCTAATTTCAACTTTAGTCATTGTCTTAATAAGGTCACAATTAGCTATAAAACTATGTTCAAAAAATAATGGCTAAGGTCATGTCATTTTAATATTAAAACATAGGCAATATATTTAGCTTAGAGATCAAAATTCAAAATACTCAATTAAATATTCAAATTAAAATTTATTTGAGTAAAAATACCCAACTAAATACTACATATAGTTTTGGCCATTATTCTGGTGCCCAAATGAGAAGTGAGACACATTTCAGACACCATTTATTTTAATTAATAAGAATCTATTTATAAATGTAAAAATACTGCTAAGGACTTCTGATAAATTTAAGGTTTTGTTGTCAGTTTTTTATAAAACCTATTATTCAGAGGTTTACGACTGCTGTAAAAATTGACTCGAACAATTTAGCACTAAGAGAAATTATTTCTAAATACCATTCTAAAATATAATATCTGACTATTCTGAAAAAAAAAAACTTCAAGGAGAGAAAGGGGGATGGAAAGAGGACAAACAATATTACTTTTTATATTTAACATTTTAAACAAACATGGTTTACACCAAGTGCAGCATGTTTAAAGACATTTAGAAGCTATTCTATTTATCTATTATTGTGTAACAAAACTATGCTAAAATGTTTGCTTCAAGAAACAAGGATTTATTCTATCTCATTATATTGTGGGTCAGGAATACTGATGTGACTCAGCTGGATACAGATGCAGTCCCATGGTGGATATTCAGAATACCATGTTGCTGACTGAGGTCTTTTCCTGGTATCAGGTGGCTGAGCTGATCTGGAAAGTCCAAGCTGCTCCATTCACATTTCTCAGGGCTTGGCAGTTCCGGCTGGAAGGAAAATTCAGCACAGACACCTCCTACCTGTCTCTGTATTCTTAGGCATTTCCATGTGATCTATCCAGTATGGTAGTCACATATCTTATGGTAATTCAGGGCACCTTAAGCAAGTGTCCCAAGACATCCAGGCAGAGGATTCAAGACTTCTTTTGACCCAGCCTTGGAAGTTCCTAAACTCACTCCCCAACATGCACTTGGTCAAGCAAGTCAGCAAGACCAGCTCAGATTCAGAAAAAAACAAAATTAGACTTCTCTAAGTCAAAGGAGTAGCAAATAATTGTGGCCATTTTTAATCTTCAACCAAAAGCTCCTATGTTACTGGTGTAATCTTAGAAAACATCAGACTGTAAGTCAGGTGACTTGTTTATTCGAAACTCTTTGATGAACTAGCTTTATGACACTTATGTTATATGACCTCTCTAGTTTTAAATTTACTTATCTGTATTATAAAATGCCTGGATTAGAGTTGCAAAATATCTTCCTAATTTTAATACTGGATCACTAAATTATATTCTTTTCATTTAAAAAATAATTCACTAACTTTTTAATTTCTACTTTTGTATAATCTCTTTCATCTTTTTAATTATATTTTGATCTTAAAATTGCCTGGGAGACTAGTAGAATGGTAGAAGTGGCAAGGACTGCAAGAGTCAGAGATTTTACCTACTTACATGCTAACAAGTTAGCCTGCCTCAGTTTCATCATTGCTGGTAGATGTATCACCAGCTGTATCCTGGTGATACAGCTCTGATGAGTGGAGAACACCAGGTTCTTCTTCTCAAGTCGAATTAGAAAAAAACGACATGGACACACTTGGAGTAGTTTTAAGGAGCAGGGAGTTTAATAGGCAAGAAAGAAAGGGGAAGAAAGAAAGAAGAGGTTCCCCTGTGCAAAGACAGAGGGAGGGGAGCTCCAAAGCTGAGAGAGGGAACCCCACACTTTGGTAATATCAGCCAACTCTATTCAATGGCTGGAGGAGGAGGTGTCTGATTTGCATAGGAGTCAGGGGATTAGTTTGACCAGGCATTTCATACATGTAGCCCACAAAAAAAATGGCCCTCCCGCCCTAGCCTTTTAATATGCAAGTGCAGGGCACCATGATGTTCCGCACACGTGGTGATATGTGGGCACAGCCATGCTGCCAGACACATGTAGGGGCAAGGGCAAGAGGGCAACAATGGGAATCCCCATGTTGGGTGGACCCAATTTCTAATGGCTTGCATTTGCATATCAAAGGTTGCCCCCAGGGTCTAAGGCCCAGGACTTTCGTGCTAGACAAGAGCTGTGAAAAATCTTCCAAGGACTCCTTTTTCCCTAACTGCCTAAAATACTTTCTTAATAACTCCTACATCATTGGGTCATAGACAAAGATATGATTTCTGATGGTATAAGCTTCATGTTTCCATTAGTTCCTCTTGCCCCCCAAGTCCCATGGGTGATGCAGGTTGACCCAAGTACATGCTGTGCAAACAGTGGGTCTTTGTCACAGCTAAGAAACCTTGTACAAAGAAAACCCTTCATCTTATGAGGGGGTAGCAAACCTGCCCAAATTTTGTCCAGACAGATTATATGTATTATCTTTATTATCCTGAAACAAATCTACTCTCTGCCCTATAGGGAGAAGCTACCTCTGTCTTTCGAGATACATTATACAAACATTCTTGAAAAGATAGTCTAACCAAAAATGCTATCAAGATTTTTGCTCAGAAGATACGCAAAGACACAAGAACCCATGAAGAATTATTTCCTCATATTAGGGGGACAGAAAATTATCATGGTTATTGGGAAGAAAAAAGGACTTCAAAAGGTGTAGTCGTTCCTACTTTTACAAAGTATAACCCAATCTAACATGCCACCATTTGTAGAAATCAACACATACTTTTCAAGTTAAAAACACAGAGGAAAAAAAAACATGAAAATTTAGCATTTTGATACATTTAAGAACGCTGAGTGCTATAAAATGAATAAGAAAGAATACCTGAAATAAATAGGAAATCACAGATGCATAGAAAAACACTTGCTTATTAACAAAATATTTTATAGCATTTTTTCATTTTCTAGTCAAATATTTATTCAATCAACATTAATATAGATTAATATTTCATGCTGCTTAGAAGAGTGGCATATGGTGATTCTTAAGTAATTCCAATTATGCTACCTTTAAGAATAGGTGGAGTGGAAGGATGGACATGTGAGAGAAGTTACAATAAAAATAAAAACTGTGACAGGATGTACAATGGTGTTGGTGGGATATTTGTTATATCCCACAGATTTTGTGATATTTAATAACTCCATATTGTTTTGAGTAAATTTTTCACTAAAGTATGATAAAGGGAAAGCTAGTATTAAGGGGCAGATTATTTAATTTTTATTCAAGACCTTTCCATGCATGTTTCAAGGAAAACCTTTTCATGTGATTGATTTCATGAGTAGTTTCTCATTTAAAATGCTAAAATGTAAAACCTTTTCATGTGGTTGATTTCATGAGTAGTTTCTCATTTAAAATGCTAAAATGTAAAACCTTTTCATGTGATTGATTTCATGAGTAGTTTCTCATTTAAAATGCTAAAATGTAAAACCTTTTCGTGTGGTTGATTTCATGAGTAGTTTCTCATTTAAAATGCTAAAATGTAAAACCTTTTCATGTGATTGATTTCATGAGTAGTTTCTCATTTAAAATGCTAAAATGTAAAAAACATTGAGAATGGAAAAGAGTGATTCACTTTATTCTGCTTTGAAGGGATTACAACAAAATTGTTTCAGTACCCAAGAGATGCAAATGAAAAAGAAAAAAACACTCAAATCTGAACTAATTGCTATAACTGATATAGTTTGGCTCTGTGCTCTATGTCCCCACCCAGATCTCATCTTGAATTATACTCCCATAATCCCCATGTGTTCTGATAATTGAATCACGGGGGTGGTTTCCCCCACACCGTTCTCATAGTAGTGAATAAGTCTCAGGAGATCTGATGGTTTTATAAGGGGTTTCTGCTTTCACTTCTTTCTCATTTACTCTTGCCACTGCCGTGGAAGAAGTGCCTTTCACCTTTGCCATGATTGTCTGCAGCCATGTGGAAATGTGGGTCCATTCAACCTATTTTTATTCCTTATCTTGGGTATGTCTTTATCAGCAGCATGAAAATGGACTAATTGTGCATTTTTCAGCAACTTAGTATTTTTGCATAGTTATAAGGCTCTAAATACCTGATTCTGGTAATAAGTGGCTAAACTTTTCTCAAATGGCATATATGTTCTATATGGAGAATCATACCTCCTGTGCAGTTGTTTGCCATGGTTATCCTTTAACAGTATTGTAAATCTATTACATACTTCTTATTAGTCACTGAAGTTCTAAGCATGGAAGTACTATTTTTTCATGAATGCAATTAATATTTTACAGAAACAGAAAAAAAAGAGTAATCATAACAAATTCTCTTAATGTTTCCAAAACGTCCAATAGAACTTCTCATTCAAACTAGAAGGCAGTTGAGGCAGATGGCCAATAAATGTGTTCTATCTGATAGTTCTCTAAAAGTTTAGCTCTGAATTGAAAGTTTGCTATCAGAGTAGATAGCTTTTTTCCTTGCACACTATTGGTGGGAATGTAAATTAGTACAGCCATTATGGAAAACTGTATAGAGTTTCCTCAAAAAAACCCTAAAACTAGAATTACCTTATGATCCAGCAATTCACTTCTGCATTCATATAATTTTACTTAAAATCACTATGTCAGAGACGTCTGCTCTTGCTTGTTCATCACAGCACTATTCACAGTAGCCAAGTTACGGAATTGACCTACGTGCCCATCAACAGATGAATGGATAAAGAAGATGTGGCATGTATTCATATTACTCAGTAGCTTAGAAACAACTTTTTTTTTCCTAAGGGAGAGGTTCCTACAAACTTAATGAGTGTTAATCTGCCAGTAACAATATTTCATTATTGAATTTAATTTTATACCTTCTTCAATGCATGTTTTGATTTTTTAATTGTCTGCTTACTTAAATGTGCAACGTCAAGACACTCATAGGAGCATGGTATTATATGCATTAAAAGCCTAAATGCTCTTCTATACTTTTGTTGAGGGCTACTAAATCTTTAGGTTAACTGATCTCCAGTTTAGGGGATTCTATAGCTGTTTTCTCAATAGTTTTAAGTGGTGCTTCCAAGGATTAAGTGACATTTCTTTGGAGTCAGTAATTTGCATTCGAGATAACTTGACTGCATTTCAGTTATACTGCACTGCTCATTCACATGATTCATATCAATGAGGCAGTAGTGCGGTGAAGGTGAAGATCAGCAGCCAGGTGGAATCTTCACTTGAAATAGAACTTAGCCTGCTTAGGATGTGCATTAAGGCTTGGTCACAGCCTGATGAACAAAGAGCAGGACAAGGTCATGATTAAACAAATTGAAGCCTTTGTCTTTCTTAACATGATTCATTAGTGGTTTGCTTAGTGTTGCGTTCATTTTTTAGGACTTATACTCAGGATATTGTATTAATTACCTAAGTGGAATCTAACCACAATGTTAGGTCTGTTTTTGAGCTTTGATATTTAATACAGATTAAATGCTAATTATTATGATTGCTATCTTCCTCAAAATGTTTAAATTGTGGGGTCTGGACCATTAATACCTGCTAAATGAATGAAAATATTTTTTTCCCAAATAGTACAAAAATTTGATTTTGTTGAATAGTGAAAAATAACATATAGTAAAATATAAAATATAAAAATTATATCTTAAAATATGAATCTTCCATGCTACTAAAATGAAAATTTTAGGCTTATAAAATTTCAGAGCGTGGTATAAGGTTTTAAATTTGATAAATACACACAAACTATTACATGGCTCTAATTATCTTAAGGGAGCACCCACAGGGCCAAAGAATCTGGACAAAGGACCAGGACAGTCTCTCAGGCTCCCAACCTGGAAGGACCACATGCTTGGGGATTAATGCTCTGCAATCAAGTAAGTGAAGTCTGATGGTACAATAAGCACTAATCCAGGGCTTGAGAGAATTGGGCAAGACTGCCATGGCCTGTCTGTCCTCTGGACTGGACAATTTGGGCCTGGAGGCTGGAGGGAGGAGGACCTGGCAGCTGCCCAAGGGAAACAATGCTAAGTAGCAAATCTTTAAAAACGTCGTTACAGAGAGAGATCATGGAAGAAAGGAAAAAGTCGTATTTCTTATTACATTTAGCAGGACATCGTCCCTGCTTTCTGAATAAGAGGACCACATTTTCCGTTTGCATTAGACCTGGAAAATTAAGTAGCCAATCCTAAGTAACCAACAGCATTTGACCACAGTTTTAAAAAATCTAAGAAGAAATTGTTTTTCAAAGTGCCAGCTATTGATTTACTGGGCGTCATTCTCATAATCCTAAAAACATTAATCTGTACCATGCACATTTGCTTAACATATTCACATATTTGTGATGGGGATAGGAGAGTCATCTAAGAGGGGAATTAGAGAAAGAAAAAGTCAGTTCTATACTCATTTGCTGAGTGAGGAACTAAAATAAAATAGCGATGCTAGCCACCGCATGCTTTCAATTAAACAACAGTAAACATACAAAGTACATTATTTCATTCATTTAAAAATAAGAATCTGCTCATCATCCGATAGAATCTTTATCAGATCAACCAGATCCTTAAATGATGTGAACATTATGATCTCACAATACTAATTCAGGAATAAGCTGTCTCAGTATTTCCCATAGAATGTTTCTTGGTATGTTAAATGTTTTATTATAATTTGATTTTCTATTACATTTGAATAATACTGACAAGACGCCCTATTTGATGGCTATTTTCTCCTCTGTTCCTGACTTGAGACTCCTTGGCAGGCATGCTTGAGATTTATAGGTGAGATTCTCACTATCTGATGAACTCTTCCACTGGAGTGATATCTAAGGAATATAAAAAAGCATCCTCTACAAAACAAATGCAAACATTAGTCTCCTCATCTAACACCGTTAAATAAAGAGGTGTAGCATTTGCTATGGATAAGTCTTTTAATTGTATTGCATGTTTTAAAATTGCAGCTGAATATAATATAATTTTAGTAGCTCATTTCTCCTGAGGCATCAACATCATTTATCACTCCTGCTGCCATCTGGCGTGTCTGAACCATCATGATCAGCAGTTTATGTGGAAATTAAAACATTCAGTGGGTCGCTCTTCAATAATGCTCTGAGGTCAGGGACAATATTGCTAGCAGCAGTGAAGATGCATTTTTATTGCACACTTGAGAGGCATCCGTTTGACGTACTTTATAGCTTTCTAGGTTAAGACTAGCCAAGTTTCCCTTATTTGCACCGACCTGACATGGGGGTCATTCCATATAATAACTATCTAAGGATCATTCAGAGTAATTCCCCCTTGCTATCGTGCTTATGCAGCTACATTCAGATAAAAGCGCAGCAGCAGTAATAAAAGTCCCATTCTCTCTCTCTCTGATTGCTTGTTTGTTTTCTCTGTTAAAGAATTCAGAAACAGCAAGAAAATACCAACCACAGGACTAATTAACATAGTAGTCCTCTAAACAAACATATCTTTGCAATATTATTTGGTGATATTGTCAAAGATAACTTGTTTGAATTTAAATTGAATTCCCGTGATTGAGAATGTGAAGGACATATTTTAGTCCATAAGCTAAGTTCCACAATTATTGAGCTTCTCAGAATGGTGAGTTACTTAGGTCAAATGGACTAAATGCCCAAGTAATGTAAATGCCTAATCTTTTAAAGTGTTGCACTACAGAAATATCCCAATCTAGAAGAAACTGTTTCTTTGCCATCAGGAAGATTATGACTTAACATTTTTTAAACGATAAAAAAATACAGTAATGTCATTCCTTCCCCAGAAAATGAATGTTTGCCGAAGTGAAAGGAAAACGTGCAAATTTCTTCTCTTGGTTATTCACTCAGTCTTCTGGTTTTTATTTTATCTGCCCAACATCACTACACAACATACACACTTGTACATACACACACACACACACACACACAGAACACCAGTCCCGTTCATGAATACAGTCAGCAGACATTAAAACAGAGATGTTACCATAGAAAATATGGAACCTCCATGGAAACAATACCCACATGTGCTCTGTATTTAAGAACCAGTACTTTTGACAGTACTGAGTTTGTTGTGGTATATTTCAACGTCAGGAAAACTTCAGAGAGGAAGTAAGTCTCTATAAAAAATGATGGAAAAGGAGAGATTTGTATCCATTATATATGTACTCATACTCATCCTAAAAAAACTAATAATTCACAAAGATTCTCTCTTATATTTCCTTAAACTTTTATACATTTTATGTTTAGATCTATAGTCTTCACAATTTAACTTTCGTACAAGGTTTGAGGTTTAGTTTAAAGGTTTTTGAGTATTTAGCTTTGGAAGGGTTTTTAAAATTTTCCTCCTAATGCTCAAATGTTCCAACATGATTTGTTGAAAAGGCCCTACCTCCTCCATTGAATTAATTTTATGGTTTTGTAATTCTGTCAAAAGTCATTTGGCCCTACTAGTGTGACTCTCTTTCAGAATAGAATATAAGAATTTCTGTTCTGTTCCATTGATCTCTGTATCGATCCTCCACCAAAATCAGTCACACAGCTTTTAATATTGTACCTTTACAGTAAGTCCTAAAATAAGATTAGTGTGACTTTTTCAGCTTTATTCTTCTTTTTCAAAATTGTTTTGACAATTTTAGTTCTTCCATTTCCCTTCCCTTCCTCCCTCCTCCGCTCCCCTCCCCTTCCCTTTTTTGTTGCCTAGGCTAGAGTGCAGTAACATGATCTCTGCTCACTCCAACCTCCGCCTTCCGGGTTCGAGTGATTATCCTGCCTCAGCCTCCCAAGTAGCTGGGACTACAGGCACCTGCCACCACACCAGGCTAGTTTTTTGTGTATTTTTACTAGAGATGGTGTTTCACCATGTTGGCCAGACTGGTTTGGAACTCCTGACCTCAAGTGATCTGCCCACCTCAGCTTCCCAAAGTGCTGAGATTACAGGCGTGAGCCACCATGCCCGGCCTAGTTCTTTCCGTTTCTATATACATTTTAAAACCAACTTATATATATATATACATATAATCCAGCTAGGACTTTTGATAGGAATATTGTTAAACTTGTAGATAAATTTGGGGAGCATTAATACTTTTACTATGCGGATTTTCCAATCCATGAATTTGATATACCTCCATTTATTTAGGTCTTTTTAAAATTATAACATTACCATAGTTTTTAGTATACTGATCCTGTACATGTTTACAGATTAGTATTTAAGTATTTTAAATTTTTGGACCAATTATTAATGGTATTGTGTACTTTATTTTTACTTTCTGTTTTTTATTGCCATAATAGAGAATTTTGATTGAATTTCATATATTGATCTTGTATCTGTAATGTTGTTAAATTCATTAATTAGCTCTAGAAGATACTTTTTCTTATGTAAATTCTGCTGGATTTTCTACATGGACAATCAAATTATCTACACATTGGGACAGGGTCGTTTTCTCTTTTCCAATCTGTATGTCTTTCATTTCCTCTTTTTGCCTTACTGAACTGGCTAGGGTTACCATCACTGTGCTGAATAGAAGAAGTCAAAGCAGACATTCTTTCCTTGTTTCCAGTTTTAGGGGTAAAGCATACAATCTTACACCATAAAGAATGATGTTATCTGTGTTTTTTTTGTAGATGTTGAGGATAAAGTTGAAAATACTACCTTCTGTTGTTTGTTGAGAATTTTTATCAGGAGCGACGTAGAGTTTTTCCAAATATTTCTTCTATATTAATTGTAATGATCATTTTTTCCTTCTTTAGACTATTATTGAGGTGAATTATATTAATTTACTTTTTAATCTGGAACAAGTTTTGCATTCTCTGAATAAACCACACTTAGTCCCAATGTATTTTGTATATAATGCAATGTCGATTTTCTAATATTTTTTTGAAATTTTTTGAAGGTATCATTATGAAGGATATCGTCAGTGTTTTTCTTTTTTCTTTCTTCTTTCATTTTTTTTTGTACTGCCTTCGTCTAGTTTTGTTATAAGAGTAAAAATGGCTTTATAAAATGAGTTGGAAAGGGTACTACTCCCTTTTTTTATCTTCTGGAAGAAATTTGTTAGAAGTGATACTAATTATTTTGTAATATTTGGTAACATTCACCAGTAAAACTATTTGACACTGGAGACTATAGAGGAACTTTTAATTACTAACTTAATTTTGTTAATAAATCTAAGACTATTCCACTTATCTGTTTTATCGTGGATGAATTATAGTAGTTTATCGTTTTCAAAGAACTGCTTAATTTCAGTTATATCATCTGATTTTTATCTGAAAATGTGATTTGTAGTATTCCCTTGTTATACTTTTAGTGCTTGTATGATCTATAGTGATATCTCCTTTTTCATTCTTGATATTGGTCATTTTTTTACTCTCTTTTTTTTATTTGTAAGT
The DNA here is from genome assembly GCF_000001405.40 of Homo sapiens. NCBI lineage: Eukaryota > Metazoa > Chordata > Mammalia > Primates > Hominidae > Homo > Homo sapiens. The sequence continues at coordinate 171,606,422 of NC_000004.12, forward strand.
ATAAATTTTTATAGATTTCTCAGAGAATCAGCTTTTAGTTTGACTGATTTTTTTCATTGATTTTTCTGTCTTCATTTCATTAATGACTGTCATGATTTTTATTATCTTTTTTATTACATTTACTTTGATGTATTTTGTTAGTTTTCTAGTTTATTGTGGTGGAAGCTTAGAGTATTGAGTTGAGACCTTGTTCCTTTCTAACTTAAGTATTTAGCGCAATAAATTTTTCCTCTAGTGCTCACTTTCACTTAGTCCCATAGATCTTGATATGTTGTACTTTCATTATCATTCAGTTCAATAAATACATGTTTTACTACTCTAGAGACTCCCTGTTTGACCCAAAAATATTTAAACATTTATTAATATCCAGGATGTCAGAGATTTTTTTTATTACCTTTTTGTTATTTCCTTTCAGTTTCAACTCTTTATGATTAGAGAACATATTGGTATTGTTTTAATTATTTAAAATAGTTGAAGTTTATTTTATGACTCATAGTATGGTCTATCTTGATAAATGTCTCCTGCAGTTATGAAGAGAATATTTATTGTCTTGTTCTTCAGCAGAGTGTTTTATAAATATTTAGAATCCATTGGTTGATGATGTTTTTCAGTTTTTTTATATTTGTGTTGAATTTTTGCCTAGTGGCTTTACCAATTACTGAATAAATGGTGTGGAAGTTCCTAACCAAAATTATACATTTGTCTATTTATTCTTTCAGGTCTATCAGTTGTGATTCTTTATTTATGTATTTATTTATTTATTTATTTTGATATGGAGTCTCACTCTGTCACCCAGGCTGGAGTGCAGTGACATGACCTCGGCTCACTGCAGCCTCCACCTCCCGGGATCAAGTGATTCTCCTGCCTCAGCCTCCCAAGTAGCTGGGATTACAGGCACCTGCCACCATGCCTGGCTAATATTGTAATTCTAGTAGAAATGCAGTTTCACCATGTTGGTTAGGCTGGTCTTAAAATCCTGGCCTTAGGTGATCCACCCACCTCGGCCTCCAAAGTGCTGGGATTACAGGCGTGAGCCTCCGCACCTGGCTTGCTTCATTTATTTTAGAGTGGTATGGTTTGGTGCATATTAAAGATTGTTATATCTTCTTGGTGAATTGACTCTCTTATCAATATGTAACCTCTTTTTTCACCCCGATGCTTCTTTTGCTCTGAAGTGTACTTTATCTGATGTCAATATTGCCATTCCAACTTTTTTTCTTAGCGTTTGTATAGTATATAATTTTTCATAGCCTTTAACCTTTAAATCTGAAGTAAAGTTATTTTGGCCATCATAAAGTTGTCATCATTTTTATTCTCTTCTGCCAATCTTTGTCTTTTTTATTGATGGGCTTAGGCTTTTTACAACCAACATAATAATTGATATAATTTGTCTGCCATTTTATTATTTGCTTCCTGTGTCTTCCCCCTTTTTTTCTTCTTATTTCTCCTTTCTTGTCTTTCTGTGAGTTACATGAATGTGTTTTATTCATGTTAAACAGTAGTTTAGTACTGAGTATCGTTTTTTATATTTTTAAAATGGTTATTCTAGGGATTGCATATGCATGCATAGTTTATGTCAATTCACTAGCATCAATGTTTTATCATTTTAAGTAAAATGTAACCATTATTTAGCTCCCCATACTGGTCCAGTCTGAAAAGATCAGATTACTGAAGGAAAGAAGGAAAGACAAGACTTAGCTCAGAGGCACCCCAGAGATAGTTGACCCCGTCTATTTAGTGGGGGTTGGGATGAAAGTTAGGTTCTGCCAATGGCCTCTGCTGCTGTAGCACATGCTAGAGTGGAGACAGAGCATGGCTATTTTCATGGTGTTGCCTGGAGCAGATGTAGCTAAAGGTTTTCTACCCAACTGGCCTACCAATTTTGTTCTCCTTTGGCTAGAGAAAGCAGTCTTTTTGTGGGATTATTTCTTTTATCTACTAACATTTATAAGTTGTGGCCTTTTCTAACACTCAGGTCAAAATACATATGAGGCAAGAAAAAAATTAGAGAATTCACTACCAGGTTAACCAAGGTCCCTAGTCAATCTGCCTTATTTTCTTCACTTTTCAGAGCTCTCTGGTGGGTAACTTATGTGTCTTATCCTAAAAGTTTTGTTGGGATTAGCAGAAGGAATAAAATGGAATGCACCACATTTTGTCTGGAACTGAAATTTCATGCTTTGATCATAATCTTCAAGTATTATTTCAAAATTGCAAGAAAATTAATATGGTAGTTTAAAATGGATAGACAGTTGATATTAGGTTAAACAGAGGTAAAATATGGGCTACTCAGCATTCAGGCTTTTGAGGGACTAGTCTCTTCAAGACGGCAGATAGGAGGCAGTGTTATACCTCTCCCACTTGGAAGGACAGAATAGTGGGCAGAGATTCACACTGTGAATATATTTTTCCCAAGAACCATCACAGGAACTTACCAGAAAAACTGAAAGAACCCACAGACCCTTTGAAAGAAGTAGCAGGCTACAGTCTACTTCTTAAGATAGGCAAAAAACTATAAGTTTCCAGAGTGTGAAGGGGTAAACCTGCCTCTGAGCACACATTCCCCACTGGGAAATATGAAAATCCAGACCATGGGAGAAGAACTCAATCCTACCCAAAGCTGGAACTGATTTAGGGAGTGGCAGGAAATATAAAAGTAGAAGCAGCAGCATGAAGTGCCTTGTAGGCATTCCCAGTCTCCAGTGCAAGACCAGGGAAGCCATTCCTGATTCTGTCTCACAGGAGTCCTTGCAGAAGGCAGCCAGTGAACTCAGGGAGAAGTTGCAGAGTGAAAGAAGCTTCCAGCTGAATTTTGTGATATAATTTCGAGTGGGGACAAATTTTCTTTAATAGAACCGTGGGGTAAGCAGGAAGTACTGCAGATATGCACACAGGAGCCAGGCACCTGGCCTTATGAGCAAATGGGAAGGTATATGATTTGAAAACCATGCTTGCTATTTGCATGGAACCCTGAGGAAGGTCTGATTCCTGTCTGCTGGCTGCCTGGATCTACACCTGGCACTTTTAGCTGAGCACTGAAGGAACAAGATCAGCCTTGCCAACTGCATGGGAGCCAGGTGAGGCTTACTGCTGCCGGCTACTCTTCAATCCCTTTGTGAACTCTTGTGCACAGCAGAGACAGTTATACTGCCTCTGCAACATTACCCCAGTGGCGTGAGAACCAGCCCTTATCTCCCACAGTGGCCTCCCACATCAGACCCTGCCCAAGGAGAGTCTGAGCTGAGATCCGCAAAACTCTGTCCCTACCTGGTGGTATTTCTCCACCCACCCTGGTAGCTTAACACAAAGGACATAAGCTTTTAGGCGATTTATGGCCCCACCCATCACCTGAGAAACCAGAATACTTCCCATGGGCACCTTATGGCAAGCTCATATCCCACTGCTACTACTGCAGCTGGTGCTCTTGCAAACACCACATCCTGGCTGGAAACCAACCAACTCAGGCCATTACAGCACCTCTCCATGGAATAACACTGCTCCTAGGAAGGAGAGAACAGCTGTGGTATCTTAGCTAATACCACTGCCTGCAACATCCTGGCTAGCCAGAGGTCCTGAATCTGTTCAGGTGACAAATTCACTACTAGTATAACCAGCATTCAAGAAAGCCAGCATACTAAGCCTATCTACAACCAAGAACTCTCACAGAATCTACATTACTCCCCTGCCACTTCCATCAGAGCAGGTGCCGGTAGCCACTGATGGGAGACTTGAAAACGGTCACATCACTGGATCCCTTGCAGACATTCCCGAGCAACAGCCTGGAGTTTGGTAGACCCATTGGATGGCTAGACCCAGAAGAGCAATAATAATCACTGCAGTTGTCTCTCAGGAAGTCCCGTTCCTAGGAGAAAGGGGAGAGCACCACATTCAGGGAACACCCTGTGAGACAAAAGAATCTGAATGACAGGCTTTGAGTCCCAGATCTTTCCACTGGTGAGATGTTTCTTACAGCAGAAGCACAATCACAGTGCACCTCTACCCCAATAGGAAGGCAACCTCTGGGATCGTGAAGAGCCTTGGAGCAGGAGTCCTTGTTCCCCCCGGTACACCACTGCAGACATACCTGGGGTTTCTCCCAGCTCTCCCAGTCTCTGCTATCTTCAAGAGGTACACCTCACAAGTAAGGACTTACATAAACTTAAGGTAAAGAGGTGAAAAAAGATATTCCATGCAAATGGACTGAAAGTGAGCAGGAGTAGTTACTCTTATATCAGATAAAACAGACTTGAAAGCAACAACAGTAAAAGAGGCAAAGAAGAACATTATATAATGGTAAAAGGGTTAGTCCAACAGGAAAATATCACAATCCTAAAATATAAGCACCTAACACTGGAGCTCCCAAATATATAAAACAATTACTACTAGACCTAAGAAATGAGATAGACGACAACACAATCATAATAGGGGACTTCAATATCCATTAACAGCACTAGACAGGCCATCAAGTCAGAATGTCAACAAAGAAGCAATGGACTTAAACTATATCCTAGAACAAATGCACTTAACAGATATTTGCAGAACATTCTTCCCCAAAACTGCAGAACATAAATTCTTCTCACCAGCACATGGAAGATTCTCCAAGGTAGACCATATGATAGGCTATAAAAAAAGTATCAATAAATTTAAGAAACTAGAAATCATATCAAGTATCCTCTCAGACCACAGTGGAATATATATGAAAATCAGCGACAAAGGAACCTTCAAAAGTACACAAATACATAGAAATTAAATAATCTGCCTTTGAATGACCTTTAGGTTAACAATAAAATCAAAATGGAAATTAAAAAATATTATTTGAACTGAATGATAATAGTGACATCACTTATCAAAACCTCTTGGATACAGCAAAAGAAGCGCTAAGAGGAAATTTCATAACGTTAAATGCCTACATCAAAAAGTCTAAAACAGCACAAAGAGACAACCTAATATCATACCTCAAGGAACTAGAGAAACAAGAACAAACAATCCAAATCCAGAAGAAAAGAAGTAACAAAAATCAGAACAGAACTAAATGAAATTGAAACAACAGCAACAACAACAAAATATATATAAAAGATAAATAAAAGAAAAAGCTAGTTCTTTGAAAAGATTAACAAAATTGATGGATCATTAGTGAAATTAACCAAGAAAGGAAGAGTGTAGATACAAATAAGCTCAATTAGAAATAAATCTGGAGACATTACAAGCAATACCACAGAAATACAAAAGATAATTCAAGGCTACTATGAACATCTTCACATGCACAAACTAGAAAATGTAGAGGAAATGGAAAAATTCCTGGAAATATACAACCCTCCTAGATTAAATCTGACAAAAAATAGAAATTCTGAACAGTCCAGTAAAATGTAACAAGATTGAAAGAGCAATTAAACAATTGCCAACAAAAAAGTCCATTACCAGATGGACTCACAACCGAATTATATCAGACATTCAAAGAAGAATTGGTACCAGTTTTACTGAAACTATTACAAAAGATAGATAAAGAGGTAATCTTCCCTAAATTCCTCCCTATATGAAGCCAGTATCACCCTAATACCAAAAGAAGGAAAGGACATAACAGCAACAACAACAACAAAAACTACAGAGTAATATCCCTGATGAACATAGATGCAAAAATCCTCAACAAAATACTGGCTAACTGAATCCAACAGCATTATGATCAAGTTGGTTTCATACCAGGGATGCAGAAATGGCTTAACATAGGCAAGTCAATAAATGTGATACATCCCATAAACAGAATTAAAAAAAAATCATATGATCATCTCAACAGGTGCAGAAAAAGCACTGGATAAAATTCTAGTACTCCTTTATGATAAAAGCCCTCAACAAAACAGGAATAGTGGAACTTACCTCAAAATAATAAATGCCATATATGGTAAATCCCACAGCCAACATCATACTAAATGGGGAAAAGTTGAAAGCTTTATCATTTTAAGTAAAATGTAACCATTATTTAGCTCCCTGAGAACTAGAAAAAGACAAGGATGCCATTTTCATCACTTCTATTCAATATACTACTGGAAGACCTGGCCAGAGCAAACAGACAAGAGAAAAAACAAAGAGCATCCAAACTGGAAAAAGAGGAAGTCAAACTGTCACTATTCACTGATGATATGAACTTATACCTAGAAAACCCTAAAGACTCATCCCAAAAGCTCCTATATCAGATAAACAAATTCAGTAAAGTCTCAGGATACAAAATCAATGTACACAAATCAGTAGCACTGCTATATACCAACAATGACCAAGTTGAGAATAAAATCAAGAACTGAGTCTCTTCTATAACAACTGAAAAAAAAATACTTAGGAATATACTTAACCAAGGAGGTGAAAGATCTCTAAAAGAAAAACTACAAAATACCACTGAAAAAAAATCATAAATGACAGAAATGAATGGAAACACATCCTATGCCCATGAATGGGTAGAAACAATGTTGAGAAAATGACCATACTGCCAGAAGCAATCTACAGATTGAATACAATTCCTATCAAAATACTAACATCATTCTTCAAAGAACTAGGAATGATGTCAGAGTACGTGTAGCAGTAAGTTTTTGAAAACCACTAAATTAACAGTGAGCACCTTTTAGATGATCAAGGCTTGAGAAAGAATAATTGAACTTTTGAGCTTAAGCCTCTTAGGTGGATTGTGCAATACCAGTAGAAGTACCAATTGAGCAGACTGCTATCTGGGTGGCCTCTCAGAAGCCTGAACTCAGACTGGCATGACTGATACCTAGGGTGGAAATGATTGGAAAGAGATTAAGGATCCCTACAACTTAAGTGCTTGAATACCCAAAAGACAAAGCTAGAGAAGCTGAATGTTCTAGGTCCAAACATCAAACCAGGAAACGTCACTAGAAATAATTCAGAAGCAGGACAAATGTAGAAATAAATTCTGAGGCAGAGAGGAAGGGAATAAAAAGAAGGGGCACCAAAGGGGAAGTCGGCACATCTACCACACAGAGAACCTTACAATTGCCTGTGGTTTATTTGGTATATGGATAAATTGGTTTACTTCAGATGCTTAAAGTCATGATACAATTTGTGCAGTTTTGATAAAACAGTATTACAAGGAAAGCACAGCCTTCCAAGATAGGCTTTGGTTGATTATTTTACATGGAAGAAAATCCAGAAAAATCCCTATTCAAAGTTAAAATGCACATATAGATGTACATACACTCTGAAAATAAATATTATAAATTTTAAAAACAGATAATATGTTTTTGCTCTTCTAAGTGAGTGCATGTTTCTTTAAAAAACTACACAGAAAAAAGACAGTAAAAGCACTTACACAGTTGATAGAAATTTTGGAAACTAATTCCCTCAAATGATGACTATATTACTGTAGCTAACTTTCAAAGAGTGACCTTGTTGAAGAAAATTGTCTTTTATTGCCATTATCATAATTACACAGTGGTAATATTTTGTAAATTTTAATTACAGTGATAAAAAATCCTTATAATTGGGGTGATTTATTTTTTATTATTTGAATGCTATTAAGCTTTAACACTATTTCAAGTTTTTTATATACTGATATAAAATATTCCAGAATATCAGTATAGCTTCTTTTAACTTTATTAGCTATTAAAATGTTTGAGAATTAATTATATAAAAGCTGTCAAAATGAAAATTCTTATGTTTTAAGAATGCGACATATTTCCTATTATTAAGACATATCTCAAATCTCTTTTCTGGAAAGAGTTTTGTGCACTTGAATCAGTGTACTGTTTTCTTTTCTTATTCAAATGCATATTTCTACAAAAGTGGTGTTAACACTTTATATATTAAGCAATTTTCACCAGAAAGCTGACAGAAGCATGAGACAACATATTATCTATTAAGATATTGATCTGTTAGAGAATTCTAGATTGCTATTCCTAAAATATTTAACTGAATAGAACCTTTTTCACATACTATAAAGATGTTTACAATGATATACTTGGACTCTATTCAAATGTGATATCACACACAGAGTTTCTGATCAATGTTTTTAAGGGGCAGTACCACACCATACAACCTATTAGTTATTATACCTTAAAAGTCTATACATGGTGCAAAAAAAATCAAAAAATCAAACGTTACTCTTTTGCCTCTGTGGTTGTCTTTCTTTTTTCCAATTTGTCTTTTAATTCTCTCATAATCACACCCATTCTGTACCGTAACACAAAGACTGTAGTATAGTCTGGCAGATCTCATTTGAATCTTTACTTTCTCCTACTTACCACAGGCAATGACATTGACACCACATTAAGAGTTTTTACTCTTTGTGTGTTGGGTTTTTGTTTGTGTGTTGGGTTTTTGATTTGTTTGTCTCTTTATCCATTCCCAGTAGGCAGATTGAGTTGGAATATAATTAATGTCATAATATTTAACAACAGAGGGCAGTTTTAAATTGGTTCCTTAAAAGAGGGGTGCCTCACCCCCCCACCCCCCACACAATGCAGTGTTCCTAAAGAGCCGCCTTACTAAAGTCTCACAGAATTTAAGTAAGTCTCAACTGCGGGAGAAGAGTAAGCAATTGTACCCTGACTTACTTAAGCTTCTGATGCTGGTGGGCCAGTCACGTCTTCTGACAGGAAATAAAAAAAAAAAAAAGAAACCCAGAGACAGCCGAAGTGATACTTGTGTACTTACCTTGGACCTGACTGGCCATTTACCATGAATGGAGGAACCTGGTCTTTACTACACGGCAGAGTTAGGTATGAATCTAATCCTAGTATCTGCAAGTGATAGCCCAGTAGATCTTGGAAACACACATATGCACACACATACACACACACACACAAACACACACACGTATACTTACTTACTCTATGGTAAAGATGGTAAAACTGAGGTGATGGGGGTGGATAATCTCAACTTGCATTATTAATCAATTATGATAAATATTGAAAGTAAAACTTTATGTTTAATATTCAATGAATTATTACACTAAAGGAAAGACAATGTGAGTGGTCTTTTATAAGCTTTTACAAATTGTACTTTTCTATTTATAGTTCACAATTTTGTAATGTCTTTTTCCTTCTTCTCAATTACTCATTACATCTACAGGTTCCTAGGCAAAGGCTGAAGTAGAACCCTGCATTCTCTCCCAGCCCTTCTCATCAACCTCCCATTGCATCTTACCAAGAGGAGCCCCATGTGCCTATGTTGAGCCTCTCCCTATATACTGCCTCCGCTACAAACAGATACAACTTTGGCCCTCCTCTAACCAAGAAAGAATTGAAAACATTTCACTAGCCTACTCTTGGGGAAAGAGACAGTGGGGAAGAAGCCCATGTATGCTCTAGAACTGGAACTGGGTAATTATCCATCTAATTAGGAATTTCCAAGGTCCCATGCATCTGGAACATGATGTATAGGTGGGGCTAGCTCTAATGGGGACATCTCCTTAGCCTCATGGATTTCACATCCCATGGAGAAGGACATTGCCACAGTGGGGGTCATAGTAGAGAATTTAAAACTCAAGTGCTACGTTTAAAGGCCATACTACTCATGCTGCAAGAAAGAAAAAATAACTTGTGTGTATGTGTGTGTGTTAAGTAGCAATAACTGCTTTAAAATAAAAATAGTAATCCAAAAGTGGTAGGTAATTCATCATTTTTGGCACAAGACTTTCCTAAAAACAGACCCTGAGACAAAAATTTTGGGCAAATAACTGATTAAATGATTGCACTTAGGAGAAATTGGTAAAGAAGCAGAAGAAGAAAGAAAGAGACCAACAATAATGTGACTTTAGGTGAAATCGTGCTCTTTGCCTAGTTGTATAGGGAGCTCTGGAGCATAAATTCCATCATAGATTTTGTTGTGCCTTGTGGCAGGGAGCTGGGATTTCATGACCCTTCACCAGTTAGCTTTTGGCAATGGGCTATCCTAGAGCCTAGCAGACACATACACCTCTTTAGGAAAAACTGCCATAGTAGTCCCAGCATAATTTCTTTTAGAATCTCCATAAAAGCTAGAAAATGGGCCTGTGAAGGAAGCCTGGAGATCTGGGAGGAGCATAGAACACAGCTCTATAGAAGTGAAGCCAGGATGCAGTTGACAAATGAGATTACAGTAAAAAGATGAGGTTCAGATGAGATTTAAATGACTGTGTCCATCCTCATCACCATTGTCATCATTATTGTCATCAGACTTGGTGGAAGCAAATGAAGAATTCTGAAAAATATAATTATTTAACCTTTTGACTTTTTTTTTTTTTTTGAGACAGAGTCTCACTCTGTCACCCAGTCTAAAGTACAGTGGCACAGTCTCAGCTCACTGCAACCTCTGCCTCCCAGGTTCAAGCAATTCTTCTGCCTCAGCCTCCCGAGTAGCTGGAACTACAGGAGTGCATCACCACGCCTGGCAAATTTTTGTATTTTTAGTAGAGACGGGATGTCACCATATTGGCCAGGCTGGTCTGGAACTCCTGAACTCATGATCTGCCCTCTTCGGTCTCTCAAAGTTCTGGGATTACAGGCGTGAGCCACCATGCCCAGCTTGACTCTTTTATAATAACACTTAGCTTAAAACAGAAACACATTGCAGAGCTGTACAAAAATATTTTCTTTCATTATATTCTTATTCTATAAGCCTTTATCTATTTTGTTATTTTAACTTTTTAAGCTTTTTTTTGTTAAAAACTAAGATACAAACACACATATTAGCCGAGGCTTACACAGTATCAGGATCCTCAATATTACTATCTTCAACTTCCACATCTTCTCCCACTAGAAGTTCTTCAGGGGCAATAACAGGCATGGAACTGTCATCTCCTATGATAGCAATGCCTTCTTCTGGAATACCTCCTGAAGGACCTGCCTCAGGCTGTTTCATAGTTCATTTATATTTTAATAAGTAGAAGGAGCACACTCTAAATTAACGATAAAAACACAGCATAGTAAATATTAGGCGATGGGAATTTTTTAGCTCCATTGTAGTCTTATGGGACCACCATTCTATATGCCATCCATCATTGACCAGAATGGTGTTACGCAGCTTATGGCTGTATTTTCTATGGCCCTTTACTTTTTAGATATATTTAGTCAAAAAAGAAAAGCAGCAGATAGGAGAGAAGTTTATACAAAACATAACACCAATTGTAGAATCTTCAATGACAGTTTAAAATGCCTTAGCAAGGTGAAAACAATATAATAAACACAGTATCTTCTGAACTAATAAAATTGGAACTGAGAAAGCAAATTAATGCACAGTAATGAAATTAAAATGGGGCATACTTAAACTTAAAAATAGACTCTGCTCTTTTAGTACTAAAAACAATACTTATTTATAATTACTGCCTAATTCATGTGTCACCAATTTTAAGGCCATTTTTAATGTATTTCTATCCTTACGGGATATACACTTTTTTGGCGTCTATGGTCACTAAGTCCAGATCCTCCAAAGTCCATTCAAAAGAAATGAAGATTCCTTTGTTTAAATTCTATTTTTAGTTTAGATTCAGGGAGTACATGTGCTTGTTTGTTATATGAGAGTATTACATGTGTAATAGTGGAGGCTGGGTTTCTAGTGTACTCATCACCCAGATATTGGACATTGTACCCAGAGGTGATTTTTCAACTCCCCTACCCTACACCCTTTAGAGTCCTGAGAGTCTATTTTCCTTATCTTTATGTCCATATGTACCCTTTGTTTAGTTCCACTTATAAGTGAGAATATGTGATATTTGATTTTCTGCTTCTGTATTAGTTTACTTATAATAATGGCCCCCTGCTCCACCCATGTTTCTGAAAAGGATATGATTTTATTCTTTTTTATGGCTGCGTAGTGTTCCATCATGTATATATAACATATTTTCTTTATCCAATCAACTTTTTGCAGACACTTAGGTTGGTTCCATGAGTTTGCTATTGTGAATAGTGTAATAACATATGAATGCCGGTATCTTTTTAATATAACACCTTTTTTTTTTTTTACCTTTGGATAGATACCCAGTAATGAAATTACTGGGTCAAATGTATTAGTTCTATTTTTAGCTCTCAGAAATATCTCCATACTGTTTTCCATAGAGTTTGATCTAAGTTATATTCCCACTGACAGTGTATGATTGCTCTCTCTTCTCCACATCCATGTCAACATCTTGTTTTTTGACTTTTTAATAAAAACCATTCTGACTGGTGTAAGATGGTATCTCAGTGTGGTTTTAATTTGCATTTCTCTGATGATTCCTGATATTAAGTATTTTTTCAAATGTTTGTTGGTCACTTGTATTTCTTCTTTTGAGAAACGTCTGTTCATGTTCTTTGCCCAGTTTATAGTGGTTTTTTGTTTGTTTGTTTGCTGAGTTGATTGAATTCTTTTTAAATTCTGGATATTAATCCTTGTCAGATACATAATTTGTAAATATTTTCTCCCACTCTGTAGGATGATTATTGTGCCCTGCAGAAGCTTTTTACTTTAATTAAGTCCCATTTGTATATTTTTGGTTTTGTTGCAAACGTTGGAGGTCTTCATCATAAATTCTGTGCTAGGCTAATATCCAGAAGAGTTTTTCCTAGGTTTTCTGCTAGGACATTTGCAGTTTTAGGTCTCATGTTTAGGTCTTTCATCCACCTTGGTTTAATTTTTGTATATGGTGAGAGATAGTGGTCCATTTTCATTCTTCTGCATATGGCTAGCCAGTTTTTCCAGCACTATTGGTTTAATAGACTGTCCTTTCCCCATTGTTTATTTTTCTTTACTTTACTGAAGATTGATTGGTTGTAGGTTTGTGGCTTTGGCTTTATCTCTGTGTTCTCTGTTGTGTTCACTTGATCGGTGTATCTATTTTTGTGCCAGTATCATACTGTTTTAGTTAGTTATAGCCTTATAAAGTAATTTGAAGTCAGGTAATGTGATGCCTGTAGATTTTTTTTTCCGTAGGAGTGCTCTGGCTAGTCAGGCATTTTGTTATTGTTCCATATGAACTTTAGGGTTGTCTTTCCTAACTTAGTGAAAAATGACATTGGTACTTTGATAGGAATTGTGTTGAATCTGTGGATTGCTACAGGCAGTATGGTCATTGATTCTTCCATTTCATAAGCATGAGATATTTTTTCATTTATTTGTGTTGTCTACAAGTACTTTTATTTGTATTTGGTAGTTGTCATTATAGAGATCTTTCATTGTCTTCTTTAACATATATTTCTAGATTAGTGTGTGTGTCTGTGTGGCTATTGTAAATGAGATTGAGTTCTTAATTTGGTTCTCAGCTTAAATGTTATTGAGATATATAAATGCTATTGATTTATGTATTTTGATTTTGTATCTTGGAGACTTTACTGAAGTCACTAATCAGGTCCAGGAGCTGAATTTCACCAGACATACAAATAAAAGCTGGTGCCAGTCTTACTGAAACTATTCCAAAAAATCAGGAAAGAGGGATCTCTCCCTAATTCATTCTATGAATGCTGTATTACCCTGATACCAAAATCAGGCAAGGACACAACAAAAAAGAAAATTCTAGTCCAATACCCCTAATGAACATAGATACAAAAATTCTCAGCAAAATACTAGTAAAGCAAATCCAAAAGCACATCAAAAAGATAATTCACCATAATCAAATAGGCTATATTCTAGGGATGCATGGATGGTTTAACATACATAAATCAATAAACATGATTCACCGAATAAAAATATCTAAGAACAAAAGAAAGATGCAGAAAAAGCATTTCCTAAAATCCAGCAAACTTTCATGATAAAAACCCTCAACAAACAAGGCATAGGTGGAGCATACCTGAAAATAATAGAAGCCATATATAAGAAACCCACAGTCGACCTTATACTGAATGGGGAAAGTTGAAAGCAATTCCCCTGAGAACTGGAACAAGGCAAGGATGCCCATGTTCACCACTCTTATTTAACGTAAAACTATCTGGCAATAGAAAGAAATAAAAGTCATCTAAATTGGAAAAACAGAAGTCAAATTATCTCTGTTCACTGATGACAAGATCATATACCTAGAAAAATATTTTTTTAAGAGGCAAATGTCTATTAACATCATATTAAGTATTGTGCTTAGCATCCAGATTCTATTTGCAGCCAGGGCATTGTAAAGATTATTTACCTGCTAAAATGTGTTTATACCAGATCCCATTAGAATCTCAACGGCCCATCAAGAATCCCCAGATTTCCATCATTATTTGCCTAAAGAATGAATGTACACATTGCACATATTGAGTATAAAACATTCCTAAGCAGTTTATGAGCAAAGTACTGTATTAATTTCAAGTTGACAGAATCTGAAAACATGATATTTCAACCACTTGTCATTTATTATTCTCCACTCTAATGGCTCTGTCAAATGGTGATCTAGATGTTTTTTTTGAATCGATGTGGTCACAGGAGTTTTATCTACCTTTGTAGCGGAGCTTTCTTCTTAGGTATTATAAAGCTCTTTTTTTAGGGACATCTGGTATAATAGTAGAGACCCCATTACACATTGAAATACTATAAAACATTTAATAAGGTAAAAACATCCATACTGGTACATTAAATGTATATTACGACTATGTAACAAAACACAATAAGGAACTGTACAAAACATATATCTAAGTCATCTGGTCACTATATCCTGAGTCAAATTTATGATTCAGGCTATGAATGAGCAACAAGGCTCGTTTAACAGCCGCCACCTTTTCACGTGCAGAAGTCTCCTAACGAGGAAAGCTGCATTGTCCCAGAATACAGGTTACAAGGGAAGAAGAGAGGATTGGAACAATATTACTTTTCCCTAATTTTCAGGCTTTATAATTTTCTGTACAAGCATAGGGAAGCCTGGAGGTCCTTTGCCAGGGAGAATAAGCTTAATGTTAAGCTATAAAGGAACATTTACATTAGAAAAGATAATGCAGGTGTCCTTATCACCCGCTTTATGATGAAGCTCATGGCAACTGACAATTTGTAAATTTCAAATGCCAAGATTCTGCAGCTATCATTACCAGAGAAGGATTAACATATTTTATGGTACCAATTTTTTAAAAAATCAGTGGATGTCTCAAAATGCTCCAACCTGAAACAGATGGTTAGCCTCTGGGTCAATTACCCATGGCTGGGTTGGTGGTAGTGAGGATGAGTTCTGAGCACATGGCAGCCTGCATTCTGCAGCAGAATGGACCAAGGAGACATCACCTACCAAGCGGGATGAAATCACCGTTTCTCTCGGTTGAGTTAATGTCTCTTGAATTTTCTTTCTGCTCACATATTTGTTTGCTTATCAGTCTACCTCAAGCAACCAGAGTGAATCTTTAAAAAACATGTCAGAGCATGTGGATCCTCTGCTCAGAACTTTCCAAGGACACTCTCCCAAGCCACAGATTAAAGCCAAAGCCAAGGACTTTTTCAGCATCTACCACACCTTCACAATCTGGCTTCCTATTCCCTCCAGACTTCCTTTCTCATGACTCTCCTTCACCACATTCTGTCCTGGTTGCACTTCCTCAAACAAACCAGGCAAGTCAAGGCCTTTCAAACTACCCTTATCTTTGCCTGTAATCCTGGAGCCTAGCTCCAGGTCTCTCCCTCAACTCAAATCATACCCTTTCATTGAGGCTTTCTCTGAGCCCATATTTAAAATTGTGAAAATCCCAAATATCTTACACTCCCTTATCCCTTATCACTTTATTTGTTTTCATAGCAATTAACACCTTCTTAAATGCCCTCAGATTTACTGAGAAGGCAGAATGTTTGTCTGTCTTGTTCACAGCTTTGTCTTTAGTGCCTAAAACAATGCCTGAAATATAATGACATTTCCTTAATAAATACTTGTGATTGAATAAAAGTTAACTAGTATTATGATAAAGGTCAGCTATGGACAGTTTAAATGATTGTTCTCCAAATCTCACTGTTAATAAGTCTTAAGGATAGGGTTCAGAAATATATTCCTGTGAAGCCTGAAATTTTTTACTATTAAAAAATTAGCATATGTGCCAAAGTTCACAAAGCTTTACGAATATTCATTCATTTTGCCCTCACAAAAAGCATGAGATGAAGTTACTCCTATTATCTCTACTTTAAAGAGTAGGAAAGCAATCACTAGACATTTAGTAACCTGACTAAGATCACAAGCTAATAAATAATCTGTGCTCTGAACTAATTTCTATAAGATCATGTTAACATGACTTGTTTTTATAACTGTGATTTTATATTTTCTTTAGTATATATGCATGCTTTCAGACATTTTATTTTTGAAATTCTAATAAGAACGTACGTATGCTTGGGCCAACTTCAATGTGGAGCGTGTGCAGCAGGGCTCCTTACCAGCCCCGTAACTCCTGTTGATATGGTTTGGGTCTGTGTCTCTGCCAAAATCTCATGTCAAGTTGTATCCCCATGTTGGAGGTGGGGCCTGGTGAGAAGTGATTGGATCATGGGGGTAGATTCCCCCATTGCTGTTGTGTGATAATGAGTGAGTTATCACGAGATTTGGTTGTTTAAAAGTGTGTATCACTTCCCCCTCTCTGGTCTACTGTACAAAACCCAGACTTTTGGCCAGAGCTCAGGGGAATTCAGGCATACCTAACTGTAAGAGAGGCTAGTAAATGAAATTTAGCTGCATGCTCAAGAAGTAGAGGAAATAGGTTTTGGTGCCACACGTGTTTCAAGAGAGAGCATGGGAAAGTGTCTCAGGCATAGAATTGAGAAGGCTCCTGCTCTGGCCGTGTAAGAGGCACCTGCTTCTCCCTTACCTTCTGCCATCATTGTAAGTTTCCTGAGGCCTCCCCATCCGTGTTTCCTGTACAGCCTGTGGAACTGTGAGCCAATTAAACCTTTTTTATTTTTTTAATTTTTTTTATTTGAGACGGAGTCTTGCTCTGTCACCCAGGCTGGAGTGCAGTGGCGCGATCTGAGCTCACCGCAAGCTCCGCCTCCCGGGTTCACGCCATTCTCCTGCCTCAGCCTCCCGAGTAGCTGGGACTACAGGCACCTGCCACCACGCCTGGCTAATTTTTTGTATTCTTAGTAGAGACGGGGTTTCACCGTGGTCTTGATCTCCTGACCTCATGATCCGCCCGCCTCGGCCTACCAAAGTGCTGGGATTACAGGCGTGAGCCACCCCACCCAGCCTAAACCTCTTTTCTTTATAAATCATCCAGTTTAAGGTATTTCTTTATTGCAGTGCGAGAAAAGACTGGTATACCTGTACACCTTTGAACTGCCACATGACAGTTTTCTGTTTTGCTCTAGTTAATATATGACAGATCTCTTCACTAGAGCACCTTCACATACACACTAAAATATAATGATGTTATAAAATAATTGTAGGAGAATGGTTAAATAGGTTAAGCCACATGCCTAAGCTATAATAGTAGATAGTAAAAAAATAGTTATTACAATTATTACCATGCTAAATGTTAGGTTATGAAAATTATTATAAAAAATTAAATAGATAATATAATCTTACATGCATACATGTAAAAAGACCACATTGTTATAAGAAAAAGTACTCCAAATATATATTATATATGGAAATTATATTATAATGTAGCACAGTATTACATTATAGGGTTAATATAATTGATTTTGTTTATTCTATTTTACTTTTAGAGGAAAAATCACTTTTGTTTGTTCATTTATTTGATTCCTTTACTGTATTGAACACAAATATGCCTCCCTTTCGCATTTGTACTCTATCCCAGGACACACAGAAGATGAATGCTAATTATAAATGAGGCAAGTATGTGTGTGTGTATAATTTCTCTCCCTTGGTCTTTACTTATCCAAACTAAATCAAAGTTGGTTTTACTTTTGTTTAACTGGTAGCCAAGAGATAAATACCTAAAGTTCCTTTCAAATAAAATTGCTGTAAAGTGGCCAACAAACATATGAAAAAATATTCAACATCACTAATCATTGGAGAACTGCAAATCAGAACCAAAATGAGATACTATCTCTCACCAGTCGCACTGACTACTATTAAAAAGTCAAAAAATAACAGATGTTGGTGGAGATACAGAGAAAAGAGAACACTTACATATTGCTGGTAGGAATGTAAATTAGTTCAGCCCCTGTGGAAAGCAGTTGGGAGATTTCTCAAGGAAGTAAAAATACAACTACCATTTGACACAACAATCCCATTACTGAGTATATACCCAAAGGAAAATAAATTTTTCTATGGAAAAGACACTTGTATTCACATGTTTATCACAGCACTATTCACAATAGCAAAGACATGGAATCAACCTAGGTGCCCATCAACAGTCTATACACCATGGAATACTACACAGCCATATAAAAGAACGAAATCGTGTAGCAAGAGGGATGCAGCTGGAGGCCATTATCTGCAGTGAGTAATGAAGAAACAGAATACCAAATATTTCATATTCTCACTTACAAGTGGGAGCTAAACATTGGATACACATGGACATAAAGATGGAAAAAGTAGACACTGGGGAATACTCGAGTGGATAGGGAGTGAGGGGAGACAGGGCTGAGAAAATTTCTACCATGTACTATGTTCACTATTTGATGATGGGATGAATAGAAGCCTAAACTTGAGCATCACAAAATATACCCTTGTAATATACCTGCACACGTACCAACTGAATCTAAAATAAAATTAAAAGAAGTAGCCAGAAGCAATGGCTCATGTGTATAATCCCAACATTTTGAGAGCCTGAGGCAGGAGAATCCCTTAAGGCCAAGGGTTCAAAACCAGCCTGGGCAACATAGTAAGACCCCATCTTTACCAAGAAAAAAGAAAAAAAAGTGCTGGGCCTGGTGGCGTACACCTGTACTCCCAGTGACTTCAGAGCCTGAGGCAGTAAGATTGTTTGAGCCCAGAGGTGCAAGGCTGCAGTAAGCTGTGATCCCTAACCCTACTCCTAACAAACAGTAACCCCTAACCTTAGACAACTACAGTCTGGGCAACTGAGGAAGACCCTGTGTCTAAAAAAATAAAATGTAAAAAACTCAAAAATTTTTTTATAGAGAGAAAAAAGAAAAAAGTAAAACTGTTGTAAAGTTTTGAAGGAGTGTGGATAAATACCATATATCTAGAATTATGCAGGAGGTTAGTATACAGCTTTGAAAAACTTTTGAATTATTTTAAGTAGAATAGATCTGAGGCATTACTTTGTTTTGTACTGAATTGTGTACCTGTAGAAAGAGGCTTTAAACAGTTATGGTTAATAAAATGCCTTCTCCGTTATGTTATTACACGTAAGACATTTAATTACATGACAGAATTATCAAGTCCCAGATTGAAAGAAGCATAAGGTCTACATACGGCCTATAAACCTTGAGGCCATTTTCCTCCCATTATAATTCTGGAGGAAATAGACACTAGTTAATCTGCTAAATTTTGTTCCCACAATTTCTATGTCTAAATCTCAGGTTAGAAGTAAATGTATTAAATTTACTTGTTCTAGGCTTATTTGGAAGTAACAGGAAGTTTGTGTTGTATTTTATGTTTAATTTTCCTATGATAAACTATTTTATGTTATAGATGACTAGTTAACTTCCTTTCTTAGCTTCTAAACTGTCATCAAAAATTAGATGAGACCTTTGTGTTTTTGAGTATTAGGGAGAGAATACTTTCACTCTTTTATTTGTAATTGGTGAAAAACAAGTTTTTCTCAATTTGCTTATTTAGATGTTACCCAAAAAATGCACACAAAAGATGATAAGAAACATAAATTTCTCATCTCTATTAGAATTAATCCACGTATAGTTTTGCCAAAACCTCAGCAGACACTCTGTGGCTATATGTGAAACCATCTTCTATGTGTCTGCTGCTTAAATCCAATCAGGAAAATGAGTAACCACCATTCCTTTAAACTAGTTTACACAGTGGGTGGTCAAAATATCACCACATTCCCACTGCTCACCTCCAAGTTCAACTCCAGGAGTCTCTATATAGTAACATTAATGTCTGAAATTGGATTGAGGGATTCCCGTATGCTGTCATCTAAAACCCATTATGATGGCTATAAAGCAATGGCCACTAAAATTGATAGAGGAAGATGAACTGAGAAAAGAGTTTAATAAGTGAAAAACAAGAGTTCTTGAGCTTAAAAGCAATTTTCACAGTAGGTCTTTGTATGCATCTGCACAGACATGAAACTCAACAGGAGAAAGTAGAAAGCCTACTATCTTTTCAGGGAATTATCTTTGAAAGAAAACCTACAGACTGGCTGGTCAATGTCTTTAAACAATTTATGAGACCCCACAAATGCACAAGAAGGAAGTGACCTGTGAAGAATGTGCAATCCCCAAAAAGGGCTTATTTTCCAACACCCTCCTGCCATATAGTCATGAAAAATTTCAGACGTTAAAGAAATTCCAAGAAAACAAATTTATCAGTCAATGCAGGCAAGAAATGTTCACCAAGAGAGCAGAATCAAGGCCTTACACATGGATAAACACAGGATCATTATCACCGGTGAAGGTACCCCTCACTCTTCTTGTCTTGGCGTAGTTCCATCAGAACTCTGGACATGTGAAGGCTTTGTGTTTTTCATGTATGCCTCTCTGAATAGAAAACATTTTCTTTCACTGATTTTTTCACCGTATTTGTGCATTGTATATTGATACTTCATGGCAGACTTCTCTAGACCTGATGGACAGAACCAACTATAAGTCGCCCAGATATACTCAATTTTCAGCTGGATGAAGTTACTTGAAAAACTTTGATTGGTTCCCTCCAGGAAAGAGTTCTGTATGTGAGAGAAGAAACATGCATGTAGCCAAAGAAACAGTCTGCACTAGAGACTTCTACTAGTCCTTTGTAGTAGAATTCTCCATTTTTTAAGCCTGTACCATTTCCCTGCATGTAAATTACATTATCAGGTTCCTTTGCAGTTACATGTGGAAATATGATTAAGTTCTAGCCAGTAAGCTGTAAAGAACAGCCTGTGAAAGTTATTTCTAAAGAAGGAGAATGTACCCTTTGTCCCTGTAATTTTCTGCTACCTGGATTGCAGATTTAATCGCCAGGGATTGAGCAGTCATCTTGGACCATAAGGTGACATCTAGAAAAGGAAAGTAGTAAGCTCAAAGGAGCCCATGGTATGGTATCTACCCGATTCCTTTTATGATAAATAAACATATCTCACCCAAGCTATCATTATTGTGGGGTTTTCAGTAGGTGGTAACCTAACTGAATCCTATGTAAAGCAGTATGTCTAGTCCCATTCTTTACATATGGAAAAAAAAGCGGTAGTAACATTTCCCAAACTATACAGCCTCTAAAAGCTGATGTGGAATTTCCTTTTTTTTAAAATTTTATTATTATTATACTTTAAGTTTTAGGGTACATGTGCACAATGTGCAGGTTTGTTACATATGTATACATGTGCCATGTTGGCATGCTGCACCCATTAACTCTTCATTTACTCAGCTGACTTTAGAAATTTGTTTCTTAATCCCCAAAATAAATAAGCATTCACTGAAGATTTACATGATATATTTTATTCCGCTGGTTAGAAATTAATATAAGTAAACCTAATTTTGTGAACATGAACCATCCAAGAGCCTGAATGAGCATAGATATATAGATATATATGCTTATTTTTTATAAACCTATACCATACACACACACACACCACACACACACACACACACACACACACACACACAGGTCATGGGAGTGGTAAGGAAAATGATTGCTATTTTAAATTTTATTCATAATATTTTTAATGTTAAATTGGAACTAATATACTATAATAAAATATAATAAATTATGAATTTTAGGTGACATATGATCAGTAGTAGGCAGTTTATTATTCCACTTTTTTATGTCAATTTTTTTAATGAAATAATGAAAAATAACAGTAAAACAGCATAGGTTAAAAACAAAACAGCAAATTACATATGTGCCTTTGTGTAAACATTTTTTCTTAAGTAATTTAAAATACACTTTTTTTTTTTGAGACAGAGTCTTGCCATGTCTCCCAGGCTAGAGTGCAGTCACTTGATCTTGGCTCAATGCAACTCCACCTCCCGAGTTCTAGCCATTCTCCTGCCTCAGCCTCCTAAGTAGCTGGGACTACAGGTGTCTGCCACCATGCCTGGCTAATTTTTGTTGTTGTTGTTGTTGTTGTTGTATTTTTAGTAGAGATAGATTTTCACCACGTTGACCAGGCTGGTCTTGAACTCCTGACCTCAAGTGGTCTGCCCACCTTGGCCTCCCAAAGTGCTGGGATTACAGACGTGAACCTCTGCACCCGGCCTAAAATACACATTTCCTACTTGGTGATATTTTTTGACAAGATAAATATTGACTTTTATAACCAGCAGTGTTAATTAGCTATTTGATGTGAGGTGTAGAAACATTCCTCCATTGTGTCGACCGAGTCATGAAAGAGTTTCCAACAACAAAAACACTCCTTGGGTTTGAAGGTCACTGGCTTGTTACCTTCTGAGGTGAATAATTTCTAGAAAATTCCTTTGTTGCTCTTAATAATGTAAACTATTTAGATTAGCAAATGTTTAAATAAGTTAAATGTTTTCATACATTTGAGTAGCTTTCCTTAAAAATATAGCAGTGCTACTTGGCAGAGGGTAGTCTGCTAAAATAGTCAAATAATTACAATGAAAAGACGATAAAAGGAGTACAACATAAATTAATAAATAAATACCAAGAAGAGATTACTGTAAAGTAGGGATGGTTGTAACTTTTGTGGGAAGGGGAGATTCAGGATGAGGACGGTCTCATGGATGGCTTCGGGAGTCAAAGTTGTGTTTCTTGACCTTGCTATCAGGAAGTCAGGGAGAAGGGTCATTAAAAAGCTGTTTTTTGTTTGTTTGTTTTTCCATTTGGTAATTAATTAAGCTATATATTTCTTTAGGCGGCTTTCTGAATCTGTATTTCACTTTAAAACAAATAGTCAATAAATATGAATGCACAGGCAAGAAGCTAACTAGAGTACTCATTTCCTCTTCCCACCCCAGAAATAGTGTCCTATTTAGAAAAACTTTAACCACAACATGACGATCATATATAATAGTGCAACTCTCTCATTTCTCCTATTTTACAGTTAGTGATTCTTGATGATTTGGTTCAGATTTCCACACCAAAGCATCATTGCTCTCCATCATAGCACCACTAGCAGTATCTGTCGAAGCCTGCTAAGGCAATTGGTATTGAGGGACAGGACTAGCTGGATTTCCTAGGCTGACTAAGAATCCCCAAGCCTAGCTGGGAAGGTGACCACATCCACCTTTAAACAGGGGGCTTGCAACTTAGCTCACACCCAACCAATCAAAGAGCTCACTAAAATGCTAATTAGGCAAAAACGGGAGGTAAAGAAATAGCCAATCATGTATCGCCTGAGAGCACAGGGGGAGGGACAATGATCGGGATATAAACCCAGGCATTCGAGCTGGCAACGTCTACCTTCTTTGGGTCCCCTCCCTTTGTATGGGAGCTCTGTTTTCACTCTATTAAAACTTGCAACTGCGCTCTCTTCTGGTCAGTGTTTGTTACGGCTCGAGCTGAGCTTTCACTTGCTGTCCACCACTGCTGTTTGCCGCTGTCACAGACCCGCCGCTGACTTCCATCCCTCTGGATCCGGCAGGGTGTCTGCTGTGCTCCTGATCCAGCAAGGTGCCCATTGCCGCTCTCGATCAGGCTAAAGGCTTGCCATTGTTCCTGCATAGCTAAGTTCCCGGGTTCGTCCTAACTGAGCTGAACACTAGTCACTGGGTTCCACGGTTCTCTTCTGCGACCCGCGGCTTCTAATAGAGCTATAACACTCATCACGTGGCCCAAGATTCCATTCCTTGGAATCCCTGAGGCCAAGAACCCCAGGTCAGAACACGAGGCTTGCTGCCCTCTTGGAAGCAGCCCGCCACCATCTTGGGAGCTCTGGGAACAAGGACACCCTGGTAACAGTATGAGCTCGAAAATGAACATCACACAGCACAGATTTGGAGTCCAGAAGTAAACTGGCAAAAGTATATGAGGAAATTCAACAATACCTTACCAAGGTATTTTTTATTTCACATTGGTGTTAAAATTGATTAAGATAATGATAATTCAAATTTATTGACTCAATTATACAATCTATTTTCTTACTTCCTATTGCCAGATTATTCTTATGCCTTATTAAATTACGAGCAAATATGATTAACAGTATGTTCAAACCTTGGTCAGACTAAAACTTAATTTCGGTAACCCCAAATATTTCAAATATAAAACTATAAAGTGAGCCATAATTTTGTTAGTTCAGATTTGTATACATGTTTAGTGTTCATAGTAAAGATCCAATAAATTTTAAAAAGTTAAAATTAATTTGAATCCACTCTATTAATTTTTAAAACAGTCGTTTCATTTGGAAAAGTACTCAGAGAAATATTTTTGTGAACTTTATATGACTGCATATGAATTACTTCTGATCTACTTTTAGATGAAACTTCTTCCTTTTGAAGAGTATAAATTATTTTCTGAACTAGACATTTAAATACAGGAATATAAAATGATCCTTCCTCTTGACATCTGTTTAATGTGCTTACAAATAATCAAACTATTGTATTTTAGAAAGTGTTATCTCAAAACTTCCAAAAATGTAAATGGATAAGAGTCATTTTAACTGTTGAATAGTATAGTTGCATCTCTTTGCAAGCACATGTCCTACTAATAAGGCATATGGGTACCAGAGTGTCCAGAGAAATCAGAGTGAAATTTCAACAGCACCGGACAAGAACTAAAGCAGATTAATGCATTCAGACTAATGGTAGAGAAGACCCGAGTGACCACCATTGCAGCTGACGTATATGAAAGCTTTTAAAATTTCATTTCTTGTTAGTTTGATCTCTCTACATTAAAAAGGATGTGCTGGGAGGCAGTTTAAAATGAAAAGGTTCATTTATCTCTGGGCTAGAAAGTTAGAGTTACCCAATTTTACCTCTTAAAGAAAGGAAAGTGAGAAAAATTGATCGATGGTGGATCAGGCTCAAGGAATCTTAGAAATGTGTCTAAAATTGACTTGTTCCAGATCTTCTCACAGATGAAACTGACACTTTGCCTTTCACTAAAAACCTTCAGGAATTGAGGTCTAAAACAATACAACCACACTAAGATGTCATTAGCTGATTAGATCTTAATGAGTTATTTTTTCACATTGAGCTCATATTATGGTCAGAAATATTCTTCCTCAGGGAACTAATATCAGATGCTAGAATGATAAATAAATTTGCCCATTTTTAGAATTTTCTCCTTTCTATAGGTTTTCGGGAAACAGGTGGTATTCGGTCACATGTGTAAGTTCTTTGGTGGGGATTTGTGAGATTTTGGTGCATCCTTCACCTGAGCAGTGTACATTGAACCAAATTTGTAGTCTTTTGTTTTTCTTGTCCCTTAAATTATCTTCTATATAAACCTATAGCCAAAATTGGGAAGGTGAGACGTGAATGTTCTAGCTCCTTCATCTATTTCCACGGTATTTTACTGGAATATTTTCTTCCACTTATCTCTAAAATATACAGCACTGCCACATCCAGAAATACTTTATCCCATGAAAACTGCTTTCTTTCCATAATTTCAAATATTCTTTAGCCTCCTTCTATCCTGAATCTTGCCAAATATCTCCTAATGCTTTCAAATCCAAATTCCCCAAAGGTATTTGATGGGAAAAAGATCACTACTTAAAGATTTGCAAATGTATTAAATAGCATATCTATAAATATGATTTCAGGACAAAATAGAAAGAAAACATGATTTTAATCTAAGAAAAATAATGGGCCAGGCGCGGTGGCTCACGCCTGTAATCCCAGCACTTTGGGAGGCCAAAGTGGGGACAGAGTGAGACTTTGTCAAAAAAAAAAAGGAAAAAAAGTCTTATAGCAAAAGCAAAGTGTGTGTGTGTGTGTGTGTGTGTGTGTGTGTGTGTGTGTTTATTTGGAAGATGAAAGAGACAGTTGACACAGTTTTACTACCCAAATATGCATACCTATTTTACTGAATCAAGAAACATGAAGTCCTCCTAAAAGGAAATAATTTAACATGGGTCTTATCTAACCTCCATTTTTTTTTCTTTTTGGTCTCTGACAGCAAGAGCGTTGGAATCCTATCTAATATTTCATAGATGTCTCAGAGTTACTTGAGCAACAATAGTTTTTAAAATCAAGATCTAAGCTTTAATGAGCAAAATGTTATGAAAAAATAAAATATAAATACGTTTTCATGTGGTTTATGGGAAATAGGCTACGATAAACATTACAAAACCTTTTTCTTTATTATTTTTAGAAACAATCTTACAAAAACTTTCAAGTATAATATAAAGAAGTTTTTCTAAACTATTTGAGAGTAAGTTGTAGACATGATGCTCCATCACACTGAGCAAACAAGAATATGCTGTCCAACTACAGCAAAAGCATGAAGACCAGGCGATTAACATAGAAATATTACCATCATCTAATCCTGCTAATCCTCAGGTCCTCAAATTTCACCATTTGTCTACTGATGTCCATTTTAGCAAAAGAATCAAGTTCAGAGTCACATGTCATTCCAATCTCCTTTTGTCTGAAACAGTTCCTCAACATTTCCTTGGCTATCATGACCTTGACAATCTTGAGGGTTTCAGGCGGGTACAAGTAGAATGCCATTTAGTTTTGTTTTGTCTATTGTTTCCTTATGATTGATTCAGGTTATTTATCTTTAGCAGAAATATCATAGATGTTTCTATGTTCATGCGGTGGCTCACACCTGTAACCCCAGCACTTTGGGAGGCTGAGGCGGGCAGATCACCTGAGGTCAGGAGTTTGAGACCAGCCTTGCCAACATGACAAAACCTCATCTCTACTAAAAATACAAAAATTAGCTGGGTGTGGTGGTTCATGCCCGGCTACTTGGGAGGCTGAGGCAGGAGAATGGCTTGAACCCGGAAGGTGGAAAGTTGCAATGAGCCAAGGTTGTGCCACTGCACTCCAGCCTGGGTGACAGAGTGAGGCTGTCTCAAAATATATATATATATATATATATGTCTTTATGGTAGAACAACTTATTTTCTTTTGGGTATATATGCAGTAATGGGATTGCTAGGTCAAATGGTAGTTCCACTTTAAGTCCTTTGAAAAATCTCCAGACTGCTTTCCACAGTGGCTGAACTAATTTACATTCCCACCAGCAGTGTATAAGCCTTTCCTTTTCTCCTCAACTTCACCAGCATCTGTTCTTTTTTGACTTTTTAGTATTAGCTATTCTGACTGGTTTGAATGGTGTCTCATTGTGGTTTTGATTTGCGTTTCCCTAATGATTAGTGATATTGAACATTTTTTCATACACTTGTTGGCCACGTGATGTCTTCTTTTGAGAAGTGTCTGTTCCTGTCCTTTGCCCATTTTTAAATGGGGTTGTTTGTTTTTCGCTTGTTGAGTTCCTTATAGCTTCTGAATATTAGACCTTTGTCAGATGCACAGTTTACAAGTATTTTCTCCCATTCTGTAGGTTATCTGTTTACTCTGTTGATACTTTCTTTTGCTGTGCAAAAGCTGGTTACTTTAATTAGGTCTCACTGGTCCATCTTTGTTTTGGTTGCAGCTGCTTTAGGAGTCTTCATCATCAAGTCTTTGCCAAGCTGAGATGTCCAGAATTGTATAGCCTAGATATTCTGCTAGAATCTTTTTCCTTTTAGGTTTTACTTTTAAATCTTTAATCCACCATGAGTTTCTTTTTGTTTTTTGTGTAAAGTAAGGGCTCAGTTTTCAATATTCTGCATATGGCTAACCAGCTATCCCAGCAGCATTTATTGAATAGGGAGTTCTTTCCCCATTGCTTGTTTTTGGTGATGCTGTCAAATATCAGATGGTTGTAGGTGTGCAGCTTTATTTCTGGGTTATCTAATCTGTTCCATTGGTCTCTGTCCGTTTTTGTACCAGTACTGTGCTGTTTTAGTTACTATAGTCTAGTAGTATAGGTTGAAGTTGGGTTGTGTGATGCCTCCAGCTTTGTTCTTTTGGCTTAGGATTGCTTTGGCTATTCAGGCTCTTTTTTGGTTCCAAATGAATTTTAGAATGACTTTTTTCTAATTATGTGAAAAAATGTCATAGGAAGTTTGATAGAAATAGCATTGAATCTGTAAATAGCTTTGAGGAGTACGGCCAGTTTAACAATATTGATTCTTCCTACCCATGAATATGGAATTTTTTTGAGTTGTTTGTGTTTTCTTTGATTTTTTTCAGCAGTGCTTTATAATTCTCATTGTAGAGGTCTTTCAACTCCTTAGTTAGCTGTATTCAGAGGCATTTTAAGGCATTGAAGGGACATACATCAAAATAGTAAGAGCCATCTACAACAAACCCATAGCCATCATCATACTGAATGGGCAAAAGATAGAAGCATTCCCCTTGAGAACCATAACAAGACAATGATGCCCACTCTCACCACTCCTATTCAACATAATACTGGAAGTCCTAGCCAGAGCAATCAGAAAAAAGAAAGAAAGAAAAGGTATCCAAATAGGAAGCGAGGAAGTCAAAATATCTCTCTTCACAGGCAATATAATACTATACTAGAAAACCCCATAGTCTGTGCCCAAGGGCTCCTAGATCTGATAAACAACTTCAGCAAAGTTTCAGGATACAAAATCAATGTGCAAAAATCAGTAGCGTTTTTATCCACCAATAACGTCCAAGCTGAGAGCAAAATTAAACATTTAATCCCATTTACAATAGCCACCAAAGAATAAAACACTTTTTAATGTGAAACTAAAAAAAAAAGATTATAGCTACAGGTATAAGGTAAATAAGCAATTAAAATGATAAGAGCATATTAGGCCAAACTCCAGTTATATATTTGAGATTGTTAATATGATTGATGATATTTTGAAAAATTACTGCAAAAATTGATCTCCCTAAAGTAGAATTGATTATACCATTTCTGAAGAAAATTGAGAAAGTTACAAATATTATCAATGTGTCTTCCATACATTCCCTAAAGGTGTCATGAATATATATATACATACTTTCCAACATCCATAAAATTCTGTAAGCTAAATAAAATCTTAATTTAGAGAAACTTTCTATATTTTATTTCTAAATTTCTATATCCAATACTAAAATTCCCCCAAAGATAATAGTTGGGAAAAAATATGTACCACTACTTAAATATTTGCAACTGTATTAAATAGCATGCCCATACATATAATTTTAGCCTTAACTACAAATTAGCAGAAAAGCATGATTTCATTCTGAGGAAAATAATGTATGCTTGTTGCCTGTATGTATGTGTTGTTTGTGTGACTCAAGCTGAAACAAGCCCTAATGACTCCATCATTAACTCAGAGAGCTAAGCAGACTGGGGGAAGAAATTGGGAAAATAGAAATAAGGGAAAGTCCAGAGCTCCCTATCATTTGATTGAACTGAGTTTCCATTGGCAGAACAGTGTTCTTGATAGGGCCACATATATCAGAATATCAAGTAGTGTAATAATAGAGGCTTGCATAGATTCAAAGCCTTAGCAGACACTTTAGTTCCAATAATTTGATAGTCAATTAAAAATAATAATTTACTATTGTGTGAAATATTATAATGGAGACTAGTGCAGGTATCTAAATCATCTCAATTACTGTTCATTATATAATTTAATGCAAGACAGCTGGGCGTAGTGGCAAGTACCTGTAATCCCAGCTACTTGAGAGCCAGAGGTGGGAGGATTGCTTGAGATCAGTAGTTTAAGAGCAACCTGGGCAGCACAACGAGACCCCATCTCTGAAAACAAAAGTAAAAGTGAATTAGCTGGGCATGGTGGAGTGTCTGTAGTCCCAGCTACTCAGGAAGCTGAGGCAGGAGGATTGCTTGAGCCCAGGAGTTTAAGGCTGCAGTGAGCTATAGTCGCACCACTGTGCTCCAGCCTGTGTGAAAGAGCAAGACCTCAAGTATAAATAATAAATAAAAACAATAATAGTAATTTAATGTAAGAAAAATGGTAATTTGTTCTTTACAAGAATGGGAAATTAGGCAAGCATTGACATAAGTCAGTTGATAACATTCTGCTCTGTTGCTTAAACAAAGGAGTTCCAGTGTTGAAAGAGCAGAATGGTAAGAAACATAAGGAAAAACTGGAGATAGTAAAATCTGAGACCTCTAAGAAAATGATAAATTATTCTAAAAATATGTGTTTGTGTAGATTTCATATCTGCATTTAAATGTATTGAACATTTTAGATGTTTATTCTTGAAATTGAAGCTTAAAGATTCTGTGCCATGGTGGTAACAATTTTCCAGGTTTTTCTATAATATTTCTTGTTGTTGCTTTACTAATTTGAAGAAATTCTTTAAAACGGTGACTTGAAACTTCTGTTGCTTCACTCACATGAAGCAAAGACTTTGCGGCAGTCTATCATCTTTTGACTTGCTTATAATGGATATTAATATCCTAAAATTTCTTACATTCATGCAGCCTATCCTGTCATTTTTTTCCTTTATGACAGGTTTCCTGTCTTGCTTAAAAATGACTCATAAATGTTGAGGCTGCTGCTCATATTTTTGTTTCTATATTTAACACATTAATCTCTTTGGAAATCATTCCATATAGTTGATAAGGCAAGCTTTATTTTTCTAAGTGGAAAGCCTATTAAGCAAACATTATTAATTTAAAAAACAATCTTAACCACTGCATTGAAATATCCCTTTAATATATGTTATATTCCCCATATTCTTAGATATGCTCTGAGATCATGTAAATTATCTTTTTAATTTTTTATTTATCCTATAACATAATTTTAATTATAGCAGATTAATATCTTTTTATTATATTGAATCACAAGCTCTTGATCCTAGAATTCTATTATAAAGTTATATTGAAGTATCTCACCTTTATTCTGCCATAAAAACTTACAAAACATTTTAATGCTTTCCAATATGGAATTCTGATTGATTTTGAATTAAATAAAGATTTACAATAAATTTTGCAATGTGGAAAAACAAAAAGTTAAGTTTTAAAATTCTGGAACATTATAAGCCTCTCCATTATTTAACTTAAAACATTATTTTTCATTATTATTTTTTATTTTTGAGACGGAGTCTCAGTCTGTTACCCAGGCTGGAGTGCAGTGGCACCATCTCAGCTCACTACAACCTCCGCCTCTCAGTTTCAAGCAATTCTCCTGCTTCAGCCTCCCTTGAGTAGCTGAGATTACAGGCACCCGCCACCACTCTCCAGCTAATTTTTGTGTTTTTAGTACAGATGGGCTTCCACCATATTGGCCCCAAACTCTTGACCTCAGATGATCCACCCACCTCGATCTCCCAAAGTGCTGGGATTGCAGGCGTGAGCCACCACTCCCGGCAAAACATTTTTAACATAACTCTTTAAAAAGAATGAATTTAGGTATCCAAAAATTAGCTAGGCATGCCAATTTGTGTGAGAAACACATCAGATGTTAATTGTTTGGGATATTTAACATTTGAATAGGAATTAATTGTACTAAATTTTGTGTATCAATTGAAATGTCAGACTTTCATGATGAATGATTAAAACTAAAGGCACAAGTGAAAAGTCAGATTCCAATTCAAATGTGAACATGAATAGAATTCTGCAGGTTTTTATTATATATTTAATACCTAATTGATTAGTTCTCATTTTCTTTGACAGTGAGATTGAATGAATTAAATTATGGTCAATGTTATCAATGAATGCATTCATCTTAACCTTTTTTTAGTCAATTACCACTATAAGCACTATTCTTTTCTCTTTTTTTTCTATATCCAAATTTGAATTAAAAGTGTACAGAGTCAAATGTACTTAGTGTTAAATGGTAGAAAGATAACAAGTATGAAAAAGTATAAATCATAAAAGTAGCAATTATTATAGAATCCAGCACTCTAGTATGTGACATTTAAGCATCTCTCTCAAGACTTCATCATGAACAATTTATAGCCTTAACTACAAATGAAATGTCATAAATAATTGGTCATGTACCTTTGACATTTCATCTCAGATTTGGTGAATCAATTTGTAATCTGGAACATTTGAAGCCAATATCTGGGGTCTGAAATCTCAAGGGTAGTTATTTTTAATTATTTTATGGAATGTATATATTTTGCTCATTTCTTTAAACATAATAAAACAAATCCTTGACTAAAGAAAAAGAACAAAAGTTGTAATAAAGAAAGCTGCCAAACATCCTAAAGGAACTATTAACAATATTAATAATTATAGAGGTCATTTAATTTTTTCTATTAAGTGAATTAAACTTAATATGTCATTTTGTACTTCCGAGGCTTAGGGGGAAAAGCTTTGCATATTCCTGAAGAATTTTCATTACCTATAGAATATTAATTTCCACTTACGGTTCAGTTCCAAGTTACAGTGAGATAGTGCTGTCTCTTCCAAACTTTGGTATCCATTAACTCTCTTTTGTGACTGTCCTTAAATAGGCCAAGTAAACTTAGCTGAAGAAGGAAGCAAAGATATTAACAACGCACCAAAGCATCTTGCTGAGTCAAAGTCCAAGGGGATAAGAAGTCTCAAGTTAGGACTCTGGAAAAATTGGAATCAAGGAACGGATCACTATCAGAATTCCCTTTCCAACTTCCTGCTTTCTATCTCTCCGTTTAACTCACTGTACTTTCATGTAGCCAATCATATTTATTTATTTCCAATACTTGAATCAGAATATGATAGTCAAGAGTGTACATGTTTACATTTCATTACTTAAAAATAGATAACAAGTTGAGTTGAAATTTTAGTAGGATCCAAACTAAGGAACCTTCCTAATCAGACTGAGAAGGATTCTGATTGGCTCAGCTGAAGAATGCTGGCACTTCAACCAATTCATAAGGAAGGAGGCAGCTGTGGGGACATATTTCCCAAAACAATAGTGGAGGTGATTCTCTGAAAATGAGATGGAGGACAAATGAAGCTAGGAACAAAAAATAAGAAAGAGTGGGCAATATATTTTCTTTTCTTTTTCATTCCTTTCCTATTCTAGGAATATACTGTCCTATGATTTAAGATTGTCAATTTTACAAATCCAAGGAGGAACCATTATTAGAGAGGATATATGAAAAGAAAACAAACTAAAACCTCTTTGATATGCCTAAATAATTTTCTGGTAAATTGAGCTGCTTTTCTCTCAAGTTTAAGAAACAGCGTTTAGAGTTACAGAGGGTGGCTGGAAATCAATAGCTCAGAGACCTTGATAAATGAAATCAGGAAAATGAAAACCTCAAAAGGGTCAAAAGTGAACATTCTTGACCTTAAGTGGAAAATACGTCTGTATTTTCTAACCACATCAAATCTGTTCACCTACATATTACTATTTTACCACGTCGTTTATGACCACAAAGCATGCATCCTGGATCTTGCTCCATAATTCATCACTGTCTTGCTAGCTCTTTGATACTTCCTGGTAAGTTTAAATATATATTCAGTCTAGTTTTTCAGTTTTACTCAATGAGAGAGAGTAAGAGGGAGTTTGCAAGAGAACAAGAAAGTGAAAGAGAGAGAGAGAGAGACTGTGTGTGTGCACGCAAAACCACCTTTGCAAAATTATGACAGTAAGAGAAATCTGACATGTTTGGCTCCATCTTATTTCTGACCTCCAAGCTGTTCTCGGTCATTCCTGGGTTTGGCCATGCTAGCTTTGGGAGGAATTTAGTTCATAGTTTAACTTGAAAGCAAGGATGATAATAGTCCCTCCCTAAAATGAACTCCCTCTTTGCTCAGGAAACAAAAACTGCCCTTGTAAGATTAATGAAAGGCCATAAGAATAGGATTATGCGACAGGCCTGAATTCTGCTAAAATGTAGCAATAGTTTCTATAATCCTCTGCTTCTCAGGAGTTATCTAGCTAGAGGTCACAAGACTTGTGACTTTCTCAATTGTTCCTACTGATAACATCACTATTGTAGAATCTAAGATTTCTTTTTTGTTGTTGTTTTTTGAGATATTTTTCAGACTGACCCTGCCTGAACCCATGACTCATGACCCAACTGGTCCTGTGGTCCTACCCAGAAGTGGATTCAGTGCAGAGGGCCACTTCCCACAACCCTATGATTTCATCCCCAACCAATCAACAACACCCATTCCTAGCCCCCTACCCACCAAATTGTTCATAAAATCCCTAAGCTCTGAGCCTGTGCAGAGGCAGATTTCAGTAATAACTCCTTCTCCCACATGGCCAGCTTCCTGTCAGTCAAACTCTTTCTCTACTGCAATGCCATGGTGTCAGTTAATTGATTTTGCCTGTGCAGCAAACAACCTATCAGGTGACTACAAGAGCAGAATCGCCTACTCTACCATCATCAAATGCTACTTGTCAATTGGTTTTAGTGCTCACGGTGATTCATACCATAATTCACCTAGTAATTATAAAATGATTCATATAACATTTAGTATTTGAAACTTTAAAGAACCTAGTAAGACACCAACTATATGTTTCTATCAATGTGGCTGAAAGAAAAGAGCAAGCTGTATTGTGGGAGAAGTGTGCCCCTTCACTGTTCACACAGCTTGGGGACACTGTTTTTAAAATATCTAGAGTTGGTATGGCTGAAATACCGTTTATAGTCTCTCTTCCTATCTTTCACACATGCTACCTCTATCCTTTTACACCACTTTCTTCCTTTCTCTTTTTCACTTCCTTGCTTATTTTTGAAGAAATCATTAGGTCAATCTCCAGTTTCACCTAAATGACAGTATCAGTCATCTTGAGCAGGCCAGAAAATAATATTGTCATCTTCCATGTGTCCTACCAAATGTAATGCCTTTAGCATCTGCTTTGAGGTTTGACAGAAAAATAAAATAAAAATAAAGTAAAATAAAAACACACACACAGAAGATTCCCTCTTCCAAACTCTCTGAACTACAATGAAAGCTTGTCTCAGTCCAAATTCTGCCATACTCATAAACATATAAGAGGCACAAAATATGGGGCCCAGGTTCTGGAGCCAGCTGGTTTGTGTGCAAAACCTGACTCAGTCAATTATTATATGTGTGACCTTTGGAAATTCACTAAGGTTCCCTGGGTCTTAGTTTCTTCAACTATGATTATCATGCCTACCTTGAGTTATGGTGAAGGCAAATGAGTTGATATATGTAAAGCCTTTAGCACAATGCCTGGAAGACAGTGAGCACTCAATAAATGCTGATCATTTCTATAAGAGGTACTATAGGTTGAAGGCTAAGGACCCAGGCTCTGGAGTCAGCTGTCAGGCCCCGAAGCCTAGTCTGCCTCTCAAGTAGCTGCATAGCCTTAGGCAAATTATTTAGTAGGTCAAACTGTTTTCAGATCCCAAATTATTGTTTTTTGTAATCCTTAGGGGTCAACAAGAACTGCAAGAGACTTTTCCACTATGTACATAAAGACAGAACTGGCCCACCAAGGAGAACAAATATTCCTGTTCCCCTTCCTGTTATCTCATTATCCTTTACAGGAACCACAGATGAACAGACCGTTTTTCAAGATAGTGAGTGTCTCCAATTATTTAAAATCCAAAGAACATTATTTACAATCAATTTAGGTTCTAGATCCTATCTTTCTCCCTAGTAATCATTTATTGCCCCTCAATGGAATTCTTCGTAGTCCTTCTCCCACAACTTGTTTTACAACGATCCAAGTGCCCATTCTTTCTGTAACCTCAAGATGATACATAAGCTCCTGTACCTCATTGGGAAGTTGCGTCTTCATTCTGATGGCTCCTGTGTAAACATGTTAATTTGTATGCCTTTTCTTCGGTTTTTTAAAAAAGTTCAAATAATATCCAAAAAGTTAGCCATCACAGTTATACATTTAATAAATCCTTCCTTGTCTTTATTCCACCTTTAAACTTCCTAAATTACCTTGGTTTTCTTCTCCGAAAGTTTTAATTACTTTCCTTTATAGTTAAGGTTTTCAAATTTTGTGGTTACATACTTTGGTGGTGTAAGGTACATGGATGTGCTTTGGTCAAGCAATAGGCGGAGGCAGATATCCAGGCCTTCATGACTTATCGAGTTTGGCACGCAGGTGCACACCTCCACTTGTTATATAACCTCTATGAGTTTATAATTGGCTCTGAGCCACTGTTGTTTGTAAAAGGTGTAATTGCCCTGCTAACGCTGTACAGGGGCTCTTGGGGCTCAGCTGGGCTCAGCATGGCTTGACATGTTGGGCTCGCTGGTGCCCAGAGAGAGAGAACCAGAGCTGTCCATCTTGCAGACGGACATAGGGGAGCCACAGCATGGCTCACGCTGGTGCCCAGAGAGAAAAGAGTTAAGCTGCTGACCCAGAAGGCAAGGGAGAGCTGGCCATGCAGCTGTAGGTGTGGGGGTGGCAGGAGCCACAGAGCCAGAGCAAACAGCTGAGACAAAGGTGGACAATGTGAAAAGAGCTAATGAGAAAGCTGATAATGAAAGCTGCTGCTAAATAAAAACCATATTCACCTGCCTACAGCCCTCCGCGTGTTCTTTCTGACCATCCACCCACTCCCCTCAAACTTCAGCATAGGCTGGACCTGGACCCCGGGATCTAACAGGTGGGTTTATTTGTCATTCATTAACAGGTCACTAACTGGGCTCTTCCAGTGAGGGGATTCCTATACTGAAACTCAAAAAATTTCTTCCTTTTGGTGGTAGGAAGAGTGGATAATTTCCAGAATTTTATTATGTAAACCAAGAATAAAATTCTAAGTGCCTCGACCAACTGAATGGACCTCCCTCTTGGGCAAGAGGACCCAAAGAAACCTGAAAAACTAGTTCAGGCCATGACAGAAATGGAGGCCAGGCATATCTCATTACACCCTCCTCTCTTAGGAGTTCAGGCACATCTGACCAGCACTAACATTGAAATAGAGCTCTTCAGACTGACAAAACAGATTCTTTGTAGCAATAAGCTAGCAAATTTCAACCTGACTCTAGTAGAGCATCACATGACAGCAGGCCCTGAAGGAAATCAAAGTATTTACACCAAAATATATTTCTTTGACCTATTTTGGAATGACTCTGCACAGCTGTCTCTTG
Organism: Homo sapiens; assembly: GCF_000001405.40. Lineage (NCBI taxonomy): Eukaryota > Metazoa > Chordata > Mammalia > Primates > Hominidae > Homo > Homo sapiens. Next base: position 171,643,311 of record NC_000004.12, read on the forward strand.
TGGGGGAACTTTGCATTCTGTTGAGAATCTCCTTCACTTACTAGCTCACTTCTGGAAAGGCTGGCACCCTTTAAATATCTGAATAGGAAACATTTGCTCTAAATAGAAAACTTTGCTCCCCTGAGCTCTGAACCTTTGGGGAGGCAGATTTGAGTGATAGCTCCATCTCCCACATGGCCAGCTTCCTGTCAATTAAACTCTTTCTCTACCACAATGCCATGGTCTCAGTTAACTGATTTTGCCTGTGCAGTGGGCACAAAGAACCTATCAGGTGATTACAAGAGCAGAATCACCTGCTCTACCATCATCAAATGCTACTTGTCAATTGGTCTTAGTGCTCATGATGATTCATATCATAATTCACATTGTAATACATAAAATGATTCATATAACATTTAGTACTTGAAACTTTAGTACTTGAAACTGAGTGGCCACCTGTGAGATTTCATCTGTATAACAAAAATGTTGTTCTCCACAACCCCTTATCTTAACCCAGACACTACTTCCTATTGATTCCAGGTCTTTAGATAATAACTTAACTCTTTCAACCAATCAGAAAATCTTTGAATCCCCCTACAAACTGGAAGCCCCCACTTCAAGTTGTCCTGCCTTTCCAGACTGAACTCACATGTACTGATTGATATCGTATGTCTTCCTAAAACATATAAAACCAAACTGTAACCTCACGAAGTCAGTAGATCCAGACCATCCTGGCTAACATGATGAAACCCCGTCTCTATTAAAAATATAAAAATTAGCCGGCTTGGTGACGGGCGCCTGTAGTTCCAGCTACTCGGGATGCTGAGGCAGCAGAATGGCGTGAACCTGGGAGGTGGAGCTTGCAGTGAGCTGAGATTGTGCCACTGCACTCCAGCCTGGGCGACACAGCGAGACTCCGTCGCAAAAAAAAAAAAAAAAAAAAAAAAAAAAAAAAAATATATATATATATATATATATATATATAAAATATATATATATATATATATATAAAATACATATATATATAATCTAACCACCTTGGGCATATGTTCTGAGGACCTCTTGAGACTTTGCCTTGGGCCTTGGTCACTCATATTTGGCTCAGAATAAACCTCTTTAAATATTTCAGAGTTTGACTGTTTTTATCAACTGCTGAATTAAAAAGTCACAAATCTATAAATTTAGAAAAAAGGGTTTTATTTCTAAAAGTGGGTATCATAGCCTGAAGGCAGGAAGAGAAGCCTCCAACTGAAACCGAAAAGCAAGCGCTTCAAGGGAGGGGCAAAGGGAACAGGAATTTAAACTGAGTGAGGTAGCTAAGTTTACATATTCAACAGATTATAGGAGGTACTATGAATATTCACAGGGGGTGGCGTGCACATGCATAGTAGGCTAACATGTACGCAATATGCATCCCATGTTCACCTTGGGGACAGAGACTTAACATTTAAATGTATTACTATTAGGCTGTTTACTTGTAAAGCCCTTTGGGTGCAGTCTCTGTGCTCTGTGAACTGACTGCCAGAACCACTTCCTGGCCAGTGGTCTCTTACAGGGAAGAAATACTGATCAGTTGTTGTGCCCAACCACAGAAAGGGAAAGGCAGGGTCAGTGCCCAACCAAGAAAGCCTGGTTGATATTCGTAGTGGAATCTTTTTCAAGGGGTTGGTTTCTGTTTAGCCCTTAGGTGAAAAAACAAAACTAATAATGGCAGTTAATGAGAGAGGAGTACAACGAGGCGTATTCAACCCTTCCTCCTGTGGGGGCTGGAACTCAGTATTTTTTCTTGGCCAGGTGGGGTATCCAAGGGCTCCCCTTGGACAAAAGATGGTCTGTTCAGTTGATTGGGGGCTTAGAATTTTATTTTTATGTATCATATTTTATCTTTCTTGAGCTCATTTTATTTAGATATTTGGCATCATTTATCAATACTGTTTGTCTCTTATCTTTCACATTTTCTTGTTTCTCTGATTTTATTTGGTGTTTTGGGAACATTCTGTGATTATGTTTTCTAAACTCCCTGGCAATCTTTTAATTTTATTTTAGACACTTATTTATAATTTTCTGGATCTTTGGTTTATTACCTGATTTTTCTTTTTTATTTAAAAAATGGATGCCATATCTCTTAAATTTCTCTGGGCATACACATTAGAATGTCTTTTTGTATTTTGCTTTTGTTCTACATTCTTTTTTGTCACTTGTATTGCTTGTGTTCTGGGGCAATTTTTCATTGTGATGGCTTAAGATGTTGAGAGAATATTTTGTTCTCCATTCATATCTAAGAATGAGGAAATAAAATGCTGGTTGGCAGCTCTGGGTATGCTACTGTGCTCATTTCTTGTTCATCTTTGCATTAGTGGAGTAGAACTAGAAGCCAGGGTTAAGAAGGAAGGCCAGGCTGGGCACGGTGGCTCACGCCTGTAATCCCAGCACTTTGGGAGTCCAAGGCAGGCCGATCATGAGGTCAAGAGATCAAGACCATCCTGGCTAACAGGGTGAAACCCCGTCTCTACTAAAAATAAAAAAATACAAAAAAATTAGCCGGACATGGTGGCGGGCGCCTTTAGTCCCTGCTACTCTGGAGGCTGAGGCAGGAGAATGGCGTGAACGCAGGAGGCGGAGCTTCCAGTGAGCCGAGATCGCGCCACTGCACTCACTCCAACCTGGGTGACACAGCAAGATTCTGTCTCAAAAAAAAAAAAAAAAAAAAAAAAAAAAAGAAGGAAGGCCAAAGCCAGTACTCATCACCTTCCCCTGGGACCTGCACATTCTCCTAGATGAACCCTTAAGATACCAGCTTGGGGGCTTGGGGGCTACAGCTGGGATACCATGTGGTGTGTGAATCTCAGAGACAGGAAAGTAAACTCTCTTATGAAAAGTTTCAGTTAATCCCTTTGAATTTAGCTCCATGTTTTATTTCTCCTCAGTCATACTTTGCATTCTTGAGTGTTTAGATTCTAGATTTCTGCAGGTAAAATCAGCTTCTTTCTGAGCTGCCTCACACTTTAGAAACATTCTAGGCTACTTCTTTGACTGCCTGGCACAGTACTCACTACTTTTAAGTCCAATTACCGCGATCCAAAATTAAATTGAAATTGCTTATGTGGTCTTTTGCCTGATAGTTTTGTTCATCAGAAGTTTATACCTTTCAGTGGCTTCCTGTTATTTTATTGGCATTTTAAAAGAGAAAAACAATTGGTGGTGATCAATTCATTTTATTTACCCAGGCCATCTAAACTATGGGTAGGACATTTCCCTATGCCAGAGACTTTAGGACCTTTAAAAGGCTGACCAGACTATTTCCCACGCACTATAATAGTTGTTCCAGTATGAATCTTTTAAAAATTGCATCAATTATAAAAACATTTGCATTATCCCATCAAATGCGACAAAAAAATTGTGATTAAATGCATTTGTCTTTCTTATATACTACTACTTCAAATAGCAAAGTAGGAATGAGATTTCTTAATGCCTATCTCATCTCCATCTTTTGTAAATATGAGATAGTATGCATTTTTTTCCAAAAGTTTTTAAGATAAATTAAACAATGCAAGGAAACATCCAGCTTAAGATTTAGTACACTGTAAGCCTCTAACAAATGTCTATTCTCTAGCCATCTATTACAATCCCAACTAGAGAAACAGATTTATATTTATTAAGACTTTGAAATAAAGGTTTATGTTTAACAGATGTCTGGTAGCTGCAATTCTGAAATAGTCAGCTGTCTCTAACTTCATCCAAATATGAGATAATTTGAGAATAATTTAAACAGCCAGGGCGTTAGGATCCTTTGAGATAATATTGCACCTCACAGGCTGGTTTTACTGACTTACTATATGCAGAGGTTGTCTGCCAAGTGCATGACTTTGATGCGACAGAATGTCCACACATGTCAGACAAAGATTTATTACTCAAGGACAGGCAGCACAGATAACTGGAAGTGTAGAACCCATGGTGAGCTGGTCTCCCAAGAAAGCTGCCGAGGGAATAGAATCCCACTGGGTGCTTCCCATGTTGCACGGCAGCTGAGGGACACTGAAAGCACTCCAGCCAACTGTAAGGTGCCACCGGGCTCACTAAGTGCAAGCGCCATAGAACATCTTATTCTAAGAAAATGAGGACACAGCCCAGGTTGTTCCGGACAGTTCTTCCTTGTTTCAGCATGTTGCACTCTCAGTACATTCTGACTGAGAAATGCAAGCAAGAGAGGGAAGATTTGGGTTAGCTAAGTACATCCAACTGGGGACTTTTCCTCCTGGGATATCATTAGAAAGCTATGCACCCCACCCGACTGTGAAAATCTATTGGTCATTGTCTATAATGGAATTCATTGATTAAAAACAAGTTTTATCTTCAACACATTTTGCAATGTATTTTAAAATAATAAATCGGCAATACACAATTTACACATGTATGCAGTGTGTAAAGACTATAATTACTTAGTAATATTATTTTCAAGTCTTCATATAAAAGAAAATAAAAATAGAAACTTTAATTCAAAAGTTGAATAATTAAATCTGTAATATACTTTTATTTGTTTTCTGTCTTTTATGAGGAATCAAAACAAGTTTTGGCTTGTTGTACTACTTGAATGAGAAAATATTATTAAAATGAGTGCAATCATAAAACTGTTCTCAAAATTATAGAAACACAAGCAGGTAAGGAACACTATTCCGGAAGGCAAAAAATGGATATAGCAAGCAATAAGAGTTTTAATTATTAGTATTTCTCTAAGAAGAGATCATGGATTATCACCAAGAAACTAAAACAAATGAAATACATTGCGTGCAATGAAATATCAATTTCTGATGTTTGCCTACTGCTTAAGAAAGGTATTAGAATAAAACAAACTGATGTATATCACAAAAGAGAAATAGTTTATTTATTGTTATGTTTTCTTTATTTGTATTTTTTGTTTTAGTAATTTTATACTGTAGAAGTGCTTTTGAGGATATCTTTTTTTTTCTTTACGAAGTAATTAAACTTATCTATTGTACAGCATGGTGAATATTGTTAATAATAGAGTACATTTCAAAATTGCTAACAGAATAAATTTCAAATGTTCTCACCACAAAAAAATGATAAGTATTTTAGGTTATGAATATATTAATTAGCTTGATTTAATTATTTCATGTTGTAGTCATAAATCATATTACTTTGTAATCCATCAATATATAAAAATATAAATTGTCAATGTGTAATAAAATTTTCTTAAAAAAGTTTTTAAACCTGCTTAAAAAAATAAGTGATTAAACTTGTTTAAGCTCTATCCTCTTTCTCGTGATCCACCATCATCTCAGGAAAAGAGATTTAAAAGCTGTATATGAAAATAAAGCACAAAAAAGCAAAAGGAAATGCAAAATGAATAAATATAAAAACATGTTGATTGAAGAGAATTTTAAAAGAGAAAGAAAAATTCTAATAGAATTATATAATAAAGCAGTGATGAGATAAATAAAATAACAAATAATTTATAAATCTATTCCTCTACTAAAATGTACATATAAAATCCTTATCTAGGTGCAGTTATGTTTTTTAAATATAACAATAAAAATAATGTTTGTGCACAGAATTTAGTAAGATATATGCCATTCAAAACCAACAGTAGACTATGATGCTTTATATGATTTCCATTTCTCTTAAGAAGTTAAACATTATAGGCTGGGCTCATGCCTGTAGTACCAGCACTTTGGGAAGCCAAGGCTGGCAGATCACTTGAGTTTGAGACTAGCCTGGTCAACACAGCAGAACTCCTCCTCTACTAAAAATACACAAATTAGCTGGGCATGGTGGCACATGCCTGGAATCCCAGCTATCTGGGAGGCTCAGGGTCTCAGGCAGGAGGACTGCTTGAACCCAGGAGGCGTAGGCAACTGTGAGCTGAGACGGTGCCACTGCATTCCAGCCCGGGCGACAGAGTGAAACTCTATCTCAAAAAAAGAAAAGAAGAAAAATAAAGAAGTTAAACACTGAAGAGTCTTCTAAGTATTTAGAAACGGCCAATTCAAAAGTGCTGATAATTTCTAACTTCAGCCTCTGGGATTCCCTGTTCAGGTTGAGCTGTATAAAGATGCATGTATATTTTTTTGCCAGCTGCTCTTCAAATGATAAGTGATGCCTTTTAATTACATTTTACATGGTAATTAATTTAAAATACCCATGGAAATTCTTCATCTTGGAATCCCTCTTCAGGCAGCGCCCAGATGCCCCAGGCTTTCAGCACTTTACTCCAGTTTCCAAAATATTCTTAAAGTACCTAAGGTAATAGAGAGTTTTGAAAATATTCCAAGCAGCTAGAAAATAAAAACAGCCATTTGCCGAATGAACAATAAAAGAGCAACACATATGTTTACACTTTTGAAATAAAGTAATACTTTTCATTATAAACACATGCAAATAGAACACAAAGAAATAGTACAATTTTTGAGTTATCTGAATATTTAGCTATTTTACAGCAGCCTCAATACAAGAAAGCCATCATCTTCAGTAGATGCTTTGATTCCACAGGGCCGTAACTGTAATTTTCATTTTGGGCCAGAGAATTTTTTCTAAAGAAAGCATACTTTTATTTATTTACAATTTAAATAATTACATCATAATTTTACTTCCTATTTGTATTTTATTGCACATTTTAATCTGCTGCCATTTTGTTGACATTAATCTGAAAGAAGGACAAGATTGCCAAATCTGAATGCATTATATTGATCGTGCATCTTATCAGTTCACAGAGCAACTCCGGGTGAGGTCGGTGAGAGCAACTTGCCTTGGCAGGGACAAGTACATTATCACTGGCATTGCTGTAAGTCCTGACACATAGTAATAATAACAGCAGATCAACTTTTATTCTGTTTTATTATTGATGTTGAAGTCTCTGCAGGTAGTGCCTTCTCTTATTTTTTGCATCTAAGTTTCTGGGATTTTCTGCATCCTTACTGCCCTGCTGTCAGCGAAAACCAAACTATTTAATAATATTAATAATAAAGTTTGCACATGTCAAAAGCAAGCTTTGACTTCACACTAAATCCAAAATGAGAAAAATCTTTTTCTCTAGGGAGAAAACATTTTCCCTGCAGAAGTCCATATGCACAAGATGCAGCCTCTAAGAAGTAACCAGGAAAAGCTGGACATTCCATACCTCATATGAAAACTTGAAGTATGATTCTGGAATGGAGACATTTAATACATTTTGTATTTACTAGTGATCAAAATTAATGTTTACAGGGAGACTTAAAGATGGCTGCCCAGAAGCACAGGACACTCCCCTCCTCCACAAAGAAGACACAAAATAGCCAATGTAGATAATCACACTTTGACTAGAGCATCTAAGAGAGAATGCTGGAGCTCAGCAGAGAAGTGACAGGAAACAGCTATGGCTCTGAAGGAGGAGGTAAGGCAGAGGGCCTGGCCAGGAGCAGCTGGGAGCCCAAAGAGGCTTCCCAGTGAGGGAAAATGATAAGTGAGTGACCCCTGGTGGTCCACATTCCCACTGTGAACTCTTGCACACGGCCACAGCCATCTGACCAGCAGAGCTCACCACTTAGGGACTGATGATTGCCCCACACTGCCCACCGTAGCCTGAGCCCTTGTGCATGACCTGCAGGCCTCAAGACTGACAGGCCCAAGTGACCTGGTGCTGAGCCCTCTCCCTGAGCCCAAGCATGCCGCCCAAGACCCTGGAAATTGCCCCATTCTTGTTCACCACAGCCTATGCCCATGAACATCAGATGGGGGGTAGGAGATGCCTAAGGACAGGACTGCCCAGTTTGGCACTGTTCCCCTAGTGCCCAAGCCTGCCACCTTGGGGACCTGGGAATTGATCAATGTTTTTGGACACCACAGTGCATGCGTATGCACCAGGGAATCTAGAACACGCCCAGAAAACCTTCTGGCAGTGGTCAAGCATGCCGTCAGGTCTGGGAACCTCTCTGGCCGGTCCACCATGACTGGCATCTGTGCACCCCTCTCAGGAGCCTGAGGACAGGCCCATCCAACCTGCTCCCACCACTGCTGCTAGCACCCACCTGCACAAGCTCTACCTGGAAGCCTGAGGACTGGCCTGTCCAGCTGGTTGCAGCCACCACTAACACCAGCGCATAGTGCCTGGGAGCCTGAGGGTTGTCCAGCTACTGACATTACACATGCCATGCACGTTGCTTAGGGGCCTGAAGACTCACCCTCCTGCCCAGGTCACTGCTGCTGCTACCAGCACAAAAGCAAACTAACTGGAGGCCCAAAAATCAGCCTGCCTGAAACCAGTAACATCAGTTCCCACAGACACTTCCCTGGGGACCCAAGGACAGGCAAACTCAGCCTACTGATCCTAACACTGGGGCCCGAGGACTGGCCCATGTGGCATCCTTATTCTCAGCAAAACCTCGCCATAGCCTCCACTAACAACTACAGCCTAAGCCACTGAGGAAAGCACAAACACTACTGTCCCTGTTTACAGCTGAGAAACATCATATGGAGACTACACTTCACACACCCAGAACCAAAGCTAAAGTGCCCTACCCAACCAACACCACAGATACAGCCACAGGAAAAAATCTTCCCCTATGACAGTCAGCCTCCAAAATTGGAAGAAGCAACGGTTATACCAGATGCACAGATATCAATGTAAGGATGAAAGAAATGTAAAAAAGCAAGGAAAGATGACACCTCCAAAGAAACAATAATTCTCCAGCAACAGATTCCAATGAAAAAGAAAATTATGAAATGGTGAAAAATGAATTTAAAATAATAATATTAAGGGAGCTCAGTGAGATATAAGAGAACACAGATAATACAAAGAAATCAGAAAAACAACTCAGGATATGAATAAGAAATTTATGAAAGGAATAGATAGATAATCATGAAGAAGAATCAAACAGGTATCCTAGAAAGGAAGAATTTAATGAATCAAATAAAAAATACAATCAAGATCTTCAACAATAGACTAAATCATGAAGAAGAAAGAATTTCAGAACTTGAAGACAGGTCTTTGGAAATAGCCCAGTCTGACCAAAAAGAAAAAAAAGAAAGAAAATAAATAAAAAGAATGAAGAAAGCCTATGTGTTATATGGGACACGATAAAGTTAGAAAATATTACAAATTTGGGTGTTCCAGAAGATGAAGAGAACACCAATGACATAGAAAAGGTATTTAACAAAATGATAGCTGAAAACTTTTAAATCTCGCAAGAGATTTAGACATCCAGGTGCAGGAAGCTCAGAGATCGCCAAATAGATACACCTTTGTTTTTTTTCCCTGACATGTAATAGACAAAATGTCAAAATTAAAAACAGAATCCTAAAAAGAGTGAGAGAAAAGTGTCTAGTCACATATAAGAAAACCCTTCTGTGAGATAAGACATACTTCACCCCATTAAAAATATTTATATACTCAGAAAGAACCAAAATCACCTAAATATGGTATGATAAAGCTGAAATACATTTCCTCATTGACAATGACTGCGCTCTGTACAATAATATCATAGTGACTTCCACTAAATATTTGGTTTTGTGTAGTACAAGTAAATATTTAAATGTCCAAGTGATTAAAAAATTAAATGGCTGATTTAGTTACACTTCATTTTTAAAAAGATATTGTCATTTCTTTCTTTCCATACTTCCACTAAGAATATTTTGTATTCTCTTCCAATTACAAAAAAAGTTCTTATGTAAGGTTTTGAATTATATTTTAAAATGTCTATCTGAGATGTCACAGTGTTTGAGGATCAAAAGCTTAGTGTTTGTGATCAAACTGCCCAATTCTGAATTCCAACTCTGCCATTCATTTACTGGGCAAACTTGAAAAATTGTTTCACTGTTTTTGCTGTCTTCTTTAAAATGACAATAATATAATAATAGGACTATTCATAGGACTGTTTTGAGTATTTAATAAAATGTGTAAAAGCTATGCATAGTGTCTGGTACATATCAGACATTCAATAAAGATTGCCTATTTTCATTGTCTTTCTTTCTCTCTTTCTCTCTCTCTCTCGCTCTTGCTCTCTCTCTCTCTCTCTGCCTCTCCCTTATGAGCTTTACCTTTGCTAACCCTTTCACAGGAACAAGTGGCTAGTTGTTCACTTTAGTTCTTTTTTATCCTATAAATTCAATATTATTTTGTTGTAATTAACATATCTTTGTTTAGATTTAACTTTACGTTTATCAATTTATTTGTTTGTTTTTTTAATTTAAGATCATACTGCTGGGACTATTAACCTTCTTTCAAGAATGCATCTTTTAAAATTACATAACTGAAAGTTGATGACTAAAAATGCTCTCTGATCTGAGTTTAACTGAAGATGTTTGTTAATTCTTTTTGGCTTTCATTCTTGTAAGAAAGTCGTGTTCTGTATAAAATTCTAGGTCTCAAAATATTATTTTTTCATCAATTTCAGATGTCATTTTACTCTCTTCAGGAATCTTTTGTTGCTGAAAAGGAGTCTAACATCAATGTTACCTACACATGTCTTCTCTCTGCCAGCTTTCAAGGTCATTTTTTAATTTTTGATATTTAAGTCACCCTATAATGTAAACTGGTACAATGTATTTATTTTCTATTGATGCATAACACTTTACCACAAATTTACCAGCTTAAAACAGTACAAATTTATTTGCTACCAGTTTCTGTGGGTCAGAAGTCCGGGTACTGCATGTCTGGGTTTTCTGCTCAAGGTCTAGTTAAAGTGAAATCAAGATGTTACCCAGGCTGAGCTCCCATCTGAAGGCTCTGGGAAGTATTCTGTTTCCAAATTTACTCAGGCTGTTGACAAAATTCAGTTCCTTGAAATTGTAATACTAAGGTACTTATTTCCTTGCTGGTTGTCAGATGGGGGCTGCTTCTGCTAGTAGAGATCCCCCACGTTCCTTGCCGTATGCCTTCCATCGTAAAAGCCAGCAGTGGAGAATCTTCTTCTCATCAAATTCGTCTCACTCTTTAAAATTTATTTTGCCAGGAAAAATCCAGTCCCTATTATAAGTTTACCTGATTTGGTTGGATTCACCCAGGATGATCTCCCTCTTTTAAGGTCAACTGAATTGGAACCTTAATAACATCTGCAAATTCCCTTCAGAGCAGCACACAGATTAGTCTTTGACTGAATAATGTGTGCCATACATGGAGTGGGATTCTTCTCTGCGTGGTTTCATTTGTTTTGTAGGTCTAGAATATTGTCATCTATTACCTGGTTAAATATGCTCTCATCTTCATTATCGCACTTGTCTTCTCCTGGAAACTCAGACAAACCTGTGTAATATCAAATCATTATATGTTTTCTCTGGCTTTTAATCTCCTTTTTGCATACTTCAACTCAGAGTCTCCTTAAAATGTTGTTGCAGTGATGTTAACACTTCTAGTTATCTCTGTAAAAGTAAATTGACATGAATAATAAAAAACAATTGACAAAAATCAGAATGATGGCATAATTGAAGGTCCCTTTTTAAAGCTGCTTCTCATCATTCTAGTCATGAAGCATCCCGACTGTCCCAAGTGGAGGTGGCATGGGGGAGGGATGCTACTGAAAACCTTGTTTTATTGAATAGTCTGCAAGTATATATTATTACAGATTATATACATCTTATGTTTATATGAAAATCATGTATCTCTAAAAAGGCATTCTTCATTCATATCATATAATATTTTTACTATCATAGAGCAGTGTACCTGAATAGTACATAGCTCTAATAACCTAAAAATGGCCAAATGCAGTAGTCTTCTTCAATAACTAGAAGGCTACAGATCTAAGTACTTAACTTACATACTGAGTAATTATTTTGGTCTCTCTTCCAGATTGGCAATTCTCTTTTAAGCTATATTTAATATGCTATTTAACCATTAATTTAATTTTCCTTTTAATATGTACATTTTTCATTTCCTTTCCCCCCAGCTCTATTAAGGTATAATTGAGAAATAAAAATTATATACATTTACAGTATACAACACGATGTTTTGATATATGCAAGTACACATTGTGAAATAATTAAATTAAGATAATTAACATGTCCCTCTTCTCATATAATTATTATTTTTTGTGGTGAGAACATTTAAGATCTACTCTCTTGCAGTTTTCAAGACTACAATATATTATCATTAACTATAGTCACCACACTGTACAATACATCTCCAGAACTTATTTTCTTTGTCCAACACTTATATTCTTTGACCAACACCTCCTCATCCCATCCTCTGCCAGCCCCTGGCAACTACCATTTTACTCTCTGTTTCTATGATTTCAAATTTTTTAGATTCTACATATAAGTGAGATAATGCAGTATTTCTTTTTTTGTGCCTGCTTTATTTCATTTAGCATAATATCTTCTGGGTTCATCCATGTTTTTGCAAATGACAGTATTTTCTTCTTTTCTGTTTTAAGGCTGAATGGTATTCCATTGTGCATTTGTAAATATATATGTGTGTGTGTGTGTGTGTGTGTGTGTGTGTGTGTATACAATTATATATCACTTAATGACAGGGATATGTTCAGAGAAAAGTATAGTTAGGAAATTTTATCATTGTACAGAAATCATAAAGTGTACTGACACAAATCTACAGCCTACTAAATCCCTAGGCTATGTGGTATATTCTATTGCTCCTAGACTACTAACCTGTACAGGATGTCATTGTACCAAATACTATAGGCAATTATAACACAGTGGTAAGTATTAATGTATCCCAACATATAAAAGTAGAAAAAGTACAGTAAAAATAAAGTATAAAATATAAAAATAGTATACTTTAATAGAAAACTTACCTTGAATGGAGAATGGAGGACTGGAAGTTGACTCTGAGTGAGTCCACGAGTGAGTGGTGAGTGAATGTGAAGCTCTAGGACATTACCATATACCATTATAGACACTATAAGCATTGTACATTTAGGCTATACTAAATTTGTTTTTAAACATTTTCTTTAGTGATAAATTAAACTTAGCTTACTTTGACTTTTACTTTATAAACTTTTTAATAATTTTCAACTTTTTGACTCTTTAATAAAAACACTTAGCTTAAAACAAAAATATTTTACAGCTGTGCAAGAATATTTTTCTTTCTTTATATCCCTATTTTACAGACTTTTCATTATTTTTAAATTTTAAATTTCTCTTTTTCACTTTTTAAACTTTTTTTGGTAAAAACTAAGACACAAATACACACGAGCTTAGGCCAATACCGGTCAGGATCATCAGTGTCACTGCCTTCCACCTCCAGGGCTCGTCTCCCTGGAAGTTCTTCAGGGACAATAACAGGCATAGAGCTGTGGTGTCCTATGCTAACAATGCCTTCTTTTGGAATACCACCAAGGGACCTGCCTGAGATCATTGTACCATTAATCTTTTCTTGTTTTTTAAGTAGAAGGAGTATACTCTAAAACAACAACAAAAAGTTATAGTATGGTCAATAAATAAACAAGTAACATTTCATTTGTTATCATTATTAAGTGTTATGTATTGTATGTTACATGCCTTTTATGACTGGTAGGCCTGTAGTAGGTTGTTTATGTCAGCTTCACCACAAACACATGAGGAATATGTTGTGTTCTGATGTTAAGACAACTATGATGTTCCTAGGCGATAGGAATTTTTCAGCTTCATTATGATCCAATGGGACCACCATTGTATACGCGGTTCATTGTTAACAGAAACATCATTATGTGGCATGTGACTGTGTATATATATATATATATATATATATATATATATATATATATAAAACCAACCTCAGTGCATTGATGGATGATGAACGGATAAAGAAAATATGGTATACGCATACATACATACGTATATATATAAATGTATATATAATATATATTATATGTATGTATATACACACATACCTATATACATATGTATATACATATGTACGCATACATACATATGTATATACACACACGCATACATATGTATATACGTATATATATGCTTATATATACGCATATATGTATACGTATATATGCGTATATATGTATATATGTATATATGTATACGTATATATGCGTATATATGTATATATGTATATATGTATACGTATATATACACATATATGTATATATGTATATATGTATATGTATATATACACATATGTATATATACACATATACATGTATATATACACATATATGTATATATGTATATATACGTATATATGTATATATGTATATATACGTATATATGTATATATGTATATATACGTATATATGTATATATGTATACATACACATACACGTATATATGTATATACGTATACATACACATATACACATATATATGTATATACGTATACATACACATATATGTATATACGTATACATACACATATGTGTATATACGTATACACACACATATGTGTATATACGTATACACACACATATGTGTATATACGTATACACACACATATGTGTATATATGGATATACGTATACATACACATATATGTATATATGGATATACGTATACATACACATATATGTATATATGGATATATACATATATACGTATATATAAATACATATATACACATATATACACATACATACATACGTATATACATATGTACACATACATACATATGTATATACGTGTGTACATACATACGTATGTATATACATATGTTACATACGTATGTATATACATATGTTACATACGTGTGTATATACATATGTTACATACGTGTGTATATACATATGTTACATACGTGTGTATATACATATGTTACATACGTGTGTATATACATATGTATGCATACATACGTATGTATATATGTATGTATATGCATATGTATGTATGTGTATACCATATTTATCCATTCATCATCTATCAACGCACTTAGGTTGGTTACATACCTCAACTGTTGTGAATAGTGCTTCAATAAACATGAAGTGCAGATATCTCTTTGACATGCTGATTTTATTTCCCTTGGATGTATACCAGAAATGAGACTGCTAGACCGTATGGTAGTTCTGTTTTTAATTTTTGAAGAATTCCATACTGTTTTCCATCATGGCTGCACCAATTTACATTTCTACCAACAGTGAACACGCCTTCTGGCTTCTTTACATTTTGCCAACACTTATCTTTTGTCCTTTTGATAGTAACTATTCTATTAATAATAACAGATGTGAGGCAATATCTCACTAGGAGGTTGACGGGGAGCTCAGCTCAGCACCAGAATTCTAGTTGTCATATGAGGAAACAATAGCTAAGATTTACCTATCACTAACATCAGCAATCACACAACACCTGTATCACACAGAGGAAGTGATCTGTGACCATCTGCACTATCTTAATGTGGAGGAAAAGTTAAATATTAGATTTGAACTCAATTGAACATGGACACAAACAATGGTTACCAAGTCCCAGAACAGGTTGTGTGAACACCTTGAGGTGTTCATTCAGAGCTGTTTTGGAGAAATCTCTATTTCAATCTATTCCTATACGTTAGTTATTGAAAAACAATAGACAATCACAAAAAACAAGTTGACTTTTTGTGTTCCTTGAGCCCAGTCACAAAGGGCCCTCGTAACTGGACCTCATGCCAAACAACTCGTTACAAAAAGAGATAGGGTCCCAGACTGTGCCAAAGCTTCATGACACCTCTCCTCATCTGTAAACAGACGAGTGACCGACTCTGGAGCCCAGGCTGTTGCTTCCCGGTCTAGTGGTGAATCCTCCATAGTCTGGTGAGTGTAAATATCTTTTCCCTTCTCTCCTTCCCATTGCAATTTGCTTATTATATCAATCTATTTATTATATATTATTATATCATTTGCTTATTATACCTGCATTGCCATTTACATGGGATAAAGATTGTTTACCCTTAAAGGTATTGTGTTTGTGTCTTTTCTTCTCCCCTCGTGCGTTGCCCACACAGAACACTTATTCACATAAGATAATCCCAATCCCTACCTCTTTTGCCATATAAAAAAATTTCGATAGGCCAGTGAAATTAAATTTAGGAACTGGAGGAAAAGGAGCAAAAAGATAGTTGAAGAGAGAAGGGACATCTTGTTGAAGTTACCTTGAACCAAACAGTGACCGTGAATATAACAATTTGAGTCAGGCCAGAAAATAAATGAATAAATCAAACACTATATCTAAATTTTCTGATTATCTTAATTTTTCTTACCTCTGACAAGAAAGAATGAGCTTGTGTTTTTATGTCAAAGAAAAGTGTTTCAGTTACTAAAAGAAAGCAGGTTTTATATTTGTATATAGTTTATTGTTGAATGCACAGTTCACAGCCTCTGTTGAAAAATTCGATCCTATAGAAAAAGTTGTCACTCAATTTGTAATGTGGACAGGAAAACTTTTTTTTCACAGAAAACTTGTATTGCCAGGATCCTCTATGTTCCATGTAGCTTGATTTTTTTTATAAAGATCAACTAACACTGCTTAAGCACAAATGTGGTATATATTGTGTTAGAATTATATATAAATCAAGTAGCACAGACAGAGCAAAAACAACATGTAATACAATAGATTTCTTTATTTGAGATGTAATTTTCCTGATAAAATTGCTATGCTTCATTTCCAGCAATATATTTAACTCAAGTAGCATAAAACCAGGGAATGTCAGAAAGCTGCCGATTCTCCAGAGAAAGGGGCTCATCTTATTAAGCAATGCAACTGTGACAATGTGTAGGATATTTCTCAATTAATTTTCTTTTTCTGATAAGGTATTCTATACATTGGGGAACATGATATGTGTGAAGGTTTCTCAATAGCATTACTGAAAATTGATTTATGACAGACAGAATCAAGATCATGGGGCCCCCAAACAGCCTCTTGGAAGAGTGATTTTCCAACATGAAATAAAAGTAAGATGATTCAAAAAATTCATCAGAGAACACCCTATGTGTAATGAATGTCTCAGGAGCCTTAGCCAGCTAAAAATCCAATCTATTTTCTTTAGAAGAGATTAGAAAATCTCTAAACAACTCAAGCCACCTGCATCACTATTTGAAATGAAATAAAGAAGTTTCAATTGTTTAACATTATTTAGGCTCCAGGTACTTGTACTAAACTTCAGTAAGAGAAAAGACTCTCAAAAATAGAATGCATAAAATGTTAAATGCATAAAATGCATAAAAAGACTCCCAAAAATAGAATGCATAAAACGTTAAATAAGACACAGATTTTTGTGAAGGAAGTTACCTTTATTATTGCTCTCCAATTTTTAAAGGTTTAAGTTGTGCTGTTTGAAGACTCTGAACTAGGAAGATAAAAATCAACATCATTTGAATAAGTAACAACACCTATATCGTGCTGACTTGCCTTCCTTCATTTTCAGTTACATCAGGATTTCCTCATATTAGTCTTCTTTGTATGCTGACCTATATTCTCTACTTGATTTAAAGTAGATAGCTTACATTATGTAACGGCTAGATTTAAAGTAGTCGCCTTACGTTATGTAGTGGTTGTTAAATTCAATTGAATTTGACCTAAAGTGGCCTCTATATGTAGTGAACTACAACTTAACTTAGTATGTAAACTAACTGCAACTTAAGAGTATATTCAAAACCACAGTAAGATGCCATCTCACACAAGTCAGAATGGTTATTATTAAAAAGTCAAAAAATAGCAGGTGCTGGCGAGATTGCAGAGAAAATGGAACACTTATATACTGTTGGTGGGAGGGTAAATTAGTTCAGCCATGTGGAAGGCAGTGTGGTGAGTTCTCAAAGACCTAAAGACAGAAAAACCATTCGACCCAGCAATCTCATTACTGGGTATATATCCAAAGGAATATAAATTATTCTACTATAAACACACATGCATGCATATGTTCATTGCAGCACTATTCACAATAGCAAAGACATGGAATCCACCTAAATACCCATCAAGACTGGATAAAGGAAATGTTGCACATATACATCATGGAATACTATGCAACCATGAAAAAGAATGAGATCATATCCTTTGCAAGAACGTGGATGGAGCTGGAGGCCACTGTCCTTAGAAAATTAACACAGGAACGGAAAACCAAGTACTGCATGTTATCACTTGTAAGTGGGAGCTAAATGATGAGAACACGTAGACAAATTTTCTCAAAAGTCTTAAAAATTTAGATTCAAAATATCAAACTTTAACATTTCTCTTCTTTATACTTATTAATAGATTATAAGAAATTTAGCCTCACTTATATTAAATATATGGATTACTAAGGATGACAGTGTATTCATGTATTATCATTATACATAGAATATTATAAGAATCATATGAAAGAGGGGTGTGGTGGCTCATGCCTGTAATCCCAGCACTTTGGGAGGCCAAGGCGGGCGGATCACAAGGTCAGGAGATTGAGATCATCCTGGCTAACACAGTGAAACCCCATCTCTACTAAAAATACAAAAAATTAGCCGGGCATGATGGCAGGCGCCTGTAGTCCCAGCTACTCAGGAGGCTGAGGCAGCAGAATCGCCTGAACCCGAGAGGCGGAGGTTGCAGCGAGCCGAGATCGTGCCACTGCACTCCAGCCTGGGTGACAGAGCGAAACTCTGTCTCAAAAAAATAAAAGAATAGTATGGAAGAATGAAAATAGAAAATAGTATTTTTATATACTCAACTTTTAACATATTTTACCATAGAGCAACTTATACATGTGTGGTTAATTATGAAATAATCTGGTTTTATCAAAACGATCCCTCATCAAATTAAATGTTATAAAATTTCCTATGAAATTTTATGAATTTCATTAAATTCCTATGAATTTAATTTACATGAATTATAAGCTATACTAATAATGCAAGCCAAAAAGGAACCCTGATGATAAAGTCAAAAATTCTTCTAATATGAGAAATGTTTTAGTCTGCTACAAAAAATGTGGTCTTACATATATTCTTTTCTTTTCTTGTTTTTTTGAGACAGAGTCTTGCTCTGTCACCCAGGCTGGAGTGCACTGACACCCTCTGGGCTCACTGCAACCTCTGCCTCCCAGGTTCAAGCAATTCTCCTGCCTTCCAACTACCTGGGACTACAGGCACGTGCCACCACGCCTGGCTTTTTTTTTTTTTTTTTTTTTTTTTTAGTAGAGACAGGGTTTCACCTTGTTGGCCAGGCTGGTCTCGAACTCCTGACCCCAGGTGATCCACCTGCCTGGGCCTCCCAAAGTGCTAGTATTACATATTACAGGCATGAGTCACCATGCCCAGCCACATTTATTATTTTCAGTGTTGATTGTTAACCCAAGTAAATAGTGTGCTTTAATTTATCAGCCAGTACTTCTATAAAAGCATAATCTTTAGCAAAACCCATTACTGCTATTAAGTCTTTATCATATTGTTTTAAAAGCCAGTTCATTTATTTGTTTAGGTAAGATATTCACATAGTTTAAAAAACTATACAAAGTTATTAAAGAGATTTCTCAACTCTACATCTGTCCTTATTCAACAGTTCTTAATGTTTTTGCCATTTTCTGGTGTATCTTTCAGGGGTGCTTTTCAAAAAGAGTTTTCTTTTGTATCTTTTCAGGGTTTCTCTAGCCTATATAATATGTATAATTTGAATATAAAATTATCTATATTCTGTCTCACTCTCTCTGTCTCAAAATCACAAGTGATAGCACACTTGGTAGTTTCTTAGGTACTTGGTTTTCCTCTTAAACATTTTCTGAGTTCCAATGTTAGCCTGGTGATGTGGAGAGCTGGACAGGGCATGACTTTCATGCTTAAATCTAGAGAAAAACTAGATAAACTGAAAATTAAATTTGCCTTGAAAGCATTATAGAACTAAGGTCAAAGGGAAAACAACTTTCGACAGTTCTAGAGAAAGAGACATGGCTATGGGGAGAAATAGGACTAGATCCATTGCTTACCTGGGACAGGCATTGCCAAACTCATTACTGTCTAGTGGAGAATTGTTATGAATTGCTAAAGGCTGAATGTGGGTTTGCATGAGACTATGAACCCCCAGAGGTTGCAGAAATAGGAGTGTTCACAATTTTTTGTAGGCTTTTCTTCCAGGAGCCCTCCCAGGCACTCACAGGAAGATAGGGGAGTATCCTGAGAAAGCTTCCCTTGTGCAGCTAGCAAAGGGAGAGCCCTACCATCCCTCTCAAAACACCCAGACTCAACTCCCTGATCTCCTATACAGAGAAAACAAAACCTAATTTGCAGGGAGTTGGTAAAAACAAACAAGAAACAAAAAACCTGTAGCACGAGGGCAGTAGTGGAAACCCACTGAAGCTGAAGAAGGGAAATAGGTGTGGAAGGCAAGGGGAGGGAAGCTAGAAACTACCAATGTGTGTGGGGAAGGAAAGCAGTCCAGGCCCAGCACTGGGTCTGGATGCACATGGAAGGCAGGCCACTCGGCCAGTGTTCACCGTTCCTTCTTGAGACTGAGGTTAACTAGAACATTAAAAAATACCCATTTCCCACATTCCCCCTACCACACCAGGGTTGAGTAAAAATAACTGAATCACACAGGTGGGAAACCGGCAAGAATAGGCTCTCTGGAGACAAAAACAAAGAAAAGATCAGAAATCAAAGTCAAAGTTAGAAATAGACATAAGCTATCACTAGAGAAATTGAAAGCCTCTGGTGACTATAATTAATAAGATTGTATTATATGCCTGAAAATTGCTAAGACAGTAGATTTTAAATGTTCTCACCACAAAAATAAGAGATAACAATGTAAGGTGATAGAAACGTTGATTAGCTTGATTATGGTAAGAATTTCACAATATATACATGTATCAAAACATCATGTTGTATACTAAAAATATATATAATTATGTTTATGTGTTAATTATACTTCAATTTTTTAAAAAAGTATATATTAGAAAAGAATCAAACAAAAATATGAAGTAAAAGTGAAATATAACTTGTCAATCAAAAACAAAAAATTCACTGCAGCCAACACAACCTATTCTACAAGAAATATTCAGAAAGCTTTTTGCATGGAGATTCTGATATAGGTCAGAAACTTAGAAATACAGAAAGAAATATAGAGCATTGAAAATGGAATAAATAGAGGTAAATAAGTTGTTTCATTATTAATAATTTTTTAAAGATGACTGAGTGTTTAAAGCAATATAATAAGAGTAACCATGCATTGTGTGCTTATATAAGATATCAAAGTGGAATGTATGGCCATGATTCCACAAGAGAAGAGATGAAGAAATTGGAAACATATTGCCTTACACGTGAAGCCATATAATATTATTCAAAAGGGGCTCAGATCATTTTTAAATGCACATTTTAAAGCACAGGAGAAATGACTAACACATAGGCAATAGAAAAAATGAAATGAAATAGGAAATAATGGCCGTTTAAACACAGAGAAGAAAGAAAATGATTAAACAATCAATAAAACAAATAAGAAAGGCTAGCTAGTTTTAAATACAAATATATTTAAAACTACCAACTTAGTTTGAACATAAACAGGCCACAGGCATTTGCTGCCAAATCTATTCTCAGGGTGTGGAGAGTTGTTGAAATGTCAGAATCATGGCACCTTTCAAAAATACACAAATAGGCTCCATCTGAAGATTGTCCAGCATATGTTTTGGTTTGTTCTTCTGCAATAGGGTAAAGCAACACAATTTTCGAGATACAAAATTTAAGAATTACAAAATATGAACAGGTCAGAATAACTCAAATGATCATAGTACTATCGCAGAATCTGCAGCAGGTGCTTTTCTTAACTGTAGACATGAACTACCTGGCACTGTACAACTTTGTGTTGCTTCAGACACACTGCTTTTTACACACCTCAGTGATTTTATATTCTGACTGTAACCATTATTTTGGGGATAACTATTTTTAGTTTTATAATAACGCCAAAGGAAGCACATATACTCTAGAGAATACTGATGATTCAGGATAATATTGCTCCTGACCCCTCGACCCCTACACTGCCACTCAAACACAAACTTACAGTACACTTTATTAATACCCTGATCTATAAACAGTATCCTAATATTGCAAAGAAAGAAGAAAACTTCTCTGTAATTTTGTCAATTTCAGAGTCATTACTCCATTTCTGCACTTTGCTCTTCTTTAGGATACAATCCCTTTGAGATCGCTAGTTTTTACTCTTAGCTGGAAATTCAGTACATGTGATCATTTTCCTTGTATAGAGCTGAACACAGCAATTGTGAGAGATAAGCTGAGGGTCAAAGGATTACAGTAGTGATAATGCGTTTGTATACGTGGGTCTTAAGCAGTGCCGCTGGTGGGGGCTGTGGGGCTTTGGAGAGGGCAAAGATAGTTTTTTCTTCTTACTTCTATTCTCTGCTGTCTTGTGCCCTGGGAGGCTGATATCTGTATGCGGCGTCATTCAGCCTTCCTTGCATTTCACTTTTCATGAAGTTTGGCCAATGGAAATCACTAGCTAGAAAACAGAGAACATTCTATTTCTTAACTGTGGCTCCAGCTCTGGTTCAGTATCCTCACACCCTCAACTGTGACTCTTGCCAGATTCTTAATAATCTTGTAACAGCTTGTAATCACTCCACTGGTGTAAACCCTAGATACCTCACCATCATTTGTTGTTTCATTTAATTATTCCTCTACCTCTGGAAATAGTTCCTTTGTTAAACTTTTTTCATTTATTTTCTCAAATGGACTATTTCATGCTGAAAGTCTGCAAGATACAGTAACTGGTACCAGCAGAGATCCCAAGAAACGTACCCTCAAACCAACATTCTGGTGTTCGGTTAGTCACATATGTCAAGTGTACCTATAACCTCTGATATGGTTGGGATCTGTGTCCCCACCTAAATCTCTGTTCAGTTGCAATCCCCAGTGTTGGAGGTGGGGCCTGGTGGGAGGTGACTGGGTCATAGGAGCGGAGTTCTTATTAATGGTTTAGCACCATCCTCGCCTTGGTACTGTATAGTGAGTGAGTTCTCATGAATTCTGGTTGTTTAAAAGTGTGTAGTACCTTGCTGGGCTCATGCTTGTAATCCCAGCACTTTGGAAGGCCGAAGTGGGTGGATTATTGGAGCCCAGGAGTTCTAGACCAGATTGGGAAACATGGTGAAACCCTATCTCTATAAAAAACACAAAAGTTAGCTGGGTATGGTGATGCATGCCTATAGACCTAGATACTCGAAGGCTGAGGAAGGGGGATCACTTGAACCCAGGAGGTAGAGGTTGCAATGAGCCAAGATGGCACTACTGCACTCCAGCCTGGGCAACAGAGTGACACCCTGTCTGGAAAAAAAAAAAAGTGTGTGCGGCACCTCCTCCCTTTTTCTTTCTCCTGCTCCTGCCATGTGCAGTGCCCACTCACCCTTTGCCTTCCACCATGATAATAAGTTTCCTGAGGCCTCTCCAGAAGCTGATCAGAAGCCCTCATGCTTCTTGTACAGCCTGTGAAACTATAAGCCAATTAAACCCCTTTCCTTTATAAATTACCCAGTCTCAGGTATTTATAAGAGCGCAAGAACAGACTAATACAACCTCCTAATCAGAGAGAAATGAGGCACTGGTAATCTGTGGCATTTGGTAGCATAGCAATTGCTCAGTGGTAGCATGAATTGGACTGCAGGTTGAGGTTGTCAAGTGATTTGTGGAACTTGGCAATTACAATCATTGTGGGGTAGGCTGGATAATTCCAGATCCCTGAATATAACTTTCAAAAATGCACAAAGACTAATCAAAACACTTGAATTGCCAACCATGAGCAGATGGAAAACTTAAAAATCCTCAATTGTTGTTTTAAATAAAATTTTTTCTCATCTGAGATCTAGAAGATGCCTGTTTCAAGAACTACACAGTTAGAACATTAATTGAATGTACCACCTCAACTACTGTCTTATGCTAAGATATATACTATTGGGAATGAGCAAGGTACATGCGAATAGAAATAAAAGAGACTGAAAATTTTAAACTTTCACATTCTCCAAAAGCTTCCCTGACAGAACTGCAGTTCCTCTCATCAATACTCTTTAACTTTCATGAGATTTACCAATACCTTCAAGAGGGCCTGGTGCCACCCAAGGGGATAAGGATACTCCTCAGGATGTACCATCACCATCGTTCTTTCTCTTCAAGACCATGATAAAAGGTAGATCCATATGGAGAAGTACAAGCTTGTTCTGGGAGGAGATAGCTTTTATTCAAAAGGAGTTGCCATATCCTGCCAATTTATAGCACAAAGTTTATGAGGAACAGGTATGGATGGATTTTTAAGAGTGTTAGATCAGGACAAATGTTGAACCATGAAGATTTGATCAAGCTGAAGTTGTTGATACGTGTACTTTCTCTCAGAATATGAAATTTAGTAATTTGGCTTGGGCACCTGAGAAAAGTGTTATAAGTCTGCTAGGCTGATCAATTAAAGCCTGAATTCAACTGTGTTCTACAATTAATGAAATAGAAATCCTCTTACTTTTCTAGCATACTTAAAGAAAGTACACAAAAGGCTCAGGGAGGTAAGCCTAGCAAGTAACTCTGTTATATGCAAACTGCTCAGACACCATTTACTGTATTAACTGGAGATACTCAGAGGACATTCCATTTATCAAGATATTAAGAGGCAGGGAGGGGAGTAAGCCCAAGATGAGGTTGCTTCTCTATTCAAGTAGTCACTACACTATTGATAATTCAACAAGCTGTATATTTTGATTGGTATGTTTATTCATTTGTATGCTATAGGTTTATGAAAATGTTAACATGTGTTAGTGAGGGAAGCACACACATCCTTGAATACACAATTTGGTGACTGTCCTCTGAGGCCTGTGACAATGGTGAAGGAAGTCTCAATGGAATTGGATTTTATTATTTTAGTGGGGATAATAAGATCCCAACAGGAATAAATCTAACATAATTAGCATGATATGCTACTGCAAACCTGTGGTAACCAGATGGCCCTGGCATGCTGCAATCCATGGATAATTGATGACAAGGTCCCTATGAATGAGATAGCTGGACAGCCTTCTAAGGGGTTGTTTGGCCAATGCATCTCATAATGTCTAGGTCTGTTTGGCCAAAACTCAACTTGAGTTAAACTAGTGTGGATTCTCAGCCAGTAATAATAAGAATGCACTATGAATAATTCTCACAGCTCACTCAGAGACCTGGGGAAAATAATTTTCTCAAATATTTCAAGGGTTATTTCATACTGTCAGTGGACTCCACAAGTTCCTGGGGGCACAAATCACCATTAAGATAAGAGTAGGTACTTAGGGGGGTCAGGTGATATAATAGAATCTTGACCTAAGCCTGAAAAAAAAATTGCAAAACTGATGACAGAAAAGGACAGAAAAAAATACGTAAATGGTCTTATTATAATGGGTAAAAATTATGAACATATTCATATTTTGTGTAAAAGTCCACCCAAAAGCATCTGCCAAAGGAGAGGCTTTCAACAATCACGTGATCAAAAGGGTTACTTTAATATCCATGTACTCAAAGGCACTGAAAGTGTCTGTGACAGGTAGGGATGTTTTGTAGAGTTGTAATTTTTTGTTGAAAGCTGGATGTTATGTCTCAAATTGTAGGAACTCAGGAAATAAAGTTTTGAGTGTGAGATTTTTTGTTAGTTTGGCTAGGAGTTGCGCTGATATTTGCTGAAGCTCTAGGTGCCAGGGACTATTGTTTATAATTTTTCTGGTTTATTTTCTCTCTTTCCCTTCTTGTCTTGGTTTTCCCTAGAAATTGCATCTTTAGTAGTGCTGGTGTCTTGCTGCTCTGTTAGTTGTAATGTGCTGTCATACCGGAGCACTCTTGTTACGGTGGCAAGGTTTTGTGGAATAGAGACATTTGATAACCTTACGTTTAAATCTAAATTTTTTAGTTGGCCTGTGACTTTGGATGCACTCCTTAGCCTTTTTCTCCTTATGTGAGATGCTTAGACTGGAGTGGCCTTCAGTTGGCTAGTTGTCTTTCCCGGAGTCAGAGAAAGGTCTCCTAAATGTACAGTGATTTCCTTTGTAGGACAGGGTTTTTTTATGGAGATTTCTTTGGGCCTATTTCAGAATTATTATTTTCCCCCTACTCTGGCCAAAACAAGAGGAATTTTTTTCTCTTATATTTACCATCAAGATGGGGGGTGTCTCCCAAAAATAAAACCAAGGAAAGTGCAGAGGTGCCAGGAACTACTGTAGGCTGAGCTCCTAGGAGTTTTTAGCTCTAAGCTATTTTTTTTTTGAGGTGGAGTCTCGCTCTGTTGCCCAGGCTGGAGTGCAGTGGCATGATCTCGGCTCACTGCAACCTCAGCCTTCCTGGTCCAGGCGATTCTCCCACCTCAGCCTCCCAAGTAGCTGGGATTATAGGCGCCTGCCACTACACCCGACTAATTTTTGTTTTTTTTTTTTTTGTTTTTTTTTTTAGTGGAGACAGGGTTTTGCCACGTTGGCCAGGCCAGTCTCAAACTCCTGACCTCAGGTGATCTGCCCGCCTCGGCCTCCCAAAATGCTGGGATTACAGGCATGAGCCACTGCGCCTGGCCTCTAAGCTATTTTTTTATGTAGCCTCCAGCATCTCATTAACGTTGTCATTTAAATGTTTCTATTAGCTACTGGCCCTACTGGCTACATGTCAGGTTAGCTGATCTCAGCTGTGATTCTCTGTAGTCATCTGTCTATCCAGATTCTGGGGTGTGCATTTGCCTTGTGACATCAATTCTTTGAGGTATTTAAGGAAGTTTACTGATTTTTAGTTTGCTGAGGTTTTTCCTATCGTAAGGGTAGGAACAATAACTGAAATTGGAAGGTTTCATTGTCTTTTTAAACATTAATTATTTATTCATCCTATATTATTGTCCCAGATACCTCATAATCAAAACCCTTGAGATAACCAATGTTTTGACTTCGATTCTTGGAGGATTATGACTGAATTGGCATCACCTCTCAGTAACATTTTGAATATGATTTTGTGATTCACCAGTGTTGGCAATAGTTTGTTGTTGTTACTGTTTGTTCTTTTTTTCTCTATATGAAAGACAATTATTGGTGTTCAGAGAAAAAAGAATAGACTTTCCTAGGTTTGTTCTGTTTGGCCCTTCATCTGTGTTCACAGAACTTCAGCAATCTTCTGCTGCACCAGGAAACTAGTCCCTAGGGCCTCAATCACTGGACTCTTGTCTTCTGGTTTTTTGGCAATGAGTAGCCTCAGCAACAAATAATAGAACAGGAGAATTCAGAAGTCAGAGTATTTTTTCCCTTTCTACTTATGTGGCAGGCCATGATTTGGCAGAGTTTGTGCTCCTATAATTATGGTCATATATACTGCTCAGTGGACTTTCCTCTATGACACCGTATCTCATTAGGCCCTGGAATACCATTTCCTTCCCTTACCAATTCAGACCTAAGGGTGGCAACAACTTCTCACTATTGCTAGTCCCTGGTGATTCTTGCTTCATCATCCTTTACTATTCTTTTAACTCTGTCCACACTGCTCTTAATAGTCCACTTGTGAAATGTCTTCATTTATCTCTGGTAATATATTATGTTTTGATTGTCAAGACTCAGACTGACCCTGACTGATTCAGGCAGCATAAGACCACTCAATTTCTGAGGGAGGGGAAACATACATATGGTAAGTACAGAATACGAAGAAGAAAGGAAGGTGAACAAGTGTAAAATATAAACTTTACACATTTTAGATTTTGCTTCATCAAAAAAAAATTTGTGATAGAAGATACAATGACTGTATCTAAATCACAAAATTTTACATTGCACTTGATGTCTTTCTATACATAATATGAAATGAAAGTTAAGCTTAAAAATGAACGTGTTAAATATTTAAACATCACATCAGATTTTTCTTAAACCACCTCGGTTTTTTTCCGAATTGAACATTTTTCTATTGCATATTCCAGCTGAGAGCCATGTTGAAATGAGTGTTAAGAAGTCTTCTTAGTGATATTATTACTTTGGAGCTTTAGTTGCCATAACAACTTCCTTTACCTCTCAAAAATGTTGAATTATATGTCAAATAGCAGATGCTTCTTATACTCATTGAAATCACGAGCACTGCCATTCAACATAGAATATTAAATAAAAATACTCTAGCAAAGCAACAAATAATTTGAAGGACAACTTTTAGTTGTGATAATTAACTGGAAGTAAAATTCAATTCACATATTTTCCTTTGTAAATAATTTTTCTTGTCTTTAATGTAAGAAAGCATTTTGTTTTCTTGACTCAGTCTTGAATTCATTCAACAAATTTGCCTTTGCAAAAGTTCAGCAGGGAGTGGTTTCTCTACATATTTATATTACAAGAAAATATTTTTTTCTGCTGTAGAAATAAATGTTATAAATTGTCTACAGGGAAGGCATAATTTATATACCAATTTAAAAATTTAAAATAGACCAACATGTAGACATGTCTCACCTTTCGAATACAGATTTTGTCCAAAGTGTAAATATATTTTATACATTGAGAAGTATGATGTGAATTTAAATTATTTTGATAATATATAGTATTATAGTAATTGCTTAAAGTAATGCTTTTAGCTTGAAATAGTCTATTTAGATTTAAAATACCTGGTTTAGACTGGGGTTAGGCTGAGAGTGCTAGAAAAAACTTCATAGACAGCTTCAAATCTTTGTCATGGAGAAAAAAGATCTGTCAAGTTACTGAATAAATAGCCGAAATTACTCGAATTTTCATGTTTGTAAAAGGTTGCCATTATCATAATATTACAGTGTCTATACTAGCAGTTGTACAACTTAATAATGAGTAAACAAATGCTGCATGCCTAACAGAAAAATAACAAAATACTTTAGTTACAATATACATAGATTCATTTGAAAATATTTTAATGGTATAGCATATAATATGTAACATAATGCTACCACATTAGATATAAAAATATATCATATGTGCTAAGTGTATAAATAATATATTGGATTATATCATATTTCAGTGAGTGTTCTTAGTGATTTCAGCATTTCTCTCTCTTATGGTTATATGTGATTAAATTTTTATTGTTTTTAATGTTTGTTATTCAGGGATTACATAAGACACATGAGTAAGGAGTCAATTACAGAGAGAATGGTAATAATAGCAAAATAAGTAATGATAGCTAATACTTTTTATAGCACTTATTAGATACAAAGTACTGTCCTAAATACATTCCCCCATGTTATTTCCTTTCATCCTTATGTTTACCCTGTGAGTTAGATATTATTTTTCACATTTTATACATGGCAAAACAAAGACACAGGAAGAAGTTAAGTAAATTGACTTGGACCTAAGTAATACGTTGAGGATTCATACTTAGGCAGTCTGGCCACAGTGTCCATCAGTAGTGACATAGTCCTACCTTGTAGCTCCACAGTGTTAACCAAAACCCAATATCCACGCATACTTCCACTCTGCCATCCTGTGAGAACAAGATGGTTGTTTCCTCTCTGGCCACCTGCTCATGTTCCATGCAGAATGAACCATCATGAAGAACAAACAAAAAGGGGTGGTGCAATTAACAAAGTCAAATGTCTTTATTTCCTAGGGCTGCCGTAACAAAGTGCTATACACTAAGTGGCTTAAACAAAACATGTATATATATTTATCACAGTTCTAGAGATTAGAAATCCAAAATCAATGTGCAGGTAGGGTTGGTTACTTCTGGAGACCTCTCCCTTTGGCTGATAGATGGCTGTTCTATCTTTTTCTTTACATATTCTTCTCTCCGTGTAGGTCTGTGTTCTAATCGCCTCTTCTTGTAAGGAAACCAGCCAGACTGGATTAAGTCCCATCCATATTACCTCATGTAACCTTAATTACTACTTTAAATAGCCCACCTCCAAAAATAGTCACATTCTGAGGAACTGTGGGGCTAGAATGCTAACTGCCTGAGGGTTTATTCCTGCCTCCTTACAAAGAATGACCATGACATTGTAGTAGAAAGAGTTTAATAGACACAAGACCAGCCATGCAACATGAGAGATGGAGTTAATACTCAATCTCTTCCAAAGCTTGTAGGTTAGAAGTTTTTCAAAGGCATTTTAGGAGAAGAAGTGGGGGTGGCCATGTAACAGGTGCTTGCTGCTTATTGACTGGGGAGGAGATAAAATAATAGGGGATTGAAGCTGTCTTCCTGCAGGTTGAATTTTTCCTGGCCGCAGCAGCAGGGTTGGCAGATCCAAGTAGTAGAGCCATCAGATCCAGATGGAGCCATGGGTGTCAGACATGCAAAAAACCTGAAGAGATATCTCAAAAGGCCAGCCTTAAATTCTACAATAGTGACATTATTTGCAGGAATAATTGGGGAAATTGCATATCTTATAACCTCCAGAATAATGGCTGACGATCATTTATGTCTATGCCTTAGCAGGACTAAGGCTTCTCTCCTCCCACCAGCTTGACGGCCTTTCATTAGCTTTACAAAAGTGGTTAAGTTTTTAGCAAAGCCTATTACCATTTAAACTATAGCCTAAATTCTTCCAAAGTTATCTTGGCCCAATAGCCCAGAAATAATTAAAGAAAAGGCAAGATGGGGTGTGGGTTAGCTCAGATCTCTTTCATTGTCATAATTTTCTCACTGATACAATTTTTGCAAAGGTGATTTTATTAACATATAACTTTTTGGAAGGTAAATAGTGGTGGACAATTTAGCTCATAATGTTAGTGGCAGTAAATCTGTATCTGAATGGGTCTAGAGCAGTCTGAATTCTTGCCTCCTCAGAAGAAAGACTTTGATTGAGGGGCATAATGTAGAAGGAGAGACCAAGGTAGGTTTTACAGCAGGAGTGAAAGTTGATTAAAAAGTGTTAGAGCAGGAATAAAAGGAAGTGAAGTACAACTGGAAGAGGGTCAAGTGGGTGAAGGGTTTGAGATCCCTTCTTCCCTGATTATTCCCTTGGGTTGGGCTGTCCACATGCACAGTGGCCTGCTAGCCCTTGGGAGGGGAGCATGCGCAGCGTGTTTACTGGAGTAGCATGCATGCTCACTTGAGGCATTCTTCCCTTAACAGTCGAATGTCTCTAGGAGGTTATGCTCCAGTTAAAATCTGCCATTTTGACTCTTAATGCATAAACTTGAACCCACTCACCCAACTGCTGAGAACTTATCTGGAAGCTGATGCTCACCAGTTTCAGGTGTTTCTGGTTACTGGGAGACTGCCTTTCTCTGGCACTGGCTGGGTCCAGTTATTCTTTTAGAGATGGATATGGACAGGAGACAGGGAAATATTGGGTAGAAGAGGGTGGTTCCCCATCAAAGGCCCCACCCTCAAGCCTGGTTACCCGCGGCCCTAAGCGAGAACAGGCATTTCTGCTTTTGTGCCCAAAAAGTTGCCTTTGGGTCCATGGTGCTCCCTATCCTGTACCCATATAAACCCTGAACCCCAGGCTCCAGAAGCAGGAGACGAACAGTCAAATGGCAGAACTGAGCAGCAGAGAAGGAGAGAAGAGAAGGAGCAACTGAATGCTGAGAGGAGTTTGGCTAGGGATGATCAGAGAGGAGATCAGCCACCGGATGGTCAAACTCCAGGGAAGATCATCTGCCCACCCCAGCCCCCTTCCGGCTCCACATCCATCCTGCTGAGAGCCACCTCCATCACTCAATAAAACCCCTGCACTCATCCTTCAAGTCCATGTGTGACCCAATTCTTCCAGGATGCTGGACAAGAGCTCGAGATACAGAAAGCTGTCACACTGGCCCTCTGCCCTTGCAAAAAGGCAGAGGGGTCCACTGAGCTGGTTAACACTTAAGCCATCCATAGACAGCAAGGCTAAAAGAGCGCACTGTAACATACGCCCACTTGGGCTCTGGGAGTCACAGGTTCCCAACCCTGGATGCTGCCGTGGGGCCGAAGCCCAGCACCCCTTCCCCTGCACCTGTCTGTCTGCATGCGCCCCCTCCCTTAAGGGGTTTGAGTAGCAGCGGTGACCAAACAGACGAGCCACACCGTGTTGCATGTCCTGTTAGGGAGGTCAGGGAACTCTTCCATTTCAGAGAGATAGTTTAACAACAGCCTGACCATCACCTGATGGTCGCCTGACATTCCTGGGGGATGTCGGGGAGAGGGGCTCTCCTGCCCTGTTCATGTCTGACTAGCTACCTTCTGTAAAAATAACACCAAATTCTTCCAGAAAGTACCAACAGCTTTAACCTTAAATATAAAAAACTGTAAGATAACTCTCCTAGATGCAAAAACAGAAAAGAAATTGTGCTGTGAAGGAAGAAACATAGATATTTGGGCAAGCATTTAGAAATGCCTGTTACAGTATATACCTTTGAGTCATTTTGTATGTCACGCCAACCCTGCTATTGTAAAACCCTATGTAAAATCACCTATTTAGAATTGTTTTAAAATACTGAAGCTAGGGCCGGGCGCGGTGGCTCACGCCTGTAATCCCAGCACTTTGGGAGGCCGAGGCGGGCGGATCACGAGGTCAGGAGATCGAGACCATCCCGGCTAAAACGGTGAAACCCCGTCTCTACTAAAAATACAAAAAATTAGCCGGGCGTAGTGGCGGGCGCCTGTAGTCCCAGCTACTTGGGAGGCTGAGGCAGGAGAATGGCGTGAACCCGGGAGGCGGAGCTTGCAGTGAGCCGAGATCCCGCCACTGCACTCCAGCCTGGGCGACAGAGCGAGACTCCCTCTCAAAAAAAAAAAAAAATACTGAAGCTAGTTTATCTCAAAGCCTGTATGTTTCCAGAGCCTGTGCTCTGGAAAAACCCTAGGCTTTGAAATGCAGATTATAATTAATTGCTTATCTACACTGGGTAGGAATTGTAAGACCTGAAGCACAGAAATCATTAAAAGGGGGTTATTGCAGTGCATAGTTGGTCTTGTGCAATGCTATAATTAAGGAAAAGATATTGATGGTATGGAACATTAAATTGTAAAAGTATAAAAAGCTAATTTCAAAGATGTGAAAACTTCTGATCTGATAGGATCCCACTTTACTGGGACATAAGGTCACTCATACAGGACATTTCATGAGGGACTATGGAAGTACTGGTGAACCACAGTTGCTTTGAAATTACATTTACTCTTTTTTCAAGCTTCATTATAAACTATATCCATTGTTTAAGCCAAGTAAAGGGGACTGGACATCTGTATGCAGTTTTCTAAGGGTTGTATTTCTACTAATTCATAACATGTCAAGGGGCTCTGGGCTTCCGTGGACACTCAAAATTTGCACACTTCTTCCAACGTGTAGAACAATCATTATTCTCCCTAGGAAGATAATCCAAAGACCAGGTAGCTAATTTATAACTTTAAAATCCAGATTTTCTAGGTGATAAATTTTTCTCTCTATTATACTGGATGTAGCTTTTGTAAATAATAGAGATAATCTAAAACACAATTTTCTTTCCCTAAACATAACAATATTAAGTGAAAGGTAAAAAAAAATAGAATGATAGCATGAACCCCAAATATCTGAGACAGGTCTTAATTTAGAATGCTGATATTGCCAAGGTTAAGGACACACCCCTACAGCCTCAGGAGGTTCTGACAACATGTGTCCAAGGTAGCCAGGGTACAGCTTGCTTTTAAATATTTTAGGACATAATACATCAATCAGTACATGTAAGATTTACATTGGTTCAATCTGGAAGGGCAGGACAACTCGAAAGGGGGTGGTGTTCCAGGTCACAGGTAAATTTAACCATATTCTGATTGGTAATTGGTTGAAAGAGTTATTATCAATAGAAAGGAATGTCTGGGTTAAGATAGGGATTGTGGAGACCTAGGTTTTATCAGGCAGATGAAGCCTTCAAGTTAGCAGGACTTAGAGAGAATAGACCGTAAATATTTCTTATTAGACTTAAGGTTTGTATTAACGTTCATGCTGTAGGGATGCAGTGAAGCATATCCAACCCCCACTTCCTGCCGTGGCCTGAACCAGTCTTTCAGGTTCAATTTTAGAGTGGGCTGGCAGAGGAAGAGGAAGTCCATTCAGATGGCTGTGGGTGCCTTCAAATTTTGTTTTTGCTTACAATAAGAATTAGCATTAAAAGCCCTAAATCAGGCAGAAAGATAATAGAAAATATGTAATTGTCACTGGTCTAAAACAATTATTAAATCCCAGTAGATATAATAGTGAGGACCCTTTGCCATATTAAAATATTACATTTCTAGTGCTGATTTTTGGAGACATTGCCTTATCTATTATCTCCCACAGTTACTATTTCTGCCCTGCATGGGCTTCCTTGTCCATTTAATCTATGGAAGTCTATGGTGAATCTTGAGAAAATATATTTCCTAACGGCTACTCGGCTTTCACAGCCAATTTTTTGTTGGAGTGATTTTGCAAAGCTGGAGATGGTCTTCCATAAAAATGGTTACAGGTTGTTGACAATTCAGCAAGATATTTCTCAGGCAGTACAATTTTCTTAAAACCTGAGTTTGCAGTGTATTTTCTTTCAGTCAATCCCTGGTATGAACTTCCACAACCACATATCTTGTTTAGAAGTATCTTTAAGCCTGTGAGTTCTCCTATTTTAATAATGATTTCTCTGCTCTGAAAAATCCTAAAGGTTTTAGCTTAATTGTCAATGCTTTAAAGAAATTTAAAATATGTCTTACAGTGGGTGTGGTGTCTCATCCCTGTAATACCAGCACTTTGGGAGGCCAAAGCAGGTGGCTCACTGGAGGTCAGGAGTTCAAGACTAGCCTGACCAACATGGTAAAACCCTGCCTCTACTGAAAATACAAAAATTAGCCAAGTGTGGTAGCACATGCCTGTAACCTCAGCTACTTAGAAGGCTGAGGCAGGAGAATTGCTTGAACCCAGGTGGCAGAGTTTGCAGGGAGCCGAGATCATGCTACTGTAATCCAGCCTGGGCAACAGAGCTAGACTCTGTCTTAAATAAATAAATAAATAAAAATAATAAAAACCTAAAAGGCTTAAGTTATGAAGGCAATCTTTTTCACCAGCAAGCAGGCAATTACTGGCCTCTCAATAGCAGACAACTCTTAAGGGGAGATTTTGAAAAGGCCCATGGCAAGAGACTTTTATCCTTCTAAGGTTATCGTCTTACAGAAATTATAATAATTAGATAACATTTCATCTGGAGTAAAGGAGCAGTTTTTTTTAATCCTTCAAGTTGACCCTCAGTCAAATAAACTTGAAGACAGCAGAGATGATCCTCAGTCAAATAAACTTGAAGACAGCAGAGATGAAATATTTTTTTCACCTCTGCTTGCACATTGTCTATATCGGGCCTGTGTTCATCCTCCAATATTCAGAGCCACACTGAAAGCAAAACATGCCAATACCCCCAATGTTTATTTTCTTCCCATTTATACTAACCATATTGTTATTAGTCAGCTCTTTCCCAAGATACAAAATTTAACATTTAGACCAAATGTTTTGTTGTAGCATCACAAAGGTCACCAGCTTTCCAGACCCCAGTATTTATATCCTTATGGCCCATAGTGAAGTTCTTTCCTTCAGCCAATGTCACAGTTTTCTTATTTTATTTTTCACAGCATCCCACTTCCATATAACAAATTCTGTATTAATTTTTATTTAGCTGAATATGATAAAATCAGATTAAAATTCTAGAAATAAAAGTGTTAGTTCCATTTTTTATTAGCACTATTGTCACTTTCTTTGCACTTGTCTATTTTGAATATATTTGTTTAATTAATAATACATACTAGAACCTAAAAACACCTATCCAAATGTGCTTTAAAAATAATACATAAGCATAGGCTAAAAATGAATAATGGAGCAAAGCTATCTTCCTAATCCCCCAAGTTTTTGGATCTCTCACTTTTCTTCACATGAGCAGGTTAAGAATGTCTGACAAATGGAATAACTGAGAATACCAGTGTTGATTCATATATTCATAAATCATAATTCATTTTACCTTTAAGATAAAAATTAGTAGAGGTTTTATTTCCTTCCTTAACTATACAGATGGCAGTGTTCAATCCTTGGTGCATATTTACTCAATGTTTTGCACAAAACAAATATTTCGTATTTTTCTATTTTTTAAATGCAAGGATTGTAGTCAGATGGCAAATTTGGTTATATTTTGTATAACAAGTAGTTTAACGTTGCAAAAAACCCATCAGGAATTTTCTGATTAATAAAATTGGTGAAGATGCAAACATACTTAAGACAGCTAATTTCTTTTTGTTTGTAAACAAAAACAACACTATAAATTTTAAGGGGTCTCTTTTATACATTTGAATATTAAGGGCTAATAAATAACATTCATTTCTTTCTTTTGAAAAATTATGATTAATTGATAACTAAGACACAGAAAAAAGAAAAATCAAGCTCAGAAAAGAAAAATACCAAATACTTTCATGAACACCAACTGGAGACTGTAGCTTTAAATCTGTGGCTGAATGTGCTCACCCGTTGTACTCAGCCTCCCTTTGTGGAGATTGGTGTGGCCCACCCAGGAGAATATTTGATGCTTCTCTATAGACCTGTATTGAGTATATCTTTCTCATAATGTCTGGGGAAGAAATGGAGAGAGAAATGACACCCCAGTGACTAACAATTTACAGATGTTTTTGTTTGTTTGTTTTTTGTTTTTATTCCTACTCAATTAATATGGGAGCAAATGACTATCACCCACCAATCAGATAACTCATTTTTTTTTCCTCTGTAAGGAGAAGTGAGAGATGTGGGTCACATGGAGTAGGTCAGAAAGTTAGAAAAGTTGACCTCTGGGCAGATTCCTCCACAGAGAGAAACATGAGGTTAGAGGATCAGTCCACATATTGAGAACCATTTTCCTTACGTAAGCCGCCAACACCCATTATTTAAGGATTTTTACTGTTTCATTTTAAAACTATATTATCTCCTCTTTGAATGTCTAAAGTTATTAAAATGATGCAAAGTTATTAACATTAGGAAGAACTAAGTGTGCTTCTTTCATTAATAACTAATGGTAATGAACTTCAGCAAAACCATAGAACTACTTTAATCTTTACATTTTCATAGCACTAATGTAAATGTTAATGTAAATTCTATCCATGAAACCCACATCAATTTTATCAACAGTCGGCAGTACATGTAATCAGAATAAACTCTAAAACCTTATAAATTCAAAAACCATTTCTCTATTTTTGCTTCTGCAAAGCGAAGCACTTATTTTTACCCAATGAATAATCTTACAGTAAACCAAGGATTTACCTCTGTAAAACTTATCTACATTGTTTCTTTATGGGCTAGAATTAGAAGTTACAAAATAGAAAATGAGAACAAAGCTTATCTCTTTACAAATTCACTTCATTTGTGCCACTGTGGATTTGCTCTCTCA
Organism: Homo sapiens; assembly: GCF_000001405.40. NCBI lineage: Eukaryota > Metazoa > Chordata > Mammalia > Primates > Hominidae > Homo > Homo sapiens. Next base: position 171,680,400 of record NC_000004.12, read on the forward strand.
CTTTCCCTAAGCCAACAATCTAGAAAGGTAAGGCCAGTGGTAATAAGCAATTATAAGCAAATGTATTCTCTACTCCTAAACTGAGCAGAGCTGAGGCAGAAAATTTAGTTTCCCTTGTGAGAAGTCATGATTTCTATCAGTGCACAAGGGAGTGAAAAAGTTTTAAGCTGCTGTTACTTGAGATATTTACTTGTTTAAAGCTTACAAATTGAAAATCCTTGATATGTTAATATTTAGGATACACCTTTTTAAAATGAAAGAGAGGTAAGTGGGGTTATTCGTGATTTCCTACAAGGTCCTCATCATATCTTAAGAATTTCCATTTACAAATATAATTTTTTATATCCCTTTACCAATTTTCTAAATTTATTACTGAGTATAAATCCAGGACGAACTGAATTCGGTTTTCAAGTCATATTTTAAACAGTCTGTCAAACCTTTTTGAAACATTTGTCAACCATTTTGAAGCAATTTTTTAAAACTTAATATCAAGACAGACTGACTTTTATTATTTTTATCAATATTTTGTGATTCTTGACAAACTAATGATATTTGCTTTCTATAGTAGATTTCTTCAAAATCCTTTCTTTTTGTTCATCCTTCATCCCTCAATATTACACTGACTTGCTCATTTCTGTCTCTCTCTGTGTGTGTGTGTGTGTATGTGTCTGATACGTAGCCCTAAGGATTGAAACATGTCAGAAAAGTATCTGCTATACATTTTCCTCCACTTTGCTTCTTCCTAGGGTCATTTTAGAAATCATTAAAAAATTCGCTATTAATTTTGAAGGATCCTGATGTTTAATGCTATTCAGGAACAAAGAAAAATCTAAGGCTGTGTGTTATATTATTTATACTCAAAACTCTTCCCACTAGAATACCAAAGTAGAGTGATTAATAATGGAATGTTATTAAATATTATAAACTTATTTACCATAGAAACTCTTCAACATTTGAACAGTTTTCCCTGTATTCATAGAATAGGATATAGGACATATAGGGAAAATAGGAAACATATTGTAAAACATTATAAATGTGAAAGTAGAAAATACTCCATTCTTGAAAGAAAACAAGATAGCTAAATATTTTTCTAACAACAGAGCTATAATACAGATGGTAAAATCAAAGTAAATATTTCTTTTCAATAAATCACTTCAAAGCACTCAAAGGAGGAATGACAGAAGTTACAGAGTACAGACTCCCAGCCTGGATGTTATTCACTGAAAATAATTTGTTTCTCTAATGGGGGAAGGAACTGAGAGTTTCACCTTTCACTTATCTCAAAGAGCGTTTTCTGGCTGGGGTGTGGTGGTTCATGCCTGTAATCCCAGCACTTTCAGAGGCTGAGTCGAGAGGATCACTTGAGCCCAGGCGTTTGAGACCAACCTGGGCAGCATGGCAAAACCCCATCTCTACAAAAAATACAAAAATTAGCTGGGTGTGGTGGCACTTTCCTGTAGTCCCAGCTTCTCAGGAGGCAGAGGTGGGAGGATTGCTTGAACCTGGGAGGCAGAGGTTTCAGTGAGTTGAGATTGTGCCACTGCACTCCAACCTGGGCGACTGGGCAAGACTTTGTCTAAAAAAAAAAAAATTATATCCCTGCCCTTTTTCTTTAAAATGACTGATTTCCTGTTTTTGTTTTTGTTTTATTCAATCAAGAACTGGCACTGTTTTGTGCATATATCTTTGTATGGATGGACTGGACAGCTATGCTTACTAATTCTTTTTTTTTTTTTTTGGTAGGTTTAAAAGGTATATCACAGCAGCAAGAATAAACTGTGGTATTCCGCAGCATTCCTAGTTTCAAAGTTCTTAACTCTCTTTTTTATTCCAATACATCTGAAGCATATGATTTGCCCCCTTAGCAACAGTAGTGACACATTTCAGCAGGACAGCAGAGTCAACTTCAGGACAAACTCTTCTAGAAGGCAATTGCCAAGTATGAGGCTGATAGTGGCAGTGGAGAGCCTCAAATTTTGATAAAATCCCTTCAAGAACTTTCACAAATCATTGTCCAATGTCATTTCAATGAGCTAATTTGATTACTAAAGAACTTATTGCGCATTCAGGAAAGCCTACAGTAGAGGTTTGACTTATCCCTGTTTTCTGGTTAGTTTGTCATGTTAAGTCCTTCATATATTGTATTCTTTGCTCAGGGATTACAGTTGAAAATGCAAGTTAAGAAAAGAAGAAAGTAAATAGTATGAAGGGTTTAAAATTAAAATAACACTAGAGAAAAATTACTAATAGGAATCAGGTGTAACTCCTGAGTGCTGGCCGTTTAGAATTCTTATGTTGTATAGTATATTGTTCAAATCCTTGTAATCATTAGTTTGTCTATATCAGTAGGCTGTTTTGTGTTTTATAAATCACAAGTATATTTGTATCAATATTGGGAAACTACTGACTTGAAATTATTAAGTATTGCAATGCAGACATTAACTTTGCTTCCTCTGACTCATTATGGTCTTGTAGATTATATAGCTAGCTGCTAAATGTCATGACAGTAAAGCATCATCCTTCTGTAAACATAGTTGTTTGGAACAAAGGTAAACATCTGATCGGTGCTGGGCTGAAGAACCACTTCTTCAGGAAGGTCAGAATAAGAGATGAAATATTCCAGCCCATTTTTCTAGTTTTCTATCCTAGGAGGTTTAAATGAATGGCATGTGAACATTAGGATTTTAAATCTAGGACTGACAAAAGAGATTTCTCTTTGAATACCAATTGTATGGTTTCTTAGAGGCAGCCTTGAGGACTATACTGAAGAGTGTGGAGAGTTCTGTTTACTATTTCTAATCTAATCTTCTTAAATAAATATCACTGTTATTTCTAATAACATCTAACATTTATTGTGCATTTACCGTGTACCAAGGTCTCCATTCTGTGCTTTACATTGTCTGTTCATTTGACTTTCACAGTCTGTACCTATTTATTTTCCTATTTTGAGAATGAATAAATTGATCTTTTAAAAGCTCAACGACATATATTTAGCAAGTAGCAAGGAAAATGAAAGATTATATAGTTTCAAAGGAAAGAGAAATTTACCAATTATAGGAAAACAATACTAATAACCAATAAAGAAGTCAAATTGTACACAGGATATTGGAGAAACTGATGCTGTTCTCTTGAAAACACGAAAGTCATCGAATGAGCAGTATTGCTCAAAACCTTTTTTTTTTCCACAAATTGAACATGTGATCCCTAATCTTTTACCCTAGTGTCTACATTTTGGCTTACAGCATAAAAACATACCTTCAAACATTCTGCAACTATTTCTTTCTTTCTTTATTTATTTTTTGAGACGGACTCTTACTCTGTCATCAGGCTGGAGTACAGTGGCACGATCTCGGCTCACTGCAACATCTGCCTCCCGGGTTCAAGCAATTCTCCTGCCTCAGCCTCCCGAGTAGCTGGGATTACAGGTGCTCACCACCATGCCCAGCTAATGTTTGTATTTTTAGTAGAGACAGGGTTTCACCATGTTGGCCAGGCTGGTCTCGAACTCCTGACCTTGTGATCTGCCTGCCTCTGCAACCATTTATTAAGAATCCACCCGATAGCAGGTGCTGCACTAGAAGCTAAGGATGCAGTGGTGAGAAAGAAAAGGTGTTGCTGTCTTTGCACAGTTTAGCAAAGCAGACATTATTAAATTAGCAATTACTATATATTGTGAGTGGAAAACACAGGGGAGGATGAGAAGACACATGAAGAGTATCTGGATTTAGTTCAAATTGTCTGAAAAGAACTTTACTTTTAAGATACTAGTTATAGAATATGTAGGACTTAAAATGTTTGATGGGGTGATAATAAATGTCCTAGGGAAGGGGAATATCATGAATGAAGGCCTGGAGATGAGATATTAATGGAGTCAATGATGACTCCCAGATTTCAGGTGAGCACATATCATTGTCATTGTATAAATATTAAGTTAATTAATCTAACTCTCACATATCATCCAAAGAAGGATGATGAGAATTGAGATTCAGCAAGTAAGCAGGACTCAGGTTATTAAGGAGATTTTAAGCAACCTTATTCAACAAATACATACTGTGTGCCTATTATATGCCACAGCAGCAAAAAAAGAAAAATTAGCTTAAAAGTGTGTGTTCTTATAGAGCATGTATTCTAATAGATGACAGAGAGTAAAGAGAAAATAGGTGAAGTCAGTTCTACTACTTCTGAAAATGCATATTTTTTCTAAAGTCACACACACACACACACACCACACCCGCACGGCAAAAATTCGGAATAAAACTATGCATGTATCAAAGAAAGTCATTCCGTGCTGAAAGAACAGGAAGTGCGAAGAACTTCTCCTAACATGGATGTTATTAAAATCCAGTTCTTTTGCATTTTTGATAGCACAATTGATTATAAAGGAACTATTTTGCACTAAAGTAGGCGATTTCATTATGCGCAGTTAACGTTTTATAGAGATCTGATATGATTAAACGTAATGGAAAATGCCATCAGACTCACAATGTGAGTGTTATACTTTACCTGTGATACCTTCAGGTCCTGCCTATTGTACAAGTATAATTATTAGTGGTCTCTATTGCTTTCAAAAATGTTCAAGTTTGTACAAAAATTAAATGATTATACTTACCATTACAGTTTCCTAGTATGAAATCTCTCAAAGCCTTGTAGAATATGACTGACTTGCAGTGTTTCACCACTGAATAGTCTTTTATAACATAGAAAAACAACAAAGGAAGCAGAGAAAAATGTATAATTATTACCAAAATAATGTGTTTTGAAAAAGTATCTACTATATGTTGAACTACACACACACACACACACACAAACATGTCCCGATGCAACTTCTGCTGCAACTGGGAAAACTGGACTTTATTTGGCAGCTTCAAGGGACAAGAGGAGCATTTATGGTACTGCATTTTGGGATGAATCATAAATGGTCGGATAAATAATAAATTGATCCAGAAATTCAGAAATTGAGTTTTGCTTTTTTTGCTTTATTCAGTGTTTCTCCCATGAATTGATTATCATAAACAGAACAGAAGAGGTGGCAAATTTATGAACACTTCGTTGACTTACATTGGCTCACAAAAGTGGAAGAAAGAGCAGATTGTTGAAGTTAATCAGTGTTCAGGAAAATCACCAACATAAAACACAGGACCATAGGACATCCTTTTTGTACTACTAAAGTCCTTAGACATGGAGTTTATTCACCGCCATCATCTCAAAACCCTCCCGAATTCTACTGCAATTTGTCTCCCTAAGTACCTTCTCTCTGTTTCAAATGCTATTTACTTCCTCACATATTAATTGCATGAAAAAGTGCCTACCTAATTGGGACAACCAGATGTAATGCTAAGCAGTCTTTTCTCGGTTGAGATAGAGTCCCCACTTGCTTAGACTTATCCTGTGTCCTTTGGGGAATTCCCTTGTGTGGCTTCAAGAATGTAGTTTATTTACAAATCTCAACTTCGTATCTGTCCTGTGTTTTGTATGTCTTTCATTTGGAGTGACGACTTGATTACTTTATATCCACCAATGAAGATATTCCCAAGTGTGGTAGATTATGTCTTTATGAAGCATTCACCACAAATGATGAAATCTGTTTTAGTGCACTATAGTTCCCTTCTAATCCACTGTGCTATAAAAATACAGAAGAAACAAGGTTTAATAACATGTATGTTAGAAAATTCTCCTATTTAATCTTGGTAAGCTCATTTTCTCTGCGATTTTCGATAAATATATTGGTAAGACAGGAGAAATAAAAATGTGTTATTTTTGTATAATATGAAGTTGTCACTAAAAACAGGCCTTCAATTTTGTGAAGGGAAAGAGAACTCATTAAAACAATAAAAGTAGAACAATTATTATCTCCAACAAGAATGTTCACACTGGCACTAATGCTTAGCCTACATACACTGAGAGAATTTATATGTGTGTGTGTTTATGCATAAAACCCTGTCCAAATGAGTATTTTTTTCTAAATTATAGTTTATAGTTCATGCAGTTTACTGTTAATTCTGATTAATCTTGACCAAAACACTTGAAAACTTATCAATAATCTGGTAAGGCCAATATTGCATTCATTAGAATATTAGATTTATCTTCCAAAATCTTTTTTTATTTAGTTCAGTGATTTTTCAAGTTTCTGTTATTTGCATTTTATCTTCAAAAATGTTTTCATATACAATTTGAATGGGTACCACTAGTTTACTTAATGTTTTTCTTTTAATCAATCTTAAATGAACCAATTTTTCATAAATTTATCCTAAATATTAACATCAATTTAGTCATTAGTATTTTGTACAAGTTATATCTTCCATGTATACATAAAATTAATGTGATTATTAAAATAAATATGATTATTAAAACTAAAGGGTTTCACCAATGTACTATGAAGAATTCTTTCATGTATCACTGAGAAAATAAAAGGGTTTTAGGAAATGTAACGAGTAATTATGGATTGTTTTAGTTTTAGGACACGTGATGTTAAAATGATCCATCATCACTTCTGTGTAGCTGATTAGAAAGACATAAGATGATTCCTTTTAAATGAAACACACTTACCATTTTAGTGAGTTCAAGGAAATACAATAGAATGTAAGATTATATTACTGTGACTCAGAAACCAACGAAGCACGTCCGCGCGTGATGTTTTTCACATTAAGAAAGCAAACGACATTAATGAGGTCAATAGAGCACAAAATAGAAAAGCTCATTAAATCTACATGTCATTTCATAGCTAACAAAGTTTTACTGGGTTATATATTTAAATATCTACAGACATGAAGAGTATATTGTACAAGATAAGTTGACAATTCATGGGGGTGTGACTATTTTTCTTTCTTACACACCTACATAAACACAGTCAATAAGGTATCTCCATTCAGCACGTGGAATTGAAGAAAAAAAATTATAGCACACTCAGTGTCTCCAGAATTAGACCTCTGGAAACCATAGTATCTGAAATAATACTTAATGGCATTGAGAAAAAAGTGGGAGTCATTTGAGTCTTCTGAATGTCATTTAAAGGGTTATTTGACAATAATCAATTTCTAGGATTATAAGAACAAAATTTATTTGCTAACTTAAAATTTTATTGTCAGATAAATTCATGCTTGCAAAAATAAGACTCAGAAAAAATTCTCAGGGGAAAATCTTTTTTAAAATAACCAATAATCATGCCAGGAGCAGTGGCTCACACCTGTAATCCCAACACTTTGAGAAGCCGAGGCGGGTGGATTACCTGAGGTCAGGAGTTCGAGACCAGCCTGGCCAACATGGTGAAACCCCATCTCTACTAAAAATACAAAAAATTAACCAGGCATGGTGGCAGGCACCTGTAATCCCAGCTACTCAGGAGGCTGAGGCAGGAGAATCGCTTGAACCCGGGAGGCGGAGGTTGCATTAAGCCCAGATCACGTCACTGCACTCCAGCCTGGTCAAGAAGAATGAAAGTTCTTCTCAAAAAAGAAAAAAAATACCTATAATCAATCAATAGGCAATATCTTCATGAAGGGCCAAATTCCAGAATTTTTCAACGTATTCAAATAATGCTTCCACAAGGTTTACAAATGTAAACCACTGACACTTCATTCCAATCTGTCCATTGCCTTAATTTGCATGAAATTAAAAGTGGCCTTAAGAAATGCAGAGGAGAGAACAGAGAAGTGTTCACAGGAGCATTTCAAATTTGTAAAAAATTAGATTAGTCAACCACAGCGAAATGATTAAGATAAACTTATGAACCTCTGCAATAAGAAGTCATATGACAATGAATGTATTAATTTCATTGAGGGTCATTTTCTGCCAGACAACATGGAACTGTCATTTTTTCAAACCAAGACTGCTTTAAGAATACAATTTCAAGTGTGGTCCTCTGTTACAGAGAGGTAAATGTTATGGATACATAGTGCTATTTTGAGTTGCCCTGGATTTGAAGTAGTTAAAAACAATCCTTATTGATGTGATAGAAGGAAATACAAGGATAGACGTCTAGATATTCACAACTACATAAAGTTGAATTTTTAACCACATATAATCTCAACATTCCACAGGGATAGAGTATTAAAAATTATATCTCATCTCAGTCCATCTCATCTGCTCAAATAAAGGCCTATTACTTCTTCATAGTGTTTTGTATGCTAAGTCTAATATTAAAAAGTGCATTGTTGTAAATTCTAATTCAGCATATCCTTTTCATTTGGGGAGATAGGTAGGAACAAGGAGGATGTGGTGTTTTTGTAGCTCTTCATTGCAGTAAAACATTTAAATACTATTATTTAAAAATGACATAGTTAATATTCTCCTCAATACTTAGCATATGTATCTTATCTTTTCTAGTAAATACAGAAGAAATATTCTTCACTTCAAAGAACCTCACTGAAGCTTTAATATGACTGTAAAATATATATAAAAAATAAATAGAAAATTGGAGACAACTATCATGATGGGTTCATCTAACTTCTACATGAGACTGTCTACATCTTGTCTATTTTAAAATGAGACAAGATACAATTAGTGATTAAAAGAGTAAGCAAGTGTCATTGTTTGCATAGATATTTCTAAGACTATGATAAAATAGCCATATATGTTTGCAAGAATTTTTATTGACTATGTGAAGTCAAATGATAAGAACTGTTACACATTCCCAAGGAGTTTTCGTATTAATTTTAATTTATTCTAAAATGAAAAGCAATAAAACAGAAAAATATGTGAACAAATATTTTCAAAAGATAAATACTAATGGATTTGTCATGGTTTCTCTGGCTTGACATTGAGTATTTATTTCTCACATACAATTGCTTAGCTAAACATCAAGACCAATCAAGTTGAGTGTGTAAGACAAACACAAAATTGGACGCAAGGGATAACTAAAATTACGATTTTCCCTTAGGGGTTTCAGTTAGTAATTTTTGAATTCAAAATAATCCAATCAAATCTACATTATATGCCAGCAGTGCTCTAAAGATTTTAAGCATCTCAGTATGATAGAAAACGGAATAATGTTTAACTTTATCATTAATTAAGACAAGAGCATTTTATTATAAAATGGCTACTTTCAAATATCCCTATTCAAAATTATTCAAAAGCTTCTAATTTGAAATTAGCAGGATAGATCCGTACTAAGACTTTTCAAAAGCTAATCTTCTATTCTTTCATCACCCAATCTATAATTTTTTACAAAGGGAAAGAAAGATTATAATTTTTCTTTAATTATGACCATCCTGCTTGTAATAATGACATTAATTTTGTGCTTCAGAGCTAGACATACTGTCTTCATTGCTAAGAATTAATAAAAAACTAGCATGTTTATGATCACATAATTATAGGATTCCAAAGTGGGAAGAGGGCCAATTATCCAGGCCAACTTCTACTTTTCCTAGATGAAGGGATGCAAACAAATTTTATATCTAAGCACTAATTTAGGTTATATTTAAAAGTATCTCTGCTTGGTTTTTGGCTTCTATGTCTTTTTCTAAACTTTGCATACTCACAGAAAGCCCAGTTATTCAGGCAGTTCTTTGTTCTTTCTTGTGAACTGGTTTTCATCTCCCTTTTGGGGGACATGAGCCTGTAGATTATCTCAGCCTCTTTTCTAGGTTCTTCCTAAAGCCTAACACAATTATAAAGCAGGCTCTGTCTTGTCTTCAAGCTGACAAAAATATTTTTTGAGACATAATGAAAAATTATAAGAATTTCTTGAAGGTGGAGTGAGAGGACGTGGAGAAGAAAGAGAAGAAGAAAGAAACAGGTGGAAGGGAAGAAGAATTCATCACATGAGTCATGGTGTTTTCACAAGAAAACAGAGTGGCTTCATTTACCACCAAAATCTTTTGAATGTCTACATCTTTTTAGTGTTTCAATATTATTTAAACTTTAAACGTTTTGAGAATTCATTCTGAATAGGGTAATTATTGGAATCCAGAAGGATGAACCAACTATGCTGTAGGGTACTGGGACAGGCAGTTAGAAAATTTGTATTTGCCAAAGGAAAGAAAATAAAATGAAAGGCAGAAGTCAGCTGTTCTGGCAGGGAAGATGATAATAGACAATGCTTGTCCTGCCCCAGCACTGTTCTAAGTGCAATATATATATTGCACTTAGAACATATACATATATACATATATAATTATATTATATATTCCATATATGGAAGTTATTTAATCTTTATAAGAAGTCTATGAGATAGCTAAGAGGAGTTCATAGAGCGGAAGTAGTATACATTTCATTTCATTTAATTCAGCTCTTGAACAAGTTATGATAGGACATGGACATTTATATTTGTTCCGATTAAATATTTCTTGTTTTAAATAAAAGGCTGACTTCTTAATTCTTAGAATAAAGAAAATAAGCAAAATTAAACATCAAAAATATTTATCATATTTGATGGAGCAATCATCAACATCTGGCATTTAGTGTGTGTCTTAGATACTATTTTTAAACTTTCCATTCATTGTTTTTTCTGCCACTGCCTTCATATTATTTCTTAAAGTATTGGGGTGGAAGTTTTTCTGATAGCACTGCTTAGTTACTGCTTAGAACTTAGATTTATTCTCCTGAGTAAACTATAGACAAGTTTTAGTTTTAACTATCCAAGATGCAACCACATAATCCAGAAATCTTGTATTGTTGAGAGAATATAAAAACCTACATTTACAAACAATCAAATCTACTTTCTAAGTAGAAAACTAATGTGCCTTGAAGAGTTCTTCAATACCCATTTAAACACTTCTAAGAAAGTAAAGTTATTTACTTGTTTTTTTTCTCAAGATTGATTTTCTTAAATTTCTCTCAAATAGCAATTGAATGGACACACTTGGAGGTTTTAGATTTGTTCTAGGCTAGTTTACTCTTGGCCTTGCAACTTTTGAATCAATAGATTGATACTTGAGTAAATACATTTAGCACCAGTTTTACATGTTAGGTCACTGTTAACAATAAATTAAACCTAAATACAAATTTTAAGGGAGAAAATCAGAAAATGTTTAAAGAAGACCAGTTTCGAAGAGAAGGTGAAAAAGAAGAGGATGAAGGAAACTATATAAACCTTTTTCTATGAATAATTAGCATGATATTTGAGTAATAATACTCCAAGAAGAATTCTGCAGTCATTGCATGATACATATACTATATCTCCGAAGCCATTGCTTTACCAGAATTCTAGAGTATGGGTCGGGATTTGTAATTTTAACTTTTAAAATCAAACTCTATATAAGTAAATTACATTCTCTAATGAAGTCTTTCTCTCATACTTATTTTTGATATTGCAAATTCTGACTCTTACTCTTCCTTTTCTCCCTCTCCTGCTCCTGACTTCACCTTGTTTAGTTTTCTTCTTTTCTTGAACACATAGATTCTAAAGCCATTTGGTCAGGGTTAGGTGGGCATCCACATCTGGTTGGGTGACGGGGAGCTGTGATGGCCCAGAATTATGAGAGCCCAGGCAAAATGGAAAACAGGTTCACATGGGAGAGCCACCTAGCATGGAGTCAGAGCTGAGAGAGGGGAAGGACTTCCATGAAGAGGATGATCTAGTGCAAGTCATATGAAGACAACAGATTGAGAGAGGTATCAATATTCAGGCCAGACTCAGTGATATTGTCAGTGTCTGAGACTGTTGAGTAGGGCCTTCATACCAGGATTTTCTGACCATGATGTGTTAAGTAGAATAGCTGTGCAAGAGACATGACAGTGTGGCAATGGCAAATTATTTACATCAGGGCAATTGATCAAATAGGTACAGATATTAAGAATAATGAGAGAAGGTTTCTCATTTACAAACATTGAAAGGGAAAATCTAGAATAAATATCCTGGTGTTGAGTTAGAACATTCATGATTTTAGTAAACAAGAATAGATATACAAATAAATAAAGGTTCAAATTTGTATGTCTCTGTGTGTGTACAAATAAATATATTCCTTAGCTCTGTTTAGTCAGAGGGCCTAGAATTAGTGACACCTCAATACCTAGCAGCACAGCACATTGATCTTGGTTTCTAAATATGTCTGATTCTTGGGGAAATGGCTGCTTCTAGACTGGAGAAGAGAAAAGACAAAATAAGCATGGAAACACATGTTGAGATAGAAAATAAAAATGTGCTCAAAACACAGGCGCATGTCAAAAAAACAACAAAAAAATGGAGTATGTCTTAAAGAACTAGAGAAATCTGGGACAATTTCTGTATCAAAGCAAAGAATGAGAATAATATGTCTTAATTCTTTGAATAAAATAGAAATCCATGAATCCATATTTATGCTTAATAAGTAAATTGAAAGCTTCAATTTTAAATGAGAACAAATATTGACATTATTTCAAAGAGTTAATTCACAAATGAAAATCCTCACAGAAACCATCTTAGGTGATCAAAGTTAATATAACCAATAATGGGACAAACCAAATCATGTACCACCTAGTAAGATGGGATGAAAGAAAACAGCACCTCTTCTGTGATATTCCTGATAATGATGAATAACCTCAATGCACTTGTGAGAAAACATCATTAAGCCAAATCAGAGATATTCTACAAAATACCTAACTTGTAACTTATAAATTATCAGGATGATAGAAATCAGAAAAAGAATGAGAAAATGTTTCAGAATGAAAGTGCCTGCAGGGACATGACAATTAATCACACATGTGATTGTGAACAGGACTTCCTTTTTTATTTTTACTACATAGTTAACATTATTGACACATTTGATGAAAATTCAAAGGATCTTCTGATAATTTGATGGCAGTAATTTATCAATGTCAGTTTCCTGATTTGATTAATGCATTACTGTTTTATAGGAGAAAGTCTTTATGGGACATACATAGTAAAGTATTAAGGGATAATGAGGCAACAGATTAGACACTTATTCTGAAATGGTTCAGAACAAACATTATTTTTAATTTACTTGCACTTTTTAGATTAAAAATTATTTCAAATTAAAATGTATATTGTTTAAATTCAGTAAGTGACACATGGTATCATTGCACACACTTAATTTTCATTTTCTCATTAAAAGCCAGTTTGAGCCTGGCATGATAGTGTGTGCCTGTAGTCCCAACTACTTAGGAGGCTGAGGCGGGAGAATGACTTGAGCCCAGGAGATTGAGGCAAGTCTGGGTAACATAGTGAGACCCCATTTGGATTTAGTTTTTATAATCAAGAGTTATTTGTCTTTTTGTGTGAACTTTCTCTTTCAAATTTTCTTTTATTTTCTCACGAGACTGTTCTTCATGTATTTTCCTATTAGATATGTTGGCGCATTTTCTGTGATACAGTTGCTATAATCATTTCCTAGTTTGTCTTTTGATGTTATTTTTAGACATTTATTAAACTTGTATTTAGTAGTATTTATCAATATTTTGACTTTCTGACTTTGAATTTTAGTAATTTTGGACAGTATCAATTTTTTAGTTATAAGAAAATTTACTTAGGCTTTTCTTTCCTTTTTTTTTTTTTTTTTTTGTATATAATGAGAACATTTGGACACAGGAAGGGGAACATCACACACCAGGGCCTGTTGTGGGGTGTGGGGAGAGGGGAGGGATAGCATTTGGAGATATACCTAATGTAAAAGACGAGTTAATGGGTGCAGCACACCAACGTGGCACATGTATACATATGTAACAAACCTGCACGTTGTGCACATGTGCCCTAGAACTTAAAGTATAATAAAAAAATACTTAGGCTTTTCTTTATGTACTTACATGATTTTGGTTTTTACATTTATATTTCTGATAAATCTTTAAGTTACTGTGATGTATAAGATATGAACGCAATTTTATTTTTTTCTGAAAATAGATGTTCATCTTTCCTCAGTATCATTTATTACAAGCTCATATTTTTGCACTGATTTCAAGCATCACTTTTATCATACATAATAGTTTAATATATGTTTAGATCTCCTTTCTCATCTGTTCTGTTGCAACAGTACAGTTATATATTCTTGAGCCAACACCTCACTGTGTTTAGTTATAAAGGCTCATTATTTTAATATTATAGGACTGGGCCTCCCTGATATTTCTTTTTCTTTTTTTAATTAGTCTTACTTGCTTATTAATATTTTTTCATATGGATTTTTGAATTAAGTAATATAGCTCTAGAAAAACCATATTGGATTTTTTTATTAAAATAATGTCAGTCTTACAAGTTAACTTAGAGCTTTGTCATTTTATACTACTAAATCTTCATATCTTAGAACATGGTATGCCTTTCCATTTATTCAAGTTAACTTTTGTGCCTTTCGATGATTAGGTTTTCTTCATGTGGATTTTAGAAAACTTTGTTAAGGCCTCGGTATTTGATGTTTTTATTGCTCTTGTAAATGAAGTATTCTCTTTCAATATATCTTTTTACTAGTTATTGTCTCAATATATGCAGACTCAATATGTGTGTATTAATTTTATAAATTGCTATTAAATATTAACTATGTTCCTTTTCAGCAGGTTTCTTTTTCTTATTGCTTGCTTTAGGCTTTTCATATAAATTATATCATTTTGTAAATAGAGATCTTTTTATTTCTACATTCCAAAATATTATGTAAATTATTGCTTTCTCTTATCTAATTGCATTGGCTAATGGGAGACACTCCTCTGTGTATCTCTTGGGCTCATACTCCTCTTACTGATTGTGCTACAAATGCATAGTCCTGACAGCTCATTACCTCGGCTTTCTCTTGGCACTTTTTTGTGTTGCAGAAAGCAACTTTAAAAGATGGAAGTATCTTTTCCCAGGACAGAGTAGGCTTGCTTATCACTACTATAAAAGTAGCCGATTCCCAAAGCAGCTCAGTTTTTTTCACATACCCACAGTGTACACGGCATCCATCTGGTCCACCCACATCACCCCTTGCCCCACTGTGGGACTCAGAGGGCAAGGGGAATGGGTGAACTCACCATATCATGCAGCTTGCTGTGCTATAGTGACAAAGTTCTGTGTCTGTAATTCAGAAGTCATGTATCTTTTCCCAACATTCGTAAAATAGAAGCGTATTAGCTTGTAAGTAGTATAAAATCAGATCTCAGACCCAATAGTTATTTCCTCCAATGCAGTTTTAGATACTAGCAGTACCACAGAACATTTTATTTTACTGATTTTACTGGGAAAGCCTCATCAAGTACGATTTTTAATTGTTGTACACATACACACAAACACAAACACAAATTAATCATATTAAGGAATTATCTGCTGTCCATGTTCTTGAGCCTTTTTAAAACTCAGAATGTGCACTTTATTATACCTTTCAGAATCTGTGGCATTAATAATAAATTTTATTTTATTAGAATTAATATAATAAATTAAGTTAAAATATTTCCTCATTGAAGAAGCATTCTTGCATTTTTGAGGTACATTCCATTTGGTATGCTTTATCACTTTTAAATGTATTGCTGAATTCTATTTGCTAATATTTTATTTATGATTGTTGCATAGGTATTCATGAGTGAAACTGGTCTTTTGTTTTATTTTTAGTACAATCTTTATCAGGCTTTAGTACCTTTAAAGACAGAGAAAATCACTTCCTATAATGCAGAAAAATATTTTAGACCTTTATAGAATATAGTGACTAAAAGTAAAGGTGATAATATTCAGGGAGTAAATTGTGAATAAAAAGATAATGACAGTTTAGAATATGCTTACTAAAAATGCGTAATGTTATATCCCTTATTCAGAAATTTTTGTTAAAAATAGAAGTCACATCTCTCTAATTTAGGGAGGAAGTACATTTTAAAAGTTACTTCTTGAGATCATCCTAATATCTAAGATAATATAATTTGAAATGATTGTCCCTGTGGACTGAAAAATGAATCTTTGAGACAGAAATCTGTACCATTTAAAAGCAAAATACCAGTTCAAGGGCTGTGGCTCATGCTCTGTAATCCCATCACTTTAGGAGGCCAATGCAGGAGAATTGCTTGAGCCCAGGATTTCAAGACCATCCTGGACAACATCTCTGGACTGTAACCTCTGTAGATCTCATCTCAAAAAACAAAAACAAAAACAAAAAACAAAAAACAAAAACCTAAAATAATACTAATAAAAGCAAAGTACTTAAGACCTCAGATTATTTTGTCAGAGCTAATATTGGGGTACCCATATAGCTTACACTTAGCATTTTATGAAAGCTCCATTTTTCACCAATTATTTTCCAGATTAAAGAAAATGCTACAACTATATTTAAAACCTGCTTCCTATTTCCCTCCCATAGTTTCATCTTCCTTTTGTCCTGGATGTTACTACTCTTCTGATGTTGTGAGTGCATTCTTCCTTGTTTTCACCTACTCTGTAACATGGCTTTATCTCAGTCCTTCAAACCTTCCATCATGGCACAGCAGCTCATGACTCCTCCTCAGCCAAATCCCCTACACTCTGCATTCTTTCTGGGTACAGCTCCTTCACCTTCTTGCTCTAACAATTCCCTGGCTCTCCTTTGAGTTCATTGCTCTCCCACTAGAACTTTTCGGTGGAGGAACTCAGCATGATTAGTAACTGTTCATGGACTGTGTCCTCCTGGCTTCTCACTGCACTTTACAGGCCACTCCCACTCCTTCCTAAAACTGTCAGCTCTGAAGTTCATGCCCTCAAACCCTATCATCTGCCGTCCCTCTGTACTGCAGTCATTGATTCTCAATCTTTCATTCCCTAAAAATGTTAATTTTGGCTGGGTGCGGTGCCTCACGTCTGTAATCGCAGCACTTTGGGAGGCTGAGGAGGGGTGATCACCTGAGGTCAGGAGTTCAAGACCAACCTGGCCAACATGGTGAAACCCCGTCTCTACTTAAAATACAATAATTAACTGGGCATGGTGGCAGACACTTGTAACCCCAGCTACTTGGGAGGCTGAGGCAGGAGAATCACCTGAACTCGGGAGGCAGAGGTTGCAGTGAGCCGAGATTGCACCAATGCACTCTAGCCTGGGCAATGAGAGCAAAACTCAGTCTCAAAAAAAAAAGAAAATGTTAGTGTCTATTTTATTTTTTACTTTTTCAAATTAAAAAATATATTTGTACAAATTTGGGGGGTACACAAGCAATTTTATTACATATATATAATGATTAATTATCAAATCAGAGATGTTTACTATAATCACCACTGAAGTACAATACATTTTTGTTAAGTATAGTCACCCTACTTTGCTATCAAACATTGAATTTATTCCTCTGATCTTACTTTATGTTTGTAACCTTAAACCCACTTCTATTCATCTCTGCCAAACAACTCACTCTTTCCAGTCTCTGATAACTATTTTTCACCCTATCTCCATGTGTTCAATATTTTTAGCTTCCACATGTAAGTGAGAATATATGATAGCCCTTTTGCATGTGGCTTATTTCACTTAACATAATGACCTCCAATTCCGTCCATGTTGCTGCAAATTGCATGATTTCTTTTATTGTGACTAAATAATATTCCATTGACATATGTACCACATTTTCTGTATCTATTCATACATCGATGAACACTTAGGTTGATTCCCTTTAACATGGCTCCAATAATAACTCTTGATGAAAATTTGATAATCTATCTACTAGCCAAGGCGGCTTTGAGTTTCTCAATGTCCTTAATTTTCCTCCTGACAACTCACTAACTCCCTAATTTGCTCCCAACATTATATCCTAATGTCATTACCAAAAACCTCATCTGGCACAGTTCCAAGCATTGTGTTCCCAGTCTACCACTTTATATGTTTTGAACACAACTCCAAACTGCTATTAGGATTTATAGTAAAATCATTCCTATTGAATTTTCTTTGTCTCATCCCATGCATACCCTCATTTTCTTTTCTTACTTTTAGTCCAGTTTTCAGTCTATTTTGGTCACTCCTTTGCATACACAATCAAACCCCTTGCTTCTCTCACCCTTTTTAATATTGGCCTAGAAACACCCCACCCTGGCTAAGTCCGACCTACCGCCTTGGAAGTCACTTGAATTGCCTAATGCAACTGAAGGAACAACACAGAATAAAATCATGCAGTCTCATTTCAAATTCCTGGTTACTTACCTTAATTGGTCTCTCAGTAGCCTAGCAATCCTACAACATTTCCTTAGTTTTTACATTTTCCCATTTCCCTGGATGGATTTTTCATACCTTGTCTTTACAGGAACACCTAACACCCCATTTCTTTTTCTCACTTTTAGCTGCTGACCTAGTTTCTTGTTTTATTGTGAAAAGAAATAGAAGATCATTTTCAAATACCCTCAGAGCACATAGATCCACTTACTTTTATCTGCACCCACCTAGTCTATCTTTCTCCGTGCTATTATGAATGAACTGTCTGCAGCCTTTCATAGACAGATGTGGCTACCTCTTCCCTTGTGAACTAAGTCCTGTCCATTTTTATGTCCTCAATTATTTTCCTTCAGCAGTTCTGTATTGTCATCTGTCTGATCAGTTTCTTCCTCACTTCTTGATTGCTCTTATTATAATAAAACTGCAATGCAATATCTTATTTATTTTTAAAAATCCCTTGACTCAATATTTCCCTCCAGCTAGTTCCTCCTTCATTCTTGCCTCTTAAGAGCAAAGTTACTTAAGATAATTTTCTATACTCACTGTCCCAAATTATTTTTTCATTGTCTCATTAACCTAGTCAAAACAAACGTTTGTCCCCAGCAATCCACAAAAACAATCTCATCAATGACAACTATTTGTTTTTCTAAATTCAGTCTTACTTGACCTATCAGTAATATTTGATAGTCTTGATCATTTTATTCATCTTGAATCATTTTCTTGACTTGGCTTCCAGGGTGCCCCATTCCCTGGCTTTTCTCCTGCCACACTGGCTGCCACTTCTTTTGTTTCTTTGCTGGTTTCTCCTCATCTCAGTTATTAACAAGTTTTAGAATGCCCTCTCTGGGCCCAGCACTTGGACTCTTCTCCATGGAAGCTTGCACCCTCTTTGATCTCATTCAGTCACATTGCTTTAAACATCATGTGTACACTGCTGCTTCCTCTATCAGGCAGAATTCAAAGAAGACTGTATCAAACAAACAATGAGTTAGGAGAAAATAGATTTCCCTACATGCTGCTCCTGTAATCATTCCCAATCACAATTCATGACAGTTCTATTCTTTTCCACTGCTCACACCAAAATACTTTCAGTATTTATTGAATTCACTCACTTCCTCACTTCTTGTATTCCATCTAGGAACAAATATTGTCAGTTCTACCTTCACAGTCTCTCCATAATATGAGCACATCTCTTTATCTTCACTGTTACTACCCTAAGACAAGCTACCTCTATCACTTGCCTGAGTCACTACGAAGGTTACTAATTAATCCCTCTTGTCTTCCTTCCATAAATTGCCCTCCTTCTTAACACCAATGTGATAACTAAATTTCGAGTCAAATTATGCCATGCTGTGCTTACAATTCTTAAATAGCTTTGAATTTCTCTTCTAAAATGTCTTTGCTTTGCTGCACAAGACTAAATGACATCATATTTCACTTATCCCTCTGAAATTTTCTTCTTTTATATAAACTTCTGTTTTCAAGAACCATTATTGTTGATTCATTGAGAGATACTCTGTTTTTAACTGCTGTAGAGTAGATATTTTATGAATATGCTTCATTTCAGTTATCCATTTTCACAGTAGGGATTTACATATTTCCAAATTTGTATCACAAATTATCAATATATTAGACTCTTCACTTTTTGAGGTATAATCATGAAAGTTTATCTTACTTCCTTTAAACACTGCTTTCAATTTTCATAGATGAAATATTTTACTTTCCATCCTTTTGTGAAATATCCAACAGATCCCATTACTTTCTGGTGACTTCGAACTTCTCTGGCCAATGTAAAGCTTTATACTCATATCCAATTCAAAACTGGTAGTGTATCTGCTTACTTTTGGCACTACAGCAAATAAACATACGCTCAGTGGCTTTAAAGGACATACATTATTATCTCACAGTTTTAAAGGTCAAACTCCATATGGACTCTCTGCTTCCTCTTCTCTGGTTTTATAAGTCCAAAATCAAGGCATCAGCTGGCCATGGCTTTTTTCTAGATGCTCTAGGGGAGAATCCACTTCTGACATCATCCAGGTTGTTGGCAGGATTCATCTCCTTACAACTATAGGGCTGAGGTCCTGCTTTCCTTGCTGAAGACTCTTCTAGCTTTTTAAGGCCACCTGCATCTCTCATCACACTGCCCCTTCCATCTTCAAACCAAAGACAGCATTTCAGGTCCTTTACACACTTCAAATGTTCCTGTCTTCCCCTTATGAAACATGTCTTCTCTAGCTGGAGACAGTTATCTGTTTTCAAAGACTCATATGATGAGATTTGGTCCACCAAGGTAATCCATGATAATCTCCCTATTCTAACATCTGTTACCTTAATTTCTGCAAAAACCCCTTTACTATGCAATGTAACATATTCACAGGTTCCCAGGAGCTGGGTGTGGACTCTTTAGGAGGGTCTGTCATTCTCCTTACCACAGTCTTCCCTACATTGCCCAAAGGTTCATGTCTCTTCCAAATGTAAAATATATTCACCCCATCCCAAGATCTCAAAGTTCTCATCCCATTATTGCATCAACTGAAAGTCTAAACTCCCATTTAAATTCATAAATTCAAAAGTCTCAAATCTCACCATCTAAATTATTGAAATCAGTGGGAACTGAGAATGTGAATATAATCTGTCCTGGAGCACAATTCCTCTTCATCATGGACCCATCATTCTACAGAAACAAGTTGTCTTCTACCAAAACATGTCCTGATTTGATTTCTATTTTAAAAATATAGTTGAATGCCGCAGTAAAACTCAGACCTTCATGGCTGTGGGCCATATTAACCCATCAGCAATTCTAGTGCTCTGAGAGAAACAATATATTTAAATGGGTACTGGGAGACAAATATCCATGGGTCGCTCATATTTCTTCCTATATCTTGCAGTAGAGGCACTTTCATCCTTTGTTCCAAAGTATCTTTTCATGGATATTTGTATGTTCAACAGGTATGGAAGACAGAGATAGTTTCTTTCTCTGAAGCAGAAAGCAGATTTGTTATCCAATGTAATATGTATATATGTAATGTCTCCATCCACTTGGGCAGATTTGATTGCACCCCCTTACAAAAGCTCAGGGCTTCTTTATCTTGGGGTTCTTCAACTGTGATAAAATCTCACAGTGTGTACAGCATCCTGCTGAACCTGGCTTACCGTCACCTTCCTGGAACTTGGGGCAGGGGGAGATTGTCAAGGAGAACCAAAGTGAACATGAAGCTCATGCTTCCCGCTAGGCTGTGCATTATAAAGTCCCCTTTTTCTGACTAAGGAGTCTTGTATATTTTGATAGCAAACTAACAGTAGCTCATAAGCAAATTCAAATCTCAGACCCTTACACTTCTTGTCAGATTCGACAGGGAGGTTGGGATGATTTCAGAGACATGACTTTCTAGAAAAGATGGACTAGAGACATTTGTGAGCTTGGTGAGGGAATATGAGAAGATGACCCAGGATCCTTTAGTAGAATCCTGCCCATATGATGAACAAGGGATGGCAAGAGGTAAACGCCACTGTCCTGACTATCAAGGACTATTAAGAGGTTGAGGGGTGAGAGGTGAGATTGAAACAAGCAGTGAGATTGGTGCTTCAAATGCTGTGCACTCTCCTCCAGTGGGAAGAAGAAAGGTTAAGGAGTCACAAAAGTTGATAACAGAGCTTTGGATGAAATGAAAACATTAGAAATTCATCTGGTTAAATCAAGAGTGTCTATTTCACATCTCTTGAACTTGAAAGAGCCTTGCTTTCTGGAACAGAGCTTCTCCTTCCCTCCATGGCCCTGATCCTTCCCTCCTGCTTTCCCTGACTTTAGCTCTGTTTCAAGTTCCATTTGATTGAAAGTAACCAAAACCCACAGGGCTTATGAGAAAAGCAGAGTTCATTGATTCACAAAGTTTGTAAAGGATAA
The DNA here is from genome assembly GCF_000001405.40 of Homo sapiens. Classification (NCBI taxonomy): domain Eukaryota; kingdom Metazoa; phylum Chordata; class Mammalia; order Primates; family Hominidae; genus Homo; species Homo sapiens. The sequence continues at coordinate 171,702,285 of NC_000004.12, forward strand.
GGTTAAATATGGTGACACAATAACTTAGAACTGGATCCTGATAGCTTTACAATTATCTTCTTATCTCTCCTCTCTTATTTTAAATCCTAGATAACAGCTCCATTCTTTCATAATGGTTGGGGCCATGGTTATCAGTCCCATGTCTCACATCTTTAACATTTCACCATTAGAGCAATATTGAATTTTTAATTCTAGGTTGAGTTTGAAAAATTTCAAGGAAAAATGTTCATCAGGCCAATTTGCAACAAAGTTCAACCCACAGGATTAATCACCTTAGTTGAAGAGGCAAAAATATATGACCATCACGGTTTTAGTTTTATATCCATTCCTATGATCTGGGGCAGGACAACGAGCCATGATATTATAATAATATGCTAAGAATATTAGACATACAAAATGAATAGCCAATATTAATTGTTTCTTTAAATGATCTGCTTTATGGAATGTTAATTTTTAAAATGACAAAATAATTAAATATTGTATAAATATATACACTTACAAAAGCACAATTTTTATAAAATAGAGAAGTATTGAAATTGAAGTAAACTTGTTACAGAATTATTTTAAAATATGAGTAGCTATTTGTATTCAAATACCAAAAAGATTTCTGATAAACACTGATTTTCTTCTTCAAACATGAAAGTCAAATCACATATTAAAAATGAAAAGAAGTATTTCTGTGTTTATAATGATCTGATCTTACTCTTTGTGTAAATATATAAATATCAACATTCAGTTACCTAAAGGTAATTATGCATCTAGTCTTTAAAAATGGAAATGGTGGGAATATCTTCATTATTTAAAAATTACTTTATATATCAAAAGGCAAAATTATGAGTTGAACAATTTTCTTAAGCATGGGTTATCATTACGGTAGGGCAAATTATCAAAATACTTTAATCAGATAAATCTTTCACTCACGATTATCAAATATGATTTTCCTTGCTGCATATCCATAGGCCCCAAAACCGAATACCATAATATCCACAGCAGTTTGGCTACCAGTGATACACACTAAGCTTTTCACATATTAATGTCTATTCCATGGGCATTATTCCAATAAAATATTTAATAATTCAACCAATTTAAGTATTGTTTCTCCTCCCTCAGTATAGAAAATCCAGTTTGAAGGAGACATCAATTTATTTCTCATAGAAAACAACATTCTATGGAATTAATAACTAAAGATATGAGAGAACGCATGCACACAGATGTGTATTAAAAATTAATGAGTGTTTGTAGACTCAAGAAATATTAAACTTAATTTCAACTTTGTAGGCATAAGCATATGTCAGCATATGTCAATTTAAAAAATTGTCCAATTTGAGTTAATACAATATGGGCCAAAGAAATAAAACAGAGAGGTCTAATACAGAATTAAGACAAATAAGAATTCTAAGACAGAAACCATCTTTTCAACCCTATTGACCAGCAGCCATGCCTGCCAGAGCATGAGGCAAAATTTATTAGAATTGGTACTGAAGAACAAGAAAATCTATCCTCAACTATAATTTAAACAGACATCATGCTAGGACAAAAAACCAAACACCGCATGTTCTCACTCATAGGTGGGAATTGAACAATGAGAACACTTGGACACAGGAAGGGGAACATCACACACTGGGGCCTGCTGTGGGGTGGGGGGAGGGGGGAGGGATAGCATTAGGAGATATACCTAATGTAAATGACAAGTTAATGGGTGCAGCACACCAGCATGGCACATGTATACATATGTAACAAACCTGCACGTTGTGCACATGTACCCTAGAACTTAAAGTATAATAAAAAATATATATATATATAAAATGAATAGACATCATGAAGTAAGGAGAGTCCATAAAATAACAACCTTTTTAATTTTGATAGTTTAAATGTATATGTATAATATATATATGTACACACACATATAAGAGAGACAGAGAAAGAGAGACAAAGACACAGAGATATGTTTATATCTTTTCTGAGAAAAGCAAAACTCTTCTCTCTATAATAGAATCTAGAGGGTAAGGAAGTTCCAGGATCTGGGAGCAAGAGCTATTGAAGTAGTCATATAGTCAAAAAACAATCAATATGATTTTTCCAGCTTGAGGTAGCTTTGGTGTATTGTGTTCTTCAGTATTGTCCCTCATTAACTCATCCTGAAAAAGATATTTTAGCCATTTCAGAGTTTCTAGGGTTTTGTATTTGTGTATATGTCTTGTGTATCTTGTGTGTCTTACTATGCATGAACTGAAGAGTTTTTGGAATAAATAAGCTCTGAAATAGGATTAACTTTGTCATAACATACTGCCCTTACTTTCAGGAGGAAGAAGTTAAAGCTCCATGTTTTGCCCCAAAGGGAAAAGTGTTAAAACTGACCTTTGAGTAAGTATAATGGCATTTAGATTATTATATTATGATTAAAATGAACTCTAATTTCAGATGTATTATGAGACCCTGACCTTTTTCTATATTAGCAGTATAATGCTTTTAGAAATGGAAAATAATAGCTGTCTTGAGCTTGTAAGTGACTATCCAATATGAGATGTCAATTGCTCGCTCATTCTCTTTTCACCTGGGAGTACAGCTGGTAACACAGTCTTTATTGATCTCCTAGAAAGGCAATAGATGTAAGCACATCAAATACCTACTTGGCATTCCACTTATCTGGAATGAAGAGTCATCTACAATGGCATATCTAATACTTAGAATACTATGTGCTTGATAGAATGTATAAGCTTTTATTAAATCAATTAATTAAGATGTACTTGTCCAAGCACATGCACATAAAATTAATATGTTCCTGCTCAAGTAGTTCGTAGAAGGCAAATAGGATTCTTTATATGCCATACAGAACACTAACTGCTGTCTGATTTTAAGAAAACTTAGCAATTGCCCTAACATGTAAATTTTGAAAAGTGACCTCTTTATTAGGGCACAACCCTTCTAGGAGAGAATGTGTTGGAGACTAGCAGCAGGAGGTTGCTGTATATCCTCTTGCTCTCTTATCCCAGAGTCTCTGCTACTATAACAGAATAAGATCCTATAGCCCTTGGCTCTGTAACAAAAATTCCCCAATCTGCTTCATGGGTCCTGCATTTTCTTTTTGGGGGTTTGCAGGAGCCCAATAATAATACTTCTTGTTTGTTTGGAGTTTGCAGGAGCCCAGTAAATAATAGTTCTCTATCTTTTCTAAATTATGACATTGTTGTGACAAAAAATATTAAGTCAAGCAGGCATAAGAAAAGCAATCAAACATTTATTACTGATAAATATAGTCTTGGAAGGTGTGGCTTTTTATCAGTAGGCACTTCCTGGAGAGTCAGGACTCTGCCATCCCATGCATAGAACAGGGCAAAATATATGTCCTTTACAGCTAGTCTTGCACCCAAAAGAAAGAGAAAAAGAGACCAAATACCCAAGATATGCATACTCACTTCTCTTTCCAAAGTCACCAATCTGATCAAGGAAGAGTGAAGAGGGCAGAAAGAGGAGGGAGTGCTAGGCGAGATGAACTCCTTCCATGTGGAAGAAAACATCAGCAGAGAGAAAAATTTCTTCCACTTGCCCCCTACTAAGAGAGTTCCCCAGGTTTTCAATCCACTGTTCTCCTCCCTCCATGCTACTTTTCTGGGGTAGTCAGGGCTGGACCCATAGTTTTGCCTATTATAGCAATCAAACAATATACTTATAGCTATCAAACAATTACTTCCAAAGCTAGTTTCCAACATGAGTTTCAGATTCATGTATTTAAACGATGACATGATAACCTGATTTGGATTTTTTCATCAACATTTTAAACTAAATACATCCAGAATGACCATCCTCATGTGCCCTTAAAATATTTTGTCAATTTCCTTCTACTATTCTTGCCCTAATTCTAAATTTCACTACACAAACCAGAAATTTGAAGCAGGCTTGAGTCTTCCTTTTTCTCATGACATGCAGTGAACCACGTACAATTGATCTCATAGCTCACGTATTTGCTAATCTTTATCCTCTTTTTATTCCTACTATTTAAACCTTTTGCTTTTTACTTAAAGGGAGCCAAGATAACTTTTGCACTTCTAGGCATCATATGAAGATGTCATGAAGAGTCAGAAACGGCTTTTAGCCAGGAGCAGAACAGAATGAAAATCATAGACATGCAGGATATGTAGAGTCTATTCACGAATTGGTCACTCGCTGATTAATTTTTGAAAATAAAATTTTCCAAGCATTTTTTGCTATTAAATAAAGTTGTTGGTTGAATAATATCTCAATTGTATTCCAGATTTAAGATGTTGGATTATCTGCAGGTAAAAGGCTTTGTAATTCCTGACAAAGTACAGTAGCAGAGGACAATGAAGCCAAAAATACAAGCAATGAGTCTAGAAGCGACCAGAACATGTTTTCTCACCTTCTCCATTTTTCTTACAGAACTATAGGATGATAACATTTAAAGGAAATTTAAAGTTCAGCCACCACAAGTACTTGGCAGTTCTACCATATTCCTGACAAGAGATCATTCATTCAACGAATGCCTAAGTCCCTAGTGATAAAGGACTTAAATATTTCCTCCAATGAGAGAGTCTTACTGCTCCCAGTTTCTATCTGGTTGACTTATTTTGGGAACAACTTAGGAATCTTTCTTCTACATGAATAGTCACATAAATATTCCCATATATTAATAAAAACAGTTATTACACATCTATATTGTTAGTTTTTTGAGGGACCTCTGTATCATTTTCCAGAATGGCTGTGCTAATTTACATTTACACCAACAGTGTATAAGATTCCCTTTTCTCCACACCCTCACCAAAACTTACTACCTTTTGCATTTTTGATAAAAGCCATTCTAACAGGTGAAATATGGTATTTCATTGTGGTCTTAATTTGTGTTTCTCTGATGATTAGCAATGTTGAGGATTTTTTCATGTATCCACTGGGCATTTGTATGTCTTCTTCATGAGAATGTGGGGAATCAAAAACAATTTAACTAATAGAAGCAGAGAGTAGAATGATGTTTATAGAGGCTGCGGGTGGGAGAATGGAGAGATGATGCTCAAAAGGTACAAAATCCTAGACAAGAGGAACATGGTGTTTTTTCCCCCCTTTTTGGAGGTTCTATTGCCCAACTTGTTGAATATAGTTAATAGTAAGAGTGCTGTAAATTTCAAAATTGATAAGAGAGTAAGTTTCAAATGTTCTCATTACAGAAATGTTCCATATTTGAGGTGATGAATGTATTAACTAGTTTGATTTTTAATTATTTCACATCTTGTTGATTATTACTTCACTTTGTATGCCATAAAAATTATATAATTATAAATGGTCGATTTTATAATAGGAACAAAGTATCAACTGGAATGTCACAAAAAATAATTTAAAAATAAAAAGAGTTCAGGCCCTTCCTGGGGCTTCTCTTTCTAATTTAAATGTCTCTTACTTTAAGATTTACACTTGGCAGGTCATGAGGTCAGGAGATCGAGACCATCCTGGCTAGCATGGTAAAACCCCGTCTCTACTAAAAATACAAAAAAAATTAGCCAGGCGTGGTGCTGGGTGCCTGTAGTCCCAGCTACTCGGGAGGCTAAGGCAGGAGAATCCCTTGAAACTCCGGGAGGCGGAGTTTGCAGTGAGCCAAGATCATGCCACTGCACTCCAGCCTGGGGGACAGAGCGAGACTCCTCCTCAAAAAAAAAAAAAATGATTTCCACTTATAAAGTAATTTTATATTTTCAGAAATACAATTTGCTATTTGGAAGTCTTTCATTTTATTTAGGTGTACATTAGGACATGGCAAAAAGAAAAACTTAATAATTTACAGTTCAGTTTGGTCTACCCATCCATCCATCCATCCATCCATCCATCCATCCATCCATCCATCCTTCATCTATCCACTCCATTCATGCACCTATCAGTCTATTTGTGTATTTTTTTCATTGTTCAACAAAATGTTTCAGATGTGTTATCAGATAGGTAAGTAGGTAGGTAGGTAGATGATAGATGGATAGATAGATAGATGATAGAAAAAAACAGAGAGCAGAGCAGGAGTGTCAACTCCTTTGTTATTTCATGTATTCTAAACAATAAATTTTATGCTATTACTTCTATTAATTATACACAGAAAAGTCTGTACAGAAACTGAACGTCAAAAGCATTGTTCTCTGGCCATCTTCTTTAATAATCTAGCTGTCTCTATTCAACTTGTCACAAATCTATAAGGAAAACAAACTCCAAATGTATATATATACATACACACATGCTTATTCACATCTATCACCTATAGTCCTATCACACATTGTGGCAAAGCCCATTCAATTGGTTTTGCTGCACATACATTTACATAAATTTTATTCTATTACTCGTGTAATATTATGCTGACTTTAAAATTATGTTTTTATTCTAAAATGTGTTTATTTTTAAAGCTAGCATTCATTGCAAATTTACAGTATACAAGATATAATCCACAAAAGTTGCGTGCCTTTTCAATGCTCGCATAGTCTGTATGACACAGATAAGTATAGCTGATGTAAGAAGCAGCATATCATCATTGTTACCCCGAAATTTGGAGCCAAACTCCACTTTTCACTAGCTGTGTGACCCTGGGCAAGTTACATATCATGTCTGTTGCTTTCGTTTGTTCATAGGTAAAATAGAAAAATACTTCAAATGTTTGTGAAGATTAAATTGCTAGTATATCTCAGAATACTTCAAATGCTTATGAATATCAAACTAGCTGGTATATCTAAATGAATATTATGAATACTAATATTTATATAAAGTAAATATTAAATTAGCTAGTATATCTAAACCCTGGCATATAGTTAGCTACATTAAAATAAATAAATGCTCTCAAGATTACACCATTACAAGGTAAGGGAGCTGGGAACCAGTTAAGATTAACTTATTTTTTTAAATGTTAAAGATATGGATAAATAAGCGAAGGGATTTCTAAAATAAAAAAAAAGTACCTTAAGCTGAATAATGAAATGTACCAATATGTTGATTTTTATTATAGTCAAATTTACAATCCAATCATACACACACTTTTCAAATCAACTTTTCCTCTGAAACCTTAGTATTTTGCTTAATTTATAATTTACATGTTCTTTTTTTTCCTATATTCATTCTCAGTTGAAGGTAAGCCGGTGCCTACCAACACAGTTCCTCTTGTTCCAGCAGGGCTAGTATAATTACCTACTCACATGCCACTGGAAATCTCGAGCTTCTAGCCGAGTTCGGTGAAACACAACCTTTCATCCAATTGATTCCATAGTACTACAATAAGGTCATCCTAACCATTGTCATTTCCTTTACTCGACATAAGTATACATGAAAATCTCTACTCCATATATTGCACTGCAAAGAAAGCTTTATTGCTTCAAAACTACTCATGTCACTTTATTTGTGGGAGCTACATACACCAGAATGCATTGCAAAAGACTTTTTTTTTCTGAACATAATTTATTCCCAGAAGAGCCTGGCTCTTAGAAGGTAAAATAATTTTGTTTAATAATCAATAAGAGTTTAATTCTGAAAATGGCTGGAGAAACTTTTTTGTAATGTTTAAGTCACTGACTGGGGAAGGGTGGGATAAACAGGTGGAGGGTAGCACTCTGCCCTACCCTAGTTCTCTGCAGATCCATCTGGGCTTTTCTACTCACTTTCACGAAGCTGGGCTGATTGTTTTCCAGGAATGGGCATAGCATGGTGTGGTTCCCAGATTGTTCTTCCTATCCATCAACTTGAAATTAGTAAATTTTTTTTTTTTTTTTTGAGACGGAGCCTCGCTCTGTCGCCCAGGCTGGAGTGCAGTGGCGATCTCGGCTCACTGCAAGCTCCACCTCCCAGGTTCACACCATTCTCCTGCCTCAGCCTCCCAAGTAGCTGGGACTACAGGCGCCCGCCACCACGCCCTGCTAATTTTTTTTTATATTTTTATTAGAGATGGGGTTTCACCGTGTTAGCCAGGATGGTCTTGATTTCCTGACCTCATGATCCGCCCATCTCAGCCTCCCAAAGTGCTGGCGTGAGCCACCGCACCCGGCCAAAAGTTTTTCACAATTCTGGTTTTAGTGGTTTTTTTTTTTTCCTAAGTCTTGGTTTTCCATATCACTGTGAATCTTGATCACTTCACATCTTTATAGGTATTTTAGCGGGAAGTCTGAAGAAGCTACCAAGAAGACATTTCAATATGCACAATTCTAATTTAACATTAAGATGTTTTATTTCAGCAAAAATAATATATTCTGTCAGATTAATACCAATACCAGCTTATTTTGATGGATAGGTGCATTATGCATGTAAAAGCAACTTTAATCTATAATAACAACATTAGATATCTTATTGATATGTTAGTAGACATTTTTTCTAGTATGGAAAAATCAGAGCACAATAATATCAAAAGAATGTTGGAAGAGTTCTGATAGTGGAATATGGGAACCTGCATTTTTTTGAATTATACTAGATTTTTAAACGTTACACTTGAAAAAAATTAAAAACAAGTAAAACAAATACTTTCACACAGAAATTATGAAACACTGGGATTAAAACTAAAGGCACTCTTTCACATGCCTTCCAGGGTGTTCCAACCCCATGGGAAATGCCTGCGTCTCAAAATAATAAGAACACCTTGTGTGAGAGGTTGCCATGACAGCACATAGGGCAGCAGGTGCCCCATTGTTCTCTCTCTACAAAGACTTCACAGCAATTTCTCATCTCTCACTTAAAAGCTACTGACCAAGATGCTGCCTTGTACAGGGGCTAACTCTGTGTTCAATTGCATTAGCACTGGAAATCAGGAGAGCAAATGGTCAGCCACTGGATCCACAAACACAATTGAATTTGATCCAAATAATGTTGGCAGAGCTCAGTCACAAACTGTGAGGAAAGTGACCAAAATTGCCACTTCACAATCTTGAAGAATATTTACGTAGAATACTTTTCTCACAATATTCGAATAAATGTCAACAGACACAGAGAGACTTCATTTGAAACATGGAAATATAAGCATTATCTTTATCTTTAAAAATTAACATAGACATTTCAAATTATTTTCAAGTTTATGTATACAGACATTTGAACTTGAACACACAGTTTCTCTTCCTATGCCTTACCATCCAATACACTTTATCTTAGTCCTTGATAGAACCAACTGTGCAACTAGCCATTATTCATCAAAGTGAAGTCCAATGTTGAATTATTAGCAATTTGCCTAAATTGGGAGACATTAGGATAAAAAAGGGAATATTAGATAGATAAATATTAGTTAATAAATTTAGCAAAAATGAGAGATTTATGAGGGTGAGCAGAGAGAAAGGAATAAATGACTACTATAAGAATAGAGGACTCTAGAATTCTTTATTATGCCAGTATTCTTTTTTTCTGCTCGCAAGTTTAAAAGTGTTTTATCCTTGCATGGGTACTGTTATCATGTAGAGACTCACAAGTTTAAAAGTGTTTTATCCTTGCATGGGTACTGTTATCATGTAGAGATATTCAAATGATTTGGAAAGCAGACATATAAATTATTTAGAGGACGAACCCTGTCAAATGATTTGGAAAGTGGACATATAAATTCTTTAGAGGGGGCCCCAGAGCTCCCATGGAAGCTATCATGGACAGTAAGACCCTCACTCCAGCTTCCAATATTTGTAAGTTAATGATAATTTGGAAAAATAAAAGTCTGCTTTAAAAATTTTGAAAGTAAGTCTTTACTTACTTTCTACTCACTTATAGGGCTCACTTATGGGCTGTCTACTCACTTATAGTAAAATCAGAAATAAATACTTAATATTCTGATTTCCCACACTCACTAAAATTACTAGATTTTTTGGAGAAACTGTGTTACATTATGGACATATGAGAATGAAATTGAGGTAGGTAGAAGAAGAGGGGTTTTGGGGTTCTTGTGTGTTTTTTTTAATATGTAAGGGCAATACTCTTTGATGAAGTTAAACAAATTTCAAGTATATTCATAAAAGTGCTGCAAATTATTTTGTGTTTCATATAAAGAGTCAATGCTTTGTTGAATCTTTTTGGGATCATGGATCTCTTTGCTAATGTCATAAAATTTATAGATTGTATTCTATCAAAAAAACAGAATCATCAAGCAATTTTATATGTAATTTCATGGTTTCATAGCCTATGAAGCTCATCCATAAATTTCCCCTGAATTCTGTGATACCAGGTTAAGATGTCCTGTAATAGAACACATTTATAGCAAATAATTCAGAGTATTTCATTTGACCCACCAGTCCAAATCTGGGCAGCTGTTGTTGAGCCTACTCCCTGACTCTTGTCTTACAAACATGTCCTCAATTCTTTCTCAATAATAGGCAAGAAATAGAAAACTGTTTATTGCCAATTGAACATATAGTTTGGTCAAAATGTCTGCTACTGAGTCCCTGGGTCTTCCTTCAAATTCCACTGAGCAGCCTCTTCTCTGCACTTACCAGAAAGCCATGGTTGTATCAGCATCCTATTTTCGTGGCCAGAACTATTTGGATTTTACCCTATTTGCGTAAGTTCAGCAATGTGAAGAGGAGCTAGAAGCAGAATCTCTCCTACCAAAATAATTATATCAGCTAGTAAATTACCTCTAAACATTCTGTGGATGTTGACAAAAGACAAGAGACTACTGTCTCAGCCACAGTAGACTATCACTCAGGAAAAAACAGTAGCAAGAATATCAGCATAGTCGCACGTGTTTTTTGTGTCCCAACTCCCACCTGATGATGCAGTGTGTCAGGGGAGCCAGTGTATGGACAGGGTTCACCACGGGAAAAAAAATGGGTTTATGAAATCCACTGTCATACATTTCCTAAATATTAATATGATACTAAGTGGTACGTTCTCCTGATGCATTATCTCACCTCTCAGGTTTTCATCTGCTTAAACAATCCTGAAAAGTGGCTTGTATGAAAGAAGCTGAGGTCATAGCTTTGCAATTTTTACACACTCAGAAAAAATGCATAGGAGTGTAAGAGGTTCATGGAAGACTGCCTCTTAATGATACCATGAAATAAAAACTGCTAATAGTTTGAAAAATTTTTGACAGCTCAAGCAAATGTTTGTATTATGTAAGAATACACACTATAGTTTTTTGGCCTCCCCATGGAGTATCTCAATAGCCCAGCCTTTTCATGCAATCTTCACAGGAAGGATATCGACTCTATGCAGCTTATTTTAAGAACTCAGGAATGGCATTACGTTGATGACATTCCCCCTTTCTCTAAGCTCTCAAGGCCTTACAGCTTCTCCCAACATTTGCATTACTCTGTGAACCAACATTTCCTAAGTGACCAATGCATACATAAAACAATCTATTCAAACTGCAAAATAGATCAACAAATTTTAATATACCTCATTTTAAAATATTACCTTATATGTTTTCATATTACACATTAACTCTAAGCTGTAAATAATTACCACTTGTTTAGTTTTGCTGTGCATCAAAGAAACTCAGCCATAATTATCTGGTAAGGCTATTAAAATACTCCTCTCTTTCCCAACTACCTATTTGTGAGGAAAATTTTAAAAGACCTAAATAAATGGAAAAATATATATTTCTGGATTCAAAAACCCAGTATTTTTAAGATATACATTTTTTTTTTGAGACAGAGTCTCTCTTTGTCTCCCATGCAGGAGTTCAGTGGTATGATCTCAGCTCACTGCAATCTCTGCCTCTTGGGTTCAAGTAATTCTCATGCCTCAACCTCCTGAGTAGCTAGGATTACAGGTGTGCACCACCACGCCTGGTCAATTTTTGTATTTTTAGCAGATACAGAGTTTCACCACATTTGCCAGTCTGATCTTGAACTCCTGACCTCAGGTAATTCACCCACCTCAGCCTCCCAAAGTGTTAGGATTACAGGTGTGAGCCACTGCACCTGGCTGATACATTTTATTTATATATTCTTATCATATAAATAAGATGAAAATTTAACACAATTCCAATCAGAATTGTTATCAGACTTTTTAAATAAAAGTTGACAATCTAAATGGAACATTTCCATAGTAAAGCAAATCATCTAAAATAGTCAAAAAAATTTGAATAAAGAAAAATCTAAAGAATCTACACTATCATACTAAAAGATGTATTATAAAAAAAACAATTGAGCCATAGTAGTACTAGCATAAAAAACAGATCAATAAAAAAAGAGGACATAAATTAACACATATATGGTCAATAGATTTTTAATAAATATATCATTAATTTTGTGAGAAAACGAGTCTTTTTTAAAAAATAAACAAAATGTTACAATTACTTCTAAAAGCATTTTGGAAGCTTTTTAAATATGGAAATGTAAGCATGAATTAACCATGTACTCAACTGACATTATCTGTACATTAAATATATACTAGTCATTTGAACTACAAATTCAAGGTATTTACACAAGAGACATAAAAACTTATATCTAGACAAAAACTTATACATAAATATTCATAGAAGCTTTAGTAATATTTGCCAAAACTGGAAACTCCCCAAATATCCACCAATAGGTAAATAGATAAGCAAATTGTGATATATTCGTATATTAGAATATTGTTAATGATGGCAGTGGCGGGCTGTCTGGAGCAGCTGCTGCCATTGTGCCATGACTGCAGGGAGGGCACAGGGAGGAGGCAGAACTAGGCCTGCACTCCACAGAGCTAGCAGGAGCCAGGGACAAGCAGGAGCCCTCCCTAAGGCTGCTGCCCTGGGGGCTGTTGCCATGGGGCTGAGTCAAGCAGCCTGAAGGCAGGGGAGCAGTGTGGTCAGGCACAGAAGGATGGGCAGAGAGGGGCCCAGTAAGGACCAGGATCGTCACCCCAGGCTGCAAGGAGGTGCAGCCAGGGCTGCCTGCATGCTCCATGGAATGGGCAGGAGCCCTGCCTTCCCAAGTGCAGGACCCAGGCATCTCTGCAATCTGCACCCTTGGGGCCTGGGAAGGACCCCTGCTCCCGAAGGCTCTGGAGTGTCTGCTGCTCCCACTGTCTCGCCTCTCCCCAATCCCGGTGCCCACTCTGACCTTGGAGCAGGGTTGGGGCCAAGCCTGAACACTGTCACAGCATGGCTGGGTGTGCACACACTCAGGGCAGCACTGACACACCAGCCTCCTGCCACATTCCCCTTCAGACTTTAAATGCCTACAAGCACTGGGGGAAGTTGAGGAGGGGCTGAGGGCAGCTCAGTGCTGGCCTGCAGGTACCCCTTGGCATGAGCAGCCTGGGCATCATGGAGAGTAGCAGGAGGCAGACAGGATCCTGGGCAGAAAAAGGTGGTTCCTTCAGGCCAGGGAGGGCCTCAAGGCTGGGGGCCAGGCTGCCAGTCCCACAGACTGGAGTGGGAACTTGTGGTGCCTTTTCCATGCACACCTATGGCCACCCAAGGACCAATCAGTGCACACTTCCTCCCCTCTGAAGCCCATAAAAGCCCTAGGCTCAGCCAGAACTGAACACTCATCGAGATGACCAGCTGCAGAGAGGAGCTACCCTCTCTGCTAGGAGCTGAACACCCTGCTGTGGAAAGGAGCTTCCCCCTGCAGGCCTCCTCTGAGCTGTTCTATTGCTCAATAAAACTTCTCTTCATCTTGCTCACTCTTCACTTGCCTGCGTATCTCATTCTTCCTGGTTGCAGGACAAGAACTCCGGATACGCTGAATGGCGAGGCTAAAAGAGCTATAAAACAAACAGGGCTGAAACATGCCCATTGCTCACCACATTGCAGGCGAAGAGAAGAAGAGAAGAGCTGTGGCCCTTTGGGGAGCCCAGCCCTGGGAACTCCCTGAACCAGGGTTGAGATTCCCTGTTTGGGGCCCCATGGTCCCTGGCATCTCCAAGCTTCTGGGCACCACCAGATTCCCCCATGCCAGCTGTGGAAGCTGCTTGTGGCGTGCCTGGTCTGGCCACAGCCTCACAGAGAGCCAGTGCCTGTGTCAGCACCTGGAGCTGCCTGCCTGGCTGCAGCAGCCAGCATGTCTGACTGTGTGTAGTGGCTGAACCCCACAGTCACTCACACACCCCTCTCTGCTCCACACCTGACTCACCCTTGGCAGGCATGGGATCCAAGCCCTTGGCAGGTGTGGGATCCAGGCTGATAGTGTTAGCCAAGCACAGCCTGCCAGGCTGAGTGGGTGAAACAAGCCCAGTGGACCCAAGCTTTCCTTGGGCAAAGGTGCTAGTGGCCACAGAGGTTTCTGCCCAGAAAAGTGACACCTCAAGGATCTTGTAACATTAAGTCACAAAAATCAATAAACTACTAATGTAAGTAAAATCATGAGTAAATCTCAAAAACATAGATAACTGCTGACTTGGAGAAACTAGACCAAGAGAGTATATACTCAGTGATTTCTTTGTATGACATTCTAAAAATGTCAGTGATTATCTGGGGTCAGCAATAGATGATAGTTTGGTGTGAATAACCGCAAATCTGAGCGGGAAAACATTTTGGGTTGATAAAATTGTTCTTTACATTGTAATGGTGCTTCCATGGAGTTATGGACTGAATTATGTTTTCCAGAATTCTTAGGTTGAATCAATAATCCACAATGTGACAGTATTTGGACACAGGGCCACTAAAGCAGTAATTAAGATAACATGAGGTCACAAGTGTGGGTCCTGAATACAATAGGACTGGTGTTCTTATAAGAAGAAAGTGACACACTAGCAGTGCAGTACACAGAGAAAGGGCTATGTGAGGACAGCAAGAAGGTGGCCATCTTAAATCCAGGAAAAGAACCCTCAGGGGAAGCCAACCTTGCTGACACCTTGACCTTAGACTTCCAATCTTGACTGTAGAAAACACATGTCTGCAGTGTAAGCCACCCAGTCTGTGCTATTTTGTTATGGCAGCCCTAGCTGACTAATACGCATGGCTCTAAGCATCTGCCAAAACTCATCAAACTACACATTTAAGATGGGAGCATTTCATTGAATACAAATTATACCTCAATAAAGTTGATTTATAAAACCTCCTTAAGGAATGACAAAAAGAGCACTACACTGAATGCTTTATACATTAAATTGCATTCCCTAAATGAGAAACAGAACACTTGTTCTCTGTTTAGGATTTCTACAGGATGACTATAAATTCTTCAAAAGATATAGTACTCTCACAATGGCATAAATATCCTATATCTAGAGTGGAAAAATTACAGTGGGCAAAGACATCTGGCTTTGAAATGGTTTTGTTGGCAGCTTTGGAGTGTCAGCAGAAATAAGTGACATTTCTCTACAGCTCTGGAAGCAGAAGAAAATCACAAATGCCATTGTCATAATAGGTGCATTCCTTGTGTAAATATGATATACTCCCAGAGGATGCCTGAAGTAATTGAGAGAAATTAGAGGAAGCTGTAGTTCTAGCAGAGTGAATACAGTTAGAGCCAGAAATAGAGATTTGATTTATTATCATTATTTTGACTTGATGTATTTCCCCACATAATTGTGCCCTGGGAAAAATAAGCTAATATAAAAATAGAGCTAGAGATAGAGCTGGAGGTTAGAGACATATATATAGTAATATAGATAGATTAATAGATAAATAATAGATATAGATAAATAGATGGATATATATGAAGTTATATTAATATATAGGATTATAAATGCATAGATGTATAAATATGTAGATATAAAGACAGACCCAACTGGTCATTTTGAGAGTGGATTTGTGAGTGATTTTTAGCTAAGCACTCATACTATACAATTAAACTATAATGCTGAGTGTGTCCTTATGGGAAACTTCAAAATTCAAAAAAAGGGTTTTAAGGGGGAGACAAGATGACCAACTAGACGCAATCAGGAAGAGTATCTCCCACTGAGAGAACAGATCATAAAGAAGGCTGGCACACTCCAAGCAGATCTTCAGAAGGAAAGCATTGAGAATAATCAGACAGAGGATGCAGACACTGGGATGAAGTGGGAGAAAGCTGGGAATTCTGCACAGGGCTGCTGAGCACTAGGACTAGTTCCTGGTCTCAAGTGTCTCCTGGGAAAGGGGTGAGTTAAATAGGTAGGAGTGGCCTAGTCTCACCACAGACTTCTGGAATCCTACCTGCAGGAGACCACACAACCACCCACAGACATCTGAGCTGACAGGAGAGCTGCAGGGAGAGGTGGCAGGGACAGGACTCCACCCTGAGCAGAGCCCAGCGGGTTTGGCATGGGAATAGCTGCAGTGAAGCACAGCCAGAATGTCTGTCTCCTAAGGCTTGCCATGCTCCCCCAGGTGGTTTTGGCCTTTGATCTGTCAGACTTTGACAGAGCAGAACAGTCTTGCCAATATAATGGGGCTAGTCTTATCTGAGCACTGCCCTGAATGCTGGCCTCTCCCAGAGTTCCTGCCTGTCTGTACCCACTTGCAGGGCAGCCTCAGGTGCCCAACCAGGCTATTTCCTGGCAGCTAACATCATAGCTCCTTTGCTGGCATACTACACTTGACAATCAAGGAGCTTCAGCCAGGCACCCCTCATCAATGCATACCAATTAACCTGCAGCTTTCACCCACCACAACTTCTGCCCACCAATTTGCTGGTGCACATGCATCCACAGCCCCCACCCCCACCACTTTGATGGTTTATGCACATAGGCAGACCTCACTGCCCTGCTTCTGCTTGTGCATGCATAAACAACTCACCACCCTACTCCTCTCAGCATGAGCACATGCGGACACCAGCACTCCATCCCTGCATGCACCCCACCACCCCATCCCCACTGACATGTGTTACCCTGCTGCACATTTCTATTGCTCTCATGAATGTTCAAGCTTGGGTCCCATTGCCACTGCCGCAACAAAGTACTTTGGCTGGTACCCTTCATCAGAGTATTGTTGCCAGCAGATTGGGAACACCTTAACCCTTCCAGCACAACAGGTGCTTAATATCAAGGACATAGAGAACAAAGCTGTGAGCCTGGTGGCAGGCCCACAGGGTTAGAGCACACAGCGCAGGTGTGTTGAGCTGAGACTTGCCCCCTGAAATCTTCCCTAAATGAAATCAGTTGGCCAAACTCACCTTATACCACAGTCAAACCCTCAAGGGCATCAAGGAATATAAAGGCAAGAAAAAATAAAACTATCCAAGAGATGGCAATTTCAAACATTCAAACATTAAAGGAACATCATCAGCCTATGTAGATGAGAAAAAACCAGCTCAAGAACTCTGGCAACTCAAAAAACCAGACTGTTTTCTTACCTCCAAATGACCACACTCGCTCCCCAGAAATGGTTCTGAACCAGGCTGAAATGGCTGAAATAACAAACATACAATTTAGAATCTGGATAGGAACAAAGATCATCAAGATTCAGGAGAAAGTCAAAACATATGCCAAAATATCTCAGGAATCCAATAAAATGACACAAGAACTGAAAGATAAAATAGCCATTTTAAGAAAGAACCAAACCATACTAATAGAGCTGAAAAAATGCACTATAAGAGTTTTGTAATACAATCAGAAGTATTAACAGCAGTATAGACCAAGGTAAGGAGTGGATCTCAGAGCTCAAAGACAGGTTATTCAAATGAACTCAGATAAAAATAAAGAAATAATAATTACAAGGATGAAAAAATCTTCTGAGAAATACGAGATTGTGAAAAGAGACCAAACCTATGAATCATTGGCATCCTTCAAACATGAGAGGAAAGAGCAAGCAATTAGAAAATATTTGAGAGTATTGTTCATGAAAATTTCTCCAATTCACTAGAGAGGTCAGCATTCAAATTTAGGAAATGCAAAGAAGCTCTAAGAAATAATACATAAGACAGGCATTGCCAAGATACATAGTCATTAGATTCTCCAAGGACGATGTCAAAGAAAAAATATTAAAGGAAGCTAGAGAGAAAGGGCAGAACACCTACAAAGGGAAGCCCAAAAGGTTAACAGCACATCTTTCAGCAGAAACCCTACAAGCAAGAAGAGATTGAAGGCCTATTTTTAACATTCTTAAGAAAAGAAATTCCAAACAAGAATTTCACATCCAGCTAAACTAAATGAAGGGAAAATAAGATTCTTTACAGATAAGAAAATGCTAAGAGAATTTGTTACCATAAGACCTAACTTACAAGTAGTTCTTAATGGAGTGCTAAACGTGGAAATGAAAGGCCATTATCAGTCACCAAAGAAACACACACACACACACACACACACACACTTATGCACATAGACCATTATGATGGTTAATACTGAATGTCAACTTGATTGGATTGAAGGATGCAAAGTATTGTTCCTGGGTATGTCTGTGGGGGTGTTACCAAAGGAGATTAACATTTGAGTCAGTGGATTGGGAGAGGCAGATTCACCCTCAATCTGGGTGGACACCATCAAATCAGCTTCCAATGTGGCTAGAATAAAGCAGGCAGGAGTTGGAAAGAACAGACCTGCTGAGTTTCTTGGCCTTCATTTTTCTCCTGTGCTGGATGCTTCCTGCCCTCCAACATTGGACTCCAAGTTCTTCAGCTTTCAGACCCTTGGACTTACACCAGTGGTTTGCCATGGGCTCTCGGGCCTTCAGCCACAGACTGCAGGCTGCACTGCTGGCTTCCTTACTTTTGAGGTTTTGGGACTCAGATTGGCTTCCTCGTTCCTCAGCTTTCAAATGGCCTATTATGGGAATTCACCTTATGATCGTGTGAGTCAATACTCTTTAATAAACTCCCTTTTATATATACATATATCCTATTAGTTCTGTCCCTCTGGAGAACACTTAGTAGTACAACTATTGACACTAAAAAGCAATTACACAATCAGGTCTGCAAAATAACCACCTAACAACACAAAGATAGGACCAAATCTGAACGTATCAATATTAACCTTGAAAGTAGATGAGCTAAATGCCCCACTTAAAAGACACAGCATGGGAGAAAGATGTAGGCTGGGAGGCTAGGCCCATCTCTATTTTTCATGTTTTTCTGCCTGTTTTATATTTGCTGGCAGCTGATTAGATTGTGCCCACCAGATTAAGGGTGGATCTGCCTTCCCCAGCCCACTGACTCAAATGTTAATCTCTTTTGGTCAACACCCACATAGACACACCCAGGATTAACACTCTGCATCCTTCAATCCAATCAAATTGACAGTATTAACCCTGCAAGTCCACCCCTACATCTCCTGAGATCATACGTACTCTTCAAATAAAGACAATATTGAGGTCATAATTATGCTTAACATAAAAACAACTATCCTTCATACAAGGGGAAATGCACTAATCCCCAACCCAAATACTATTACATAAAGTTAACAATACTTAAATGCTGATATGAAGTCAATAAATCTTATGTCACATGATAAAGGAAAAGGAAATAACATGAAGATATTTCCTTAGTACAAGTGTATACATGCACAAACATGTTTTCAACAAAAGAAGGAGGAAATACTCATGACAATTACAGTTCTCATTTCCGCAGCCGGTCATGTGGTCATAGCTGGTACTGATGACTACCTTCTTCTACTACCCATTCTGTATCCCCTTTGCCTTCAGCAAGCACCTCAGCAGGTCATGGTTTTCTTCCTGGTGGAGTGACCCAAACCTTCATTCCTGAAGAGTCTGGAACATTTGTAGTCCTGCCTGGATTTGGCTGTTGTACTTTCCCATTGACCTTAATATCCACTCCCATGCCTGTTCTCCAGATTGCTGTTTATATAAATTAGAGAACTCAAACAGTTCTTTTTGAATGTAGTGCATTTCCTCATGGGTCACACTGTCAACCTCACCTCTGGGGACCCACCAGGACTTTAGTCTAGTTACAGGTCTAGAAGCAAACAGAGGTGTTCGGTGTGACTTCTGAGGAGAATCAACATTATCTTGCCTGGCAATTGCCTTTGGAGAGGGCATCACTGTTGCCTCAGGCAGTGCAGGGTTTTTCTCCTCAGACAAAGGTGGAAAGGCTGATGGCAGCATGAGTCAGGGAGGGGATGTTGCCACTACTGGGGATGGGGATGTTCCTTCTGGCAAAGATGATTCATCAGAGTTTACAAACTCAGTATCTGCAGCTTCATCAGGGTCCTCCCACATATCCCCATTCCAAGTTGCAGGGTCCCATTCTTTTCCAATGAATGCCCTCACTTTAACAGTAGACACCTGGTGATGCTGTGCATGCATCTTTCGTTCAGGTCAGCCACTCTCATAATAAGAGTTTGTTTCTTTTTCCACAAATCCATCTCTTTCTCTTCAGGAGATTAGACTCTCACTCAGGGCAATCTTAGCAGATTTGAGGCTCAGTATCTGCTTCTGAAGCCTTGAGACAGAATCCTTGAGTTCATCATTTTCTTTCATCACTTTGTCCATTGAAATTAGAAGCAACCAACCAGCTTCATTATGTCTCTTGGTTCTCCACAAATGGTCAAAGGTATTATGTACAGAGTCACTAAATTCTTTGCCCCTCATGAGCAGTGAAACAGGAGTGTCAAATGCATTATTGTGCATAACTCTCTAAGCAGTTCATGCCAAGGAGTATCAATGTTCTCCATACTAACAATAATGAGAACAAAGACATAATATATCAGAATTTCTGGGACACAACTAAAGTTGGATTATGAAGGAAATTTATAGCACTAATGCCCACATCAAAAAGTTAGAAAGGTATAAAATTGACAAACTAATATCACACCTAAAGGAATTAGAAAAAGAAGAGCAAACCGGCAAACCAACTCCAAAGCTAGCAGAAGAAAATAACCAAATTGTAGCTGGATTTAATGAAATTGGGATGTGAAAAACCACATAAAAGAACAATGAAACTAAAAGTTGCTTCCCTGAAAGAATAAAATTGATGGACCACTGGCTAAACTAATAAAGAGAAAAAGAAAGAAAATCGAAATAAACACAATCAGAAATGACAAAGGGGACATTACCATCAACATTACAGAAATACAAAAGAAAACAACCCCTCAGAGACTATTATGAACACCTCTATGCACAGAAACTAGAAAACCTAGAGGAAATGGGTAAATTCCTGGAAACACACAACCTCCCAAGATTGAACCAGAAAGAAATTGAAACTCTAAACAGACCAATAATTAGCTCCAAAATTGACTAAGTAAGAAAAAGCCAGAAAAAAAACCCTGTACTAGACAGATTCAAACTGAATTCCACCAAACATATGAAGAAGAATTAGTACCAATAATATTGAAACTTTTCCAAAAACTTGAGGAGTAGGGACTCTGCCTTAACTCAGTCTCTGAGGACAGCATTATTCAGATACCAGAATCTAGCAGAAAAACAACAACAACAAAACTTCAGGCCAACATACCTCGTGAAAATAGATGCAAAAATCCTCAACAAAATACTAGCAACCCAAATCCAGGAGCACAGCAAAAAGCTAATCCTTCACAGTCAAGTAGGCTGTACTCCTGGGATGCAAGATTGATTCAACATAAACAGAACTAAAAACAAACACCACATAATTATCTCAACAGATGCAGAAAAGACTTTCAACAAAATTCAATATATTAATGCTAAACACCCTCGATAAAGTAGGTATTGAAGGAACATACCACAAAATAGTAAGAGCCATCTATGACAAACCCACAATCAATATCATACCAAACATGCAAAAGGAGCAAGCATTCTTCTTGAGAACTGGAACATGACAAGGATCCACACTGTTACCACTCCTATTCAACATAGTACTGGAAGGCTTTCTCAGAGCAATTAAACAAGAGGAAGAAATAAAAGGCCTTCAAATAGAAAGAGAAAGAGAGAAAGTCAAAATATATCTCTTTGCAGATAATATAATCTCTGGAATACCTAAAAACCGCATAGTCTCTGCTCAAAAGCTTCTAAATCTGATAAACTATTTCAGTAAACATTCAGGATACAAAATCAATGTATAAATATCAGTAGCATTTCTATACACTGACCACATCCAATCTGAGAACCAAATCAATAATGCAATCTCATTTATATTAGACCCCCAAAACATAAAATACCTAGAAACACATCTAAACAGGGAATGAAAGAGCTCTACAACAAAATTTATAAAATACTGCAGAAAGAAATCAAAGACAACACAAACAAATAAAAAAACATTCCATGCTCACAGATAAGAAGAATCAACATTGTTAAATGGCTGTGGTGTCCAAAGCAATTTATAGATTAAATGATATTTCCCTCAAACTACCAAGGACATTTTACAAAGAATAAGAAAAAACTATTCTAAGTTTCATATGGAACCAAAAAAGAGCCCCTAGAGCCAAAGCAATCCTAAATAAAAAGAACAAAGCCAAAGGCATCACATGACCCAACTTCAAACTCTACTCCAAGGCTACAGTAACTAAAACAGCATGGTACTTGTATAAAATATAAATAAAAATAGACACATAGATAAATGGAACAGATTAGATAACCCAATAATAAAGCCACACATCTGCAATTACCTGATCTTTGATGAAATCAACAAAAACAAGTAATGAGGAAAGGACTCCCTATTCAAGAAATGATGGTGAGATAACTCACTAGCTATATAAAGAAGACTGAAACGGAAACCTTTATTTTCACTGTATACAAAAATCAACTCAAGATGGATTAAAGACAAATGTAAATCTGAAACTATAAACGCTCTAGAAGATAACATAGGAAATACCATTCTGGACATAGGTCCTGATGGAAATTTTATGAAAAAGACACCAAAAGCAATTGCAACAAAAACAAAAATTGACAAATGGGATCTAAGAGCTTCTGCACAACAAAAGAAACTATCAACAAGTAAACAGACAACCTACAGAATGAGAGAAAATATTTGCAAACTATGCATCTGGCAAAAGTCTAATATCCAGAATTTATATAAAACATAAATCAACAAGCAAATAGTGAACAACTCCATTAAAATATGAAGAAAAAGACATGAACAGATACTTTGCAAAGGAAGACATACATCCAGCCGACAAGCATATGAAAAACTGTTCAATATCACTAATCACTAGAGAAATGCAAATCAAAACCACAATGAAATACCATCTTACACCACTCAGGGTAGTTACTATCAAAAAGTCAAAAAATAGCGGATACTGGTGAGGCTTTGAAGGAAAGGGAACATTTAAACATTGCTTCTGGAATGTAAACCAGTTCAACCACTGCGGAATGCAATTTGGAGATTTCTCAAAGTACTTAAAACAGAGCTACTATTCAATCCAGCAATCCTATTACTAGGTATATAAAAGGAAAATAAATTGTTCTCCCATAAAGACACATGCACACGTATGGTCTACCATCAAGACACATGCACACACTATTCCTAATAGCAAAGACATGAAATCAACAGTAAATGCCCATGAAGTGTGTGCTGGATAAAGAAAATGTGGTACATATACACCACAGGATGCTACAAAGGCATAAAAAAAGAATGAGAACATGTTCTTTGAAGCAGCATAGATGGAGCTGGAGCCCATCATCCTAAGGAAATTAATGCAGGAATCAAAAACCAAATACCTATAATTGGGAGCTAAACATGGAGTACTCATGAACATAAAGAGGGTAGCAATAGATACCAGGGCCTCCTTGAGGGTGGAAGTTGGGAGGAGGGTAAGGATCAACAAGCTACCTATTGATTACTATGCTTATTACCTGGGTGATGAAATAATTTGTACACTAAACCTCCATGGCACACAATTTATCCATGTAACAAAACTGCACATGTACCCCTTGAATCCAAAATAAAAATTGGAAGAAAAAAATCAAAGATCCAGTATCTTCTAAAAAACATATCTTTCCACTCCGTATTCTAAAAACCATATTTCTCTACTCCATATTGAGTAGAGTTAATTGAATAAGTTAATTGAGTAATTTACAGTGTTGCATGTTTTTTTATTAAGACTTTTTCTTGGGCTTTTCAATTTGAGACATACTATATTAAAACTAGTAATTCAATGTAAGATCTGTATATTTCTAACTATATTTATCTCTTTTACAGTGTTATAAGACTTTTAAAACTATCACATCTGTCCTACATTAGCCACATTTTACTCTTACATTGCTAGTAAAACAACGCTACTTAATGGTAATCTGAATTATTTCTAAAGCTTTCCAGGGTTCTTCCCATTATTTCTTTTTTTTTTTTTTTTTGGTTGTTTGTTTAGACAGGGTCTCACTTTGTTGCCCAGTCTGGAGTGCAGTGGCATGATCTCGGTTCACTGAAGCCTTGACCTCCCAGGTTCAAGCGATCCTCCTGCTTCAGCCTACAAACCAGCTAGGACTACAAGCATGCACCAACATGCCCACCTAATTTTTTGTATTTTTAGTAGAGATGAGGCCTTACTATGTTGCCTGGGCCAGGCTTGAACTGTGGAGTTCAAGTGATTCACCCACCTAGGCCTCCCAAAGTGCTAGGGTTACAGGCATGAGCTGCTGTGCCCAGGCTCTATTATTTCTGTAACCACTAGTCTTCCTTTTCCTGAATTCCTTTGTGATTTGGAGGGATTAATCTCATTATTATATTCCCTTTTTAATAGATATACTCAGATTCACTAATTCTGTAAAGGCTAATATTTAAGTAATCATAAATATAAATGCCCTTTATATTATTAAGATATTCCTAATCACCGACTAGAAAAAGTTGCAAAAAAGTATAGAGTCCATATTGCAAATACTATAGACCTTAAAATGTAAAAATTCTGGTCACTGGATATCATTAGAACTTAAATAAATTTACAAGAAACAAACAAACAGCCCCATAAAAAAGTGGGCAAAGGACATGAACAGACACTTTTCAAAAACAGACATACACATATGTCAACAATCATATGGAAAAAAGCTCAACACCACTGATCATTAAGGAAATGCAAATCAAAAGCACAATGAGATACCATCTCACACCAGTCAGAATGGTGATTATTAAAAAGGCAAAAAATAACAGATACTGGCAAGGTTGTGGAGAAAAAGGAATACTTGTACACTGTTAGTAGAAGTATAAAGTAGTTCAGCCATTGAGGAAAACAAGTGGTCCGCAAAGACCATTTTACCCAGCAGTCCCATTACTGGGTATATACCCAAAGAAATATAAATTATTCTATTATAAAGACACATGCACACATACATTAATTGTAGTACTATTCACAATAGCAAAGACATGGAATCCACCTAAATGCCCATCAATAATAGACTGCATAGAGAAAATGTGGTACATATACATCATGGAATATTATGCAGCCATGAAAAAGAATAAAATCATCTCATTTTCAGGGACATGGATGGAGCTGTAGGCCAATATCCTTAGCAAACTAACACAGGGAGAGAAAACCAACTATCTCATGTTTTCACTCGTAAGTAGTACCTAAATGATGAGAATATGTGAACACCTAGAAGGGAACAATACACACTGGGGTCTCTAAAAGGTTGGAGGTTGGGAGGAGAGAGAAGATTAGGAAAATAACTAATGCATGCTAGGCTTAATACCTTGGGGATGAAATATGAAAACAACCCCCTTGACAAAAGTAACCTATGTAACAAACATGCACTTGTACCCCTGAACTTAAAAGTTAAAAAAAAAGAAGTTAGACAAAGGAAAGAAGGCAACTGGGAAGTTTTTCATATTTAAAAAAAATGAGAAAAAGAAAGTCTACTTCTTAAACTTATGGAGCAGAAATAGTGGTTTACAACTGGAAATTAATGTTTAAAAGAAAACTGATAGAGACTTTAAAAATAACAAATCTTGAAAGAGGATAAAGGAAGGTGAAGATATTGAGGTAATTTTTTTCTTTTATAGCAGGGGAAAATAAATATTTATGTTGATAAATTTAAAAATATATGTATAAAAATATTAATTACAATTACAGACTCAACCATTTGTAAGAATGCAAATGTACAGGGGTAGATATCTCTAAAATTGAGTTTTGTAGTTTGATATGGTTTGGCTCTGTGTCCCCACCCAAATCTCATTTTGTAGCTCCCATAATTCCCAAATGTTGTGGGAGGGACCCAGTGGAAAATAATTGAATCATGGGGGTGGGTCTTTCCTGTGCTGTTCTCCTGAGAGTTAATAACTCTCACAAGATCTGGTGGTTTTAAAAATGAGAATTTCTCTGCACAAGCACTCTCTCTCTTTGGCTGCTCCATCCATGTAAGACGTGACTTGCTCCTCCTTGCCTTTGTTATGATTGTGATGCCCTCCCAGCCATGTGGAACTGTGAGTCTATTAAACCTCTTTCTTTTATAAATTGCCCATTCTTGGATGTGTCTTTATCAGCAATGTGAAAATGGGCTAACAAAGTAAATTGGTACCAGTAGAGTGGGGCACTGCTCAAAAGATACCCAAAAATGTGGAAGTGACTTTGGAACAGGGTAACAAACAGAGGTTGGAACAGTTTGGAGGGCTCAGAAGATAGAAAAATGTGGGAAAGTTTGGAACCCCCTAGAGACTGGCTGAATGGCTTTGCCCAAAATTCTGACAGTAATATGGACAATAGAGGCCAGGCTGAGGTGGTCTCAGATGGAAATGAGGAACTTGTTGGGAACTGGAGCAAAGGTGACTCTTGTTATGTTTTAGCAAAAGACTGGTGGCATTTCACCTCTCCCCTAGAGTTCTGTGGAATTTTGAACTTGAGAGAGATAATTTAGGGTATTTGGCAGAAGAAATTCCTAAGCAGCAAAGCATTCAAGATGTGACGTGGGTGCTGTTAAAGGCATTCAGTTCTATAAGGGAAACAGAGCACAAAAGGTCAGAAAATTTGAAGCCTGACAATGCAATAGAAAAGAAAATCCCATTTTCTGAGAAGAAATTCAAGCCTGCTGCAGGAATTTGCTGAGGTAATGAGGAGCCAACTGTTATGCCCCAAGGCAATTGGGTAAATGTCTCCAGGGCATTATCAGAGGACCCTCCCATCATAGTCCTGGAGGCCTAGGAAGAAAAAGTGGTTTTGTGGTCCGGGACCAAGGTCCCCGTGCTGTGTGCAGCCTAAGGACTTGGTGTGCTGTGTGCAGCCTAGGGAATTGGTGCCCTGTGTCCCAGCTGCTTCGCCATGGCTGAAAAGCACCAATTTAGAGCTTGGTCCATGGCTTCAGAGGGTGCAAGCCCCAAGCTTGGCAGCTTCCATGTGGTGTTGAGCCTATGAGTGCACAGAAGTTAAGAATTGAGGTTTGGGATCCTCCGCCTAGATTTCAGAAGGTATATGGAAATGCCTGGATGCCCAAGCAGAAGTTTGCTGTAGGGGCAGGGTCCTCATGGAGAACTTCTGCTGTGGCAGCACAGAAAGGAAATGTAGGCTTGGAGTCCCCACACAGAGTCCCTACTGGGGCACTGCCTAGTGGAGCTGTGAGAAGAAGGCCCCGTCCTCCAAACCCCAGAATGGTACATCCACTGACAACTTGCACCGTGTGTCTGGAAAAGCCACAGACCCTCAATGCTAGTCCATGAAAGCAGCTGGGAAGGAGGCTGTACCCTGCAAAGCCACAGGAGTGGAGGTGCCCAAGACCATGGAAACCCATCTCTTGCATCAGCATCACCTTGATGTGAGAGTCAAAGGAGATCATTTTAGAACTTTAAGATTTGACTGGACTGCTGGATTTTGGACTTTCATGGGGCCTCTAGCCCCTCTGTTTTGGCCAGTTTCTCCCATTTGGAACAGCTATATTTACCCAATGCCTGTACCCCCATCGTATCTAAGAAGTAACTAACTTGCTTTTGATTTTACAGGTTCATAGGTGAGAGGGATTTGTCTTGTTTCAGATGAGACTTTGGACTGTGGACTTTTGAGTTAATGCTGAAATGAGTTGAGACTTTGGGGGACTGTTGAAAGGCATGATTTGTTTTTAAATGTGAAGACATGAGATTTGGGAGGGACCAGAGTCAGAATGATATGGTTTGGCTCTGTGACCCACCCAAATCTCATCTTGTAGCTCCCATAATTCCCACGTGTTGTAAGAGGAACCTGGTGGGAGATAATTGAATCATAAGGGTGGGTCTTTCCCATGCTGTTCTCTTGATAGTGAATAAGTCCCACAAGATCTGATGGTTTTAAAAATGAGTTTCCGTGCACAAGCTCTCTCTCTTTGCCTGCTGCCATCCACGTAAGACGTGACTTTCTCCTCCTTCCTTCTGCCATGATTGTGAAGCCTCCCAGCCATGTGGAGCTGTGAGTCCATTAAACCTCTTTCTTTGGTAAATTGCCCAGGCTCCAGTATATATTTATCAGCAATGGGAAAATGGACAAATCACAGTTGCAACTGAGGTTTTCAAAAAATATATTTTACTTGAAAATTTGATAGTATTAAAAATTTCTTAAATGTTTTAATTTATTATAGTAATATTAGACACTTCTTTTAAAATAAGATTAGACATTTTATTAGATATCACACAACTGAATTCCTTCCTTCTAATTTCTGGGAAAATAGATAAATATATTTCAAGAAAACTTATATTAGGTATTTTTCTAATGCATTTTGTTTGAGTATGGGCTTAGCTTTAATCAGACATTATTTATTGTTGTTCCAAACTGATTATAGTATTTATAATACTCACCTTTGATGAAAGAAAACTTTACACTGTATTCTTTTTATGAAAAAAATTCCGAGTGTTTTGGAAAGAAGGCTACAAAAATAGGTACCTACGTAGTTATACTTTGGAAACAGAAAAATTTCACTGGTCTCCTCTCTCCCAGTTTCAAACACACAAATTTTTAAAATGTGTTTCCAGGTGATAGTAATAATGATATAAAATAATAATTCTCACTGATTTTCAAGGAGATCTGAATTTTTATGTAGGTGATAATTGTAGCTCTGATTTATCTATTTCTATAAATAAATGCATACATATTTTATGTATCATTCCATACATCATACATAAGACATTCTGGTAATTTTGCTGGAATTTTTTGAAAAAGAAATCACTGAAAATGTTTGTGCTGGTTTCATATACATGTTTGTAGTTATACATATAGAATTCATACTTACATGTTTAAGTTATAGATTAAAATAATTTTAATACTTTCATCTACTTAGTAATCTCTGAAGGTATTCTCAAGTATATTACAAGACAAAATCAATTCCAACAGATTCAATATTTGATTAGATTTCTTAGGTATTACTATATTTCACTTAAAGACATTGTTAATAATGATGTATTTTATTAAATCTAATTTAATATTCTATGTTGCAAAATCAGCAGGAATTCAAATGAAAAATAATGGTAAAAGATCATTTAAATTCACAATCAATTTAATTCATTAATTGATCTGATAAAGCTGCTCTCTCATTCTCTGTTATAACAAAAATATTAACATTTCTTTGACAAACAAAAATCAATTTTCATTTGCAGCAGGAGCTACATCTTATTTTACAGAACAAACACACATTCAGTGTGAATAAGTAGTAGTAAAAATGAGCCTGGTATCTGGAAATTACTACTTAGCTTACTGCTCTTTTATGTGTGTATTTTTTTCCTGACTGAGAACATAGTTTAATTGCTCTATAAAATTTAGAGGGTTCAAAAAATTGCAATAAAATTAAATGAGATAAAAATGTATGCTAACTAAAGTGCCATTGCATTGCACTATATTTTTGTTTTGCTTTATATTTAGAGAGGTGAAATAAAAGGGTCAGACCCATTAAAGTTTTATAGCAACTCAAATCCAAGTTGACACAGTGTTTTTTTATAAGTTTTAAAAATTCCCTAGACTCAGTAAAATGTGAATCAAATTTAAGAAAACAGAGAAATGGGAAAGCAGAAGTTTCAAAAAAGGCTGGGTTGAATCCCGTCCTCACAGGAGGAGAGGTTGCTAAATTTCTCATCAGTTGTGGTTCTCAGCTTTTTTCCATTTTGTAATATAAGATAAAATCTGTGAAACTTTGAGATTATCTTTTCAAAAAGGCAGCTAAATTTTTTATAAAAATAAAGACGGGCCAGGCGCCGTGGCTCATGCCTGTAATCCCAGCACTTTGGGAGGCCGAGGCGGGCGGATCATGAGATCAGGATATCGAGACCATCCTGGCTAACACGGTGAAATCCCGTCTCTACTAAAAACATACAAAAAAATTAGCCTGGCATGGTGGCAGGCACCTGTAGTCCCAGATACTCGGGAGGCTGAGGCAGGAGAATGGCGTGAACCCAGGAGGCAGAGCTTGCAGTGAGCAGAGAATGCGCCACTGCACTCCAGCCTGGGCAATAGAGTGAGACTCTGTCTCAAAATAATAATAATAATAATAATAATAATAACAAAATAAAAGATGATGATAATGAATTAAAGTTGTTGACAAAAAAGAGTCAAACTCTGTAAAATATTTGAAAGGATTAATTCTAACGCAAATGAGTTACCAAGGCTTGAGGAACAGTCTCAAGAGGTTCTGAGAATATGTGCCCAAGGTGGTTGGCATACAGCTTGATTTGTATATATTTGAAAGGGACAGAAGTTATAGGCAGACATCAATCAATACATGTAAGGTGTACAATGGTCTGTCCAGAAAGGCAGGACAACTTGCAGTGGAAGCTTCCAGGTCATAGCTACATTCAAAGATTTTCTGATTGCCAATTGGTTGAAAGAGTTAAGTTATTATCTAAAGACCTGGAATTAATAAAAAGAAATAACGAGTTTAAGATAAGGGATTGTAGAGACCAAGGTTCTCATTATGTAGATAAAGGCTTCAGGTAACAGACTTCAGAGAGAATAGATGGTTAAAAAACTCCCAGTGTAGGGATATTGCATTAAGGGGGATACCACAGTTTTGTATCTTTTACTTCTGGGAGCCCGTTTATATTTTCAAAGAAAAATTCCCCAGTGTTTCTGGCAGAAAGAGGACTAAAAGTGGTCATTTTGAAAAAAGTACAAAGCCTTCTCTTCTCCTTAGCAAACCCTGCATTTATCATAAACTATGTTGCCAAAGTCTAACCCACATGGACATTACCAGAGCTTAACTGACTTGAGGGAAGGAAAATACGCAATTTCAGACCCTTCCAATCCTTCTGTCTCATCTCAGGGTGGTGGAGATGCGTAGAAGGAGTTGCAAAGGTCACATTCCAAGAGCCAATTATCACTAACAGACTGAATTATCACTAATCATAGGACTACAGAACACTGCCTTTCCTTCTACACCAATAAAGCTCTGGAATAATAACGGGATTACAAGGCAAAGAACTGCAAGTCTCAGATACTACTAAATAGGGGTCTCTAGGGGAAACCAAAGCCAACAGGAGAGGTAAAAAGAAAAACATTAGAGGAAAGTTTTAGCCTCTGCTATTAACAGATAAAATAAACAGTAAACACAGCATAACCACTAGCTAAATAAAAATAAAATTACACATTAATGTCCTCTTTAATTCAGTTCCTTTCTCCTGATATGTCATGTTCAGCTATCAACAAAAAATTACAAGGCATGCTAAAAGACAAAAACACAGTTTAAACAGACAAATCAAGAGTCAGAATCATATTTCAATATAGCAGAGACTTTGTAATTATAAGACCACAAGTTTAAAATAATTGTCTTTAATATACTAAAAGATATCATGGAAAAAGCAGACACCATGCAAGAATGTAGAGGTAATATAAATATTATTGGTGATTTTTGCCTCCAATAAACCTAAGAAAAAAGTAAAAGGAAATAATAGAATTCAAAAGCAATGTACAGAAATGAAGGATGGCTTTGATGGACTCATCAGTAGAATTGTCACAGCTGAAGAAAGAATCAGTGAGCTTCAAAATATGTTAATAGAAATTTCCCAAACTGAAAAGCAAAGAGAGAAAAGAATAAAAGAAAAATGAAATAGAAAATCCAAGACCTATGGGATAATTACAAAAGTTGTAATATATGCATAATGGGAATAGCAGAGAAAAGGAAAGAGAAAAAGGAACAGAAAATATTTGTGGCAATAATGGCTGAGAATTTCCCAAAATTGTTGACAGATACAAAACAGCAGATACAAGAAGCTCGGAAAACATCAAACATTATACATAATAGGCGAAGATTGAAGATTGGGAAAGAGGCACGGATGTCTACTCTCACTGCTGTTATTCCACATAGTGCTAGAAATTCAAGCCAATGCAATGAGAAAGGAAAAAGAAAAGGCGTATAAATCAAATAAGAAAAAGTAAAACTGCCCCTATTTGCAGATGACATTGCAGTTTGCTGTTTTGGAAATCCCAAGGATTCTACCAAAAGAAACCTAGAGTGAATGTTTGAGTTCAGGAAGGTCATGGAACACAAGATAAACATAAAAAATGTTATCTACTAGTGATAAAGACATATGCACAACAATTAAAAATAAAAATCAATTTATTAGCACTCATTACAATATGTTTGGTATAAATATAACAAAGCATGCACATGATCTATATGCTGAAAATTATACAACACTGATGAAAGAGATCAAAGACCCAAACAAATGGAGAGACATATTATGCTCACAGGTTGGAAAATTCAACACAGTAAAGGTGTCAGTTCGTCCCATAATGAAATGTAGGTTAAACACCATTCTTATCAAAATCCTAGCAAGATTTTTTTTGTAAATATGTCCAAGATTATTCTAAAATTTACATGGAAAAGCAAGGGAATTAGAATAGTTAATGTTGAAAACGAAGAGAATAAATTGGAGGGAACTGATAACTGGACTTTAACATTTATCACCTAGCTACAGTTATCAAGTCTGATTGTACCGGCAGAGAAATAGACAAGAAATCAGTGGAATGGAACACAGAACTGAGATATAGAATCGCAAATATGCTCAACTGGCCTGCAGAAAAGTTGCAAAATCAATTCAATGGAGAAAAGACAATCTTTTCAAGAATTGTCTTCATTGATAAGGTTCTGAGTGGAAAATACACAGTTAATTATGACATTGGGTCTTACACATTCCTATGGAACTGACTCTCTACAAGAAAGTAGGAGTGGTGCTGGCAGCACAAAATGTGATAAGTAGTTTCACTGAGTAGATTTTCCTATCTGCCACAAACACTTAGTAGGTGTTGGAAGAACTGAGTTATATGTGTTAGGATATGGCTTGAGTGGGTTTTACAGAATGAACATTGAATGGCATTCTGAAAAGCTGGGAGGCCATGTAACCCATGTAAGACACAAATGTCAGTACATGGAATCCTGTAGGAATAATATTGAATGAAGTGAATGGACATTTTAAGCAGGTGATATCGCGAGTTCTCAGTATTTAGGAAGTCTACAAATTACTCTTCAATATACTTAGAACATTTTTTTAGAATAAAATATAATATGTTGAAGGAATATTTCTTAACATTCCACATAATCTCAGGAATTCTGGTAAAAGAAAATTCAAGGCTACTTGAAAATACTTCATAAAAATAATTTCCTGGGAAATATTTATATAATAGACATATAAATATTTTACATAATTTTATAGGGAATGAAAATTGCAAAGGTCTTCATTATTTTATCCTCAGTTTTACATTCCAAATTCCTGGAATTATCAAAGATACTGGGTCAGAACCTATAAATTTTATGTAGTTTAAACACAAGACATATTATGTACAACATGGTTAAAAAATATCTTTATAGATCAGCCCATGGATTTTGTCTGTGGCCCTAAGCAGTATGCCTAATGAATTTTCTTGTAACAGAGTAAGCTGTATAGTAATTTTGAAATTCTATTGAAATAAATGTACTGAAGGAGTATTTCTTGAATTCCCTTGGCATTAAGTTCCTGAAAAATTATAT
The DNA here is from genome assembly GCF_000001405.40 of Homo sapiens. NCBI lineage: Eukaryota > Metazoa > Chordata > Mammalia > Primates > Hominidae > Homo > Homo sapiens. Next base: position 171,735,823 of record NC_000004.12, read on the forward strand.
TTTTGCATTTTCAATTGTGACTTATGCTGTGATTTAAATTATAATATAAAATTCATCTACTTGGTTTTATTTTCTTGGAGCTATAAACTAGAATATGCTACAAAAGTAAATTGAATTAAGTTGGAAAATATGGTTAGATTCTCATTAGTTTAAAACTTTTAGTTTTCACTTTGTGCCAGCTATTTGTTCTTGGTGACATTCTGCATACAATACAATCATGTCAACAGCTAAATATACTTAAATTCAAATGATACCCCCATTAAGAATTAGGAATGTTGTCATTTCAATGTTTCAAATTGTTCTAAAATGTGATATTAAAAAATGAAAAATCATGTTCTGAATTAAAAATGTAATGATCTGAATCGCAATGGATATGTTGTATTTGGTCTATATGGAATTTTTCAGTTTTATGTGAAGAATTTTAATTGTTCTAAATTATCTTCCAGGTTTATATTAGATTTCCGTAAATAATTGTAAATATTTTTAGAAAGTTGTTTGCATTTAAAGTACAAAAGAGCATGCAAAATTATTTAGAAAATAATAGAATTATTTAAATTTTCATTATAAAAATTGTGGAAATCGTGGGAATAAGGAGTAGAAAGAAAGAAAGGAGAATGTAGCTGAGGCAGTAACAGCAATAAAGGTGACACAGACTTTGTTCTTATCAAGTTTATATGCTACAGGCAGTAAATAAGCAAAAAGTGTAATTTTGTATAGCAATAAACCTCATGAAGTAGACAAAAGAGGATAATAGATGGAGGTGACATATAAGCTGCAACCTAAATGACAATAAACAAATGCCAGGTAATTTGGGGAAAGAGTTTTCAAGGTAGATGGGATAGCAAATTCAAAGGCCATGAGGTGGGCACAAGCAAATGTGGTTTAAACGGTGGACCTGAAGTACACAGATATAAGATAAATTCCAAAATGCAGGCAGGGGCCAGATCATTGGCTCTAAAATGATGAGTTTGTATTGTATTTCAATTACTCTGCAAAGCGAGTATAATCAAAATTTTATCATGGCCTGATTTACATGCTAAAAGGATTTCTCCTGCTGCTGCCTGGAAAATGCATTGTAAGGAGGGGCAAATTTGAAATCTGGAAAACCAGTTAGGAAGTAAGTAATTGCAGTAGTCTAAACAAGAAGGGAAGGGATTTCTATATAGAAGAGAAAATAGGGCGGCCGTAGACTACCTAAGGCATAATTTGACATCATTTATCAGAAAAATACAACAATTACTATTTTTAAGTACAACTTCAGATATTAAAGTTCTAAAATACCATACATTGAATTGACTGAATCCAGTTATCTAATCCAGTTATTTGGATTTTATGAATTTTAGATGTTTATAATATAAAAAACTTATGAACCTTCTATCTTGATGCATAGGATAAGATTAAAATTGTATGTCTGCTTGTTTTTGCCCTAGTCTCTTCTTTCAAGTCCTAGTGAATCAAAGTTCCTAGATCATTGTAACCTCCATGACAACAAAATTGTGCCCATTAAATGCACACAGTTTTAGTACATAGAGCAATGTGTTTTCAGGGTGCTTTATGTCATAAAGGATAACTGAGAGTTGTTCTATATGAGGACAAAGCACACTATCGAGAGTATATCATCATTGGAAATATAGTTTAAGGGACAAAAAGGAAATTATGATGAATACTAAACTTCTCTTTGAAGTGCCTCATGCTAATCTACACTTTAATTGTATGCTCTGGTTCCCTACATCCACATGGGGAAAAGTATTTTATTGACTCTGCTTGCCAAATATGTTTGGGATGCCATAGAAAATAAGCTGACATTACAGGATATATTGTGACTTCAATTACTAAAGGAATCATGAGTCTATTTTTAAGACTAGAAATTTTCTCTTATTGAAAGGAAGAAATTAGAAAGAAAGCAGTTAAGCGGTTTTGTACAGGTCATATCCCAAGCTAGTTGGATATTTGGTAATAGAATCCCAACAACTGAAACTTGAAATTCATCACCAGAAGATCATGTTCTCTTTTAAAATAAACTAAAAAATCTTCAAATGATATATATTATTAGCTCTCTTACTACATCTTTCCTTTGTTTTTAATCAATGTTATTGAGGTGTAATTTACATACAAGAAAATACAGCCAGTTTAGTTGTGCAGATCAATGAATTTCTAGCAATATTATCACCACAATCAATTATAGAACAATTCCATCACCACCAAAGTTTCCTACTGACCCCCGTAGTAAATTCTCCCTTACCACCGGTCTTAGACAATTACTTATTTACTTTCTGTAAATATAGATTGGTTTTATCTTTTTTAGAATTTCATATAAAAGGAAAGCTATAGATTATATAGTTTTCTTCATCTGTTTTCCTTCACTCAGCATATTGCTTTTAATATTTATTCATATTATTGTGTGTATCAGCCAGTACTGCACGTTTTTATATTGCCGAGCAGTTCTCTCATACATGATTGTACCAACATTTTTATCCATTCAGTTGTTGCGCATTTGAGTTATGGCCACTTTTGCCAGCTTTATACATAAAGTTGCAAAGAACAATCATTTATAAGTATTTGTGTGGACATGCGCCATCATGGATCTTGAGCAAATACCTAGGTGTGGAGTCCTTGTATTATATGCTGAATTTATGTTTAACTTTATAAGAACTGTTAAAATATTATACAGCGTTGTGCTCCTGCTAAAAATATGTTGAAGTTCCAGTTGCTCTACATTTTTATCAATACTTGGTATTGCTAGTGTTTTTTAGTTTTAGCCAGTGTACTGGGTGTGAACTTGTACCATATTTTTGGTTGCAGTTCCCTGATGATATAGAATATCTTTGCATATGCTTATTGGCTGATTTGTACATCTGTTTTTAAAGCATATGTTTAAATATTTTTCCTCTTGAAATGGAATTCTTAGGATTGAATTGTAAGGATTCTCTGTATATTCTTGATACAAGTTATTTGTCAGATATATAAATTATGAATTTTTTTCTAATTTGTAACTTGCCTTCTGCCTTTCATATTAAAAGGTAACATTTAAAGATGTTTATAATTGTGATAAAATCCAATTAGTTTTTATTTTACAGTTCATTCTATGACATTTTTGCTAGCCATATTTAAAATTTTTTTGCTAGCTTACAGTTGTAAAGTTTTTCTCCTATGGTTTTTTCTAGAAATGTAAAAAGTTTATCTCTTACATTTACATCTATGATTCATTTCATGAGAAACTTGTATATTATTTGAGAGAAGGGTAGAGGTTTACTTTTAAATTATGATGATGTTCTAGTACTATTTCCTTAAATATTATTTTTCAACCATTACATTTTCTTGCTGCCTTTGTTGAAAATCAATCAACTTTATATGTGTTGGTATATTTCTGGACTCTCTATTCTGTTACAGTGATCTATATGTCTATCCTTATGTCAATGCCAAACTGCATTTATTACAGTAACTTTGTACCTAATCTCGAAAACCATGCAATTTAAGTCATTCAACTTTGTTCTTCTTTGAAATCATTTGTGCTCTTCTAGTTTCCATTGTGTGATCACATATTTTTAAATAAGTTTGCTTGTTTCTATGAAAACTTTTTACTGGATTTTAATTGGCATTGCATTGAATCTCTAAGTCAATTTGGGAAGAATTGATACCTTAACAATACTGAGTCATCGAATCCATGAATGTGGCATATTTTCAGATTTCTAGGTCTTCATAAATTTCTCTCAGCAAAGCTTTGTAGTTTTATATGCACAGGTGTGGTGGATATTTTGTTAAATTTATCTTTAAGAATTTTATGTTCTTGATGCCATTGTAAGCCTTTTTAATGTAAGCCTTTTCATCTTCCAGGTTATTAATGCTAGCATATATATAAATTAAAAATAAACTTGTGTATCGAGTTTGTATTTTGTGCCCTTCTTGAATTTGCTTCACTGTTCTAGTTTCTTTTGTGTACATTTGTTAGAATTTCTATGCATAGAATTATAGATATACTTACCTATTTTTTTCTAATTTTTACAAATTTTATTTCTTTTTATGACCTATTGCACTGTACCTCCAAGATTCCGTTGGAAATAGAGAAAGTGTATATCCTTTCCTTTTTTTCAATCTTATGATGAAAGTATTCATTCATTCCCCCATTAAGTATGTTGGCAAGAGTGAGATTGTTGTGGATATCCTTTTTCAGGCTGACTCTGTTCTTTATTTTCTAAGTTTATTGTTATTGATGGTTTTAAATGAATAACATTATATTCTACATTTATTCAAACTAGCATATATTTTTACCTCTTTTTTATATTAACATGGTCAATTAATTTCTTGAAGGTTAAACCAAGCTTACATTCCTATGACAAACCACATGTATCATTTTTTTGAAATAATTGTAATTAATTTCAATTGATTCCTTAGTATATTTTAAGCAAATATGCATTTTAAATCATGAGAAATATTGTTATGCAACTTAATTTCCTTTTAACACATTCCTCAGTTTCAGTAGTAGGTAAACACTGACTGCAAACAGAAAATGACTTTTTTCTGTTTTTTTCCTCTATTCTTGGAAGTTTGTCTAAGATTAATACCTTTTATCACTTAAAGATTTGATAGAATTAGAATCTACCAGATAAATCATCTGTACCTAGAGATTACTTGTGGTAATAGAGCCCATGGCAGGAATGGGGTGAGCATCCTGGGTGCAGGCAGCTGAGAGCTCACATGGTAAAGGATGTCTGCCACCTTCCCAGCCACACTGGGGTGCTGAAGACCAGAGACAGCACCACAGTGGAACACAAATGGGTGAGAACCAACCCATGGGTCCACATACATGCAACTTAAATTCAAAAGTAGGTGATGAATCATGGGTATTCAGAGCCCTGAACTTATCCTGGTGTGAAACATGAAGGAGAATCACCAAAATCAGACAGCCAAAATCAGCCTGTCAGTACCATTCTGGCAGTCTAGTGTCAAACAATCCCATAAAACAAATAACTACACGGGATAGCAAGAGTGGTCTGTTTACATGAATGCCCTCCTGGAATTGAGTTGCTTATGGCATAAGGTCAATTATGGAAGCAGAGATGAAGATGCTGAGACAGGAACGCTGGGACCCATGTCTGATGAGGTCCAGTGAAGCCAGGTTCAGATTCAGTGCATTCTGCCCAAATGACACTGCTGACACTGAGACAGTCCCCAGCACTGGAGAGAGAAATAATTTGAAGAATTTGAGGAAGATGATCAAATATGTGAGGCTCCTTCAGCAGCCAGGCTTGGAAAGGACCCCTGCTTACTTGGGTACACGGGTGGTAGTAGATATCAACACCATTTACTGAGGTAAAGAACACTGGGAGACTCTGAATAGATAAATTAGTGAATTCAGCTTCTGAATATGTGGCTTCTAAAGGGAAATATTGAAGAAGAAATCAGATAAATGCTTACAGGAGATGACATATGCATTCAGGAGGAATATATATGTATAGTATTATGTGCATATAATATTGTATTAATCTCTCTTTCCTCTATCTATCTATCTATCTATTTAGTGCATGAGAGAGACTTGGGTGAGAATGTAGGGGAGAAAAGAGATGACAAACCACTGAACAAAGTCCTTGAGAAGTCATAAATACTCACCTAGAATTGCCTAAGCCCACAAAGAATACAGTGATAAGAATACCTAGTAAAGGAAAAAGGAAAGAGAATAAAAGAAAATGTTACAGAAACCTGGGGGAAATATTTTACAGAAAAAGGGAGTGAAAAGCTGTGTCAAGTCCTGCTGGGAGATCAAGTAGGATAGATCAAGAAACATGTCTGTTAGCAACATGGAGTTCTTGATAACTTTGGCAGGAGCACTTTCCCTGGCCTAATGGGAGTAGAATCCCTTTTTTGAAGTAGATTTAGAAAGTAGCTAGATTGAGAGGTGAGTAAATCAAGACAAGTGTAGTTTACTCCTTTTTAAAACATAAGTTTGACACTGAGAAGTTGAGAGATAAAGAAATGTAGTAGGAGGGAGATTCAGAGCACAGTGGAACTTCTGGAAAAGGAAATATCATTCTCAGAAAAAAAATTAGAATATTTAAACTTTGAGAGTGAGGGCAAGAGGAGGTGAGGTTTGGGAATACGTTTCCTGAGAAGGTGACAGAATTGTATCCAGAGCACAAGGAGGCACAGGTGACAGAGTTGGCCCTTGAGAGAAATGTTTCTTCCATTAGAGCCAGAGATAGGAAAAGAGTAGGTGCAAAAGTGGGAACATTTGATGAAGTTTAAAAAAATTAAATTGTTTGCTGTGATAATGTCTATTGTCTCTGTAAGGTACCAGACAGGGGTAGGATTATGAAGTATGAGAGGCTTAAATGTATGAAATAAGCCAACAGTGTTTGAACTAGTCAGTTCTGGATGTGATTATTGGGTAGAAATAAGAAACAGTAAATTTCAATGCTGAACATTGTGACCTGTGGACATCAGTGACCAATAGTTAGGGACAATCAGAGTGCCCTTTTGATTCATTTTCTCTGCCTTGGCTCAGCAACCAAGATGCAGGCATTGAGAAGATGAATAGTCAGCTTTGTCCACAGCTGGGTCAAGTTGGGCTCTCAAGGTGTGGGCAGAATACAAATTGAAGTTACTTCCCATTGCTTCTAAAATTACTAGGAACCAAAGTGTATACGGTAGAATAAGGAGGAATAAGAACAAATAGAGAAGTCAACAGGCCATCCTAAAAATAGCAGTGGTGATTCAAGACAGAAGGATAGGGTTTGGGGATTGAACATGAGATAAATGGCTTGGAGATTAAAGGATGGAGCAATTTCAGCTGGAAACATGGCTGATGCTTCGGAAAGCAGTGGTTTGATGGGTTAGAGGAGACAGATAACGAGGAACAGGAAGTTTGGTGTTAGATAGCTCCACTCCTTCATACGCATGACACTGGCTTTAGAAGTCCGGAAGTTTTATGACCAATGAATTCATCAGATAAAACAGTATATTCATCAAAAATTCTTTTAAGTACATGATTTTTCTTTCAGAAATCATCTAATCCTTTTGAATTATCTGTCCATTCCCTTGCTCCTCTCTATTAAGAGTAGTTTGAGATGCATAGAGATTACACGTTTTATATTCATGGTTTGTCTTCTGAATCTTTTCAAACATAAGATTAATATAATCATCTCTTTCTATCTCTGGCTTTTCTCCAGACCTCAAAGGATTTAATTCATTTAATTAATAGAATATTCAGTATTCATAGGAAGGCTGCCTTGAAGTAGAAATAAATGATCCTTCATGGACAGGTTGATTATATTGAAACTATCCTCAAATATTAAGATGTATCAAATATGTCACATATATAAAAAAACTCATATAAAAATATACTTGGATCAGGCCAGTGAAGATTAAATTTTATATTCTCTCTATAAAATGTATAACACGTTCTTTTCTTATATAAAAATTAATTATACAAGCAATGAATAAATATATTATCGTTATAAATAAATCAGTAAACATATAGTATATAAAACATGAAATGTCATTCTTTAATGACACACTTTCAGTCCCTTAAAAGTAATAGTTTTGTATTTATCCTACCAGCTTTTCTCCCTTTTAAAAAGTTATTTTTATTGGAAAAGACATTAAGATTCATTGAAGAAATATATAACATATAGACAGTTTTAAAGAAGAAAAAATCATCTATTTATGGTAATCAATTTGCTAGAAGTTATATACACAGACGTATTCTGCTTATTTTCACTTACTGTTCTTCATAAACATCATTGATTGCTGTGTAATGATATTCTGTTTCATAGATTTACCAAACTTTATTTCTTCTAGTTCTGTCTCTACATGTGTAGGTGGCTCCAATAACAAGTGATGCCTCAAAGAATATCTTACAATCTTTATATTTGTCTTCGTTTTTGAATATTACTTTAGGAAATATTACTTTAGAAAAGAAAGTTATTGTTCAAAGTATATGAAAGTTTTAAAGAATCTTGAATTAAATCACCAATTGTTTTTCTAAAAGTTTGTTTAAACAAATACTTAATTGTTTAGGGCTATTTATTGATATTGCACCACTTAACTACAATATTTTCATTATTCACAATTCTTTTTACAAATTGTTTGCTAAAATTTGTGTTCATTTGATGATTTGTTATGTTAAATATTCTTTACTTGTTTATTAACTGTAATGGACCTATTGTTTGGATATATACGAACATTTCACCCAGGTTAACTATTTGTTTGTTTTCCTGAAGAAAAATAATTTATTATCTAACATTAGCCAAAATGATCAATTTGTCTGATTAATCTACCTCTTATGGATTTTTATTTATCCTACTAGTCTTTTCTGATAGCAAAGAACAACAAACCACATATATTATAAAAGTGGATGTGTATGCATTTTTTTGTCCTTTTTGTCATTTGTTTTGCTTTGTTTGACTTTTACATTTCAAGAATATAAGAAACAGAAAGCCAAATTCCTGCACACGAAGTGCTGCTTAAACTGTACAAGGTACTATTACATATGTTCATCCTCCCCTCTCCAACCTAAAAAGAACTAAGAACGCAGGACAAATAATAATTTTTAAAGTAGGGGGCATCTTTGACAGATAAGTGGTGGAACATTAAAAATAAACTTGGTCAGTCTACAGTTGTATCCATTCTCTTTAGACCTGGGTCAGTCCAATTTAGACAAGGGTCAGTGTCATTCAAGAATTTTGCTGAGGTGGCCCATTCCTCATTTTCCTTTTGCAATCACCTTGAGTCTAAGTAAACAAAAACTATCAAACCATCCTAGTTGCTAGCAAAACTTAGTTGCTAAAATTCCTCAAGGGACACTTCCAAATCTGGAATTGGAGGGGACTTTAGCCTGGAAAATTAGTATGCTATCCTGTTTAGAAGATACAAATTCATAGGAAAAGTATTAACTTGTTTAGCAGAGTGAAGGAAATGGTAACACACAGTGTCTGCAAGGCGGAGGTTCATTAGAAACGAACCAATGTCACATTTTCCAATAATGTGAATGAGGAAAGCCTTATGTTAATAAGATAAAATATTGTTAATTTTCGGAACTGTGTGGATTAAAAAAACCTAAAAGTTTCTAGAGGGAATAAAAGGATAATAAAACAGATCACATATCAAGAAATGAGAATAAAATAGTATCACATTTCCAACAGAAAACAAAGGCAATGTTTTTAAATTTTTGAACAAAAGTATTAGGTATAATTCTACATCCAGATTATTAATCCAAGTGCAGGCAGAATACAGATCTTTTCAGAAATATCAAGAACAAATACTTCTGCCTCCTTTCAACTTATTTTTAGGAGACTGCTGGTAGACGTGCTTTTGAAAAACAAGACTGTAACTTACAGGAAGAAATGAAACCCAAAATATAAGAGGTTCCAACCAGGGGAGAAGTGATGCAAACTTCTGAGATTCCAGCTGTTCAGCTGTCCTATGAGGCTGAGTCCAGATTGAAGTAGGGCGACAGAGGACTTCAAGAAGGATAGCTCCAGGAAATAAACAACAATAACAAAATAGAGAATTATCGATTATCAGACTGTGTGTCAGCATCTGGAAGAAACTCCAGTTTTGCGTATGAGATATAAGTGAGTAATACTTGATCAAAAAGGAGAGACCCAAATAAAAATATAAGAAAAAAATAGCTTAACAAAGTTAAAAGTGACTTTTTTCCCCTAGAAAGTAGAATTGGAGTGGAGAAAATATGGAAGGAAAAAGCTTCTTTTCTTTGTTAAATATGAAATATATGAATACTTTGATAAAATGAAAACATAAATAGCGATCAAAATAAAATTGAAAGATTAAAATAAAATGGCTGGGAATTGAAACAAGGAACTAGATAAGAAACACAAAAAAAGTTGAAAATAAGTTAATAAAATTAAAAATAAATTATAAGAAGAGAACAAAAAACAACAGAACAAAGTTCACATTTGATCATTAAAACCAAAACTTTTTTTTTTAATGTCAATAAACGTGGGCAGGGCTCCACAGGGATTTGCAAGACAGAAATTGCCCAGCTCCTTTTAGTATAGTCAGAAATAAGGACAATTAATTGGAGATAAAATTATTTTAAAGATAACAATGAGATTCCTTCATCCTTTCTGTTTATCCTTCTACCTTTACATTCAAAGCCAAATGCTATGGCTTTAGTTTCTTTGATGCAGACATGTTAAATGCAATCACTTAGTCACAACTCGATATTATTGTTGTCTCCAGAACTTCACAGAGCATTTTTCTGGTAATAAGTGAAGTTTATTTCCAACAAGTTGTAAAAGCATGGTGTAAGATCCTTCTTGTTTTTAACTTAATGAAAAAAAAATCCCATTTACATTTTGCAATGTGGGAAAACACATGCCACATCTCTGCAACTTGTTTGTGAGAAATAGAAAAGCTTACACCTACATTCTCTTAACACTTCTCTCCTTATTTTTGGTCATTACATTTGCAGATATGAGTCAGAAGTCTATATCATCTGGAGATGAAGAAAACATAGATAATTCCTGTGTGTGTGTGTGTGTCTGTGTTTGTGTGTCTTTCCAAATAGTGCACAAATGACCCAAGCAAGGGGAAAATGCCAAAAATCAGAAAAATAACAAACAAAAGTCATTAATTCATACACTATTGTGAACTGCATTTTCACACTGAAAAAAGCTAAGTAGGTAATATAAATATGCTGCAGCTGAAAAGCATTTGACAGTCTGATATCACTTTAATCAGTGTGTGCTCACAGTCATTTGAATTGTTCACTCATAACCAAATGGGCTATTTTCATCTTCCTCCAGTGTAATACTTACAGCATCTTCTTCACAATAACTTGTAATAATACTAAAGTGAACCCCTGGGACTATACATCTCACAGAGTTGTAGCTATATCTTGCTGTTGTCTGGCCTTTCTGTTTCAAATATCTCAAAGGAATAATTTTCAACATGCTAGAACCTTTTTCACTCTAGTATCTATTGTGATTGACAACTTAATCCATGCTAATTCATTGCTGACCTGCATTTTTCTGACTCTAGCATACCTCTAAAGAATAACCATGGAGAAGACAGAAATGAAAATTAGAAACTCTGACAGCAGTGTTACATTCAGATCATTTGTTACTATAGAATTACATTCCCTAAATTCATCTAACAGATCTCATTGCTTTTCTATATTTCTTTAAAAATTATTATATATAATTGATGCATAATAATTATACATATTTATGGAGTACAGTGTGATATTTCAATACATGTATACAACATGTATTGATCAGTTCAGGATAATTAGTATTCCCATTACCTCAAACATGTATCATTGCTTTGTGTTGCATTACCTCAAACATGTATCACTGCTTTGTGTTGTAAACATTCTTTTTTTTTTTTTTGAGATGGTGTCTCGCCCTGTCACCCAAGGCTGGAGTGCAGTGCACGATCTTGGCTCACTGCAACCTCCGCCTTCCAGGTTCGAGCAATTCTCCTGCCTCAGCCTCCTGAGTAGCTGGCATTACAGACATGTGCCACTATGCCGGGCTAATTTTTATATTTTTAGTAGAGACGAGGGTTCACCCTGTTGGCCAGGCTGGTCTCGAACTCCTGACCTCTTGATCTGCCCGCCTCAGCCTCCCAAAGTGCCGGTGTATAAACATTCACAATCCACTTATCTGCCTATTTGGAAATATACAATAAATTGTTATTAATTGCAGTCACCCAGTAGTGCTATAGGACACTAGAACTTTTTCCTCCCAACTAGCCGTATCTGCTATCCAACTTCTGGCTGTCCCCATCCTCCACCCCAAACCTTTCCTACCTCTAGTAACCACCAGTCTACCTAGTCTATGCTCTACTTCTATGAGATCATTTTCTTTTTGCTTCCACATACAACTGAGAACATGAGACATTTGTCCTTCTGTGCCTGGCTTATTTTGCTCAATGATGTCCTTCAGGCTCATCTGTATTGCTGCAAATGACGGGATTTTTTTCTTTTTATGGCTGAATAGTATTCTATTGTGTGTACATACCACATGTTAATGTTGTTAAAATTACAATGATTTTTGTTATAGTGAATCAAATACCAAATTTATTTAGAAAAACCACTGCTGGCCGGGCGCAGTGGCTCATCCCTGTAATCCCAGCACTTTGGAAGGCTAAGGCGGGCAGATCATTTGAGGTCAGAAGTTCAAAACCAGCCTGGCCAACATGGTGAAACCCTGTACCTACTAAAAATACAAAAAATTAGTCAAGTGTGGTGGTGGACGCCTGTTATCTCAGCTACTCTGGAGGCTGAGGCAGGAGAATCGCTTGAGCCTGGGAAGCAGAGGTTGCAGTGAGCAGAGATCGCGCCATTGCATTCCAGCCTGGGTGACAGAGTGAGACTCCGTCTCAAAAAAAAAAAAAAAAAAAAAGAAAAGAAAAGAAAAGAAAAGAAAAGAAAAAGAATAAAAAAAGAAAAACCACTGCCTCTCTCCCACTTTCATTCTGATATGCTGTTTTGAAAACGTATGAAAGCTCAAATATTTTATATACTCCAGAGATACCCATGAATATGTGCCCCATATAAACACATGAACATCATTCATATTATGTATATCTGGAAGAAAACCGTATAGAATGACTTTGCTAAAATATGAGACTAGCACCCAAGAGAAAAGATGCTCTCATAATGTATAAGTGGATTTGACTTCACCACAGACTGTCTCTCTCTCTGTGTCTCTCTCTGACTTTCTCGCTCCTCCCCATTTGTGAGTTTGCTTTAGAGAACCTTATTTGATATTTGGCATGTAACCTTCTTAAATATTTTAGTAAATGTTTCTATATACCTGTAAATAATATATAAGAATGTGTATCAGGATTTTAAAATTTAGCTGTACTTTTCCATTTCTACCTTCTTTCTAACTTTGAACAAAATACTTTATTTTAGTTACTATCACAGTTACCTCTGGGTTATTAACCAAGGTTAATGTGAACATTTACAGTTTTGGTGGTGGAAGTTTAAAACTGCATTTAATATTATTAAAATATGACTGGTGCTTGTAATGGCAGCCTTTGGCATGAACGCAAAGATTGATATGCATCATATTTCATTCTAAATCACAGGTAAAATGAAATAGCTCCCTTGTGCTTGATTTGTTCCTGGTGACCATCTTGATGATTGATGCAGATAACCACGCGATCAGCAGCACCTGAAATAAGTATTGATCTTCATGATTGCTGAAAGGAACAGATGAGCTTTCACAAGCCCCTTGAGAGTTTGGACTTAAAAAAAATATCTTTGACAAATTTGAAGGCTTTGATATTTTTCTCTGGATCCACTCTGCCTCTAAACATTACAAAAGGACGATTGTCTTTTTCCATGTTAAGTATCCTGGATTTATGACAGTCTAAGATCAATGAAGTAAAATAGCAGAAATCGAAATAATATTCTAATGGAAGAAATACAAACCCCTCCATGAAATTTAAAAACAGTTGTGAGACAAAAAGCACTTGTTTAACGAGTCACAATGATACCGACAATACAGACAAAAGACGTTTGGTGCAAACCCTGAATTGGGAAAGAACTCGGGTGGCCTTATCACTGATTCTATTCACTTTTATACTAAATTAATAATAACCCTACATCATCGCAGAGTTCTTGTAAATCCTAATAAAAATAATATCAGAGAGAGAACTTTCTAAATGCTAAAGTTGCATTTTAATTTAAATTAAAACAGTAATTGGTAAGTACTTGCAAAATATGTTATCTGAACAGTTCAGCAAGGGATGGCAGGAATTTAGCTCCTCCACTCCTGACCTGGCTACTACAAATTAATCTCCATTAGTCTCACATCAATTAAAAATAAACAATTTAAATATAAATTGTGTACTTGCTACATAATTAATAAATCAGCACAAGTCCTTTAACTGACATACCACTAGATCTCTGTCCCCAAGATCCTCTCAGAATTTCTGGAATTGTTAATCTTTGTCACCTGGTTCTTTTTTCCTTTTTTGTTTTCTAAAGTTCTGGAGTAAGAATTTCTGTACATCAAAGTTTAGATTTTTTTTGTTTGTTTTTTCTTTTGAGACAGGGTCTCACTCTCTCACCAGGGTGGAGTGCAGTGGTGTGATCTCGACTCACTGCAACCTCCACCCCGTCCCCGGGCTCAAGAGACTTCAGCCTCCGGAGTAGCTGGGACCACAGACGCACACCACCGTGCCTGGCTATTTTTTGTATTTTTGGCAGATACAGGATCTCGCATGTTGCTCAGGCTCGTCTTGAACTCCCTGACTCAAGCAGTCCGCCCACCTCAGCTTCCCAAATTGTTGGGATTAGAGGTGTGAACAACTACGCCTGACCAGTTTCGATTTTTAAAATATTACATTTTTTCATGTTTATATCCTCATCATTTCATCCACAATATTTAAAAATGGCAGCATTCTAATATTGAGTCATGTTCTCAGAAAAAGAATAAAAGTTTCAAACTAGGTGTAAAACCTAGAAAAAAAGCCCAAGTTATCACTCAGAAACCTAATCTTAAAGGTATCCACCTATAAATCCTTTGCTGAATAACCTAATCTTGATCTCTGTTCACAGAAGCCTCCATTAACCAAGCCCATAGCATCAACAGAGGGAGAAATTTCAAAGGGTATAAATCCAAAGTGGAGTCGTGGTTGCTCTTAAAACTAATCATACTTAATTCAAAATTTTTAATCATTTGTCATTCTTCTTTTATTCAGCTCCTGTCTTATTTTTCAACTGACATTTTGGAAATGAAACATCCCTGTATATTCAAAATTATTTTGCAGTTATTGAATTTTTCAGTTTTGTTAAACAATAAAAATCTATATCTTGCAAAACTCCAGCTATTGCTTCCATGAAATTGATAGAAAAACAAAGACACTGTTTTTCATGCTATTTACAAAACTTCTCATCAAATTGTAACATGACAAATATAGTTCTTTATCCTTTAAAGAACTATATTTCATGGATATATATAGTAGTTCTAACTATCATTAATGTAATAATTTATTTTAAATATGTTCAAACATGATGTTCAACAAATATTAGTTTCATTATATAATTTCACTAAAAAGAAAACCTAAGAAAGAAATAGTTTTTTAAGGTGAATATGCCCCAAAATTGTTTTCTGAAACATCAAAGTAATAACAGAATTTCCAAAGGTGGATAAGTAAATATAAGGAAGTAAGCAACAAACATCTCTAAATTTTCAGTGTAAAATATAATGTTTATTTAAAGATATTTATGCAAGTCTGTAGTAATTTTTTTCAAACGTGCTAAGAAAAAGTCTCTTTAGAATAAATTAGCTAGAACTTTCTCACACTAATATAAAACTACCAGAAAAAGAAATAGAAAATGAACATGAAAATTAGCATCTATACACTTTTATATGGGAGACTTCGTAAATGGAAATACTTTGCCTCTTTCTCTCTGTCTCCTTTTTCACTCATAAGGGTAACTCCATCTACATTCTTGCTAACAAACAGGAGTTGTGAAAAGAATTAGAGTTGGGGACTTTCCATCAGTATAAAAGGTCTTTGCTCATTAAGAATGGCAAAAACTGGCCAGGTGTGGTGGCTCACGCCTGTAATCTCAGCACTTTGGGAGACCAAGGCGGGCGGATCATGGCGTCAGGAGTTGGAGACCAGCCTGACCAGCGTGGTGAAACCCTGTCTCTACTAAACACACAAAAATCAGCTGGGCGTGGTGGTGAGCACCTGTAATCCCAGATACTCAGGAGGCTGAGGCGGAGAATTGCTTGAACCTGGTAGGCAGAGTTTGCAGTGAACGGAAATCAAGCCACTGCACTCCAGCCTGGGCAACAGAGCAAGACTCCTTCTCAAAAAAAAAAAAAATGCAAAAACTGCTTCATTAATCTGGCAACGTTATTGAATGAGATAGTCAAGACAAATTAATTGTCCACAAACCTCAGTCTTGTTTTTTAGCAACCACAACTTTCTCAGTTTTAACTTTTGGTGTGGCAGTTTTTATCAATGCAGTACATCTTTCCTCCTTTCTCAAACAGAGACCAATTTACATAAGCAACTTTCCCTTGAAGACTTTATCATCATTGTGATAATAATTACCATGAATATCATAATGAGCATCTTTGTAAATGGTATTTTAATTTCTGTTATTAGGCCATTTATACAAAATATCATAATTAATTAATACTTTTTTTCATTTGGTTGAATGCTAATGAAAATACTGATAAGAAAAGGAATATAATGTTGCTTAAATTTCTTTAATGAATAAACTGGCTAATTCTTATTAAGACTACATTTAGCTTGAAATTATTTTAAGAATAGGAAGGAAATGACAATTCTGAGAATTATTTCAACATATGAAATCATATACTTTTGCAGATATGAGAGACATTTATGTTGCTTTTTTATATACATACAAATGAAAATGTCTTTTGAACATTTACTTGAATTTTCCTATCCTACAAATAAAACAGAGGCTTTCAATAGGTTTTATGTAGCTTTGTATGCTATACATAGTTTTATGTGGCTGGCTACTTATTTTTGCAGAAATCTTTCATCTATAGAAGAATTAAGAGTCATGTTTTGGGAATAATCTATATTTTCTGGTAGCACTATGTTTGACTTTTTAATTTTTCTATTAAACAAACAAACAAACAAAATCTCATTGTGTTGCCCAGGCTTGACTGCAGTGGCGTGATCACAGCTAACTGTAACCTTGACCTCACAGGCTCAAACAATCCCCCCACCTCAGCCTTCTGAGTAGCTGGGGCCATAGGCCTGTGCTGCCACATCTGGCTAATTTATTTTTTATGTTTGTAGAAATGAATTCTCACTGTGTTGTCCAGGCTTGTGTCAAACTCCTGGCCTCAAGCCATCCTCCCACCTTGGCCTCCCAAAGAGCCGGGATTGCAGTCATGAGCCACTGCACCCAGCCTACTCTTTTCTTACGATGCCAAAACATTTGCATTGGTCGATGCAGTTTTTCCTTTAATTCCGCTTTTCACCAAACTAATATGAGGCAGCCAATGAAAGTTAGAAATACATAGTATTTTCTGACCAGAAGAAATAATAAATGTTGAAATAAAAGATTCAATCAAGATTTTTGGTTGCTAATTTTCTAAAGTGTTTCTTCACCATCTAGGTATTTTTCCAACTATGGACTCTGAAATCTATGGGAGAAAGTAAGTTATAATAAAAATATGGGAAAGAGTAGACTTTATTGTGCTCTACTGTTATAGAAGTATTTTTAGGTGGATTGTGTTTTTATTTCTATTTTTAAAATTTGCTCCAAATGTAAATAATGTGAGACTTGGCTTTGTAATTATTTTTTAATCCCAGTAGGTACATGAAAACATGTACAATTGGTCCTCAGTATCCATGGCATCTGCATCCATGGATTCAACCAGCCAAACATTGAAAATATTAGAAATTTGGGCATCTGTGGATTTTGATATGTATGGGGGAACCTAAAAACAATCCCCCATAAGTGCCAAGGGAGGGCTGTGTGTCGTTTACACATGTAATATATTTTATTGATAATTCATGTCTATAACTTTGTTATAAAAAGAGTCCGAATATTATCTGATGAAAAAAATGGGTATGGGAAGATAGAAGGAAATAAAGACAGAATGTGCATGTGTGTCTGTGTGTGAGTGTGCATGTAAGGTGTGTCTGTGTATCTATATGTTTGTGTGTAAAAAGAAAAAGAGAAAGATAGAGGCAGATGAGAAAATGAGAATGTTAGAGAGTCAGACAGGTGGAGAATGCTGTTTTCCAACATGTCAAAAGTGGTTTTCTCTATATTTGGGCAGGGTGCTTGTTTTTAACAAATTATTATTATTGTTATTTATAATCTCCAGGTCTTTTCTACTAAATAAAAATTATTTTTAAAAAGTCAGCTTCAAAAGTTAAAAAGCGCATCATCCCATTTAACTCAGAGGCTAAGCGCTTTCAGCAGCACATAATAAAACCTTCTTTAATGCATGTATTATCCCAAAGTCAAATGATCATAACAACAAATATGATGGGCTGTGGCGGCTCATGCCTGTAATCCTAGAACCTTGGTAGGCCCAGGCAGGAGAATCACCTGAGGCCAGGAGTTCAAGACCCAACCTGGGCGACAAAGAGAGGCTCTGTCACTACAAAAATTAAAATAAAAATAACCTGGGCATGTTAACACATACCTGTGGTCCCAGCTACTCAGGGGCTGAGGTGGGAGGACTGCCGGATCTCAAAAGTGTATATTTGGCTCATGCCCTTACTTTATTCACCTCTCTGTTTAAATGCCACTTCCGAAGAAAATACTTCTGAATCATCCTTATGCATCTCTGTCATGATACCTGCTTTATGGTTGTCAGAGCACTTAATTCCACCAAAGATTATACATTTCATGATGTCTTCCTACCTTCTCCACTAGTATAAAATCTTCACGACTATAGAGGCAGTGTTGCTTTTGTTCATTGCTTTACCCCCAGCACCAAGAACAGCGTGTGGCACAAAAGAGATTCTCAATAACATTTCTTGAATGCTATTAAAGTGAATTTGCATAGAAATATTTAATTGCAATTATTATTTGTATTGAATACCTGGTGCTATGAGATTTAATTGGTGGTCTTAAGTCAACCTGAGTGTCAGAGTAGCCCTCCTTGCAAAGTGACAAGTGATAAGAGAATTAAGATTTGAGGTTAATGAAAAGAGAGTCTATGGGGCAAGAAGATGGAGCCAAGCACCTATAGCTGGGAGAAATGAAAAGAGAAGACACTCTAGAAAAGGGAATTTTGACAAGGCTGGATCAGGGGGGTGCTGGTAAAATTTCATAACTGACTCTCAGGGGGAAAAGACGTGATCCATAGTATTTTCTAATTGCTGAGGCATAAATGCTTCCACCATGATTTCAAGTTACCAGCGTGACATCACTGAATGCAAAGCTGAGTAAATATGCACAGAGGCACATCATTATATAATATTTCCAGCAAACAGTTACAGTAGAAAAGGAATTCAGTCGTTTATTTGTTAATTATTCTGTGACTCAAATGGCATGAGGTACCTAAAATATCTGTAATCACTTTCTTTGTCACATATGTGAGATCTCCATGACATAATTAAGACCTACAACTACTAAACAGTGTTAGCAATATTATTCCTCAATGGGGAAGGGGTGATTTAAATTATTTAGGTGCATTTAAAAGTTCATTTGTCATCTTCTCTGTATACAATTCCATGAAAAACACTGTTTAAGAGAAAAATACTTTTAAGAAATCAGAGAATCTATGTATATAGCTAGAAACTGTCCAATTTGAATAGAAAAGTCAAGTAAAATAATGAAAATGCAATACATGGTATGTACATACAGTATTACTAAGCCTTTTTAAGGAAGGAAATTCTGCCATATGCAACAATATTAATGAACCTAGAGGACATTATACTAAGTGAACTAGGCCAGTCATAGGAAATATTGTATAATCCCACCTATATAAGCTATCTAAAATAGTCAAAATCATCGAAGCAGGGAACAGAATGGTGGTTGTGAGGGGATGAGAGGAGGAGGAAGTGAGTTGTTCAACTAGTATAAAGTATCAGTTATGTAAGATCACTAAATTATAGAGATTTTCTGTAGAGCATCATGCCTATAGTTAACAATATTGCTTTATACACTTAAAAATTTGTTAGGGTAGATCTCCAGCTAAGTGTTCTTACCAGACAAACAAACAACAAAATAAACAGGATGAAGAGGGAGGAATTTTGGAAATGACTGATATGTTTTGATTTTTTTTTACCTTGATTGTAATGATGATTTATAGTTGTATATGTATGTTCAAACCCATCAAATTGCATAGATGTCTGTAGTGTTTTGTATAACAAACATCTATAAAGATGTTTATAAAAAAATTTTAAAAAGCAAGTAAAAAAATCAAAAGACCCTACAGAATGCACTGTAACAAGTAATAATTAACACCTACTTTCTAGAAAAACCTCTAGATGAGATACTATATTGATTTTTTAATTATTAAAACATTTTTTATTTTTTAAAAGGTGAGGTTTTTATTATGCCAAAAAAGATGAACCCATTCACATTTTAAAATATCAAACAGTACAAAATATGTTATGTAAATCTAACATCTCATGTCACATCTGAATGGCTTCATTTTCCACTTTCCCTCAAGATTAACAACTGCTATCATTTTTTCTTAGCCTCCTTCCTGACCTGATCCAATGTATTTTTATGTCTTCATATGCCTGTGTAAACAAAACTATGTAAAACACTTTTCTACTTTATGTACATCTTCTAGAATTAACCGTTTCTATCTAATTGTTCCATTGCGTCCTGTAAATATGGTTCCCCAAACAATGTCCAGATGGTTGTCATTAGAGCAGCCTACTGTTTTTTTGTTGTTGTTAATCTGTTATCTCAGATTTGGCATTCCCTAGAAATCATCCACTTTTTTAAACAGTCTCATCTAAATATGCTTTGGTTTCCTCTGTCAATCTGAACCAATCTGTTTTTTATCTTCTGTTTTTCAAGATTTCTTTTCATTTCAAAATATTTGGTCTCCTAATGACCTTGCATTCATTAGGGTTCTTTGATTACCAGCAACAGAAGCTGAATCCAATTAAGAAAAATAAATATATTGAGAGACAATGAGTCTTCACAGACTAGTCATGAAACTGAGAAAAGAGGCTCTGGCAAGGATAAAGTGCAAAAATATATTAATGCAAACAATATGACCACTGTTTTTGGAATGAATAGACCTGAAGCACTTTACTGTCCTCAAGATGCCGCTTCAGAGGGAATTGTATAGGAAAAAATATTGGCAAATACATACTTTAAAAAGTAATCATAAAAATTGATCAAAATAATTTACACTCAAAGCAATAAAAGATTGTGTTGATGAAAATGAAGTTCACAGGTCTGAAAGTCACACTTTTGTTAAATTTAAGCCTAGAGTCCAGATCTCTGTGTGATGTTTCTTGTTAACAAGAAGTATTAATAGCATCTTAAAATGCAAGGTATTATTACATAACTGCATGAATTGCATTTCTTTTCGAATTTTGATTAACTAACACAGAAATTATTTTCTGGAGAATGATTCCAGATGATAAAAAGTCAAAATGAAGCCTATATTCTTTTTCTTTGTTGTTTTCTTTTAGATCATTTTAATAGACTACATATGTACTGAACTGTGCATTCCTTGTGGCAAAAGAAAATATTTAATTCTTCTTCAAACAGCAAACGTTTTTAAGAGTGCTCTCACATCAAAAGAGCCCAATTTAAGTTTGTTAAATAAAGCTTTAATATAGAGAGAAGCTTTAAGTTTTCATTTCAAAATAATTCTTAGGCATCAGCACAACAGGACAGACAGGCACTTACTTTCTTTCTGTTTAAACGTGAGTCATGTTAGTTTATTTATTATGTGAATTTTTCTAGTGGCTTCGAGTTTTGAATTGAAGTGAAACTTCACATCACAATGATGAATGGAGCTCTGCTACATTTTAGCTATCGAAAATATTTCAAAAATAAGAACTCAAGACCAAGTCTTACTTGGAGAGAGCCATAAACATATTCATGTTGGCTGAAAGCAGATAATATTATTAACTGAGTACTCATAATTAAAATATGAAAAATGTATTATCATCACAGAAAAGTGATCATAAAACCATAGAAAAATCATAGATTGTATTGGCATTTATTTTCAGCAGCTTGATGTGTAGTTTCTGCTATTCAATTTCCTACATCATAAGAGTAATAATAAATGAGTGTTTCTAGCTTCCTTTCCCACACTCCACTAGCTAAAGATGATTCTGGTTTGTTCTTTTTTTCTCTCCCCCATTTTTCTGTGGAGACTGAACAATGTCAGTCAACCTCTGAACATAACAGAAGGATGGCGATTATGAGAAAGTGCTAGAGAGGAGAGAGGGTTGGAAGGATCTAGCAAAGACTGAAGAAATGCAAACAAAATAAATGTTTATATGAACACTTTTATTTGCTCCAAAACAAAGTTAAAATTTTAGCCGGGCCTGGTGGCTCACGCCTGTAATCCCAGTACTTTGGGAGGCTGAGGCAGGCAGATCACCTGAGGTGGGGAGTTTGAGACCAGCCTGACTAACATGTGAAACCCCGTCTCTACTAAAAATACAAAAATTAGCTGGGGGCAGTGGCAGGGGCCTGTAATCTCAGCTGCTTGGGAGGCTGAGGCAGGAGAATTGCTTGAGCCCAGAAGGCAGAAGTTGCAGTGAGCTGAGATTGTGCCGTTGCACTCCAGCCTGGGCGACAGAGTGAGACTCCGTCTCAAAAAAAATTTTAAGTTAATTTCAGGTATTTTTTTAGTATCTATATTTCTTTACAGCCTTTTTGGAGCTATTTCAGGCTCTGAAGCAACCCAAAGGATTTTGAATATAAATGTAGAACAAAGCAACACTTTGAATCGCTATCATATCCTTTAATTCGGTGAAAAGCTGTGTTATCTGTGAAACGTGGACAAGCGATGTATATTGAACTCCAAATATAGCATCTTAAACAGTTCTGGCAGGATGACTGATTCACACAAGATATAAAAGCTTCAGTAGTTAAGAAAAATAATTTGGGGGTAGGTGTTCATTGTATCATGTTGTAGATTTGTTTTGGCAAAAGCAAATGAATTTCATCAAATCTGTTATGCCATATCTTTGTACTTTTCCCCAGGAATATGTATACCCTGCAAACAAAAACGATGTTCTTACTTTTGTTGACAGATTCTAATAACCAATATCCATCTGAAATATCTATCAGGCCTCAGACAATATTTTGAGAGTTTTTTAGTAATGATTTGCAGGACATTCTGAAGATCACATCCTCCCTTTTCAAATATATAATTTCACTGATTAACGATGCAAACATCACATTTTAGATCTTAAATGACATTGGTATCCAGTAACTTTTGAACAACTGACTTTGTGCAATCATATCCATTAGCTTGTCCAAACAATACAAAAATCTAATTTATCAGTTTAAAATAAATGTTGAGTGATAAGTAGATTTTTAAACATAACGAAAATTAAAATTTAATTCCTTAAAAAGTTTATGTGTGGTGGATGCAAGATGACTGAATAGGAACAGCATTGGTCTGCAGCTCCCAGCAAGACTGACACAAAAGATGGGTGATTTCTTTATTTCCAACCGAGGTACCTGTTTCATCTCATTGGGACTGGTTGGAGAGTGAGTGCAGCCCACGGAGGGTGAGTTGAAGCAGGGTGGGGTGTCGCCTCACCTGGGAAGCGCAAGGGGTCGGGGAATTTTCCCCCTACCCAAGGGAAGCCGTCAAGGTCTGAGCCTGAGGAATTCCCGCACAGATAAAGCGCTTGTCCCTCGGTCTTCGCAACCCACAAACCAGGAGATCCCCTCTTGTGCCTACCCCACCAGGGCCCAGGGTTTCAAGTACAAAACTGGGTGGCAAATTGGGCAGACACTGAACTAGCTGCAGGAGCTCTTTTTTTTCCATACCCCAGTGGTGCCTGGAATGCCAGTGAGACAGAACTGTTCACTCCCCTGGAAAGGGGTGCTGAAGCAAGGGAGCGAAGTGGTCTGGCTTGGTGGGTCCCACCCCCATGGAGCCCAGGAAACTAGGAGCCACTGGCTTGAAATTCTCACTGCCAACACAGCAGCAATCTGAGATCCACTTGGGACAGTCCAGCTTGGTACGGGGAGGGGCGTCCGCCACTGCTGAGGCTCAAGTAGGGCGGTTTGAGGTCACAGTGTAAACAAGGGTGCTGGGAACTTCTAACTGGGCAGAGATCACAGCAGCTCAGCAAGGCAGCTGTGGCCAGATTGCCAGATTTCTCCTCTCTGGAAAGGGTACCTCTTTAAAAATGCAGCAGTCCCAGTCAGGGCCTTATAGCAGACTTAAAAGTCCCTGCCTGGAAGCTCTGAAGAGAGCAGCAGACCTCCCAGCACAGTGTTCGAGCTCTGCTAAGGGTCAGACTGCCTCCTCTAGTGGGTCCCTGACCCCTGTGTATGCTGACTTGGAGACACCTCCCAGTAGGGGCCGACAGACACCTCATACAGGAGAGCTCTGACTGGCATCTGGCAGGTGCCCTTCTGGGTTGAAGCTTCCAAAGGAAAGAACAGGAAGCAATCTTTGCTGCTCTGCAGCCTCTGCTGGTGATACCCAGGCAAACAGCGTCGGGAGTGGACCTCCAGCAAACTCCAGCAGACTAGCAGCAGAGGGGCCTGACTATTAGAAGGAAAAGAAATAGACAGAAAGGATTAGCACATCCACTCAAAGATCCCATCCGTAGGTCACCAACATCAAAGACCAAAGGTAGAGAAATCCACAAAAATTAGAAAATAACAGTGCAAAAAGGCTGAAAATTCTAAAACCAGAACACCTCTCCTCCTCCAAAGGATCACAACTCCTCACCAGCACAGGAACAAAACTGAATGGAGAATGAGTTTGATGAACTGGCAAAAGTAGGCTTCAGAAAGTGGGTAATAACAAACTCCTCTGAGCTAAAGGAGCACGTTCTAACCCAATGCAAGGAGGTAAGAACCTTGGAAAAAGGATAGCCGAATTGCTAACCAGAATAACCAATGTAGAGAAGAACATAAACGACCTGATGGAGCTGAAAAAACACAGCACAACAACTTCGTGAAGTATTCGCAAGTATCAATAGCCAAATCGATTAAGCAGAAGAAAGGATATCAGTGACTGAAGATCAACTTAATGAAATAAAGAGAGAAGACAAGATTAGAGAAAAAAGAATAAAAAGGAATGAACAAAGCCTCCAAGAAATATGGGACTATGTGAAAACTCATTCTACGTTTGACTGGTGTACCTGAAAGTGACAGGGAGAATGGAACCAAGTTGTAAGTCACGCTTCAGGATATTATCCAGGAGAACTTCCTCAACCTAGCAAGAGAGGCCAACATTCAAATTTAGGAAATACGAGAACACCACAAAGATACTCCTCAAGAAGAGCAACCCGAAGACATATAATCGTCAGATTCACCGAGGTTGAAATGAAGGAAAAAAGTTAGACCAGAGAGAAAGGTCAGATTACCCACAAAGGGAAGCCCATCAGACTGACAGCGGATCTATCTGCAGAAACCCTACAAGCCAGAAGAGAGTGGGGGCCAATATTCTATGTTCTCAAAGAAAAGAATTTTCAACCTAGAATTTCATATCCAGCCAAATAAAGCTTCATAAGGAAGGAGAAATAAAATCCTTTACAGACAAGTAAATGCTGAGGGATTTGTCACCACCAGCCATACCTTACAACAGCTCCTGAAGGAATCACTAAACATGTACCAGCCACTGCAAAAACATACCAAATTGTAAAGAACATTGACACTATGAAAAAACTGCATTAACTAATGGGCAAAACAACCAGCTAGCACCATAATGACAAGATCAAATTCACACATAACAATATTAACCTCAAATGTAAATGGGCTAAATGCCACAATTAAAAGACACAGACTGGCAAATTGGATAAAGAGTCAAGACCCATCAGTGTGCTGTATTCAGGAGACCCATCTCACGTACAAAGAGGCACATAGGCTCAAAATAAAGGAATGGAGGAGCAAATGGAAAGCAAAAAAAAAAAAAAAAAAAGCAGGAGTTGCAATCCTAATCTCTGATAAAACAGACTTTAAACCAACATAGATCAAAAGACACAAATAAGGGCATTACATAATGATAGGTCTTAGAGACCTACAAATAGACTTAGATGCCCACACAATAATAGCGGGAGACTTTAACACCCCACTGTCAATACTGGACAGATCAATGAGACAGAAAATTAACAAGGATATTCAGGACGAACTCAGCTCTGGATGAAGTGGACCTAATAGACATCTACAGAACTCTCCACCCCAAATCAACAGAATATACATTCTTCTCACCACCTCATCGCACTTATTCTAAAATTGACCACATAATTGGAAGTAAAACACTCCTCAGCAAAGGCAAAAGAATGGAAATCATAACAAACAGTCTCTCAGACCACAGTGCAATCAAATTAGCACGCAGAATTAAGAAACTCACTAAAGACCACACAACTACATGGAAACTGAACAACAGGCCCCTGAATGATTACTGGGTAAATAACAAAATAAAGGCAGAAATAAAGATGTTCTTTGAAACCAATGAGAATGAAGGCACAATGTACCAGAATCTCTCGGACACATTTAAAACTGTGTAGAGGGAAATTTATAGCACTAAATGCCTACAAGAGAAAGCAGGAAAGACCTAAAATTGACACCCTAACATCACAATTAAAAGAACTAGAGAAGCAAGAGGAAACAAATTCAAAAGCTAGCAGAACACATGAAATAACTAAGATCAGAGCAGAACTGAAGGAGATAGACGAAAAACCCTTCAAAAAAATCGATGAATCCAGGAGCTGTTTTTTTTTTTTGAAAAAATCCACAAAATAGACTGCTAGCCAGACTAATAAAGAAAAAAAGAACAAACGCAATAAAAAGTTATATAGGGGATATCATCACTGATCCCACAGAAATACAAACTACCATCAGAGAATGCTATAAACACCTCTATGCAAATAAACTAGAAAATCTAGAAGAAATGGATAAATTCCTGGATGCATACACCCTCCCAAGTCTAAGCCAGGAAGAAGTTGAATCCCTGAATAAGCCAATATCAGGTTCTGAAATTGAGGCAGTAATTAATAGCCTACCAACCAAAAAATGTCCAGGACCAGACAGATTCATAGCAGAATTCTACCGGAGGTACAAAGAGGGGCTGATACCATGCCTTCTGAAACTATTCCAAACAATAGAAAAAGAGGGAATCCTCCCTAACTCAGTTTATGAGGCCAGCATCATCCTGATACCAATACCTGGCAGAGACACAACAAAAAAAAAGAAAATTTCAGGCCAATATTCCTGATGAACATCGATGTGAAAATCCTCAATAAAATACTGGCAAACCAAATCCACCAGCACATCAAAAAGCTTATCCACCATGATCAAGTTGGCTTCATATCTGGGATGCAAGGTGGTTCAAAATACACAAATCAATAAACGTAATTCATCATATAAAGAGAACCAATGACAAAAACCATATGATTATCTCAATAGATGCAGAAAAGGCCTTTGATAAAATTCAACACCTCTCCATGCTAAAAACTCTCAATAAATTAGATATTGATGAAATGTATCTCAAAATAGTAAGTGCTATTTATGACAAACCCATAGCCAATATCATACTGAATGGGCAAAAACTGGAAGCATTCCCTTTGAAAACTGGCACAAGACAAGGATGCCCAATCTTACCACTCCTATTCAACAGAGTATTGGAAGTTCTGGCCAGGGCGGTCAGGCAAGAGAAAGAAATAAAGGGTATTCGAATAAGAAGAGAGGAAGTCAAATTGTCTCTCTTTGTAGATGACATGATTGTTTAGAAAACCCCATCATCTCAGCCCAAAATCTCCTTAAGCTGATAAGCAAATTTAGCAAAGTCTCAGGATACAAAATCAATGTGCAAAAATCACAAGCATTGCTATACAGCAATAACAGACAAACAGAGAGCCAAATCGTGAGTGAACTCCCATTCACAATTGCTACAAAGAGAGTAAAATATCTAGGAATCCCACTTACAAGGGATGTGAAGGACCTCTTCAAGGACAAATACAAACCACTGCTCAAGGGAATAAAAAAGGACACAAACAAATGGAAAAACATTCCATGCTCATGGATAGGAAGAATCAACATCGTGAAAATGGCCATACTGCCCAAAGTAATTTACAGATTCAATGCTATCTCCATCAAGCTACCACTGACTTTCTTCACAGAGTTGGAAAAAACTACTTTAAACTTCATATGGAACCAAAAAACAGCCCACATAGCCAAGATAATCCTGGGCAAGAAGAACAAAGTTGGAGGCATCACACTACCTGACTTTAAACTACACTACAAGGCTACAGTAAACAAAACAGCATGGTACTGGTATCAAAACAGATATATAGACCAATGGAACAGAACAGAGGCCTCAGAAATAACACCACACATCTACAACCATCTGACCTTTGACAAACCTGGCACACACAAGCAATGGGGAAAAGATTCCCTACTTAATAAATGGTGTTGGGAAAACTGGCTAGCCATATGCAGAAAACTGAAACTGGACACCTTCCTTACACCTTATACAAAAATCAACTCAAGATGAATCAAAGACTTAAATGGAAGACCTAGGAACATAAAAATCCTAGAAGAAAACCTGGGCAATACCATTCAGGACATAGGCATGGGCAAAGACTTCATGCCTAAAACACTAAAAGCAATGGCAACAAAAGCCAAAATAGACAAATGGGATCTAATTAAACTAAAGAGCTTCTGCACAGCAAAGGATACTATCAGCAGAGTGAACAGGCAACCTACAGAATGGGAGAAAATTTTTGCAATATATCCCTCTGACAAAGGGCTAATATCCAGAATCTACAAAGAACTTAAACAAATTTACAAGAAAAAAACAACCCCATCAGTAAATGGGCAAAGGATATGAACAAGCACTTCTCAAAATAAGACATTTATTCAGCAAACAGAAATATGAAAAAATGTTCATCTTCACTGGTCATTAGAGAAATGCAAATTAAAACCACAATGAGATACCATCTCACGCCAGTTAGAATGGTGATCATTAAAACGTCTGGAAACAACAGATGCTGGAGAGGTTGTGAAAAAAGAAGAATGCTTTTACACTGTTGGTGGGAGTGTAAATTAGTTCAACCATTGTGGAAGACAATATGATGATTCTTCAAGCATCAAGAACTAGAAATACCATTTGACCCAGCCTTCCCATTACTGCGCATATACCCAAAGCACTACAAATCTTTGTATGATAAAGACACATATTTAGAGACTCTCATTCCCATTGGAAGTCAAAGTGTTTGTCCTTCCTTCTTTGTAAACAACAATACCCTGAGGTGTATTCTGAAAACAACGTTCACAGCTGAAAAAGCAAAATTCTGGTTTTCAACGTTAAATGTGTTACCTCTTTGTAAAATAAGATACTATTTTCTCTGTTTTTTTAAAACTCAGGAAAAATTATCATCCAAAGTTAGTAGGTAATCAGTTCCCAGATTTCTCAAAATAGTCTAGAAATCCAAGTTTCATTTTTCTAGACACATTTGAACTTATGCTATTATGTGTCCTGATTTTGCCTTCGATAAAATATATGTAATGGAAACTAGCCATGTTAAGTGTTTATTCTGTGCCAGCATAGTAAGACAAAGGCTTTCTTTTCAACCAAACTCTAGTCAGGCTCCATCTTCTTGATTAGGCCCCAAATTTGGCCTGCAAAACTTGCAGACTTTCAGCACAAATGATTTTGTCTACCTTTAATGCTAAGGGACTTGAACAAACATTAATAAAATTTTCACCAGCTCAATGCTGTATCCCTAAGATAATTACTCCATCCCCCTTAAGTTCCTGCTTGGGAAATGAAGCTCAAAGTTGCCAAAATACTCCAGCCAATACCTGAACATCAGACCCGTCTCCCAGTCTCTTTGGGCAGATAGAAGCCTGACTTCTATAACATCCAGTTGGCAAATCCAGAGGGCCTCATTGTTTTAACTAACCTCCACTTCCACTTATTGTAAATTTCTACTACTGCGTCTGATCAAGTCCTCCCTCATGGCTCCTCCCTATTTTCTCATTCTCCTTTAAAATGCCCAGTCATCTCTGCTCAAATTAAAGTTGAGTTCCATTTACACTGGGCTTTCTTCTCTATCGCAATAGTTATTGCTGAATAAAACCTGTTGTTTCCACTTTAGTGCCTGGATTTGTTTATTTTTGACAACAACTACTACATGTATTAACTTATTTATTTATTGCCTCACTTTTATGAAGTGGAGAATATTATCCACATAGATGAGTAAATAAAAACAAGAGAAAGTCATGTAACTTTTTCAAGACCAAATAGTTGCTCAGTGGTGAAGTGGTGAGTTGACATCCAGAATTCTGGCTTGAGAATGTTTGCTCATATACTTGTAGCTTTGGCCTACACTTAAAAAGCCAGGGACTACATTTCTATTACTGTCCTCAACCTTAGGGTAAACACAAATCTTTTTATTTATTCTATATAATAAGGATGAAATTTAATCCTAGCAGAGTTCAATCTATGGATCACAGATACTGTACCTATTTCTTATTCATAAACCTGACTTAATCCCATTTCACAATGTATTTCTAATTATAATGACATCCACTTTGATCTTTTATAGCCATGCTATTTAGAAGACATTGGTGTTTTTTATGTTCTTTTTTCAAAATAGTACTTTGACTCTCATGTTATATCTATAAATAAATCAAATATGTTATTGCAATATCAAATGAATACACACACACATATATATAATGTACATATGCTCTACATGTATGGCATTAGAAAAGAATGAATATATCTTTAGAAAAAATGGCAGATATTTGGTACTAGACACAATAGCATTTGAAGCATAAATTGATTATTACCCATTAAATAGAAAATGTCAGTACTATTCTTCTTTATTAAGCCATTGGTGAAAAAAATGCCTACATGATCCACAAATATACTCATTCATTATAAGCAGGCATCTCTATTAGCTTTAGGCACTACATTATTAAAATTATAACTTCACTAAGCAGTCAACTAACTTTTAATCTCTGTTTTTATGTGGTGGTAAAATTCTACTGCCTGAAAATAACAATGTTATAAAGAACTTTTCTATAAATTTACAAACTGGGAGAAAATCTAAATAACTTTCTGAAATAATCAGATTTCATTTGAGCCTAAAGTGAATTGAAATAGTAATGGAAATGAGCTATAATTTTCTTCGTATAGTATGTTATTCCTCTAGTGAGAACTGATTAAAAATATGCCAGTGTTCAGGCACATTTTATTATTCACCATATTGATGAATTCAGGTTATCCCAATGTGAGCTGAAATAATATATTCTAAGAGGACATATTATCCTTCACGGAAATATGCATAATAAAGAGAAATTTAGGAATCTATGGCTTATGGTGTGTTGATTGATCTCTAGAGGAAGCTCCACTTTGTTTTGTGCCCTGGAGATTTTCATACTCGGGAGGTGCATCGCAGGAACACATGGAATCTGTAAAGGGTGTGGCTTTCTTTTGTAAACTACAAAGTCAATTATGTGCAAATTTTAAAAAGTCTATTTAAGAATATAGTACAGATAGAAGGTGAGAAACTACAAGCTGATTTTCTTAAAATGATTTGCATCCTTCTCCTGAACATCGTTCTGTGCTAACATGGAAATCAGTATCCTATTTTGAGGCACTGTTACATATATTTTGGAGATGCTTTATGTTAACTAACTCACTCTTTATTAGTAAATATTGATGTAACAAGGGAGCAAAAATGTTGAGATATGCACAATCCTTACTTACTTGATTTTTTTCATTCTAATAGCACATAAATATTTTTATTTGTATTTTACTCTGTATCTACATATTTGCTTTTTTGTGTTTTATTTGTTTATTCCTATTTTTATGACTTATTTTCCTGAAAAACTTGCCATTTGCCATATGTTCTAATACTACTCATATGAATATCTAGGTGCTTAATTTTAAGAATGAATTAATAAATTAATTGTTACCTAGGTAAAATTTTAGTAAATACGATTAATGTAATTAGAGATTAATTTTATGTTACCATGAAGCATACTAGTACTAAGAATCAGATCCCACAGGAAGTGGATATCAGGTCCAGAACTGAGAAGAGAATAGACAATATTCATATAGAAGAAGAGCGAGATGATCAGAAAATGACACAGGAACCAGCAGAGCGAAGAGCAACCTAAATCATTAGTTGAGAAATGTTTTGAGCAGGTATAATAGCACATTGCTGCAATTGTCTGAGCATTTTAACAAATGTTTGCTAGGTACTTTTCAAACGCTAATTAATTACAATCCTCAGTATCTCTGCAGGAAACAAAAGATTGATATGTACCCTTAGAACTGTCAACCATACTGTCAAATATCCACTACTTGCCGTGCTCATCACCACAGTCTCCTTTTTTCTACTCTGCTCACTATTACACTAACAATGGGCAATTATTGAAACAAAATATTTGGGTATTTTTAATGTCATTATTAATAAATCCAAAAATATTTAGAATGACCATTTGTACCTCTTTGTATTTGTGTCAGTTTTTGTAATTTTGCTGATTTTTTGTTTGCTTTGCTTTCAAGAGGATTTTAATGATACAGGTTTAATATACTTTTATGAAAAAATATGGCACAAGCACTGTTTGAAAAGTGATAAAAATTATTGGATGGCCTGTTGTCTAGTAATGCTCATTTTTTTCTTCACTTATTATCTCTAATGATCACTCTCTATGTGTATTTAACACCTGTTCATTTGTCCTTTCACTCATCTCACCCTTAATATTCATGTATCTGGTGATCACTGAAGATCACTAATAGATTCCCCTCCTATCCCAAACATTAATATTGTACAATATCCTTCCTCAGGCCAATGTGTAATCTGGGTCCTACACAAGTAGTGGAACTTTGGTCATCTTAGAGAGAGCAGCCAGAAGCAGAATAGGATGGGAGCTGAGACAGAGGGACCAAGATCAGTTAACAAGCCAAAGGGGGTAGCTAAAAATTTAGAAGTAAATGAGGGTGGAATTAGAATGTAGAAAGAATGATTTTGGCAACTTCTATAAAGAGATTATGGAGTCCGACTTGCCTTTCTTGGCCAGCAAATGTGCTCTGAATTAAGTTGGGGCACCTTAAAATTACTTTATATGACCAAGACCAATAAACTTTGTATTTACCACGTATTTAATCAAGTACATACAAAATTAAATAAATCATTACTTTACATTTAACCCAAAATATTGTGCATGTATTCTTTACTGTCTATACCCAACTTTTTCTATTTAGATATTTGGATGCTAATTGAACAAAATAATCAGAATTGAGCTATTACTGATATCTAAACCACTTTTGTATCATCAGCCGGTATTGCAAAATAAATAAATAAATAAATAAAATATAACAAGTAGTCAAAGCAGTAACATCAATAAGTACATAAGCAAAAAGCCAATTCATACATCCTCCTGTTTTCTGTACACATGTTAAACATATGGTTATTATCTATGCAATATGCCAACTAAGTTTACCCCAGTTGATAATGGCTGCTTAGTAGATACTTTATATCTACTAATAATATAAAGTTAATTTCCTAAAATTGTACTTCATTAAACAAAATAATACACTTATTTCTATATAATCTTCACATGCTTAGGCATTAGAAAATGGCTTTGTTAAATTACAAAGGTAGGTAAATAGTTTATTACTCATCTTTATTAGAGCAAATACTTGTGTTGTTGTTTTCCTTCCTATATAAGCACAGAATTATAACTATTAATTGTTTAAATGTATTTGGAGTTTCTTCCCAAATCTGACAATGAGTCACTATAAATGAGCTATGTCTTCATCAGTTTGGACTGCTATAACAAAGTACCAAAGACTGGGTGGCTTGAAACAATAGAAATGTTTTCCTTACAATTCTGGAGGCTGGACGACTGAGATCAGTGTGCCAGCATGGTTAGGTTCTGGAGTGTTCTCTTCTGGCTTACAGATTACTAACTACATGGCGGAAAGAGCAGAGAAAGTTCTCTGAGGCTTCTTTTATAAGGGCCCAGATCAATTCATGAGCGTTCCATCCTCATGAACACATCATTTCCAAAATTCCTCACCTCCTGATACCATTACATTGGGAATTATGATTTCAACATTTGAATTTTGAGGGGAAACAAACATTTAGTTCCTAACATGCTATTAATGACTACATAGCATTTCTGTTTTATTTTAAAATGAAACTAGGTTTCATTTATACTGACGCTCCTAAAAAGACTGGTGTATTTCATAAAGCCAAAATTCTTGGATGTATTGACTTGGAATCATTCACCATTCATTCCATGACAGGCTGGATACCTAAAGTTTTGGATTACTGTTTTTGGGTTTGGAGGGTTTTGTTTGTGTTTGTGTTTGCTAAGCACATAATTTAAACAGATAATGATATTGTAAAATGTTTCATTTGTTGACTTTGGATTCATTAAATGATACTGTGTCTTCAGAGAATAAATCTTAAAATTACTTTGGGAGTATCCACTTACTATTAAGTACCATACTTTCAAAACAAAAAAACAAACAAAAAAACAAAGACCGGATTTATTTAGACTGGATTTATTTTTTAAATGACAATATTCTTACTTGTTCAGGAAAGCAGGAAGCCCAGTAGATACTGACCAAGTATATTTACTACAAAGCAATGAATTAATATTTCTTCTTAGGAACTCAGACTTTTTGATCATCCAAACATAGCTCTTTCTTTATCCACTAGAAATCAAAGGTATAGCATTTTTAGTAAGCTGAAAAATAATTATTATAAAACTGTGGTCTTTGTGAAAAAGAGTAAAAACATAGATATCCAAGGCTACATCTTCCATTTTAAAAACTCTGTTTCTCCAGAGCACTATATTTGAAGTGCACTTAGGTCTCATTTTACAAGAGAGCAGAAATGTGCATGTTGGACAATGGTACAGAGAGGACGTGGTTCCCCTATGCAGGAGCTCCAGTTAATACAACACAGTGCAGAGCAATGGATGCCTGTACCTTTAACTCAGTTAAGGAAGAATTTATTTTAACTTATTATGATTATCCTCTAGCCCAAAATTTGTAGAATATTTGTTTATTGTCTAAACAGAATAGATTTTTGGGAGCCTTCGGTCTTGAAATATTCTTTCATTACTTGCAAATTGCAACGTCACCTCACAGAATTTCCTTCACAGAAATGCTTAGAATAACTAAATCTTTCGGTAATCTCATAATTATTGCACGGTTTATGAAACTTTTGAAACGTATTGTTGACAGTGTTTCATAGGTTAAAAGTATTCTTCAGAAGACAATATTTTTACTGTCATAATTTGTTACTACCTGAGATTGTCTTTCTTGAGGAAGGTATTTCAGAAAATTTCCTGAAAGCTTTTAGACCTTAGCACACATTTATTTTTTAAATCTAATTTTAGTTATTTTCACTAGCCGTAATATTTGTTTTAAAAAATTTGCTCTCTTGGATAAAATTTATGTTTTCCTTTTTTATTTCTCAGACATATAACTTGTTCATTTCTTACTTTTCAAGAAGAAATAGGTGTATAGAGATACGCATTTTGCCTCTGCTTTTCTATATG
Source organism: Homo sapiens (assembly GCF_000001405.40). Taxonomy (NCBI): domain Eukaryota; kingdom Metazoa; phylum Chordata; class Mammalia; order Primates; family Hominidae; genus Homo; species Homo sapiens. Next base: position 171,770,969 of record NC_000004.12, read on the forward strand.
GGGCAGTAAAAATATAGCAAATATGTATATGTTAGCTATTAATAAAATTGGGACAAAATAGTAGAAAAAGATGAGTAACTGAGAAGGAGAATGGAATAAAAATTAAGGGAGAGCGAGAAACACAGGCAGAGGAAAAGGAGGGAGAACACATGGAACAACAGTGATGAATGGGTGGTGACTAGAAGAGTTATAATGTTGATAGAAGATAAAAACATAGGGGACAAGTCAGAGCAGATAAAGGGAGTGAGGAATAATTGAAAGTCAATAAAAGAAGAGAGAAAGAAGAAAGGACAGTGTGGTGAACAATGAAAATACTGGATATAAAGAGAAATTCTGGACAGTGAAGGAATTTGGTGGGGCTGGAGCATCAGAGCTTATTTTCACTGATAGTTCGTCTCAAAACCTAGAGAAATAAAGTGGACCCACTCCACTCAGAAAAGGCTTTCCTCCCAACTTGACCTCTTGGAGTCATGAGGACCAGACCCACTGGTTTGCCAGCTAGTTACTGGCCAATTCATGTTCCAGATTGCAGATGCATTAGGATTCCTGTCTTCGTTTGGTGGAGTCGGTCATTGCTTACTATCCTAGATAATTTAGAAAGTCTGAATTTATATTCTGGGTACCAAGATACTTTCTAAGTAATCAGGGTCCCAGTGCCATGACAAGCCATATTCGTGGCAGAAATAAAAGAAAAAAATCAGTAATGCTGATACAGTCTCTATTTTTTAATTTTGATATTTTGTTCACCATAGATATCTTTGTGTCAATTTTGACTTTAACATATAACATGAGATGTGTTGTGTCCTGATTTACTGTTTTTTTGGCATCCTCTAAAACTTCGCAACTAAAGCTAGTTTATCATTCACCTCTCTCCTTTCCCAGCCCTAGAGTTTTCCCTAATCATTCAGTATAAGTAAATTATTACAACGGATTCCTATCCTTATTACTGTCTGAGCACACCTGTTTGCCAGCAGAACTGGAGCCTTGCTTCAAAAAGCAATAGAAAGAAAGCTAAAAATCTGTCTTCAACTGAATTGTGAAGCCTGAACTAGTTTAAAAAAAAACTAGTAGAAAGGAAACAGAGGAAAAGAACGAAGAGTGAGTGTGTAAGAAAAAAATTTGGCTGGTTTCTTTTGCCAGTTTCTGGGAGGTGGTCTCCAAATCCTTGGAATTTCCTGAGTGATAGGAGTGTCTTTGTTATTCATGGTGTCCCCTCTTCATTACCCTACTTGATAGCTTGTGCTAAGGAGATGACTCGGGATGAGGGCTGGTCAAACCAGAAAGACTATATATTAGAGTTAGGGATTTGGGCCAGCTGATAGTAGCCTGAACTCCAGGGATGAGAAAAAGACTGGAGAGTGGGTTACATAACAGGTCAGTCAAACAATCAAGCCTATGTAATGATGTCTCAATAAAAACTATGAACACCAAAGCTCAGGTGAGCATCCCTGGTTGGCAATAATTTGTTTGTAGTCACCCATCAATGTGGTGCATCCTCGCCACAGGGAGAGGACATTCAAAGCTTCCCCTTTGGGACCCTCCCAGACCATGCCATGTGTGTTTCCACCTTTGGCAAGTACTGATTTGTATCTTTTTGCTGTAGCAGAATTGTCATTGTAAGTTAGGGCTTTCCTGAGTTCTGTGAGTTGTTCTAGCAAATTATCAAACAAGGAGTAGTGGGAACTCCTGAATTTGTAGCCAGCTGGTCAGAAGTGAGAACGACCTGAGGACCACTGACCTTGTGGCTGGTGTTAAAGGCGAGGGCAGTCTCGTGGGGTTGGGGGGGTTGGCCTAACTCTGGGTTAGTTGTTATCAAAAGTCACTGCAGTGATAAATTAATGCTTTGTTTCTGATGGACTTTAAGTCAGTGGCCCCCAAACCACTTGTGTAAATTTTGACCTACCTTCAAAGCTTGACTCACGTTCAATCATCTTTATGAAACATCCGAAATATTCCAGCTCTCATCAATTAGTTTCTCCTTTGAGCACCCAAAATACTTGTCAATATATGTTATTTAGCACCTTGCTTCAATTAAATTGCAACATTAAGTGAGGCTAGTGACTTTTACTACAGTGCTTGGGCAATGTATTAATTTCATAAGTTATTCCAAGAATCTGCAACCAACATGTTTGGAAATTTTTGATGTTTATAGCAATAAGCTTCTGTGTAAGAGTGGCTGCTTCCCATGATTTTTCTGTTTTTGTTCACCATTTATTGGTATACCAAAATCTCAAATTTCAACATATGTTGAATAATGTGTGTATATGATTTTATATATAGTATGTAGTAGTGTACCCACTAAATTATAAGTTATTGAGGTTCTTGATTCTGCCGAATACTTCAGTGTCTCCCAAAACAATAATAAAGTTGCAATCATGTTTCAGTGAATTAATAAAATTTGCAAAACAAAATGTAGAGAACAAACCAAATCTGCCAAATCTAAAAAGTTAGCTTTAATTTCTAAGTTTGACTACATAACATTGGAATTGGGTTGATTCTTCTAATGCTGCTCAGATAAGAACGATATACATGACATACTTGATATGTTTCCATTAAGTGTTCCTTTAGGAATGCTTTATAATCCCCAAATTTGATCAAACTGTCTCTCAATCATAGCCAATTTAGAAACTCTGTGTGTGTGTGTGTGTGTGTGTGTGTGTGTGTGTGTGTGTATCATACTCATATATGACTGGAAGCCAAGCTGGTTGATTTTGGGAGTAGATTAGAAAATGAAGTACATTAATAAAGAATGGTTATAGTGCTTTTGTATGTTTGTTTTGTTTTTGTTTTGAGTGTTTTTATACGTATCTTTGTTTTAGTATATAGGCACACTAAATATTATGTGCCTATGTACTAATGTGCCTAGGCACATTAAATATTATCTGAGCTTAAACCATTGTTACAGACATTATCTCACATTTCATTTATTTATTAGGTTTAACATGATTTTCCTGTATTGTATTTGAATATTATTAAGTTCATCACTGGAACACAACGGATACCTTATTGATGTTCATGGTGAGTACTGAAATTGAAAGCAATCAAATTAATGAAGATTTTGTGTAGATTATCCAAGAGATTTACAGCAAGTAGCATGATGATTAAGAGATTTCTTAAATGAAATCCTCTTGCAATTTTTTCTGTTTCTACATACAGAAACAACTTTACAACTTTCTGTATCTTACACTTAATTAGTTAGCAATGATTGCATACATAAGAGAATAGAAAAATATAGAAAAAGAATAATGAATTTCTCTATGCAGTTTGCACGGCTTAGTTGGCTTCTGCTGACCTAAATGAAGTCTAAATGGAAGAAGCTTATATGTTCCAAACTCTGACGTAAATTCAAATTCAGAAAATGTAATAAGGACTATAAATCCCTTTATTCGTCATTGTGAGTCACTAAATATGAACTTTATTTATAGCTGTGTATAATTATATAGTCTTTGGCTTGCCATAAGCAATTTTGACAGGAGTAAATATCATTAGAGTAGAAAATCTTTCACCTACACAGATCTATGCTTCCCAGTTAATATTCGTGACTAATATATTGTGTAGCACTATGGATGTTAGGAAGCTTTTCTCCACGTACACAGCAATGGTTCTTGTATTATAGATATTTTATTGGCTGATAAAGTATTTTTACTGGTATTTATGTAGTCTTATTTCCCACATCACAACTTCCGACTTAAATGAGTGAAGACAGTTTATTTTTTTCTTCAGAACTAATTGAATGAATTCTGAAGACTTGCTGTTTAAATTATGCAAACATAATATTTTCTCACATTTATGGCTGTCGTAATGTTTCTGTTGCTGCCTCAGGAACTGCATTGTACTTAATGTAGTTACAGATAATACAACTGTCATAACTGTCATAAAGACCACGTGACAAGCCAGGCATTCCCACAGTCACACACCTCAAGCACATGTAGCCCTATAATTAAAGTTGGAGCTCTGCCGCTCACAATTGCAGTTTTGCATAAATTATGAATACTGTCAGAAGTGGCATTTTTAATGAGGATAAAGTTGAGAGAAGAATGAAAGCGGTACAAGGAGTCATCTCTGGTTAGGGAGGACCTCATGGAAATAAAACCTAGCAGATGTACAAGAGTCAAAACAAAGAAGATCCTGACATCATTATGCATGGCTTATGTGAAATTCTCTTAAGTATCTATTTTTGAGTCACATGTGAAGTGTGTGAGCTCCTCCGCTCACAGAAGCTTCAGCTATCATGGGATGGATTTAGACTTTTGGAGATTAAGCAATCCTATTGTCTAACTCAATGGACTAGAAATTCTTAGAGATTTGATCAGTCTAAGTCCAGTTGCTTTCTTCAAGAATTGACTGAATCTTTCCATCAAAGACAAGATTTTATAACTCAACTTCTCTCCTGCATAGCTAGGCTAAAATTCTTTTAGGTCAGGCTTCTGACAATACTTGAATTTTCTGTTTGTCTGGACAACAAAATGCATTTATGGCAAATGTCCATGCAAAACCCCCACACAGCTAGTTATAGCATACACCATGCCATTGTACTTTCAAAGCCAGCTCTTCAGATCATCTAGCCTCTCCTTATGGTTCTGTCAGAGGAATCTAGTATTTCCATGATAAACCAAAATGTGGTTATCTATGACTAATAATGGATAATAGTGATGGAGAAGCTCTACTTGTAAAGGAGAGGCTGGCCAGGGACAGTGGCTCAACACCTGCAAACCCAGTATTTTGGGAGGTTAAGGTGATACAATCACTTGAGCCCAGGAGTTTGATACCAGCCTGGGCAACATAGTGAGACCTTGCCTCTCTCTGAAAAAAAAAAAAGAAAAAAAAATTAGCTGCGTAGACTCTTTGGTTTGCCATAATGGCACACGCCTGCAGTCCCACCTACTCTGGAGGCTGAGATGGAAAGATTACTTGAGCTAGGTAGATCCAGGCAGCCATGAGCTAATATGTGTCACTGCACATCAGCCTGGGCGACAGAGCATGACCCTGTCTCCAAAAAAAAAAAAAAAAAAAAAAGAGTGGCTGGAGCTCCTGGAGCCACACAGATTTCTGTTGTAGCTACCGTGGCCAAGATGAGGGATGCTCTTCTTTTAATGCCCAAAGGTGAAAATATTATTCAATCCTAAATTCTCCATGGTACAGATAAATAGTCCTGGTTCCTTTAAATAATAACTAGAGGAAAGACAAACGATAGATGGATGGGAATACAGAGAGTCATGTAAAATTATATAATCTGATTCACATAATTAATTTTGCTCTTCTCTGTGGACCTCAGGGCATTACTACTACTGAAGCCCACACTTGGTCAGCTATCATCTCTGGCGTCTATATTTTACAATTCAGTGTGCAGAGAGAAAAAAAAATATGTCCTTTCCAAACTCTAAATTTCTTTCTGAATATTTACCTTCCCTTGAGAAGATTGATGCTCAGTATAATATATTCCCAAACACTGCCTCCTGTGGGAAAGAACTCACATCCTACTTACAAAGGTCTGGCCCTACTACATGGCTGGCCAAGAGACCAGTTATATTAGGATACTACAAAATGCACATGACTGTGCTTTTCCTCTTCTGCAAATTTTCTTCTATTGTGTCAACAGCAAGTTTTCTTTTAGTTTTGTGAAACATTGTGTATTTGATAATAAAGTTTTAATTTCTTGTGTACTATCTCATGAATATTTTGTGCAGAATATTGTCTTGTAAATTTTTAGTTGCATCAGTTCTCATTCTTAGAACTCAGTTACAAATTCATAGGTTAACCTTTGGAAAAATCATGGTGACAAGTTTGCAATGCATTCAGAATCATGCTTCCTAACTGGTTTATATGGGGAATAGTTATTAAGATAAAATATTAATGGAAATGACCTCAATCAATAAGATGTTATGAATTTTTTCAGAAACCCAACTTGCCTTTATCAGCTTCACATTATAGATGCTCAAAGGAACACATTGGTGGTTGATAGTTTAAAATGAGGGAAAAAAGAATTGACGAAGCAGAACTGTTAACTTGAATGTTCAAGATACTTATTGAAGACTTTACCAACAAATGTAATCATAGAAATTTTTTAACATATTTTCATTTTTAAACAGAACTACATAAATTTTAGAATACTTATGTGTATTTTTAATTGTTTTATTTACTAGCCTTTCCTTTAGGACATAGCAGCAGATATAATAATAGCTATTGAAATTGATCAGAGTCTATTCAATTATATCATCTGGCCTGTAACCACAAATAATGTAGTCACTAAATGATTGCAACGTAAGAGTAAATTGAAAAGATTGATTGCATCCACATTATTACTCTATAGCTTTATGGTCACATTATTTGATGATCTAGAGCCTAATAAACAAAGAAAACTTCTTTGGCTAGTTTCCATGACCATCTTTGTTATAATGACTTACCAAGTTCCTTGCTTCTCCCACACCTTGCATTTAGGCTGGAGCTAATTGGCTCTCCTTTAAACTTTAATTCCAATTTCTGGAAGCAAGTGCACCCTTCTAGACACAGAGAAATAAACATAAAATGTCTAGGTCAATTTGTATATTTCTTTAAGCTAACCTCGCTGAGAATTTTTCTTAAACTTTGCTATCTCAGCTTGTCCACTGAGAAAGCTTACTCTTATGGTCTCAGTACTTAGTACTTTCTGGGCGTTCTTTTATTTATTTATTTATTTATTTATTTATTTATTTATCTATCTATCTATCTATTTTAGAGACAGGGTCTAGCCCTGTCACCCAGGCTGGAGTGCAGTGGCATGATTATGCCTCACTGCAGCCTTGAATTCCTGGGCTCAAGCCTTGAACTCCTGGGTTACTCCCACTTCAGCCACTCGAGTAGCTGGTAATACAGATGTCTGCCACCATGCCCAGCTAATTGTTTTTGTTTCTTATATTTTATAGAGATGGGGGTCTCACTATGTTACCCAGGCTGGCCTGTCCTCGAGAGAGTCTCCCACCTCAGCTTCCTAAGTAGTTAGAATTACTGGCACAAGCCACTGTGCCTGGCTTCCAGGTATTCCAGATTCTTAAATTCCAGATTTTCTAACCCAGTCTCCTCTGCCCCTTTGAATTTCATTTCTGAATTCTTCCCCATATGAGCATTCTCCTATTTCACTAACAAGTTTCGTAGCCCCTTCTTTTATAGACACAAATCTATTTCCTATGCAGAAACAGATATGTAGATTCTATGTGGCTTAGCTCTTCGGTATACCTATTTTGTATCTTTTTTTTAGATATATGTGTATAAAGTGCATATATTCTTGGTTAAATTAATGAGATTTATAAATTATAGGAATCGCTATCATTGTGTAAAGTAAATAAATTGCTGATGAGAGAATAGAAGTGGAGGTGATGCACATTTTTTTGCTAAAACTTCTTGCCCAGTAGGTAATGTTTAATCTGAAGAGTATTTTTATGTATACATAAATCTGGAAAAATAAACCAAAAAATGAAATATCAATTCATAATTGAATAAAGAAAAGATACTACAAAGATATAAAAGGTAAAAAAGGGGAAATAAAAAGAAAAATCACGTTGAGTTTCATTTCCCTGATTTAGATTATATTTCAATAATGGAAAAAATATTTCTATAAAGAAAATAGAAGATTCTGAGAGCAAGAAGACAAATAAAATTCCACTATTCAATTTTAGTAAAATTTATTAATTGGTTAAGAATTAAGTATTAAAAATAGCCAAGAGGAACTTTTACATATAGTAGTGGTGTATTTTTACATGAATTTAAACATACATGGACCTACTTAGATAACTTTATAGTGGATCTCTGCATTTAAGCTTTCTTCATAGAAAATATCTGAATAATTATTTTTTAAAGAACAAGAGAGCTATCCATTGACAACGCAGATTGGACAATAGAGCCACGTTTTTAAGACATGCTATTGTGTACATATTTTGCCCATTGTTTTTTTGCTCTGTTGTTTTATGCCTGTTTAATTTTTTATGGAATTAAGAACTTTTAGAGAAAGAAAAAGGATTCTAATCCATAAATTAAAATTTTTATCCTGGTAAATATAAATACCCATTTAAATTATTAAAATATAACTGGTTGCATGTAAACCACACATAGCAAACTTGTCAACATGTAGTTTGTGAATTAATTCCAAGTGGACACTGGAGATCTGAAATTTCTGCAACTGAACTTTCAATCTGTTAAATAGAAAATACTTAATATACTACTGAAGTTTCATGGAGATAATCACAGTGGTGGCGATGAGAAGAACATAGGCTGTAAAGTAGATAAAGTGGGGTCCAGATATCTGTCTTATTCCCATTGTGTGGCCTCAGACAGATTTATCTAATTGAACCATGTCTCAGTTTTCTCATTCAAATATTGAAAGGAAAATATTAATTAATCCATGTAAATTCTCCTAGACAATTTCCAGGGTTACATGTTAATTTTCCCCTCCTCTCCTTCTGTAGCATTCTACTCAGTGATTTCCAAAATGTGATCGGTGTCAGAGAATCTTGAATGATGCTCAAAGATGAATATCAGCATATTCCTTGAATTCCCTAAGTGAGTCATTTCTACTTATATCCATTTGCATATGCATCTTATGCATATTTATAAAATATATGTATATGCGCATATTTTTATATGTTGATCAGCGAGAACTACTTCTGTTCTATACTAACTCATTATTTTATTTTTATGAATAACTGGTGCCCACGAGACAGTCTATTGGAGTAACGTTAGGAATTATCATCCCTTAAAGTAAAAGGGACTATATAGATGGATGGAATTTTATTTTGTATTTATTAATCCTTTTTCTCAGGGGTCATTGTAAGAGGAAAAATAATATGATTCATAATTCCACTTATTATAGAATTGCACATACATAAAAAACAATAACCAGAAGGTTGTATTTGTCATTTACCCTCTCACCCTCATGGCACTGCCTCTGTGATATCCTGTCTCTGAGGCTCTGTACTTCTTTAAATGGTCTGTCTGGCAACCATATTTTTCCGGCTTATTAAAATGTTTTTCACCATTGATTATAAAGCTCATATCATTTCTCCCATGAATCCTTTCTAAAACAGCTGATTTCTTCTTGTTTATTGCTATAGGAATTTTTGTATATGTACTATCATAGTATTATAACTTGTATCCCACTCATTGCAAAAATGTGTTTGCATAGTAAACTTCTTAAGAAGGAATCATTTCTCTCTCCTAAATAGGGCCTGGTTCACAGGAGGTATTCAATATAGTTTTGTTGAATAAACAAATAAATAAACAATTGGATATATAATTGAATACTGTTTCGCATTTAAGAAAAATTGCCAAACTGTCAGTCTATGAGGGATTACATAGAATAAACTTTTGCCTAATTTGTAAGCATTTCAATTAAATTCTGATTCTATTATTGATTCACTTAGTTCCTAATCTATTAACATGGGTCACTTTGATAAAACTCAGTTTTGCAAAACACTTTTGACCATTAAGACAGTGTAAAGCTGAAAAAAAAAAAAAAGTCTTCCTAGAATCCTATTACTCTCAAGGAAAATTAACCTATTCTACTTTGGATAAAACTTACTTTTTACATTTTCTTTTCTGTTCTACACAGTAGTGACGATAACTATTTAAATGTTGAGAAAATAATGTGCTTAGGCTACTGGACTCATTTTTTTTGATTCATGAGTAGCTATTAGTTTACATGAGCACAGAACTACTTAGAAATTACCCCTGAAAAGAGAAGGGAGCATCATGCCACCTGTTTTGATATGTTCAAATAGTTGAGTCATTAGTCAGGCTAGATGAATGGGAGCATAGAGAAAAAAAAGACAAGAGAGGTAAGAAAGATACAAGAAGAGGCCAGGAAGGGTGGCTCACACCAGCAATCCCAGTACTATGAGATGCCAAGGCGGGTCACTTTGAGGCCAGGAGTTTGAGACCATCCTGGCCAACATGGCAAAACCCTGTCTCTACTAAAAATACAAAAGATTAAACAGGTGTAGTGGTGCACACATGTAACCCTAGCTACTGGGGAGGCTGAGGCAGCAGAATAGCTTGAACCCTGGAGGTGGAGGTTGCCCTGAGCCGAGGTGGTGCCATTGCACTCCAGCCTGGGTGACAGAGTGAGAGTTCATCTAAAAAAAAAAAAAAAAAGAAGAAGAAGAATTGATTAATAATTGTTTAGAATTTAAAAGTATAATTCTTAGACATAGATGAAGAAAAAAATAAAAGGTAGAGCAGAAAATATATGGTGTTCTTCAAATTTTTCCCTGCAAATTCTTACTGTTTTCCTCTTCCTTTCTTAGCTTATATACACACATATTTCTTCTTTTACTTTCTATGCGAAGTGAAATATAACTTTAAATTCCATTATGTGATATGCCAGATCTATAATATCCATCAGATAATTTCTATCATGTTTCTGTCCCATTAGGTTCTCTGAGATCCAGCCTGGGATTGCATTTTATTCAATCTTATATTTCTAGCCCTTAAACCATAAATACATGGAATTATGTACTTATGAAAGGCTTCAACATCAAAATAGTGAAGTTATTAATACACACACTGTCACATGTGTATGCGTATGTGTGTGCGTTTGTGTTTGTAGACACACAGTACATATTAATAAAGTAATTTTCCATAATGGCTTTTAGTAACTAAAACAAATTTTATACAATGACTTTAGAAACTAAACCCACACATGCACACACATGATTTTACATGATGTCTTTTAGTAACCAAAACAAACTTCACAAAATTACTCTTAGAATCTAGGAATTTGTTATCACCCCTCTTGACTTCCAGCTCATTCCCTCCTCTCACCCCTCTAGAGGAAAGAGTTTGAACTCTTTACCTTATGTGACAATAGCATGGTTATGCATGAAACATAGTCCTCTGAACCAATTTCACATTATTTTACCTTGCAAAATGTTATCTTAAACTTTTTCTTGCCTTGCAATATCTTATACATTACCTTGCAAAAAAAACTAGTGTATTTAAATATTATGTAAATTATGTAGTTGCTAATGAAGCTCACTGAATGGTGTCTTTTATTTCTTTCTTATTTTGTTTGTTCTCTAATGTAGGACATAAACCTCCCTTTTAATTGACCAAAGTCTTGCTAATAGAAACATCAGGCATTAAGATGTTTTAAAAAATACTTTGATGTACTTGTTATAAGCATCAAATGTAATAGGAAGAAATTAGTCCCAAAGTATTAAAAAATCATAACAAGATTATTTTTCTGACTTTTTTTTTCTTTTTTCCATTTCTTTTTTCTTTTCTTTTCTTTTTTTTCTTTTTTTTTTGTTTTTAGTCACAGGGTCTCACTCTGTCACCCAGGTGAAGTGTAGTGGTGCAATCATGGCTTACTGTAACCTTGGACTTCTGGGTTCAAGCAATCCTCTCACCTCGAGTAGCTGCGACTATAGGCACAGGCCATTATCACTAGTTATATTAGTCTGTTCTCACACTGCTAATAAAGACATACCCAAGACTGGGTAATTTATAAAGGAGAGAGGTTTAATTGACCCACTGTTCCACATGGCTGAGGAGGCCTCACATCATGGTGGAAGGCAAATGAGGAGCAAAGTCACATCTTATATTGTGGCAGGAAACAGAGCTTGTTTAGGGAAACTCCCATTTATAAAACCATCAGATCTCATGAGACTTATTCACTATCATGAGAACAGAACAAGAAAGACCAACCCCCATGACTGAATTACCTCCCACCGTGTCCCTCCTGTGACACATGAGGATTATTACAATTCAAGGTAAGATTTGGGTGGAGACACAGAGCCAAACCATATCATTCCAATCCTGGCCACTCCCAAATCTCATGTCCTCACATTTCAAAACCACGCATGCCTCCCAACAGTCCCCCAAAGTCTTAACTCATTTCAGCATTAACTCAAAAGTCCAGAGTCCAAAGTCTCATCTGAGATGAGGCAAGTCCCTTCTGCCTATGAGACTGTAAAATCAAAAGCAAGTCAGTTACATCCTAGGTCCAATGGAGGTAAAGCCATTGGGTAAATACAGCTGTTCCAAAGGGGAGAAATTAGCCAAAATGAAGGGACTACAGGCCCCATGCAAGTTCAAAATCCAACAGGGCAACCAAATCTTAAAGTTCCAAAATGATCTCCTTTAACTCCATGTGTCACATCCAGGTCACACTCATGCAAGAAGTGGGTTGCCATGGTCTTGGGCAGCTCCACCCCTGTGGCTTTGCAGGGTACAGCCCATGTCCTGACTGCTTTCATGGGCTGGTGTTGAGTGTCTGTGGCTTTTCCGGGTGCACACTGCAAGCTGTTGGTGGATATACCATTCTGAGATCTGGAGAATGGTGGCCCTCTTCTCACAGCTCCACTGGGCATTGCCCCAGTGGGGACTCTGTGTGGGGGCTCACATCCCACATTTCCCTTCTGCTCTGCGTTAGCAGATGTTCTCCATGAGGGCTCCACCCCTGCAACACACCTCTGCCTGGACATCCAGGCACTTCCATACATCCTCTGAAATCCACGTAGAGGTTAGCAAACCTTAATTCTTGACTTCTGTTTATCCGCAGGTCCAACACTACATGTAAGTCACCAAGGCTTTGGACTTGCACCCTCTGAAGCAAGGGGCTGAGCTCCTTTTAACCATTGCTGGGACACAGGGCACCAAGCCCTGAAACTGCACAAAGCAGCAAGACCCTGGGCCCAGCCAATGAAACCATTTTTTTCTTCCTAGGCTTCCCAGCTTGTAATGGGAGGGGCTGCCATGAATACCTCTGACATGCCCTGGAAAGATTTTCCCCATTATCTTGGCAATTAACATTTGGCTCCTTATTACTTATGCAAATTTCAGCAGCAGGCTTAAATTTCTCCTCAGAAAATGGATTTTTCTTTTCTATTGCATCATCAAGCTGCAAATTATCTGACCTTTTATGCTCTATTTCTCTTTTTAATGTAAGTTCCAATTCCAAACCATATCTCTGTGAATACATAAAATTGAATGCTTTTAACAGTACCCAAGTCACCTCTTGAACACTTTGCTGCTTAGAAATTTCTTCCACCAGATGCCCTAAATCCTCTCTCTCAAGTTCAAGGTTCCACAAATCTCTAGGGCAGGGGCAAAATGCCACCAGTGTTTTTGCTACAACACAAGAAGGGTCACCTTTGCTCCAGCTCCCAATGATTTTCTCACCTCTATCTGACACCACCTCAGCCTGGACTTTATTGTCCATACCACTATCAGCATTTTGCCCAAAACCATTCAACAAGTCTCTAGGAAACTCCAAACCTTCCCACATTTTCCTGTCTTCTTCTGAGCCCTCCAAACTGTTCCAACTTCTGCCTGTTACCAAGTTCCAAAGTCCCTTCCATATTTTTTAGTATCTTTAGAGCAGCGTCCACTTCTGGTAAAAATTTACTGTATTAGTCTGTTCTCATGCTACTAATAAAGACATATCTGGGACTGGGTCATGTATAAACGAAAGAGGTTTAATTGATCCACAGTTCCACATGGCTGAGGAGGCCCCACAATTATGGTGGAAGGCGAATGAAGAGCAAAGTCATTTCTTACATGGTGGCAGACAAGAGGTAGGGTGTTCAGGGAAACTCCCATTTATAAAATCATGAGATCTCATGAGACTTATTTACTATCATGAGAACAACATGGGAAAACCTGTCCCCATGATTCAATTACCTCCCACCAGGTCCCTCCCATGACACATGGGAATTATTACAATTCAAGGTGAAATTTGGGTGGGGACACAGAGCCAAACCATATCACTGGCTAATTTTTAATTTTTATTTTTTGTAGAGATGGAATCTTGCTATCTTCCTCAGGCTCCTCTCAAACTCCCGGCCTTAAGCAATTCACCCACCTCAGCCCCCCAAAGTCCTGGGATTACAGGTACAAGCTACCATGCTTGAACTTTTTCTTATTTTGAAACAAGTAATATGCAAAGACTTAATTTTAAAACAGATCAGGTAATTCTTAATTATCTTTTTCTTTTTATGTAAAAACCCTCACAGATGCAAGAAAAAAAGCTATTTAATCTTCCAGCCTCAGTTTCTCTATTTGTGAAAAGAGAGTTGATTGGCCTCCGTGAAGTGTTTTGAGAATTAGTTTATACTTGAAAAGTGAATTCAATGTGAAAGGTCCCATTTAAATGCAAAGTTATTAATCAGTGAATACAAAATTCAGCAGTTTTATTTTAGTTTCTAAACTCCTAGCAACTCTTCACACAAAATTCTAAATTATTTGTCCTTTTTACTTTCCTTAAAAATCTTTTTATACACATTATCCAGCCTGCTTTTAAAATGTTTGCAATATATTATCCTCTTTTTTTAATAAAGATGCAACTTATAAATTCAGGAAAATATTTTCCCATAAACATGTTTTTATTTTATTTCCCCAGTTTCCCCAAATCTCTGTTCTTTGCAGCATCTTTCTAACATAATTGATTGCATTAATGAAGTAACCAACTGGTGACTCAAATTGTGAATCTGAATTGTCACTCCATCACCAGTAGATTTGCAGAAGGAATGCAATATTTTTAACATATTTTATGAAACGTTAACTATTATATTTCAGTGCAAGTTCTCAAGATTTATATAGATGCTGCTTTCAATTCAAGAGAAAATGTAAAGATCATGCCTTTGGCTCCACCATGGAGCTGAGACAAGTAACTGCAAGCTTTAAAATTGATATCTTGAATAATATGAATCCAATCAGTAAAAAACACCTTATTTATAATTTTTCTCACCACTACGTATACAGTGAAATATTTATAAGAATATAATAGGTAGATAAATACAAACGTATCTCTTCAAAAAGCATGCTATTTGAAAGTCAATTTGTATTTAGATTTTTATTTCGCAAGCAAACAGGAGAAAAAGATGGATGGATTAGAATAATGTAGAGTTACTCCTACATTTCAAAGTTGAGTTTTAGAAAAGTATTTGGAAAACACATTTCTCTAAACTCACTTCTGGGTTTTATTTTTTGTTTTAACAAAAACATCATTTAATTTTCAAAGAACTGTTCTGAACTTGGGTAGTTTTTGCTCTACCAGAAATCATTACTTATATATGCCTGCCATGAAACAGTGAAGTTTAAAACTATTGAATCTAAACATTACTAGATAGAAAACTATATAAAGCATCCTTATTTTTCAATGCAATTTATACACAAATAGATAACTTTTGACTATTTCTGAAAAATTAACAAAATAATTCTATAGTGACTCAGTAAATAAAAACTTACTATTAACTTATTTGCCATATTGAGTATTCTTACATTCATCCACCATTTATTGTAGTCTTACAAGCACTTAAATGTTGAGAATTTAGGATGAAAAGACAGGAATACTTAATTTTACACATCTGATCCCTTAAAAAACGATAATCTCTTAATTAATCTTTATTCTCAATAGAAATGATTATTTTACCAGTATTACTTTTCAAGTGATTAAATTTTTTACATTGCTTTAATAAAAGTAACTTCAAAACACATCAACCTAATTTATATGAGTGAACAACAGTATTAATCTCATTCACTAACTACAGTCACTTCTTGTTTTGGTTGAAAAAGTAGTATTTTGATTAGCATTAGATATACTTAGTGGTTAACTTTGTATATATTTAGGTACTATTTAATTTCAAAAATTGCTAATAAAGTCATCAAGTTATTTTGCCTTATTTAAATGTTTGCTTCCAACAAATTAGAAAAATGGGTATTTACTTGATTTTTTAATTACTTTTTATTCTGAATCTTGACATCTCCTAGAGATAGTCCATCTGCTCACGATCTCCAGACAATTCAAGGAAAGAAACAAAATTGTCCACATCTTAGAAGGCTCAAAAAGAAAAATAGCAGTTAAGATATAATAGCATCCCTTAAGTTTTTAATAATAATAATAAACAATAATATTTTGTTCAGAACAAGTTAAATATTGACCAGTAAAATAAGAGCTAAAATTGGGAGTTAATCTACCCTGGGGATTCTTCATTATGTTGAATTCAAACATTGGAGTGACTTTTCCTCCACAAATCTGCTTCTGCTGTAGGCCCTTCCTTAGTTAAGAGTACAAAATGTATTCCCTTGTACAGTTCTTGCCTGTTTTTTCTTTCTGCTCTACCATGTTTTTAAGTGATCATCTCTTTCCATCCATTCCAAGTTCCAAATATGACTCCTACTTACCCCTTTCTTCCTTCTGCATTGCTCCTGACTCAGATCAGGTCTTCCTTTGTTTTCCCTCCAGCTCCTCTCCTCCATGGTCTACGGAGGCTTATGCTCCACTACCTGCTTGTAAGTGCACATAGTTGCCCCAGTGGGCCCTTTATAAAATATCAATACCTTCCACTCAAAACTGCTTCATGTCTTCTTTTTCCGACACCACCTAGAAAGAAATCTTTATCTTTTGTTTAATGCTATGACATGAGCCAATATGTGTGTGATGTCATGCCAGCTCCCTCCTGAAAGTTAACTGCCTCATCCCAGAAGATATATGCTCCATGTTGTGTGAGTACTGGTACTACTATTTGCCTAGATTATTATTTTGTGTATATTCTAGTGAGACTGCTTATAAATAGAAAGGGAATGGCTTATTTATCTTGCTATCCAACTGGTGCTTGAGTCCTGGCTCCTTTGTTTACCAGCTCTATGAATTGAGCAAGATATGTGACGTCTGCTTCATCTATAAACAGGTTTTAACTAAAATCAAATGAGTGAATGCATTTAAAAATCTTAGAATAGTAGATGAGACAGCATGCAAAATTAAAATGAATATAATTGATATTGTTTATGCTATTCTTTTATTTATATTTTTCTGCATCTATCAGTATATGGCTCAGAGAAGGTACTCAATAAATATTGTTGAATTTAAATGAGAGAAGCAAGGAGGCTTAATTATTCATCAAAGCAAGCAATGATCACCAACATTATTATCATCATTATCATCATCACCTTCAAACATTCAACATGAACAAAATATGTTAGCTAAACAAATGACAAGACATACTATTTACATCTACAGTACTTGTAATCAATATGAATATTGTTTCCATATAGCCGTGGTTAATAAGTAATTCAGCATTGTAAATTTGCATAATAGCAATGTGTTATGTGACAAGGGCGGAATTATAAATATTTTTATAATTATATTTACAACAAATATATGTCCTAATGTTTCATGGGCAACACCAGTTTTAAAAACGGACATTCACCCATTGCATCCAGCAACCTCATAGCACATAAGATACAGGACTTTAATGGTATTGATAATTCAGTTCTGAACATAGGTGGGGTCAAGACAGGTGTTCATAACATTATTTTATATATATTTTGCATGTCTGAAATAATTTATATTGAAAAAGGAAACATACAATTTCATATAACATTTTCCAACAACAATTTCCGTCCTTTCTATGCTGAAGCAGCACAAAATTCCAAGTGGAGGATAAGAAAATAAGGGGCCAATAACTTTACTAGTCAACATAGTCATTTCAGCTGACCTCAACTGATTTATTGAACTTTAATTCAACATTTATCTCTATGAATTAATTGTTACTGGAGCTGTAAAAATTGATAAATATGACTTCTTTTTTTTCCCTCTTTTTCTTCATTGGTCTAGCGGCTTATTCAGTATGTTCTGAACACACAATGGCTAATATGAATTAATGGTTGAATATAATTACATGTGATTCCATCATACAAAATTATTGATTGACAACACTGGTTTAATATTATTGAAGGAAATACAGATTTTTAATATTTTGGGATGTAACTTTTATTTAGTCAGAGACGAGAGTTATATGCAGGCTCACTTGTTTACTTTTATTAATATGCATGCTTTATGAAATCCTGGTACTGCATCTCTCCCTGTGTAAACTACTTGTCCATTATACCATGCTCTAAAAATAAAATGCAAAAGCACTCCCTACTTAGACAGCAGGAATTAAGTTTTCTGATTCTAAGTAGTGGTTTTAGGACAGGAATAATTTTGTGTGTTAGTTTAACCTGTTCTCTGCTTGTATGCTAACAGCTCTTTCTTGCTAAAGATCATATCGACTGAACTGAAATGTATAACTCATATACTGTAGGTACAGACTAAGGAAAAGCTGAAAGGATAAGGGAAGGACCTTTTTTGACTCAGCTCTTCTTGCTCTTATGTCCTGCTTTATAATGTTTCCTTTCTCTGGACCATCTTCCCCTTCCCTGAAGCTAACTCCTTACCCTGGACCTCATCATCTCATGACTGAATTATTCCATAGCCTCTTGATTGAAATCTATATTTCTGGTCTTTTCACAAGGCAAGCCATATTCCATAATGCTGACGTAGGAATTCTGTAAAATATACTATTGTGTGTGCCAGTTCCTTCTTACGTGCTTTTAAATGATTCTATTGCCTACTTGCAGAATGCCAAATAGGTTCCAGGTGATTACCAGCTCCAGTCTACACTCAGGCTTACCTAGAGTGTTGTGTGGAAATGATCGTGAGTGTGGCTTTCAGAATTACCTGGAAAGAGGGCATTGATTGATTAGTGATGTCTGCAACAGAAGTAGAAATGGGAACTTGTAGCCTATACAGAGTGGATTCAAGAACTGTTCCAACAGAGTGGAATCTACTCTCTCAACATTCTCAAATGGAATGTGTATGTGCCTACACAGAAAAAAAATTACGATTTGAAATAATCGTATGCAATATTCATGAAAAAGGACAGTATATAGCACTGTTTCCCTAGCTGTGTGAATTACGAGGTGTGTGTTACTAGTTACACAGTGCAAGCTACTTAACCTCTCTATGACTCAGTTTCCTCATCTGCAACGTGTGAATAATAGGGTTCTTATAAAAATTAAATGTGTAAATTTATGTAAATTATTTAGAGAAATGCCTGATGTATAGCAAGTTTATTCAAAACATGTGCTCTTATCATTATTATTGTATCTTAAAACAGCTACAGAAGTCTGTTATACACCACACCACTTTGAGAAGGAAACATTTCTTTTTGATAGGCTTTATTTTTTAGAACAGTTTTAAGTTTACAAAGAAATTGCAGAGAAAGAACTGAGAGTTCCCATATAGTTCCTCTCCTTGCTGCACACAGTTTCCCCTATTATTAACATTTTTGCATTAGTGCAGTAAATTTGTTACCATTGATGAACCAATATTAATAGGTTATTACTTACCAAAGTCCATAGTTTTCATCAGGGTTCACTCTGTGTTGTACAGTTCTGAGGATTTTTACAAATATGTAATGACATGTTTCTATCATTATAGTATCATATAAGACAGTTTAATTTCCCTAAAATGCCCTGAGTTCCCCATTTTCATCTCTACACCTTTCCCCAATCCCCTGACAACTACTGATATTTTTACTGCTTCTGTAGTCTTAGCTTTTACTAAATGTCATATCCTTGAAGTAATATAGCGTGCAACTTTTAAAACAGTCTTCTTTCACTTAGCAATATGCATTTAAGGTTCTTTCATTTTTTTGTGTGGTTGATAGCACATTTACTTTTATTTTTACAAGTCACTTGAGTGTTTTAATTAATTAATTACTTTGTTTTTAGTGGTTATTAATTTTATTATCTTTTTAATTTCTTCAAATTTATTTTAGATTCAGGCGGTACTTTTGCAGATTTGTTACCTAAGTATATTGTAACAAGTGATGCTGAGGTTTGGAGTACAGAAGATGCCGTCACTCAAGTACTGAGCATAGTACCTAACCGTTTTTCAGCCCCTGCTCACCTCCATTCCCCACCCCAGTCATCCCCATTGTCCATTGTTGCCGTCTTTATGTCCCTGAATACCCAATATTTATCTCGCACTTACACATCAGAGTATGTGGTTTTGGATTTTTTGAAGAAAATTGTTGAAAATATGTTTCTTACCATGTTTTCACCACCATATATACTTACATATATAGATATACATATATCAGTATAT
Organism: Homo sapiens; assembly: GCF_000001405.40. Taxonomy (NCBI): domain Eukaryota; kingdom Metazoa; phylum Chordata; class Mammalia; order Primates; family Hominidae; genus Homo; species Homo sapiens. The sequence continues at coordinate 171,790,872 of NC_000004.12, forward strand.
ATAAATATATAAAATAATGTATATAAATCAATATATATAAATGTTTATATGTATATATACAAGTGTATATAAACATAGCTGTGCGGAGAAATTTCTTTTGACACCAGAGAAACAATTGTCAATTATTCGACTTCCTGCCACAGTTAAAATTTAATTAAAAATAATTAAATACTAAAAATAAAGGAATTGTTTGTGGCGGAAGGAAGAAATTGGTGTTCTAACGCAAGAGGAATTACGAAATGACACCTAGGTAACATATTAGGCACCATCCTACTCAAGGCATTGACATTTACTATTTTCTTTGCTTGAAATGCTCTTCCCTAAGTATATTTTTGGTTATGTCTTCTCCATTAAGACTGCCCAGTGGTCATCACTATGAGAACTTGCACGTCTATTCTCTTGCTAAATGCAATGCCCTTGGTGCTTCATACCCTGCTTCTCTGGAGACATCTTAGGGTGTGTGATTGTTATTCATGGAAACTGTCAGTTTTCTTAAGTTTATAAAGTCACTTTATATTAAACTATATAGTCTACTATACATTATTTTTATTTATTTTCTGTCTTCCCACATTAAAATTTAAGATCTATGAGGACAGAGAACTTTGTTAACTGCTGTATCCACATTGTCTAAAAAATTGGCTTACACTTTTTAAGAGCATAAGAACTATATAAAATGTGACTAAAGGGTTTGCTATTTTTGCTGAAATATATAGACATTTTTAGTTGTTTGAATGAAAATATCACTTTTCATTCTCCCACACCATATGTAGGGGTCTTGATTTTACCACTGGAGGCTTGAGGAATGGAGTGGGATTTAATAAATAGGCCTTTAGTTTTAGGAAATATTTTGAAATTAATGTGTAGCTGTGTTAGAAAACCTGTGACTGAAGATTATTCAACAAATAATTGTAATCATTATTATATTAAGTTATTGATACACACAAATGCATCCTTTTATTATTTAATAAATATTTGGAAATTTTTTTTGAGGAAATATAAGATTTAAAGTCTATCCCAGAAAATATTCACACAAAAAGTCATGGACAGATCTCTGGTCTTATTTGATAGTGTCTGATGCAGTGAGGAAGATGGCTGAAGGTGAACCTGACCTCAGCTATATTCTACCTTGCACAAGGACAAGGTCAGGGGAAAAGGTAAAAAGCTCTGGTCCCTTTTTCATCAATAAAAGGCCCTTTTCTGGAGACATCATTGGATGTGTGATTGTTATTCATGGAAACTGTCAGTTTTCTTAAGTCCACCCTGTAACAGGATACATGAGTGACAGACAGTGGACCATTATCTTGACAAGGTAGATCTTTGCTAGCAAAAAGTCAAGGTAAAAGTAAACCTAAAATAAGAGAGTAAGATTATTATTTTTGAATTCAGTGTTACTTATAGCTACTGTAAATCCAAAATGCACACTTGTATTTTAACTGTTAAGACTTTCCTTTCCTGGCTCATATTTTGCCAGGTTATCCAAATGAGCGTGAAGGAAAAGACCAATCATTCAACTGATGATTTAATGGTAATATATGAGGTTTTAACACTGTAGACTTCATATTAAAGGGATTGTATTTCAGTGTTTTGACATTAAAAGCAGTCATTATAGCTGTTGAATATATTGTTTTTATTTCTCCCCAAGTAATCTTTTCTATAAAGTATGTTATCAATGTTAATTAAACAGGGACCATAAAGAGTCCTTAAGTCATTTTTAGAAAATGTCTTCAAAGTGGTTTTATAATACTAGTTAATATATGCTTATAATCTGAAGAAAATACCATAGTTGCTGTAGAATATAGTAAATGAGGTACCGAACAAATGGTCCTACACATTCTGGATTGAATATATATCATTGTTAAATGCAGGAGGTTCAACAGAGACTGTTATATGGAATCACATCAGGAAGAGGTGAGGGAAGGAGGACTGGGCAGAGGGAAAGGCTGAACTGTGTTGTGGTTGCAGCACGTATTTCAGACGATTGGATGAGCAGCTCTGAAACAGACTGTTTTTCAGATTTATCCCCAGTAAGGCAAGGGATCCAAGCCTTTGCACTCTTTCAACATTCAACCACTGGTTGTAAGCTACCTCCCGAAGGACGGTGGTGGGATAAGGGTGTATAACGTTACAAGAGACAACCTTCTTTATTGATTGACAATTTCCAGAGCGAAAGATGTCGCTCTACGCCACAAGCAGCCAACATTCCTGACAATTGGGAAAATGACAGTCTCAGTCCAAAGAAGGACCTGGGTGCCAAATCACAGCATCCATTACAGTCCACTTATTGCTTCAAGCCGTGAGTTTACCCCATCTATAAACAGCTTCCTTGTGGTTTAAGGTGGTTCTTTTCCAAGGGTAACTTACAAGAGGAAAGTTAATAAGACAAACAAAGCTCATAATGGTGCTGGTCCTAAAGGCATAACTTAGTACTTACCATCTCTCTTCTCTACTACCTATTCCAGATTCCTCTCGCTATTTGTCAGCACATTGCCTAGTCTAGGTGGCTCACTTGGATGGGTTGCCCAAATATCATCTTTAAAAGATCTGAGCCCTGGTCACTGTGGAATCCTAATTAGGCAAAAGGAGTCAGGCTGGTGGGAGTAGGGGAAAGCGAAGACAGAAAGGAGATAAGCTACAAGTCTGCCTTTCTTCAAGATCCAGGACACACAGCCCTCCTGTGCAAGTAACTCACAATCTCTCTGTGCCCAACTATCACAAGACACCTGCAAGTTAGCTCACTGCAACCTTGGCATTATCAGTACTGCAGAAAGCTCTCTTTGACAGACAGCATAAACACTAACCTATAAATCTCCAGCAAGCCTTTGTTTCTTTACAGTCAGTCAGTTTCCGGCAGCCCGTTCTCTCTCTGGCAACATATTTTCCTACTTTCTCTAATAAATCTGCCTTCCTTTCCCTATAGCTGTCTTAGTAAATTCTTCTTTTACCCCCACTCCATCAGCTGTCGTTGCCCCGCAACAGTCGCCAGGTACTTTTCAGGCTGTGACAGCTGCACCTGTCCATTTGCTGTTATAATTAGACACAGGAGTATGAAGAAATTCTCCTATGAATCATTAGGGTGCCAAAATTACTATTTCTGCCTCTGATGATCAGGGTCAGCTACCTACAAGACAGTTCATCCTTTCTTTGACAGCTAGTTTCCTGGCATAAGAAGCACAAAGTGACTGGAAGTCAGCAACAGCTTAAAGTTTAATAGTTTCATAAAAGCTCTGGCAGAAGCGTACCCTTCCTTTTGAGAACTAGGTCTTCTAGACATGCCGAGACTAGAAGTACCGAGACAAGAAACAAATTCAAGTTTGCCACTACTATTTACTTCCACCTTTGTTTCACAGACCCATGCATTCTAAATATTACAATTGCTGGTACCCAGCCCTCACAATCTGTCATTTATTGCCACCCCAAATTTTTCTCCAAAAGTTTGTTCCATTTGCACTACTAGGCCAGTAGCTTCTAAATGGTATGGTAGGTGACAGGCTAGAGAGATTCCATGGCCATGTGGCCATTGCTCCCTCCATTTCTTTAAAGTGGATCTCTTGATTCCATGGGATGTTATGTGGGATAATGTGTTGGTTGAAATAATACTTGCAAGGCTTACTTATAACATAAGCCTTCAGATAGTTGCTAGTTGAGACAGTAAAGGCAAAAAAGGAAAGCCTACATTTGGGTTCATCCCAGTTAAAATGAACTGCTGCTCCTTCTAGGGTGGAAGAAGTCCTATGTAATTGACTTACTCCTAAGTCCTTATTGCTTGTAGGTTGGACATTTGTCAGTGACAGTAGCTAGTTTAGCATTACTGAGTGGAAGCTCCTAGAGTTAAGCTCATGCATAGCCTCCATGCCTGCCCCCTAGCTACAGCATTAATTAGCCCATGACAGCAGTGCTGGGACAGCAAAGACAGCCTCCGCTGATGACAGTTTGCCAGGTCGTTTGATATAGTTCTTGTACAGTGCCCCTTCCATAGTGGATATCTCTGATGGGCATTAATATGCTATACAGATAGAGTCACAGTTTGTTTGCACTCTCATTGATCCATATATATATATTTTTTTTTTTTTTCCTTCACTAGAGCTTCCTGTCTGATATTCCAATATTCCTCCCTCTGGGACCCTAACAGCCACACTATTTTCTATCGATGATAGGTCTATATATATTTTCTTACCTCAGGCTATCTTCTTCCCACACAAACTGGATGACCTGTTGTACTGCCTAAAATTCTGCTAATTGGAAAGAATTCTCACTACTAAATTTTAGAATTGCCCTGAATTGTACAACAGCAGTCTAATTATGGTGGTTTCCCACATACCAAATTATCCCATCCAAAAACCAGGCTTGAACGTGTCCACTTTTGTCAGATAGGTGGAGACACAGGCATGAGGTGATACAAAGGTACCAGTGAAGCAGGGGTGGGTGGTATGGATATCTTGGTCACATCTTTGCATACTTTACTTGGATCCTTGTTCTTAGCCTTGCCTGTGCCCAATCCCAGATGTAACATAAACATAGTACGGACGATTCCTGCCGAAGCCACCTGGTCCTATGACTTGGTGAATCTGATAAAATCCAGCTCATATTGTAAGCTCTGGTAGCCTGGTACATGGTCGCTTGCTGTCCTATGGTCAAGTGCTGCTCTACCAGGACCTACTAGCCACCAGAATTTTTTTTTTTTTTTTGAGATGGAGTCTTCATCTGTTGCCCAGGCTGGAGTGCAGTGGCACAGTGGTAAAATCTCGGCTCACTGCAACCTCCACCTCCTTGGTTCCAGTGATTCTCCTGCCTCAGCCTCCAGAGTAGCTGGGATTACAGGCGCCTGCCATCACGCCTGGCTAATTTTTGTATTTTTAGTAGAGATGGGGTTTCACCATGTTGGCCAGGATGGTCTCGAACTCCTAACCTCGTGATCCACCCCCCTTGGCCTCCCAAAGTGCTGGGATTACAGGCATGAGCCACCATGCCTGGCCAGAAATTTTTTTTAAAGGAGAGTATTATTTTCTCCTTCAGATCCAGTAGCTTAGAAGCTACATGGCGATCCTCTTATTGGGTTTTGTCACGAATGCCAAACAACATCTTCTTTTTAAATCTGGGATACTTTTTATACTATAATATCCACCAGGTTATGTACCTTGAGAGGTAAGACTGCTTGCGCCACTGCCTAGACCTGCTGTGTTCCTGCTCTGTGCCTGCTCAGAGATGGCACTCTTGTTTGCCAATCAGTAATGGTTAGACCAATATTCCCAAGGGGTATATGCTATCTCAAGAATCCAGGACAGCTTTTCGGGCATTGTGCTTCTATTTTAGTGGTGGGGGAGATGAGATCTGATAATTTGCTAGTTACTCTAAAGGTATGAGATGTAGCAATGTGCTCTTTACCATGGCATTCTTGGAACATGGAATCACTAAAAATCTCAGTGATATGGTGGGTCCTTGAACCTTCATAGGATCTTTTTTTCTCCTATTTTCTGGAGCTTATATGTCTCATAATAAATGTCTTTACCAAGCTAGTCACTGACTCATCCATATAAATTTGCATGGTGTTGATGCTATATAGTCAAGTGGATCTGTGTAATGTAGTGAAGAAGTCTGGATAGGACAGTTTGCTTTGGACTGTATTATCACAGAGCATAGGAGACTTAATACAGCCTGAAGCAAGAATGTCAATATATACTATTCTGCTTTCCCTGCAGATGTGAACTTCTGTTCCTTTTGTTCCTGATGAGGATGGAAAAAATGCATTTATAAGATTAATGGGCACATATTATGTACCTGAGAGCATATTTACCTGCTGCAGCAAAATTCTTTTGATATGTTCATAAAAAATAAGCCAACTAATTTCCTCTCAAAAAACTAAAAGACACTGAAAATGTTATAAAATAAACTACATAGGATCCACGAATGATCTTTACTAAATAGAACATCATCAAATATTGAAAATGCTGTCATGTGGAAAAGGAATTGAACTGATACTGAGTGAGCACAAGGCATAAAATCATGACCAATGTACAGAGAGATGGATTTTATTTCAATACATGGAGGAATTTTGTAGCTGTGTTGTACAAGGATGGAATGGGTGACTTGCGAGGTAGATCATTCCCTGATATTGTAAGTCTTTTAACAAGAGTTTGACAGCCTCTCGAAGCATGTAGTTGTGGTACAAGCTGCAGAATATTTTGTGTAAGTGATTTTTGAGAATACTTTCAATGCTGAGGTTATATAAATCTAACATATTCTCTACGGGCAGTGATAATATTCAGATATTCACTTACATGTTCATTCATTTGAAAAACATGTATTGAGCATTTGCAGTGTGCTAGGGCTAGGGATGAGATATTTTTGTTGGCTTTGTTTCCTTCAATAACTATAATAAAAAAGTTTCTGCTATTTGGGAAATACATCATACTGTCAAACACCAAAGAGACTTTGAACCTTCAATGTTAATACGTAGTTATGTTTGCATTTATTCATATACACAAATTTAATATTTCAAATATGTATTTCAGTTCTTTCCAAAAAATAAAAAGGTAATCATGAATAAAATGTTTTAAGACCTCAGTACTAGTTAGAAACTGGCTAATTAAAAATATTCGTATTTTAATTTGGAAGATTCTGCTAATGATAATATATAATGGGGGTATATCTCCATGTATCGTGAGTACAATTTTTAGAATCTATTTGCAAACTCCTCTTTACCAGCTGTCTTAGTCCGTATTGTGCTGCTGTAACAGAATACCACAGACTGGGTAGCTTATAATAAACAAATTAATTTTTCTCACGGTTCTGGAGGCTGAGAAGGCCAAGATCAAGGTCCTGGCCATTTTGGCTGGCTGGTGAGGGCTGCTCTAGGCTTCCAAGATGGCTGCTTGTTGTCACGTCCTCCAGAGGAGACTGGTGTGCCCTCACATAGTGGGAGGTGGAAGGGCAAGCTAGCCACACGCTACCTTGAAGCCTCTTTTTTTTTTTCTTTTATTTAAGGGGTACATACACAGGCTTGTTAGATGGGTAAATTGCATGTTGTTGAGGTTTAAGGTACGAATGATCTCATCACCCAGATATTAAGCAGAGTACTTGACAGGTAGTTTTCCAATCCTCAGACCTCCCTCCCTCCCACTTCTAGTAGTCAACAGTGTCTATAGTTGCCATCTTTATGCCCACGTGTACCCAATGTTTAGCTCCCACTAAGAAGTGAGAACATGCGATACTTGGTTTTCTGTTTCTGCATTCGTTTGCTTTGGATAATGGCCTCCAGCTGCATCCATGTTGCAGCAGAAGACAAGATTTTTGTTCTTATTTATGTTGAAGCCTCTTGTATAAGGGCCTTTATCTCATTCAAGTGAGGAGGAGCCCTCATAACCCAGGCACCTCTCAAAGCCCCCACCTTTTAATACCATCTAATTGGCCATCAAATTTTAACACTTGAATTTTGAAGGGGACACTTTCAAATCATAGCACCAGCTTTATGGAAAAATACTACAGTTATGGTGTCCTTTATGAACTGCAACAGACATATCCAGCCTTTGTTTTGCAAGGAATTCCCAGTGAAGTCCCAGACAAAAAAAAAAAAAAACAAAAAACAACTGTTCTTAACATCTTTATAAGCAAGAAAATATAATATATATTTAGAAATCTTGTTTAATGTGATGTCAACATTTCTTTTTTTATAACATTTCAAAATATTTAATTTTTATCATTTTACTTTGCACTCTTCTTACATGGTTCCTGTTTCATGAAAATAGGATCTTTCAAACTGTGCTTTTCTTAACATTATGCATATAAACTTTCCAATTCTCTGGGAAACTCCTTATAGACATTTAAAATTTTTATAAAGATGCTTTCAATGACTATTAAATGTTATCAGATCATTTTATAACATTTCCCCTTATTTTTGTTTGGTTTTATGTGTTGTATGTATATATATGTGTGTATATATGTATATATTTGTGTATATATTTATGTATATATGTGTACTTATATGAATATAAGTATATATTTATGTATATATGTATACATATATGTATATAAGTATATATGTATATATGTATACATATATGTATATAAGTATATATGTATATATGTATATATAAGCATGTACTTGCATATATTTATATTTTACCTTTAAAATATTATTTATACTATATTCCTTTTATGAATTTTTTATCTTTCATCCTGAAAATAGGACTCTTTAACCAAGAATTTATAGATGGTCACATGGAAGTTTGTGAGCTTCCTAAATTTGTATGGAAACATTATGTCTATATTCATACTTTTCTAAAGAGAGGATCTGTTTATCTTTAATCAAATTTTCAAAGAGTTCCACACTGCAAACAAGAAACAATTACATAATATTATTCTTTACTCAATATTTACTTCCCTGTGTTTTTAACTTTTTTATTATATTTTAACTTCTGTAGTACATGTGCACTACGTGCAGGTTTGTTAAATAGTTATAATGTGCCATGTTGGTTTGCTGCACCCAACAACTCATCATCTACATTAGGTATTTCTCCTAATGCTATCCCTCCCCTAGACCTCCACCCCACAACAGGCCCCAGTGTGTGATGTTCCCCTCCCTGTGTCCATGTGTTCTCATTGTTCTTCTCCCACTTATGAGTGAGAACATGTGGTGTTGTTTTTCTCTTCTTGTGTTATTTTGCTGAGAATGATGGTTTCTAGTTTCATCTATGTCCCTGCAAAGGACATGAACTCATCCTTTTTTATGGCTGCATAGTATTCTGTGGTATATATGTGCCACATTTTCGTTATCCAGTCTATCTTTGATGGACATTTGGATTGATTCCAAAACTTTGATATTGTGAACAGCCTGCAATAAACATATGTTTGCATATGTCTTTATAGTAGAATGATTTATAATCCTTTGGGTTTATACCCAGTAATGAGATTGTTGGATCAAATGGTATTTCTAGTTCTAGATCTTTGAGGAATCGCCACACTGTCTTCCACAATGGTTGAACTAATTTACACTCCCACCAACAGTGTAAAAGTGTTCCTATTTCTCCACATCCTCTCCCGCATCTGTTGTTTCCTGACTTTTTAATGATTGCCATTCTAACTGGCACAAGATGGTATCTCATTGTGGTTTTGATTTGCATTTCTCTAATGACCAGTGATGATGAGCATTTTTTCATAAGTTTGTTGGCTGCATAAATGTCTTCTTTTGAGAAGTATCTGTTCATATCCTTCACCCACTTTTTGATGGGGTTGTTTTTTTCTTGTAAATTTGTTTGAGTTCTTTGTAGATTCTGGGTATTAGCCCTTTGTCAGATGGATAGATTGCAAAAATTTTCTCCCATTCTGTAGGGTGCCTGTTCACTCTGCTGATAGTTCCTTAATTTCTCTTTCTTTGCAGAATCTCTTTAGCTTAATTAGATCCCATTTGTCTATTTTGGCTTTTGTTGCCATTGCTTTTGGTGTTTTAGTCATGAAGTCTTTGCCCATGCCTATGTCCTGAATGGTATTGCCTAGGTTTTCTTCTAGGGTTTTTATGGTTTTAGGTCTTACACTTAAGTCTTTAATCCATCTTGAGTTAATTTTTGTATAAGGTTTAAGGAAGGGATCCAGTTTCAGTTTTCTGCATATGGCTAGACAGTTTTCCCAGCAACATTTATTAAATAGGGAATCCTTTCCCCATTTCTTGTTTTTGTCAGGTTTGTCAAAGGTCAGATGGTTGTAGATGTGTGGTGTTATTTCTGAGACCTCTGTTCTGTTCCATTGGTCTATATATCTGTTTTGGTACCAGTATTATGCTGTTTTGGTTACTGTAGCCTTGTAGTATAGTTTGAAATCAGGTAGCGTGATGCCTCCAGCTTTGTTCTTTTGGCTTAGGATTGTCTTGGCAATGGCGGGCTCTTTTTTCATTCCATATGAACTTTAAAGTAGTTTTTTCCAATTCTGTGAAGAAAGTCAGTGGTAGCTTGATGGGGATGGCATTGAACCTATAAATTACTTTGGGCAGCATGGCCATTTTCACGATATTGATTCTTTCTATCCATGAGCATGGAATGTTCTTCAGTTTGTTTGTGTCCTCTTTTATTTCCTTTAGCAGTGGTTTGTATTTCTCCTTGAAGAAGTCCTTCACATCTCTTGTAAGCTGAATTCCTAGGTATTTTATTCTCTTTGTAGCAATTGTGAATGGGAGTTCGCTCATGATTTGGCTCTCTGTTTGTCTGTTATTGGTGTAAAGGAATGCTTGTGATTTTTGCACATTGATTTTGTATCCTGAGACTTTGCTGAAGTTGCTTATCAGCTTAGGGAGATTTTGGGCTGAGAAAATGGGGTTTTCTAAATATACAATCATGTCATCTGCAAACAGAGACAATTTGACTTCCTCTTTTGCTAACTGAATACTCTTTTATTTCTTGCTTTTGTCTGATTGCCCTGGCCAGAAATTCCAATACTATGGTAAATGGGAGTGGTGAGAGAGGGCATCCTTGTCTTGTGCCAGTTTTCAAAAGGAATGCTTCCAGTTTTTGCCCATTCAGTATGATATTGGCTATGGATTTGTCATAAGTGGCTCTTATTATTTTGAGATACGTTCCATCAATACCTAGTTTATTGAGAGTTTTTAGCGTAAAGGGCTGTTGAATTTTGTTGAAGGCCTTTTCTGCATCTATTGAGATAATCATGTGGTTTTTGTCATTGGTCCTGTTTATGTGATGGATTACGTTTATTGCTTTGTGTACATCGAACCAGCCTTGCATCCCAGGGATGGAGCTGACTTGATCATGGTGGATAAGCTTTTTGATATGCTGGTGGATTTGGTTTGCCAGTATTTTATTGAGGATTTTCGCATGGATTTTTTCAGGGATATTGGCCTAAAATTTTCTTTTTTTGTTGTGTCTCTGCCAAGTTTTGGTATCAGGATGATGCTGGCCTCATAAAATGAGTTAGGGAGGATTCCCGCCCCCCCCCCTTTTTTTTGTTTATTTGGAAAAGTTTCAGAAGGAATGATACCAGCTCCCAGCTCCTCCCTGTACCTCTGGTAGAATTTGGCTGTGAATCTGTCTGGTCCTGGACTTTTTTTGCTTGGCAGGCTATTAATTATTGCCTCAATTTCAGAACCTTTTATCCTGGCCTAGACTTGGGAGGGTGTATTTCTCCAGGAAGTTACCCATTTCTTCTATATTTTCTAGTTTATTTGCGTAGAAGTGTTTATAGTATTATCTGATGGTAGTTTGTATTTCCATGGGATAGGTGGTGACACCCCCTTTATCATTTTTTATTGTGTCTATTTGAGTCTTCTTTCTTTTTTCTTTATTAGTCTGGCTAGCAGTCTATTTTGTTGATCTTTTCAAAAAACCATCTCCTGGATTCATTGATTTTTTTGAAGGTTTTTTTTTTTGTGTCTCTATCTACTTCAGTTCCACTCTGATCTTAGTTACTTCTTGTTTTCTGCTAGCTTTTGAATTTGTTTGCTCTTGCTTCTCTAGTTCTTTTAATTGTGATATTAGGGTGTCGATTTTAGATCTTTCCTTCTTTCTCTTGTGGGCATTTACTACTGTAAATTTCCCTCTACACACTGCTTTAAATGTGTCCTAGAGATTCTGGTACGTTGTGTCTTGTTCTCATTGGTTTCAAAGAACATCTTTATTTCTGCCTTCATTTCGTTATTTACCCAGTAGTCATTCAGGAGCAGGTTGTTCAGTTTCCATGTAGTTTTGTGATTTTGAGTGAGCTTATTAATCCCGAGTTCTAATTTGATTGCACTGTGGTCTGAGAGACTGTGGTGATTTCTGTTCTTTTACATTTGCTGAGGAGTGTTTTATTTTCAATTATGTGGTCAATTTGAGAATAAGTGTGATGTGGTTCTGAGAGAAATGTATATTCTGTTGATTTGTAGATGTAGATGTCTATTAGGTCCTCTTGGTCCAGAGCTGAGTTCAAGTCGTGGATATACTTGTTAATTTTCTGTCTCATTGATCTGTCTAGTATTGACAGTAGGGTGTTAAAATCTCCCACTATTATTGTGTGAGAGTCTAAGTCTTTTTGTAGGCCTCTAAGAACTTGCTTTATGAATCTGGGTGCTCCTGTATTGGGTGCATGTATATTTGGGATAGTTAGATCTTCTTGTTGCATTGACCCCTTTACCATTATGTAATGCCCTTCTTTGTCTCTTTTGATCTTTGTTGGTTTAAAGTCTGTTTTATCAGAGACTGGGATTGCAATTCCTGCTTTTTTTTTTCTTTCCATTTGCTTGGTAGATCTTCCTCCATCCCCTTATTTTGAGCCTATGTGTGTCTTTGCATGTGAGATGGGTCTCCTGAATACAGCACACCAATGGATTTTGACTCTTTAGCCAATTTGCCAGTCTGTCTTTTAATTAGGGCATTTAGCCCATTTACATTTAAAGTTAATATTGTTATGTTTCAATTTGATCCTTATATTGTCATTATATTGCTAGCTGGTTATTTTGCCTATTAGTTGATGCAGTTTCTTCATAGCGTCAATAGTCTTAACAATTTGGTATGTTTTTGCAGTGGCTGGTACCAGTTGTTCCTTTCCATGTTTAGTGCTTCCTTCAGGAGCTCTTATAAGGCAGGCCCGGTGGTGACAAAATCTCTCAGCATTTGCTTGTCTGTAAAGGATTTTATTTCTCCTTCACTTATGAAGCTTAGCTTGGCTGGATATGAACACTTCTATCCTGAAACTACTTCTGATGTTTTATCTAAAAGATGAGAAAACATTATTTGAAATATCACCTCAGCATATCATGAAAAGCAAATGTCATTTAAGAAAGCGTGTAACCTATGATTTTAAAATTAATCTGGATTATATCTATTTTACAAAAGGTTACATTAATTTCAGCAAAATGCACAGACTTTTGTCTAATACAATGAGCTCAGATGTTAAAATTGCAGAGACATACATTCATTTCACAGATTTGTCAGTAGTAGCTGAGTGACTTACTGCAAGTTCCTTTATCCTCCTGAGCTTTGGTTACTTATCTTTGAAAAGGGGGTAATTCTTACTAAAAGACAGTTGGTTACAGAGGTTCTCCAAGTATTAAATTAGATAATAAATGTAAAACATGTTTAACTATGTACCTGACACATAAATGAGCACTTGTCGAACAGTATTATAGATGGTATAATGAAAATTATCATTAGTAACAATAATGCATTATTATTACTAAAACTTTAATCATTAATAATCTAGTAGTGGTTTTAAAGGCTTAATGTCTTGGATCAAGATACTTTGAGTTTAGCTGAGGGTAAATGTCACCATCAGATTAGATTAGAGAGGACTTTTCTCCTCTATTTTGGGGAATAGACTGACTATTACATTACATGCAATTCTTTTTTTATTTATAAGCACTAGGAATGGAATTCTCAAACCAACATCTTTATTTTATCCAATGCTCTTAAATTAACATATGTGTACTTACTATAATAGAGTAGACGTAGCTCTTAGGGACTATTCAAAATAGAATAGTGGTACATTATTTATGGCATTAGTTTCCATTTGTTACTAAAAGCAAACTTTACACATGATAAACTCAAGGTTTTTATGTTTTGATTATAAAATTGGTGAGTTTATAAAATAAAGAATAATAGAATACATGTTTATGGGTAGTTAATACTTAGATTTAGTAATTAAATTTTCACAAAATAATTTTACAAATGTATCACACAGTTAATGTTTTTTTCTAAATTTATAAATTACATGCAATTCTTACTGTGATTTACAAGATAAATTTTATCATAAGTGATTAACTAATAAATGAGATCTCACTATCAGCATGCTTTTCTGATTTCATTCTGCCTATGTAAATGAAACTTTATAGTAGAGAAATTTTTAACATCTCAGAAAACATCTTTATGTTTCCTGTTTTGATCATCACCATAACCCTTGAAATAGGTATAATTTTCCCATTCCACAGTTCTACAAGATGACAGGCAGGATAGTTTCATGTGTTTTCGGGGTCATTCAGATGGTAAGTAATGCAAATGGATTTTGAACATAGATTTTCCTTGTCCCAGCTGTTCTTTTCACTGCCGCTATGTTGACGGCATACAACTTCTTAAAGCTTCTCAAAGGGGGATCTCAAAGATATATTTACTTATCTTGGTGTGAAATTAAAAATCTCAACTCTTATGACTAAAATAATATTGTGTACCAGAATTATTAATGTAATTCATAGGCATTTCAGACATGATTAACATGAGCTTCTATCATTTTAAGATTTTATTTACTTGTTTATTTATTATAAACATAATCAAAACTGAAGTGTTTAGACAGAATCACATACTGAACAGGGAAATAGTGAGTGTTGGCTATTGCATAGAATTTGACAGTGCTATATGCTGATGACTTTATACAGAATGTATTAGTGTTAAGATGCACTGCATGTGAATTTGGTTTTGCCATTTGTCCCTAGTTACTATCTCTCTCTCTCACTCCCCACCAATACTTTAGCACATCTATCCATGCATAGTAATAGCTCCCTATTTCATATGACAAAATATTTTTATGAGTATTAAGAGACAGTTAACATTTTGGCTGCATAGTTATGCTGATAGAAATTACATGTGTATATGTGTGCAAATATATACAAAAATATATAGAAAGGAAGAGTCAAATTAGATCCTCAAAGACTTCCAAAAGAAAAGAGAGCAGAAATACTTTACATCTGAAATCTTGTGAACTTGAGTTTGTTTGGATAATAGAAAGATGGCTCAGTACAGGTTTTAGAAAGACTAGCTTGTCAATAAAATTTATTGAGCATGTTAACGAATGGCTAGCTATGAACCTTCAAGTTGTTCAGATAGGATCAGAAGGCAAGGATAGCTAAATCAGTTTAGCCTTTCAAAATGTTTGCATTAGAAGTTTGAGAGGCCTATATGCAGTTAGTTAAAAATCCATTGTGTCTTACTTGCACAATATGGAACAGGATAATTTAAATTCTTATAAACTAGTAATGTTTGGAATCTTTTCATTTGCTTTTGATAATTGCTTTTAGAGATAAATACGCTTGAATAGCACAAAATTAAATACATTCTTTGCTTTGGTCATTAAGTGCTTAACATAATTATGTTAATTAAAACTTTATAATCAGATTTTCTGTAGAGATCATCTTTTCCAGTGTCTAAAGTGCTGCCTTTGGCTGCATTTGATGCTATTAACTCTTCTGCTTTCTAATGGGATAAGGAATTTTGCAACCGCTAATCCAACTTCATCTTTTTGGCCTTATCAACTTCATTTGATGAAACTGATCACTCCCTTCTCTTTGAGACAGTTTCTTCACTTGACTTCATTTTGCAGCACTAACCACTACTTAACTGCTTTCTCCTGATCTCCTCAAGCTCTTTTTATTGGCCACCTTTGCTCATTCTCTCATCTATATACACTCACTTCCTTAAGTACTCTAAGTACTTCTTCATTTATATCTCCAATTTAGATTCCATGTACTCACTTACTCCTGCAGAATTCCAAAGTCTTATATCTGAATGTTTAGTCAATATTTTCACCATTAGCAATGTCAATTCGATAATTCTAAAATGAACACTTGATTGTGTCCTTTAAACTAGTTTCTCTGAATTTCTTCCCATCTCAGCAAAAGACAAATTCAATTTAGCCAGTATTTGGATCTGAAACTTGGAATATGTTGAGTCTTCCCTCTCACATCCTACATTCATTTCAACAACTTCAATGCAGTTTCATAGTCAGAATATTCTGATAATATTTTAACCACTTTCATCATCTCCATTACCCTGATGCAAGACATCACCATTTTTGGATTATTGCAACTAGTCTCGCCTTGCTTCCTATCTACCATGTAATCTATTTCCTGCATTGTCACCAGGATCATCTTGTTAAAAAGTAAGTCCTATCTTGTCCGTCTCTAATCAAGGCCCTTCACTTGTGAAGGCTGAGTGAAGGCTTCCCCTCTGACTCAGACTAAAAGCCAAAATCTCTACAATAAATTATATTAACATTATTCCCTACTCCATCACCTCTAGATCTTAGGTCCATTATTCTCCACACTCAGGGCCCTCTGTTCTGAGATCCCAAACTCCTACCTCAGGGCCCTTCACTTGCTGTTCTTTCTATTTAGAATTCAATTTCTCATGACATCCAATGGTCAATTCCTTGCTTCTTTCAGATATTTGTTCAAATGTTACCTACTCAGGACTGTCCAGTATGCTTTATCAGAAATTACAGTTGATTTTTGAACAACAAGGGGGTTAGAGGCACTGACCTTCAGCATAGTCAAAATTCTGTGTATAACTTTTGACTCCTCCAAAACTTTACCACTAATAGCCTATTGTTGCCAGAAGCCATGTTGAATACATAGTCAATTAGCACAGATTTTTTATGTTATACGTACTATATACAGTAGTCTTACAATAAACTAGAGAAAAATATGTTAAGAAAATCATAAGGAAGAGAAAAATGTATTTCTTATTCATAAGTCCTCATCCTCTTTGTCTTCACGATGAGGAGGCTGAGGAGGTGCCGGAAGAGGCAGGGTTGATTTTCTTGTCAGGGGTGGCAGAAGTGGAACAAAATCTGTGTAGAAGTGGAGTCTCATAGCTCAAACCAGCATCCTTAAAGTGTCCTTCGTACACCACTGTAACTTTTGGGATTCTATATTGCTTTTCATTTTCACTGCTTTATTTTCCTCCATGTCTTTTTTTTTTTAAAACACTAGGCCCCACAATTAATATATTTTTGCTGTGGATTGTCTGAAGACAGGATTTTTTTGCCTGTGGTGTTCACTATGGTATCTTCAATGCCTGGATTATATAATATACTCAATATATGTCTTGTTAACTGAAATTAGTATGTTTCAGAAGGGAAAATGTTAAAACATTTTTGGTTTATTTATTGCATATTCATAAATATCTTGCCTGAAAAAGATTGTGTATCTAATATATAATGTGTGCATGGCGTTCTTTATTTTCTCTTTCTCCAAAAGAGAAAAAGTAGAACATGCCATGTGTCATTCAGTGGCTTCTTTAGCATGTTTCACTGGCTTCGCTTATTCATTGTATCTCCTTAAAATGTTCGCCATGATATTTTGTATTGAGCTATTATAAAAATATATTTTCTACAAATTTAACATTCTCTTTATTACCATTTGATCTCATCATTCCAAAAATTATTTGAATTTTTCACTTGAAATAAATGAATGTAATTTACTTGTTCGACACAAGCAAACTTGTGTTGAAGTTGACATGCAAAACACTCTTTCTAAAATGATGCAAGTATTTTACATGAAAAGATAAAGGTCAAATCTAAGATTAAAATCTGATATATGATCTACATAAAATTATAATTATATGAACTAAAAAATACAGAATTATATTTACATAATGTGTAAAATATAAATGTATGGTTACATTACTGTACCCCCTTCTTCATACTCCACAAAAAAATATGAATAGAGAGGATTTCAGGTTATAAAACTAGACTATCATCTTTCCAAAACTCAGCTTTTTTGTTTAGCTCCTTTAATCTTCTCACAAAGACAGAAATAAAAAAGGGAGAGAGAGAGAATTAATACCTTTGTCATGGAAAGAAAATAGTAAAATATTAGAAAAATATGGTATAGTGGTTAACAGCGTGGAATCTGGCACAAAATGCCTGGGATTAAGTACATGCCCTAGCATTTGCTAGCACTTATTTGGGAAAGATGCTTACCACTTACTTGCCCTTGTTTTTTAAACTATTAAGTGGAGATATTGATAGAAACTACATAATTAAATTATTTATAAGATTAAATGACTTGGCCGGGCACAGTGGCTCATGCGTGTAATCCCAGCACTTTGGGAGGCCAAAGTGGGTGGATCACCTGAGGTCAGGAGTTTAAGATCAGCCTGGCCAACGTGGTGAAACCCCGTCTCTACTAAATATACAAAAATTAGCCGAGTGTGGTGGCGCACGCCTGTGATCCCAGCTACTCAGAAGGCTGAGGCAGGAGAATAGCTTAAATCCAGGAGGCAGAGGAGGTTGCAGTGAGCTGAGATTGTGCCATTGCACTCCAGCTTGGGCAACAAGAGTCAAACTCTGTCTCAAAAAAAAAAAAAAAAAAGATTAAATGACTTAATGTTTGGAAAAGACTTGGATTACATGTCTGGCATGTAGTAAGTGCTAAATAAGTGTGTGATAACTAAATAAATGGGAAAAGAAAATATTACAATAAGATATAGTATACTGGTAGAGGAAAAACTATTTGGAAGTATATTTTATTACTTAGAGTTTAAATTTCATAAGGTAAAGAATCTTGTCTAGTTAGAAAATATTTAGGTCAAGTAGAAATAGCCTCCTTCTTTCCCTTTTAGTATTTGTCACTTTTTAATTTCTACCACATTTAATTGCAAGCACCTTTTAACTCCCTTATGGCGCTGAAAATTCAAATGTTCATCTCTGTATCCTCTGTCAAACAGCACCTGAATATATATAGAAATGGACTCAGGGCTCTTTTGGTAAGGAATTTAGATGATAGTGACTGGGTAATATCACAATTTTAATATGTAATTTGATTCTTGTTTTTCTTTATAGTGTAGTGGCAAATATTGAAATGCCAGAGGAAAAAAAATGGAAGACTTTAGTAATGTATCTTAATTATACAAAATGAATTGCATAATTTATAATTTAAATGTATTTTTATTAAAATTGCTGTTTAGTACATTTATCTCTCCTTTTTCATTGCAGAATGCTTTTGTTTTCAGAAACAGGTAATTTAGCCAAATACAGAGTAATAAGAAAGTAGTCTAATAGTTTATCCAGAAAGAAAACTTTCAAGATTTTTCATATTCCAGGGATCTCTATCAGATAAAAGAAGTATGAATGCATCTTCATTTCTACACACATTATCTTTATGTGTATAGATGAAAATGAATGAAATGAAAATAAACACTACCATTTCAAGATCAAAGATAATGGATACATTTCAATATAATTTCTTAAAAATTTAAAGTTACTATTTTATAACCTTAAAAATAACTCAATTTACATTTTCTCTTACAGTCTTGTTATTATATTTAACAACAAAATTTACCAACTTACAACTCTAAAGTGATGGGGTAAAAACTCATACCCCAAAGTTTGTTGCTGATGACATTCGTTTGGTTTGTGAAACTACAGACTTTCTCCAGGCATTATCTTTTCAGTTGTAAACCTTTTAACCAGTTCATATGAAAATATCTGCTAACACAGCAAAATCATGAGTGCATGTCTTTCAAATTAAGTTCCATTCATGTCATCATGTTTTTAAAAATATAAGGTAATAAAAGTCTTTCTACCCTAAAGTAAAGTCTTTCACTATCTTTGTAGCAATTGAACTATTCTACTGAACCCAATATATGAAAACCTTTCCCTACTGCTCCCCTCATCTGGTTTCTAATCTAGTTAGGCCTTCTTTATAACTCCCTACTTCTGTGCCTTTGAATATCTAAAGTGGATTAAGAATGGCCACACATTCTCCGTCAAACTTTTCAGTGAGATGTTCATTTTATCCCCTACCTCCACCTCATCCTTGAATCTGGGCTTGTCCAGTGTCTGCTCCCTAAGAGAGGCTGTGCCAGTTCCGGACTTAGCTTTTAAGAGGACTTGACAGTTTTTGTTTTCTCCCTCTTGGAACACAGGTTCTTGGGTTGCTCTCTCTTGGATACTAGCTACCATGGTATGAGAAGCTCAGGCCACATGCAGGGGCCATATGGAGGGAAGCTGAGGCACTCCAGTTGACAGCCCCATGACCCCCCAGCTGACAGTCACTGCCAACTGTCAGCCATGTAAAGTAGCCATCTTGGCTCAGCCCATTCAACCTCCTCGGCCTCAGCCTGCGTCACAGGAAGTGTAACCACCCAGCTGAGCCTATTCAATGCACAGAATCATAAGAGAGATAGCAAAATAATTTGTTTTAAGTCGCTACATTTTGAAGTAGAGAGATAACTAAAGCAATAACCTTCTGCTTCCTTAAATATAGGGCTTAAATTTGGCTCAATTTAAGGTTAGTACCAAGCACCTTTGGTAATTTATTTCTATTGTCTTTATGTTGCATTTTCAACTAGAGTGTAAGTTATTCAAGGTCACTGAATATTGCTGTTTTCTTTCCAATGTGTCCCTATAGTTATTAGTACATTATTAGCAGCATGGGACTCTGATAATCTGAGGTTGCCAGTTGAATCCTAACAGAATGGAAGTGCAAATAGGGCATAGAATGGGTGACTTTCTATGTAAGTCAAAATGTAGAAGACCATGTCCATGTGTATTCTATATATAATATACACATATATTATACATATAATATATATTATATATAATATATATGATATACACATATATACATACAACATCCACACACATTTATATTGGCATTTAATCTGGATTATCTGAGCAAAAAAATTAACTGTCGTCTGAAGTTTTTTGTTTGTAAACTCAACCTAAAATACCCATTTTAGCTAGACACATTGTCATCTGTTGGTAATTTACATGAGGAATTGTGAAAGAATACCAGACTGAAGGGAAAAGAGAAATTATGCTCTGAATCAAAAATAAATAAATAAATTATACAGAAAAGGAGAAAAAGCTAAAGTTATGGTCTGGAACTATGCTATAAAACAGAAGTAAACATAGTAATTTTCTCCTTTCAGTTTCTACCATGTATTCTGCGTGTACTTGATTGGGGAAGTAATAGTAATTAACGATTTTCTCTGAATGGGTGCTGTATGCAAGACCATTTGCTAGTTTAACAACAGTGAAGCATGTTTCAACTCAACACCCTGGATTCAACAAATAGAATGCTAGTATGTCTATTCCTGATCCAAGACTATTTTTTAAGGTATTAAAAAACAGGTATTGTTTAAAATGTGAGAGATTTTACTTTTTTAATTCCAAGTGCACTTTTGAGTTATTTTACTTTGAAAATTAATAACTGTATCAGTACTTAAAAATATATCCAATATAATTAAATGATTCTCCAAATTTATTTCCTTGAGCACCTGACAATATTCCCAGGAAACCTCTCCCTGCTATGTTGCTTCCCAGAATTCACATTTCTGTGTTTCAAAACTGCACTTCCTTAGAGAGAAAAAGGTTAGAAAATAACGCAGACTACAAAAGGCATAGTGTATGTGTGGGGGTGGGGGTGAGGAATTAAGTCCCTTGCACTCTAGATTAAGTTGCATTTATATAAAATCTAAAGGTAATTGGTCTTTATATAAAGGACACATTCAACAACATTTATTAAATATATTTTTAGACTATTTTAAAATTCAAGTGATTCACAAAAACAAATATTACAGCATAGCGCTTTATTCATGCCATCATACAGTCGATCTGTATTCTTCAAGTACATTTTGAATTTATAATGAGAACAGTTTAAGGCATAACTCTTCCCACTCAAATCTAGGTCTTTCTCAAGTGAGACACTAGAGAGAGTAGAAAGGGAGGAAGAGATAGGGCGAGAAGAAAAGGAGGGAGGGACAGAGATGAGGACGAGAAAGAAGAAAAAAGGGAAAGAGAAAATACCGTCTGAAGTCCACAGGCTTATCTATCCCAAGCATGTCTACCCCACGCATGTGGGCATCATATCCAGGTTGTAACAAAGAGGTGACCATGGCGTTTATTTTTGGCTCCAGACAGGCGGATTCAGCCTGCATTGCATGCATGCATGTCTGTCACCTCATCTAAGTCCCCATTCCTTCCGGAGTTGTGAGCTCCAGATCCAAGAGTGCCCAGTGCACGGTGCTGGGCACGCTGTCCCTTGGCGAGGCTGCCACAGGTTCCTGAGTGTGCGGTCAGGGGCGTTGGTGCATTGATACGTTAGGCGGAGGGAGGAGTACCATCTGCCAGAGTCTTATCTCGAGTCCCACGTTTTCTGGCCATCGCGGAGGAGTGTGCGAGGACAGGTAGCCCTCGCAGTGACAAGGCGCGCGGAGTGCGGTCGTGCAAGGCGGGGGAGGAGCGGGGTGGCCCTGCCGAATCTTAACCGGGGCCCCGGGTGTTTGCAGACCCAAATAAAGCCGCCTTGGGTCTCCACGGTGTCCTCCAGAAGCTGCTGCCTGAGAACTCTGAGCCTCAGCTCTGTCTTGCTTCGGGATCCTCTTCCTCCTCCTTCCCCACCCCCTACCTGGCCTGAACGGCGGAACGCGCGGCTCGGGGGATCCCCTCTCCCTGGGACCGGCCCTGTCCCGGGTCGCCTCCACCTCCCGCAGCCGCCGCGCCCCGGCTCGCCGCGCTCCCGCCGGCACCATGGAGGAATTCCTGGGACAACCGCCTGCAGCCGGCGACTTTTCCCCAGGAATCTCTGGCCTGGCGCCCTTTGGGTGAGATGACGGGGTGCTGGCATCCCTGTCGGTCCCAGATTACCCGGAAAAGCCCTGGCAGGTAAAGAGAGGACCCGCGCAGGCTGGGAGCTCCCACTCCTCCTCCAGCGTCACGCTCGCCCTCCGCCGCTGCCTCGCGTCCGGGTCTGTTTATATAGCGTCTGGAGGCCGGGAGGCATTGCCCACCCCCGCCAGGCGGCCCGCCCTCCCCTCCTGGGCTCCGGGCTGCCGCACGTGGCAGACACCAGCGACGTCTCCGCGGAAGGCAGGCGCCGGGGAGTGGGGCGCGGGCGACCGTGTGCAGCCGCGGCGCATCTCCGCCTTCCGCTCCTCCTCGCAGCGCCCTCGTCCGCTTCCAAGCCCAGCACAGACTTCGGTTTCTCCGCCTCCATCCCCTTTACGAGAAGAGGAGATCAAAAAATATTGCCCTTTAGGTGCTCGTGATGGTCCTGTGGGTTCGTTCAGTTGCCAGAAAAGAATGGTAACATGAACAGCGGAGCGTGAGAGCGTCACCGGGGGAAGGGACGAGATTGATGGGCAGAGCGCTCACTTCTCAGAGGATCGCATTCCGAGGACCGCGCGAGGAAGGGACGTCGCGGCGCCACCACTTCCTGGCTGGACTCCGCTGACATCTGTAGCCTCCTTTCCACCAGGTTCCCGGGGCTCCCAGCCGCTGCCTGCAGAGGAGCGTGTAGACAGCGCGCGAGGGTCCGGCACTTCGTGGACCTCCATCCGAACCGGAGTTCTGCCCGGATCCCGAGTCCCTGGATCCCGGTGGAGCCCGCCGGCAAGCTGGCTCCGGAGGGAGTTGAACTTGAGTTCAGGTGGGTTATCCCAAGGGGAGCACAGGAAAAGATGTTCAGGGAAGACGAAGAAGGTGACGCTGTTCCAATGTCAAAAGCGGACACTTTTCTTCCTGACACTTGAAGGGGTTGAGCCAGTTCCTCTCAGTTCTGTCTCCTAACCCGCTCCACCCCGACCCAGCCCTCCCACACTAAGGAGGTGGGGGGCGAACAACAACAACAGCAACAAAAACTCCCAGTTACCTAAGTATCTAGCAGGCTGTTGACTTTTTTATAACTTACCTTTAGTCAATGAAACGACCATATTTACTCTATTGCTTTATATTAATGGAGGTCAATGGGCTTAATGATTTCTTTAGTCAAGTCATTTATTTCTAAGCCAATAGATAATGCCTTCGTCATAGTTTTCTGGGGGGAAAGTAACTGTGCGTTTGTTCTGCAGATGGCCAACTCCCTCTGAATCCTGCAGATTGGTGCTGAGCACGCAACAAAAGTTTGTAGCTTCTCAGTTTCTGGTGCTTCGCAGGGGAGAGGAAAGGAATTTGACATTAAACACAAGAAGCAGTCAGGGAGCCATCTCCTTTAACTTTTCTTCTCTGTTACCATTTGCAATGAAGAGGAAACAGAAGAGATTTCTGCAGATGACTTTGTTGTTCACGGTGGCTTTAATTTTCCTGCCTAACGTTGGTCTCTGGTCTCTGTACAAGGATAAGCACCTGGTGAAGTCAGCGGAGCCCGGGGAGCAGCAGGTAAGTGCCACCCAGAGAAAGATCACACAAGGATTGGTAAGGCAGTGATCCTCGCGCGGGGACTCGAGAAAGCCGGTGTGGGATCGCCTTGGGTTTTCCCCCAAGTCTTGACAGAGCTGATTATTACAAGACTCTAGAGACTTTGGGGTTTAAGCAAGTAGATGTTTTAAGATTGCAGCCAGTAACATCGTGACATGTACAACTAGTAAAGAAGGATAAGACAGGTCAAGAAGAAGAGAAGATAATCTTTCACCATTGGTCTTAGGTTGATTTTGACTTGAGGTGGATGAAAGGTAACTGTTCAGCTATGGAGGTGGGAGTGGGTTTGGTGCAAGTTTAATGACAAGGATAGGTTTTTGCTTTCCATTTGGCATGCATGTCTATGTTCAGGTGAATTGGGCCAACTAAATCATTAAGATTGTGAAGTGGTTCTTTAAAAATCAAGCTATGGTTTTCAGTATTTTGGTTGTAAATTTTGCTTAGCAACAGCTTTTTACCCTGTCGAAACTTAAAGTCTCTCTTTCGTCTCCCCTGTTGCTAAGGTGCTGCCATGGGGCACACAGGCAGAGTTATTAAGGACGTTCATTCCGTTTCACAGTCGCTTGATAACAGTATGTTGCTAACAGCTTGCTGTCATATTGGAAACACCCATACTAAAGATATGTAGTATAATATGTTTTCTTTCTACTTAATATGTAACTCATTAGTATGTATATACCTCATGACTTAACATGGACCAAAATAACTGTGTTCCCTGGTGAACAATAATGCAAAATAGACTTCCCAAAATGTTGATGAAAATCAATGTTGTCGAATTCCTTGTTTGTTAATAAATAAAATAGCTTCCGTAATTAAACGTTTAACAACAGAATGCAGTCTTCTTCATGATATTGATAAACCACTTTTTCAGTTAGTCCTGTGCATCACCTTGGAATATTAATATTCTTAATTTCAAGGGTCATCACCCATGAACACTCTGTACCTTCCACACATAGAAAATGTTGAAGTAGTCCATTCCTGGAAAACAGCAATATATAGTAATGGCCATTAAATATTTGCTCTTATACTTAATGAAGTTTAATTTTCTTTTTGCACAGTGGTTAGTTGTGCAATATAAAGAGGTAATCTGCTTTTTCATTATGACAAGAAATCATTACCAGTCTCTAAACTTTAAAGAGAATGAGTTGTCCATGGATTTTTAGTGGATTGTTATTTCGAGGAAAAATGTTGACATATTTTCATTTAGTTGTTAATATTTATTATCCTTTCTAATAGGAATTCAACTTTGGTTTGAAGTATATTCTGTTTTGTCATTCCAGTGAAAAAAAGAAGATGGACACTTTGGATGTGAAACTTTTTTTGTTCTTATTTACATCATTCAACCCTTGATGTAAAACAGGATTTTAATAACTTTAGTAGTCAATATGCTATTATGTAAAATCTCCACTCCATGCTGGTAAAACAGGAAAGGCAAAATTATTTTTTCTTGAAATTTGCTAATTCAATTAACAATAACCATCTGAAGTATTTGCTGGTATAGCTAACATAAAGCGCTAATTAATTTTATTAATGAGATTCTTACAACTTTCACATTGACTCTATAATTTTGACCCTTAATGAGAAAATTGTTTGTCTAATAGCAGAAAAAAAAAACTGTGACAGTTTAACTCTCTGATCTGTCATTATAATAATTGACTGTTTCCTTATTTCTGGTTCTTCTGTAGTGCAAATGATACTTAATTTCAGGTAATAAAGTAATGGGTATAAAAGACATGGGGTGGCAAGAGAATTTTCGTATACTGTAGAATAAATAACTGAAATTGATTGATATTGTATGACATTCCAGTTTAATAACTCTATGTAGAGGCTTTGAAACCAAGTGGGGAAGAAAATAAGCCCCAAAATGAATGTCAGTCATCTACTTTAATATTACCTAAATAATGGTTTTAAAACTAATACTTTTTATAGATTAAAAAATAAAATTTAAAAGGTAAAAATTAATTGATTACTTAATGAAAAATATAATTCACTGTAAAATAGAAACAGTTCATTTTCATTGGTTTTATTCTATTATTTATTATAATTAGAAGGAAAATTAGGATATGTTGTCCTCAATAAGCAAGTTTTGGGTAAGTAAGAGTTAAGTCATTAATATTGATATTGGAACAAATAAAAAGCAACTTTTAAAACATGCTTAATATTGTGATGTAATATTTGGCTAATGTATGTGTATATTGCAATGTTAGCAAGGTGGCTAAACACATAGGTTTTAAATTGAAACATAATTTGGCTACTGGGTAATATGTTATTTCTATTTAGCAATTAATTTTTAAAGGACATTTTCATGGTTAATTGCTAAATGTTCCCCAGAACACATTTACTACTATACTTCTCCCCAAGTTGCAAAATATTGAGGATGAAGATAATGTGCAGATCAAAGCACTGACAGCAATAAGTACTGAGGCTAGTCAAACAAGTCACATGCCCAAATGAGTGAACTATTTTTACAGTACTTATGTGTAAAACAGCCAAGGGTTCTAGTTCTGAGTATCATGTGGTAGTGGTCATAAGAGCTGAAAAACTTGCACTGTTTTAAATAGTTTAATTATTAGAAAAGGTTACAGGGAAATAATTTAATTTATGGAAATTCAAAATTATGGAATGGCTAATTCTTTTAAAATATACGTTATTTATATTTTAGCAGATGATATCACTAATAATTTTTCTATCTAGTATTGAGTACAAATTGTACTAATTCTGCAATCTGAAGTAAATAAAATAAAGGGAAGTGAAACAGGAAACACTGATGGGAACCATGTGGATTAATTTTCACAATGTTTAGTATTTAACACTTTTTTTCTCTAATCTACTGTCTGATTACACATTAATTGTTTGTATTTTCTAGACCTTCATTTAAAAATAATATTTAAGATAATTTTCTAATATTTTAAAATCTTCTGCATTTATGTTGCAGAAAATGAAACAAGGACGTAAAAATTACCAAGTTATTTATTTCAAAGTTTTTCTTTTTCCTTTACTCTCAGAAAACCAAAGAGGATCGATATAACAGTTTTAATAACATGATACAATTAAAAGTTTTTTATGGTTTGGGATCTGCAAAATTGAAATCAAGTCACTGAAATAAATATGAAGTTTTTGAGATTTTAAGATTTTATAAAAATTATATTTTTAAATTTTTATTTAGATGTTACATTATTATAATTGTGATGTGTTATTTTCAATTGACTTAATTTTGTCTTTTTTTGTTATTGGGATGATATAAGTATCTCCTTTATGTCATTTAGAAATATATATGTATATTAAAAGAATCTACTGATAATATATTTAGCTGAGAATGATTGCTATATAGTCATTGTAAAGTAATTCTTAGCTTCATTTTTCTGTTTAAACATTTGAAATGCTCCTCTTCTCTTGTTTCAGCTGTATTTGCATTAAATACCACTTACATATTTAGGTCATAAGCTGTGAGTTAGGATGATACATAGAATAATACTATATTTTAGAACAAAACTACTATATCCAGTCTTATTGTATTTCTCTTTTCTTAATCACTTATTCAAGAATATGTGAAAAAAAATCTAGCACCAAATACTTTCTTTTCCTAAATACATTTTTAAAAACCCCAAATTCCAAAAAAAGTAACTGTAATAGTAGTTTAGCAAGTAACTTGGAAATAATATTAATTACAGAAATAATTCAAGAATATTTAGAATATGAAGAGGATCTTGCAATTTTTTAAATAAAAATGAGGGCCAAAATCTTAGAATTTTAAAACAGATCAGAACTGTTCAGAATGATTTTAGAAGCTTATATTGTCCTAGATTTTCTACCACATTAAAAAAAAAAAAAAAGCCTAGGTCCTCTATGTCTCTTTGAAATTGTGGAACCCTATTATTTATTTGAATTTCAGAATTTCTATTTTTAAAGTAGGACTCTTCGTGTGTGTCACATAACAAGATGAATAAAGTCCTGAGAGCTCACACCTTATATATGGAAAATATTGTGGGGTAATGCATTGTTTCTGTCTTGTAAACTGTGCTTGACAGATATGTGACTTTACCTCCATTAAAAAAAAATTCTGAAAAGGATACCTTAGCATCTTTGTCTAATTCATCTAATGTTAATCAGCCCTACACTGCAGGGGAGCCTTCTTTTTGAACAACAATATTTTTTCCAGTGGCTTTTAAAACTTGTTTTATAACATGAAAATAAGAAAATATCAGATAATTGGTACCCAGTGTATGCAAACTGTCTTAGGCATTTTTTTTTTAACATGCTGATCACTAAAGCTGTAAAATTTATGTCTGTGTTCCTTTTTTAGCAAATACCTTAGAATTTGGAAGAGCTAAGGACAGGAGGAAAAATTTACACCTACACTCAGGATGGCACATTATCAATACACTAGATATGAAAGGACACATTAGTTTGAGCCACAGTGGTCTTAATTAGCTAAGATGTAGATTTTAAATTAGGGTTTTAAAGGACCGTTTCTGGAATTTATGGAAAATGCATTCAGAATCACTACAGGGTGGCACCACACGGAACACTGTAACAAGTATCTTAATTATTTGCTGTGACCTGGTAGATCACTACATGATTAGTTCATCACATTGCCCCATGGGAGACAGAGTGTGAAACACAGTCTTCTGTTCACAATCTGGTCAAAAAAATAAATAAATAATTTTTCCCCTCTATTCATTTCTGAGTTGGACAAGCTGTGCTGAATCAATTAGTTTCCTATAAGTTTTCCCTGCAAAAGGAGCCAAATCAAGTTGGAATATATAGGAAAAGGGTGAGAAAGGTTGAGTGGTTTAAACGGTGTAGAAGAAAGGATTGAATTTTTTTGTTTGTTTGTCAGGAGTAGCCGTGACAACCCTTAGAAAGTTTGCAGCCATGTCTCTCCTTGCAACATTTTTATACAAATGAAAGACAGCTGAGGGACATCAACAATAACATTACAGGCAGAGATAAAACTTAAAATCATGAGAAGGCATCAGAAGATGTAAGTGGAATATAGAATCAGACTTAGATATGTTTCGTGCATCATGTATTCCCATTTCTCCCTTGATTGGCTTGCTTATGGGGAAGAGTTTTAGCTCTGGAAACATCAGATCTTTAAAACCATCTAAGGAGACCATGTTCTTTTCTTTTGCTCATATTTGCATGTGTTTACAAAATTACTGTTATTAAACAAAGGTGCAAGTGTGCAAAGAAATGGAAGGTTCTGAAGATGACAGTAAAGACACACTGTCCTAAACTTGCTCTCCTTATCACCTCACTGTACAGCTAATGATTTCTAAATTATCTCAAAATGTAGTCGTAATGCTTGAATGGACAACAAAAAACAACAGATAAAAAACCTGTGTGCTATGGAAATATGTACTTAGACACATAAAATATATCTATATAGGGTTCATTTAAAGGTTGTAAAGAAGGACAAGCATTCACAAAACTTCAAGGCATCATGACCTCTAACTTTCTTCACTAATGTGTTGATGTCTGTCACTGCTTAACAAGCAAAATGGCATCAGAAAGAGGGTGAACAAATAAAGGTATATTTAGGGCTAATGATGAATTCAAGGTAAAGCACATCAATGTTTCCACCAAGGTTTTTGCTTCCAGTGTGGTAGGGCAAAAAGATGTGAACTGAATTATTGGTACTCTCAAATTAAATGTATTCATTTTATTAATTCATTTAGCAACAGACATACACAGGTACATATACCCATATCCGTAGTTTCACTTATAAAGAAAAATTAAATCCACCCAACTGTTTTGTTTTCAGCAATATTTTTAACTTCTGTGACTTTTTGTTTTTTCCATTGCTTTGAATCCACAATAGGTAGGTAGGGGAATTTGAAGCACCATTGAAATGAAGTATTCTAGAAAAGTATGCAGAAAGATAAAGAAAATGCATCCATCTCTAGAAGTGCTTACATCTACTTAGCAAGTGTGAAACTCACAATGAGGATTTAGTCTGTTAGTATGGCACAGATTATAAATAGGAGAGTCGCTGTTATAATGTAATATAATTAACACAATTGTTCTTGTTATAGAGCATGATAGTAGCTACCACCTGTCTTAAGGACTGGTGGTTTCTCAATAAGGGCTAAGAAGGCCAATTTTGAATTATTTCAAGTATTCAAATATTCATGGACTATGATTTCAATACTTGAAATCTAGAAATCCAGAGAAAATTATAATAATTTTGAATTTTTTCATTATATTAAAAATGACCAAATTGTTAGGTATGCCACATAAGTTTTAGTGAGGTGGCCTTTCCTTTTCCCTCATATATTTATTTATTTTTCCCCAAGACAAGGTCTTACTCTGCCACCCCAGCTAGAGTGCAGTGGTGCAACTGTAACTCGCTGCAGCCTCAGTCTCCTGGGCTCAAGCAGTCCTCCTGCCTCAGCCTTCCAAGTAGCTGGGACTACAGGCAGGCGCCATGATACCTGGATAACTTTTTAAAAAATTTTTTTTGTAGCGACAAGGTCTCACTATGTTACCCAGGCTGGTCTCAACTCCTACTGTCAAGAGATCCCCCCACTTCAGCCTCCCGAAGTGCCGGGATTGCAAGCATGAGCCCCCACTCCCAGCCTTGTGCCCTTATTTCTGACATGTCTCCCCAGCTGGAAAATCCAATTGAACTTAAGGAGAAATATCAGAATTTCTGTAGTATTGGGTCTTGTTCTCTTTTAGGTCAGAGTGTAGTCTCTAGAATCAAATTATTTAGGCTTAAAAATTCTGGCTTAGTATGTTGTGACATTTAAGAACTTATGGCTCTTCCCTGGATCAGTTTTCTTAATTAGTAAAATGCAGGTGATGATACCTTTTTTGTAGTGTTATAATGAGGATTAAACGCTTAGCATCTTTAACAGTATATAACAAGGCTTAACGGATATATATATATATATATATATATATAGTTATTACACACAAGTGTTTATAAGCAATCATTGCCTTTACCAAGGTAATTAGTGTTTGTTTAATAAATATTTACAGCTGGCTTCTCTTTCAGAGGCATTGTCAAGACAGCACAGCAGAGCAACGTCACTGGTGTGTTGAATGTAGTAGGGAGGACTGTTGAATAAGCCAATAGAGTCTTAGAAACTAAAAGGGCATTTTTCTTAACATTTTGGATTTCATACTTAAGGATAAGTTGATTATTTTAATTTTTTTATTGTTTATTACAAAAATTACTAAAATTAGTTCTTGATGTATTGTATTGAAAACTATCCAAAAGTTGAAGCTTTTAATAAAAAAGAAAAGAAAAAAGGCAATATTTCTTTGTAGTGACTACTGTCATTTCCTATAAAAATAAAGTCCATGAGTCAATATAAGCATTTTTTTTTCTTCTTACTAATTACAGGCAAGAAACTGAGAACTACTTTTGTTGTTGCTGTTTAAATCTTGGCCATGAGTTTGGCTGGATTATTCGAGGAGAAAAAAAGTTAAAAAGTAGAATAAAAACTCTCAAAATCATTCAGCCACTTTATGGAGTTAGCATTTTTTTCAGTAGAATTAGGGGACAGATAAAACATATTGCATTGTGCCTGTTCTTCTTATAAAAATTACACAGGGTTGGCATTAAGCAAAGGGGAGTTCAGATACTTCAAGTTTGTAGGTGGGCCTCATCCCTTACAGAAGTATGTAACTGTGGGCATGCTACTTAACATCTTTAAACCTCAGTTCCACACGTGGAAACACAAAAATTACCTCATAATAGGGTAGCTAGGAGAAATAATTGGATTGTATGTTTAAATTGCTTGGTACATGGTAAATAATGAGGGAAGCTTTACAAATAGCAATCTATACTTTCTTGACTTTTTAGAACGTCCATTGAAGGTAGTAAATAACCTTAAATATTGTGTACACCTAAAAAAGATATAATAAAATACATAAAATCTACCACTATCAATTTTTCTTTTATTGTTGATACCATATTTTTGGATATGCAATATGTGCACCATACTGGGATAGACCCAGAGGGAAATAAGCAATTAAACCATAAACCTGTTTTCAATTAACTTCGAATCTATTAGTTTAAAAAGGCATATGTACACTTTAATATAAGGCTGGATTACATGGCTTTACAATAAATACATGCTCAAATTATTTAGAGTTTAGAAGAGGTAAAAAATATGTAAGTTATTGTGTGATGATTGTATGTGGTCCCACTCTAAGTCGTCTGTACCTTTAGGATTTAATCGTCCACCAAATTCATTGACAGGTTCTTCTATATAACTGAATTCACAAGTAAGGAAGGCACAAAGACAGAATTTGAGTCCATGAGCTCTGGATTTATAGAAAAAGAAACTAATTGGCAATGTTAACAGCCACATTGTTTAAGGGTTTCAAGATGTCATTAGGCTTGATAATTTGTCCCTGGTATTCTCTTGATTATAGTTACACACAATTGTAGAAATTTAAATAAAATTATACTAGATTAAATGGTAAGACTAAATATTTAACTAAAATATCTTATATTTTTAAGACGGATAATGGATACTGGTGAGGTCAGCATTGATCTAAATGGCTGGATGTGGGACCCTGGTTGGTAAGATACAAGTCAGGAGAAGGCTGATGCCCTGAGAGATTGAGGGGACAGTCCCAAGGAGAATGGAGGTAGTCAAGTGAAATAAAGCAAAGAGAGAAGCAGCAATGGTTATTATCCAAAAGGCAAATTTAGAGTCTGTGCTTTTAATAGTTTGAATGTTTCTCCTGGCAGAGATGTCTGAGATTTTTTTCCCATGCAAATATCTTACTACTTTAGAGAGGTAATTAAAAATTTCTGAAATAGTCTATAAACTGTGAATATATATATATGTATATATATATACACACACACATATATATATATATTATAGATGTCTTAGCTAGAAAGATGATAGATGGGTAATCAGATATTTATTATAGTTTATATAATCTTATGAAAAAGACTGACGACTATAATACTGAAAGGAGATGTCAGGAAACCATACAGCCACCTTGTCAATAAGTAAGCAAGCTACCTGTCAACATAAATGCTGATGATGACCAGATACACAGAGTGAAGGAAACAAACAAATAAACAAGCAAGAGTGTACTTAAGCATAGTATAGTAAGTGGGGATAGATGGGTGGGTGGTGGTACTTATTGCAACTAATATCCAGTTGCCAAAAAATATTAAGATAATATATTCATAATAAAAGGATAAAGTGATTATAATAAAACAACAATAAAAGTAAAAATAAAAGTCCACATATTAATAAACTTTAAGGTCACATTTATTGAACTTCTAACATTTCTCTGACACTGTATTAAACTGCTCTTAAGTCCTCAACACAAATCCATTTTATATATATATATATATATATATATATATATATGTAAAATATTACTATCTTATATTACAAATGCAAAGAGATTTTAAAAAGTTGTCAAGGTAGTACAGGGATTTTTCTATCAATATCAACTATTGAGATTATATGAAGTTCACCATATATTACAACTGCATCGGAAATATCCTAGGTCATTGCAACAAAAGAAATGGTATAATAATTTAACTGTGAAAGTCAATATGCACAGTGGTGAAGGGCATGGACACTAGCTCCAGACTCCCTGGTGTTAGTTCCAGTTCCATTATTTAACTACTCAAAGACCTTGGACAAATTACTTATCTTCCCTGTGTCTTAGATTTCTCATTTCTAAAAAGAGTATAAAAAGAGTGTCTAATGGATTTAGATGGTGTAAGGCTTTAATAAGCTAATCTGCATAAAATGCTTAGAAAACTGGATTGAACATGATAAGCAATTTAAAATGTTATCTATTATTACTTGTTAGAATTCTAGAAAATTAAGATTGGAAAAAGAGAAAAAGCATGTTCCTATTATTACTTGTTAGAATTCTAGAAAGTTAAGATTGGAAAAAGAGAAAAAACATGTTCCCACACACTTTCTTTCATGAACCATCATGAATATGTTTCCCTTTTTGGATACATTTTTGCATTTTTATTTTTATTTTTTGTTTCTAGATCCATCAATGCCTCTTGATATTTTTGCATTTTAAAGTAGTTTTTAAAAGTGTTTGAATCATGTTTAACTTCTTCTTTCACTTTTTAAATTCTTGAGTAGCCCATACAGAAAATAATACGGCACTTGTTTCAGAAGTTTTTGTAACTTGAACCAAGGTCTCATGTGGTCCCACCTGTCAGAAGCAAATTAGATTTCAACAGAGAATGTAGCTCTTCCCAGAATATGCAATGAACAACGAATGCTATTTTGATGACCTTTCCCCTCATATTTTTAGTTCTGTTCTTACTACATGGTGTTAATTTCTGAACATGTATTCTGCCCTCAGGGAAAAAACGATCTTTTAAATTGTGTCATTAAATCAGTCTAGTTGCCAAAGACAATTCTCAAAGAATGTCTTTAGGGCTGAATACTTTATTATTTCATCTAACTTGAGTTTTAACGTTGTTGTTTTGGTTGCATCCAACAGTCAGGTAGAATTGGAAAAATCAAGAATAATGCGGCTGGAGACCATAGTTGAGTAACTTGATGAAGGAAGTGCTTTCTCACGCCCTCTTCTAGTGCTTCCAAGAAACCAGCTGGCCGGAAAGACAGGGGAATGGAAAGCTGTGTAAAATTAAGTGATGGGGGAAAATAAAAATGCTTCTGTTCCCTAGCCGAGTGAATTTTACCATTTTTCAGATAGCCTAGCAGAATGGTGTCAGATTAACAACTATGTAATGGAATTGTCCCCCCTCTTAACTTACGTAGAAACTTTTAACTTTTCTTTCACAAGCCAAAGGAAATTACATTTTTTTGGAAGATCTTTGGCATTCCACGACAAAGATCTTGAGTTCTAATATATGAAATACAGAGAGGAAAATAAGCATCAGGGAAACCAATAGATAGAGTTCAAGAAAAGTGCAGAAATATAAGCAAGTCTATCACTTTACACCTCTTCTCTCCTCTTCCCAACTTCTTAGAGCCTTTTCTTTTCCTCCTTTTCCTTTAAAAGACAAGTTTCACATAGGGACTGATTGGATCAATTATTAGCCCGATGAATAGATGAAAGATGAGACACTTCAAAAACTTGAATCTTTTGCTTCGTAAAAAACATTCTGTTGAACATCACCGTGTTTCCAACTATTAGAATGTGTGTGATGTGAGAAATATTTTTCAGCTCAAGTCTTCTGCTATTGCTCTTTGTTGTCATTGGTTTGTCTGTAATGCTGGGACCTGTCAGTTTATTCCAAACTACGCAACCAGAAAGTAAATATAGCTTAGTTGTGTCACCTTAACAGAAACAATCTTTCACAAGTTAAAAGTATAAACTGGTACAGTGAAACATAAACTACCTGAAAAGAATCATTCCACATTTTCCTATTCAGCTCTCTTCGTCGTTTTTGGAAACTGCTTTTTCCAATCTTCTTTCTCTCTTCAAATCTCCCGTGCCACCACCTCTTTTATTATGCTTGGTAGGTAGCCTTCCTTCATCTTTCACTGTGAGTATAGGATTTTCATTTGGGGAGAACCACGACTCATGTCATAAAACCAGAAAGCACTGCCATTTGCATGGGTGTTTTCCCAATTCTCTACTTGCCTCCTGTTACTATGGAAAAACATCTCTAGCTTTAAGATAAATATGGAACCTCTATCCAGACTATGAATCACAACTTTCTTTAGGAACGTCCACATATTTTGTTTTTCTTCTCATTCATTTATTTTCAGCCTTTTCCTCTCAAAACATCCCTCACAATAATATTTAAACATGCTGAGGTTTCTCCCCCTATTGGAGGGGGTAGGGGAGCCATTCCTGACTTTCCGTTTCTACCCACCTCAGGCTGAATCTGACTCCTGCTAATCTGCATTAACCCCTTTCGCCAATATCATCAGCAATCTCTAGTTAGTTGTTTCAAAGCCGCATATCATTAGTCGTATTACTTGTTAGAAATTAGCTTAACACTCCTACGGAAAACGGTCTTCTTCATCTGAGAAGAGGTGGTGAGGTAGGAGATTTGAGGGGAGAAGGGATTGGAAAAAGCAGCTTTTGGAAGACAGAAAAGAGAGTAGAACAGGAAAACATCAAGTGGCGTGTGCTGGTAATTCAGGCTTCTCGGTGCACACCCCTATTTTAATTCTTCTGTCTTCACTGCCATTCCCAACCAACACCCATACCACGTACATTTACCAGTATCCTTTACAGACTCCTACTTGTGTTCTTTTCCTAAAAATATGCTCATCGGGAGTGTCAACCTTAAATAATGAGATTCAGAAACTATTAAGTATAGAGTTTATTCAAATGCAAAACTTGAGAACAGCCACCTGGAAACATGGACTCCAAATGAATGGGATCAGTGTTCCAAAGTGGAGAAGTTAAGGTTACACTTTATATAGGCAGAGATAAAAAAGTTCCAACAAGGTCACATTTGCCATACAAGACTAGTGCATATGCCACAGCTATTTGATTGATTACAGACTGCTACATTACAAGGAAGATTACTTTATTACTCTGTGAATAGAGGCAATGATCTAAGGGGATCTTATGGCTGCCACTTAATTATTTACAGGAAATAATTAATTGGTCTTAATTATTTACAGGAAAAAGGTAGAAGTTGCAACCGCATGCTCTGTGACTCAGGGCGCATAGCCATACTCTTCTCAAGGCTCAGAAAATTTAAAGTTCCAACAACTTTAAGTTTGAATTATGTAATTTCACAGGTGTTTGTACAATTACTTCTTGTTCTGCACTCTCCCTGGGACCATCACTCACAAGCCTTCAGAATTTCAGTTATCAAATTTAGGTTGTTGACTCCCAGACTATTTTCTCTAATCCAAATTTCCCTCCTTACGATATGAACCACATATGAAGCTAAAATCTAGAAACAGATATTTGAAATTATAGAAGTCTGAAATTAAATTCCTTTCATTCCCTATACCTTTCCTCCTTCTCTGTATCTTATCTTATCTTATCTAAAGGAAGTAACCTGGATACTATTCCAGCATTCAAGCTGAAAGGTGATCACTGTCTTCGGTACCTTCATTATCTTTACTCTCAGATTCAATTGAATGCTAAGTATAGTTGACCCTTAAACATAGGTTTGAACTGCATAGGTACACTTACCTGTGGATTTTTTTCAATAAATACATTGGAATTTTTTTGGAGATTTTCAGAAAATTTGAAAAAAGCTTGCAGACAAACCATGTAGTCTAGTAATATAAAAAAAGTTATGTTACAAATGCATAAAATATATGTAGGTACTAGTCTATTTTATGTGCTACCATAAAAATACACAAAAATCTATTATAAAAAGTAAAAAGATTATCACAAGTTATAATACACTTACAGACCATACCTGGCACCATTCACAATCAAGAGAAATGTAAACAAATATAAAGATGCAGTATTGGGTTATAATTGCATGAAATTAACTGTAATACGTACTGTACTACTGCAGGAATTTCATAGCCACTCCTTGTGCTATTACAGTGGGTTCAAGTATCACGAGCATCTGCTTAAAACACTGTGCGATGCTAATCACTTGGAGAAGTGAGCAGTTCATCTGTCTAGTAAATCGCTATCTCAGTAAAACATGATATCACAATTCTCTCATATTTCTGGCCATGCTTAGTGTAAAACCATAACCTTGAATAGCACCATGGGACCCAAATTACCACTAGTGATGCTGGAAGTACTCCCAAGAAGCAGAGAAGAGTCATGACATTACAAGACAAAGTAGAGTTGTTTGATACGTACCGTAGATGGAAGTCCACAGCTGCAGTTGCCTGCCACTTCAGACAATTCATCTTATAAACAAACGAAACAAACTTATGGTATTGATAAACACAATGCAGTACGCTACATGTCTTTTCTCTTCCTCATGCCTTTTTTGTTGTTTGTTTGTTTGTTAGATGGAGTCTCCCTCCATCGCCCAGGCTGGAGTGCAGTGGCTCAATCTCTGCTTACTGCAACTTCTTCTGCCTCCCAAGTTCAAACGATTCTCCGGCCTCAGCCTCCCAAGTAGCTGGGACTACAGGCACATGCTACTGGGCCTAGCTAATCTTTGTATTTTTAGTTGAGACAGGGTTTCACTATGGTCTAGTTGTTCGAGATCAGGCTGGTCTCGAACTCCTGACCACAAGTGATCCTTCTGCCTGGGCCTCTCAAAATGCTGGAATTACAGGTGTGAACCACCATGCCCACCCCCTCATGACTTTCTTAATAACATTTTATTTTCTCTAGCTTACTTTACTGTAATAGAGTATATAATGCACATAACATGCAAAATATGCATTAATTGACAGTTTATTTTATTGGTAAAGCCACTGGTCAAAAGTAGGCTATTAGTAGTTAAGTTGAAAGTTACATGCAGATTTTTGAGTGCACAAGAGGTCAATATCCCTAGCCCCAGCACTTTTCAATGGTAAACTGTACTAGCAGTGCTTCCTACAATGTCTTTCTTGAATTCATCCACGTCTCGTTACACCCCTTGTGAGTGTCCTAGTTGGGATCACCTTAAAAACTTTACTGGACTTCTGTGAGACACCCTCAGAAGGATACTCTGCCACCAGCTTGCTCTCAAGTTCACCCTCACAGCAGCCAGAGCTGTTTATCCAAGGTGCTTAACTGAGCAGGCTACTCCAGTCTTAAATCTCTTTATTGGACTCTTACAGCTTCAGATAAAAGCTTGTTTTCTTTGATACAGCTTACCCCGAGTCTTCTTGATATGCACCCACATCCAATTGATCACTATTTCACTGCCAAGACTCCCTAAGCCTCAACCATTTTGAGCTTCTTTTAGTTTCCTGGGAGTATCATACTTTTTCCCCCTGGAATTTGAAGACATTTTCTCTGCAGTTTTGCCTGGTTAATTTCTACTTTTCGTCAAGCGGTCTCTGGGAAACTTTCCTAATCTCCCATGTTTGCATTAGATACAACAGTTTGATGTTATATCTTCTTTTTCTGCCCTTATAACGGTACTTATCAGTCTGAATATCAACTACCTGTTCAGGTAGTTTATTCTCTATTGATCAGTAAGTTTCTTAAACATACTAGTGGGTAGAATGGTGGCACCTAAGAAGATATGCTCATGTACTACTCCCTGAAACCTGTGAGTATTATCTTATTTGGAAAAATGGTTATCGCAAATGTAATTAATTTGAAGATCTTAAAATGCAGAGGTCATTCTAGATTATCTGCCCTAAATTTTGGGCCCTAAATTCAATCACAAGTCTTCTTACAAAAGACACACTGGGGAATTTGATGGACAGATTAAAAGACACAGACAGAATATGTAGATGAGATATGAAGACAGAGGCAGAGATTACAATGATGCAGTGGTAAGTCAGATAGATACCAAGGAGAAGGCAATGTGCAGACGAAGGCAGGAATTAGAGTGATGTGGCCACAAGCCAAAGAACTCAAGAAATGCCAACAACCACCAGAGCTGGAAGAGGCAAGGAAGGATTCTCTAATAGAACTTCCAGAGGTAGTGCATCCCTGCCAACACCTTGATTTCAGATTTCTGGTCTCCTGAACTGTGGAAGAATTAACTTTTGTAGTTTTAAGCTGCCTAGTTTGTGGAGATTGGCTACAGCAATCCCAGGAAGCTCATACAATCAGGAATTGTCTATCTTTTTTCCTCTTTTTACTTAGAGTGCTTAGCATTATCTGACCACAAATTAAGTACTTGATAAATATTTCTTGAAATAATTAAGTGTCAAAAAGTTGTCTTTTACATATTGAATTTATTTGAGTTGAGCTATATGTATACAAAAAAATAAGAGTATACACAATCAAAATATGTATAAATATCATATAGGTACTGCCAAACAAATATGAATATAAGCAAGTAAACAGTTGTCATACTCATGAATTAATGTTCCATTTGCATATTTTTGTTCTGTCAACCTTATCCTGACTAAATATGCTATTATGTCAAGACTTGACTGATCTTGATACTGAACATTGTAAGATTTCATCAGACATATTGACCTCTGACTATGCTATAGAAGATATGGATTATTTAAATAACTTTATTAAAAAGAAGACTGTCACAGCCAAATAAGCCAATGATAACATAAATAACAAAATATAACCATTGAATTTGCTCTTTCTTCAATTATGCAATTTCTGTTGTATAACATTTACTATAAAATGTGTAGGCACAATGTGTGTTTACATTTAAATAACTACCACGGCAATTTAGGAAAAGCTTATTTTTAAAACTTTACTAATCTTTAAAAAAAGCATGTGGTTGACTGAGTTCATTAATACACAATACAAGTGACCATGAAGCAGCACACTTCATTAAAAGAAGTAATTTTGGGAATATAGACTGATATATTTCAAGGGGCTTATTTTAATTTGAATGCTTCAGACCTTAAGACTTCTATTGGTTTGATTCTCCAGCACAAGTCCTCCTTTGAACAACCCCCACTCTTTTTAAGGAAATCTACCTTGAGTTAGGTTCATTTGAATTAGCAGTCACGTAGCAGAAACGTAGAAGCAAGGAGAGAAAGGGAGAAAAATCAAAGGTAAAACATGCGAAAGAGATTAGGAAAATTTATAGGAGCTGGAATAGATATGACAAGCTTTATTTGGTAGAGGCATATTAAATGCAGTGTCTTGGGGAAAAATGTCTTACTGTTATGATAATTAAATAACATTGTGTTTGGTGAAATGATTCTACAACTTTTCTCATAATGCTAAATTACATCAAGCACATTAATTATATCTCCTCTTGTTTGTACTAGCACTACGGTCAACTTTTCATTTTTAAACTTTTCATTCTGACATTTCTATCTACTTTTTACCTAGCTTTGACCTTCTTTCATTTCACTTGCTTTTGTGTTCATTTCAATAGTGTATGAAAATGGTTTTCAATAAAAGAAGGTTTATTGGCTAGATTTAAATAGAAAAAGATGTTCAGAAGTATTAGAGGGAGTTGTTTAAATTGGTTCTTTTTCCTTAATGTTACCAGCTCAAAGGCATTCATTAATAAAAATATCATTTACAGATACAATTAAACAAAAATTATACATGTCATTGCACATTGTTTTGTATCATAATATTTGTATGCTAAAACATAACTTTCTAATGGTGTTACCTAACAAAAATATGTCCTTGGGTATCATTTTAATATTATAAGAAAATATGTGGATACACTTTTAGGTAACTACCCTGTTTTGGACACAAAAGTATTTTTTTATTTTTAATACTTTATATGATTGTATGTGGTTCCTGTAAGTATATCCAGTTACATATTTCTACTTATTTGAGACACAATCTGTCCTTGTCTTATGGTAATATCTTTGATCTGGATAATTGATAAATTTATTATATTTTATGTAGTTATACACAATGCCAATTCCCTATGATATTTTCCATGGAAATTGGTTTTCATTTTCATTTTACTGATGAAATGTAAAGATTCTAATGAAATTTTTTAAAATAATGTGTTTTTAAAATATTATCATTCAGGTAAAACAGTCAAATATTTGCCACCAATATTTGCTATTATTATAAATATAAAATAGTAATCTGATCTATATATGTTTTCAGTCTTTTAATTTTTTTTGTATCTCAAACTTTAAATTGGGCAGGATATTCCTATTTACAATTATTTATCTCATGAATTAATTTATTTAATATGTTCTTGTTTTCATATCTACCTTTTATTGTCTTGTTTATGGCAAGTTTTGGATAGTATTTTTCTTCCAGCACTAGTGACATTGAATAGATAGGGAGGTAGATAGATAGGTAGAGAGATAGATAGATAGATAATATTTCTATATCTACTTATATAATTTGTTCCATTGTCAAGAACAATAGGCATGTGAATACATTGCAAAAAAAAGTATAGAGTAAAAAATAAGAATATAAAATAAAATAAACTTATCATTTCTCATTTTATCAAACATCATATTATTCCCTGGTTTATTGGTTTTATTTGAGTAAGTACAAAGTATTGAGCCATGACTAACAAAAACATCACTTAAGATTCATTAATAAGATTGATTTTTATTAATTATGAGCCCAAGCAAAAGAGTCATAAAGTTAAAGGATAAAAGGTAAGTAGGTCTACACTAGCTGGTGGTAAGCATTACACGCTGCCAACTGTGTATTTCTAGACAAACATAAACATTCAATAAGCTTCCAAGTCCTTCCATCATTAGAGCAAAATGTTTAAATTACCCTCATTTGATTATACATCCTGGAAGTCAGAGATTTGTGAACAATTTTTCCATTTTTAAGCAGCCTTAAATGCTAATTTTAATCAATATAAAATATCATGGAATGGTCAAAACCTGATTTTGATGATTCTACCCTAAGGCCTGTTTCACGTGTGGCTTGATTAGTGCTGTACTAAGCAATATTAAAAGTATGTAAATGGACAAAATTATATATGATATCTAGGGTATAGTATTAAAAGCAGCTTTCTTTTTTATGAATGTGAAGTAAAGTATAAATTGCTTATCATAATGGACAAGGGATGCTCAATGAATTGCTATTGACTGGTGTTTAATATTTTTTATGAATTTATATTTTATTATAAATATTATTGCTGACAACAAATGGTATCTGTGAATGCATTCTTGGTTTTTAAATATCTTATTCCAATTTTAATTTGTTAAGCACACTTTATGTTTAGCCAGAAGTTTTTGAAGATGCTAATATTAAGAATAAAATAGAATCAGAGGAAAAATGATCTTATTCTCTCATTAACAACCAAAATACCTGGCTAAAATCTTAATTATTATGACTTTTCAGTCATTTTCTTTTCTAGTAGTAGATTCTGCATTTTTTTGAGTTTTTATGGTCCAGAGTC
Source organism: Homo sapiens (assembly GCF_000001405.40). Classification (NCBI taxonomy): domain Eukaryota; kingdom Metazoa; phylum Chordata; class Mammalia; order Primates; family Hominidae; genus Homo; species Homo sapiens. The sequence continues at coordinate 171,833,560 of NC_000004.12, forward strand.
ATAGTCACATTTTGAATGTTATGTAAAATTTGTTTGTAAACTATGGTAAAAAGAAATTTTATTTCCACTCTTCTGCTCTTCTGGTTTCTTAGCGTATTGTCTAAATCATAATATAATGTCCGATTTCTGTATTGTTAAATTAGCCTTGGTGTATGGGTTTATATTAGCATAGACTTTGAGCTATGGAATAAACTTTTGGTCCAGCCTGTTAAAAGAAATATATTCAAATAGGGGAATTATTTTAGAACGTGCTTATATATATATTTTATTTTTCCTATCAAATAGCTACATTTCTCCAACCCATAATTATCTTCATCTTTTTTAAACACACTGCTCTAGCAAAATCATTTCAACCACTGTTTGAAAATACGGAGCAAAATATGCAATGTGATCTCCTTTTTATAACAGTTTGCATAGATGTTTTCATGTTTTTGCCACAAAATGAGAGACTTCTTTCTTTGAAAAATAAAAAAAAAGATTTCACTTACTTATTAAAAAAACATTTTTTAAAGCCAAGTCCTCATATTTCCTGGCTTTGGGATAACATTTGGAAACCTGTTTGTAAGCAGATGCTATAGTGTAAAACATTAATGCTTATATTTCAGGAAATTATGTGATTCTAAGTATAAGTATTTTCAATTAAATACAGTACATTTGCTCTCACGGAATTGATTGCCACTTCAAAATGGATAAAATAATCTTGCCTAAGTTTCTCATAAGTCAGATGAAGAAACTAAGTGAATGTATTGGCCAAAACCACACAATGAGTTAACATTCATGCCTCAGTTTAGCTCAAGTCTTAAGGTTCCTGAGACTCATGGAGTTTTCCTTATTACAACATTGCTTTGCGATGGTGTCACTAGTACATCTCTTTTTGGAAATATCACACTGGAACTTGAGATTGATTGGCCTGATAAATTTAGGATACTGACCCTGGTAAACACTTCAAATGCCTTTCTTTGTAGGAAAATAAACATAATGGCATGATGTAGGGTTTTCTTTACATTTCATTTACTGAGAGGATACAATATGTAGTGGTTAATAGATTTTACATTTAACACACATTTACAATATGCGATGGCTAATAGATTTTAGGAAGAGGGAGGAAACACTAGTGCTTGAAAAGTGTGGATATACCATCTAAAGATGTGTCCCTAGAAAATCATGAAAAGTGCTCTTTTCTATCAATGGCACAGGCAAGAGGGGTAAAGGACGAGAGGCGTAAGTCAGACATGCTTAGATAAAAGACTCGACTAGTGGCTACAGAGAAAACTGATGAACCAGGGGGAGGAGTACTTTGTTGTTGTCTTGTTTCAGTTTTCCCCTAGACTGTGGAAATGGAGTTATTGTAATTGAAGAACCTTGTAGAGATAACATTTAGCCACAAGCCACAATATTTCATAGTAGTTAGCAAAAAGAGTGAGAGGCATCAGAACTAAAAACAACACCTAGTTTTACCACTTATTGACAGACAAAGAACATTCTCCATGTTCTTCTTGCCATCTCTCTCTGATTGAATTTTGAAAGAAAGATTGACAAACATATCACTTAGAAATGAGGAGTAAATTCAAAAGGATTTATGAGGTCATAAGCACATTTTGTTTAATTTTCTATGGCTTTCTATTTTTATTTCTGCAAGAAAAGAATATTAATATTCTACTTTGAAAAATATACAAAGTTCTACAGAAAAATGGAAAATTTGTTTCTAAGGTCAAGTAGGATTTTTGGCTTTGTGTGTCTGTGTATGTATATGTGTCTCCGTGTATCTGTGTGTGTCTGTATGTCTATGCAAATGTATGTGTGTGGGTTTTGTTTCACTGTTTATTGTTTAACATTGTTAGGTGCTAGATTATTTTACATTTTTATTTACAACTATAGTTTATTTATAACTATAGCAATAGTTTATTTATAACTATAGTTTTATAACCTAAATGTTACTCAAGCTCTAAAATATATTACTTAGGCAGAAAGGCTATTATTATGTATAATGTAACATTTAATATTTATAGTGGTCGAGATCATTATATTGCTTTTTTATTATTTATGGATATAGCATTAATTTTTAAAGCAATTGACAGTCTCTAATTATTCAAATCTAGAGAAAAGTGAAAATAGTCATGTATAATTCATTAATAAATAAGAGCTTAAATTAGCTTTCTATATTGTTACAAGTATATGTCTACAAGTGACTGAATGTTAATTACTTACTAATGGCTAAGTACATTTTATGACATATCTTATGTTAAAGACAACCTGTCAGATTTCTTTTACTATTAGTGTTCTCATTTTTAAATAATAATAGTTAACAGTAGTGATAATGGTTTACTGTAAACAAAAATAAAAAAATATTTTTTAAATGTTATTGTAAGATAGGGTGCAATCAATTGATAGTTGAACGAGGTAGAAAAATATTGTCTGTAACATCTATACAATCATTAGATTTTATGTAGTATTTGGAGCTGAAGGGAAAATGATACTATCACTTAGCCATACAGCATCATAAAATAGTGCTAGTAATATTAAAAGTAATAAAATTTACTTCCTCAATGCTTTCTCCTAGCATCCTTTAGTAGTGTGGACACTGAAACAGTTAATTTGATATCAGACCCTCAAGAAAATGGGGTTGGGCTAGATGAAACTATCTATTTTTAAATTATATAAAAATAGTTGGCACATCTGATTCTGTATCCCATCTTTTTGGCAACTACTTCACACTGCTTCCAACTCTGCACTGCTCTCAGTCACATCCCTTTTTCATCAATGTAGAGGTGAGCTGATGAACTTTGGGGGCAACAATGACCGTTAAACAGTTGCTCAAGGCCAAGTCAGTATATTTTTATTTTAATAATTATTTATTAAGAAATACTTTAGACAATAAAAAGATATGAAAGAATAGAATGATAATATTTCTACTATCATCTTTGCAAATACAACAGAAAAAATATAACTGAAGACACCCCAGTCCTTGTCATGTACCACACACTATTTGAATGCTCCTCCTTTCTAGTTCTCCAACATCATCGTAAATATGATATGATTGTATTATTAATTCCCTGAAATGTTTTCAGATTTTTAATATTTTGTTTCGTATCCCACAGAAGAGTTTTCATTGTTTCATGTTAACACATTCAACTTTTTCAGTCTTCTTTCGTGATTGTCACTGACTACCTTGGAGAGGGGAAGTTGGCATTTTCACATGAGAGTTGGGTGATGGCTATGATGGAAGATGGTTTAAATACAAGCAAATAGATCAAATAAGTAAATGTTGAAGGAAAAGGAAGCTAAGTTTCTCTTCATTATAGAAGAGAGTTAATATGTCAAGGGAAAAACCTAGAATGAACCCTAAGGTATTAGAATGGAATTGGAGAAATCAATGTGCATTCATGTTTTGTAATACAAATATAAACACAAAATGAATATATATGTAAATGTGTGCATATAAATACTTAATAATTACAAAGGGGAAAAGAGCAATTTTACAAGGAGGAATATTGGCAGACACCACAATGCGTAAATGACAAAATGATCACTAGTAATAGGGCAAATTGAAATTGTGAGCCAGCTGATTGGATGCAATGAAAATGTGTTATAAGTTCTGTGGTATTCCCTCCAAAGATATACAACCTGAATCAAATAGTGAAACAGCAGACATGCCCAAATTTATGCATGAAATAACTGGCCTGTAATCTTCAGAAGGGTTGGCATCAGGAAAATCAGGAAAAATCTAGGACGTAATCCATACTGAAAGAAGCTAAAGAAATATTACAACTAAATGCAAGGCATGAGAGTGAACTAGATCACATTTGTATAAAGGATATTTTGGGGGGCGATTGGTGAAACGTGGTGGGATCTGAGGCTTAGGTGACAGTAATGAATTGGTGTTAATATCCTGACCTGGATTGCTGTATTGTGGTTATGAAGGAGAAGGTCACTATTCAAAGCAATGGGACATCTTGTTAGCAACTTCATACTAAATGGTTCAGAAAAAAAAATATATAAATACATATTATATATTAATATTATAGATATTAATTATTATATATTAATAGTAATTGATATATAATGTATATATTTATATAATATATTAATAATAAATTAATAATTAATATATAAATATATTATGTATATTTATATGTTATATATATTTATATATATAATATATAAAACCACTTTTCTGAAGTTTAAGTTTAAGATTGTTTTAAAATAATGTAAGGGGGAAAACGCCCATGAGGATAGCCCTAATTATGCAGCACATTTCCCATCTAGAAATATTTACCCAACTCTCCTACAAAATCATCCCTGAGACATTACTCTCAAAACTCCAGCAAACCCTCTTTTATCTTTGATAGGTTGGCATGTTACATTACTAGGTTATGAAATGAGAGTCATATATTCTTGGCTAGTAGGAAGCTCCAAGATAAATGCTGTGTTTATTTGGTGTAACTTTCTTAATTAACATTTGTGCATGTAGTTTCTCCCTTCACTCTTTTGTTTGTTTCTTTATTTGCTTTATTGTGGGTTTAAAAGTTTAAAATTCATTGTTTCTGTCTATTTATTTATTTATTTATTTATTTATTTTTTGAGACAGAGTTTCGCTCTTTTTGCCCAGGCTGACGTGCAATGGCGCCATCTCGGCTCACTGCAACCTCTGTCTCCCAGGTTCAAGCAATTCTCCTGACTCAGCCTCCCAAGAAGCTGGGGTTACAGGAGCACACCACCATGCCCATCTAAGTTTGAATTTTTGGTAGAGAGGGGGTTTCACCATGTTGGCCAGGCTGGTCTTGAACTCCGGACCTCAGGTGATCCACCCACCTTGGCCTACCAAAATGCTGAGATTACAGTTGTGAGCCACCACGCCCAGCCTCTGTCTTTGCTTTTTACTTTTATGGTAGCTACAAAGACAATAAATATTTTATTGTTCTCCCTTTTTCTCTCTCTTCTCCCTTCACTCTCTCTCCATCCAGTGCCAAGAGCCTCATAGATATTTAGCACTGAGTTAAATATATTCACTGTACTTCTTTGCAGCAAAATCACACAACATATACACTTGTGAATTTCATTTCAAAATATGAGTTTCTAACATTAGTCCGAGGTGCTTTTTCATATCTCCGTTGAGACTGGATATATACATGAGTTGGGCTAAGCAACAAAGTGCTGGTCCAGGTTTGAAGCTTGGCAATATAAAAGACAAACATAAAATGCATAGAGAATGGACACATATCTTTGATTCCCAGATCTTTATAGGGAGCTACAGAGTTTGGTGTTCAACAGTAAGGAATATGCTAGGTCAGGCGAGTAAAGGAAACACAAGGACGGTTGCCTTTTAAGCTGCTGTGCAGGGCTGGAGCTGCATAAGCACTCTAGGGACTGCTCTCTGCCGTCTAAAACCTTCCTGTGTCTCAAGCACCAGTTTCCCGGTTTTATACTGAGTATTCTGATGTAGAGCATTCCAAGGCATGATGTACCATGGAAATGATGAAGCTTAAACATAAATAAAAGTCCAGAGATTTTTTTTTTTATGTAGTAGTTCAGATAACATAGGTTATAGAAAGGCTTGCAGATATAGGGATGTGAGGAGGCACAGGTAAAAAAGGCACAGGCTGACATTCATGCCATTATTATCACAGGAAGTAAGTAAAGAGAGGAGCATCTTCCAATACTGCATGCTATTAGTGCTGTTAAAATCTGCTTTCTCAGAATTCATACTTCAGTGAATTTTTAAATTTGTTCATAAATTTGCATATGATGCTACAATTTCTGATTTAAAAAAAATCTGCCTGACTGGTTGATCAGGAATTTATCTGGAAGGCAAAATTTTATAGGACACTTTTTGGGATATCTGTTGATTTAAGGGAAAATAAAGTCTTTGGTGACCTAAGTTATAAAGTTACACTTCATAAATTTATGTCTCTTTTCTACTGTCTGTTGCTTAGTTTCTACATGTGTGTTGGGTTTGATCTTGGTAACTCTACTTATGGCCCCCATTCCCAACACACACACATACATACCTGTACACACACATACTTGCACATACGTTCACACATGCATAGGTATGATTTAAGTCTACAGATTGCTAGACACAGAAGGGACAGCAATCAAGGGAATAACAGGATTGCAGCAAAAAAAAAAAAGATGTAATAAAAATGAACATGAAAATTTTGAGTTACCAAGGTTAAAACTAAGTGGATGAAAATTCACAAGCAGAAAGGTGAAACCCAAGATTCCTTTTCTTAATCTTTCTGGACCAAATGAAACTGCTCGTATCATGTCCTATAGGCTCTTTATCATGCCTTTCATTTTAGCAATAATTTATTCATGAGTCTAAGAGACTTTTTTGCATCATTTAAATGTATCATATCTTGACAGTTTTTTCCTCTCTTCAGGCTCATCCTACTCCATTGTAATTTATTTAAGTATTTTAGTGTTTTAGAGGATTGTGGATAATGATGCATTTAAACTGCTTTAGAATGACCTTAGGCTAGGTAAATTACTGAAGTAGTGCCGGCCAGGGATATTTACTTTCATGGCAGTAAGCTTTTACTCTCTTGTTTAACCACATGGCACACAAAGTCACCGGCTCGCTGGCTTAAAATATATTCTGAAAGAGTTACAAACAAATTTTATTAACAGGGAAATAACTGTTATAATCTTGGCCCTACTATAGCCAATATTTAATTTTACTTTTCATGAAGATTGAGTGACTTTATCTTGACTGTTAACAGTACAGGTTTGAAAAGCAGTGTGTCTTAGAATAGTGCTGGCCTTAGGCCTGGGCCCATAGTTGAGGTCTCAGCATCTCACAGTCATACATGCGGAAATAAACATATTAAAGAAACCGTGGGCACTTGTGTTACTCGGAATCCCACATTTGGAGCTGGCATGCTGTGACCCTTAGCACTAAACATCAGCTCTGTGCCTCTCTCCACACAGGCCTTAAGAAAAGCTTCCTCACCCGTGATGGCCCCCATCATTCTTACAAAAGCCAATGATCTGAATGGGCACATTTTGTGATTTGTGCTGCTAACTTTTGCAATAGATACTGCTTAGGAGTGTGGGTAGCCTTTGGAGTAGAACAGTACTCCAGGGAGAGAAAAGACAAATTAATTAACTCATCATATTATTTTCTCTCATAGTGCACAAATGCAATAGAGTTTCGTGTAACAATATATAACTTTCCAGGGCTCCAAGCCAAGCATCCTTCTCTTGTTTCTTATCATGTTGCAACATATGTCCTAAAATCTAGATTTTTCTGAACCATCTTAATTCCTCTTTTTTCTTAACTTTTCCTCCTGGCCCCATTCTCCCCCATTGGAAAATTGGACATGCTTATGTAGAAAATTCTAAAAGCTTAATTACTGAGAAGTAGCTATTGTTATCTCTCAAAAGAAGATGCATGCACCCTTTCTGCTTATGATCACATCAGCCCACATCATGTTTCAGTGGAAAATGCTTGAAATTTTGTGGATTCTGTTTCTAGAACCTCCGGTACTTGTACCAAGGGTGGCTGTGAACAAAACCTTTTAGAAGATTCTTTCCCTGCTGGATCTGGATCTTTGAAAGCAGTTTCTTTTCAGGCTGACTTTCCTACTGTGTTATCTTTCCACTTCAAATACTTATTTCAATAGGCTGAACATGTAATAAAGGTTAAAAATAATGTAGCATATGATTATCAGGATGAAGAATTGAAAGGAGATATTAATTAATGGTGGATAAAGTGAAAAAAGAAAACATAAATGAAATTACCAAAGTAAACATTCAGTGCAATTTGATCACTGCAAATATTATATTGAACAACTAATATTTAATCTATGTATTGGTGAAATACCAGTAATAGAAAACAATATGTTAGAGTTAATAAACACTTTCATTGTTTTACAAAAACAAATATAGCTTAAGTGAATATTTTAGTTTAAGTGAATTACTTGAAAAACATAAACAACAAAAATAACCTTCTCAATTTTATGTATTAGTTTAAAACATACTACCATTTTATTTTTCTTCATAAAATCCCAACATTGAATAATTTGATAGAAGAAGAACTTAAGAAATACTAATGAAACTAGCTATTCCTTTAGGAGGAAATAGAAATCATGATATAAGCAGTAGTAATTTTGTAAAAATAGTAGTATTTGATGAAAAACTAATTATTTAAATCAAAATGGTTAAAATAGTATGTAAAATGGTTAATTCCAGAAAAAAACCTTCTATGCAAATTTTATTACTAATACCAGGTGCTACATCACAGCAGAGTTTTTTTAATTGAAAAAATAAAACTAAGTATAGCAATGTCCTCCCAAAACTGAGATTTGGCATTACTGTCAATATAAATAAAATTATTTTAAAATCTGGATTATTACAAGATTATAAGTGATTCTTCTAAAATAAGGCATGAAAATAATTTCATGAAAGTATGTATATTTCATGAATTATGTTTCTTTTTTATTATTTATGCAAACATCACTGGCCTATCAGCAGAATACCTAGATATGTGCAATAGTAATTGAATTTTGTCTTTGGAAAGACAAATAATCTTTTCACGTACCTTTCGGTTTTGTCATTATGAAGTTCCACATGTCAAGAGAACAGAATAGAATATATCTTACTTACATTTGTTATTTATATAGTATACATTCTAAATATTTACAATTATAGTGTGTTGATCTTTATTTACACTTTTGAATGAAGCCCCACAAATATTAAGGGTTGGCCTGTCCTTAAAATTTTTAGTTGTTACATTTCTTATCCTTGCTTACTTTTTATTTTCTGAAATGCAATCCCCAAAGATGCAATTATACACTTTTAATATTTCTCTGGCCCTCAAAGTAGACACAAAAAATAAAGTTTTGGAAATAATCCTGTCTCCATGCTTGGTGTTTTTGCCTGTTCTTGTGTCACTATGAAGAAATACCTGAGGCTGGGTAATTTATAAAGAAAAGAGGTTTAATTGGCTCATGGTTCTGCAGGCTGTACAGGGAGCATGGTGCTGTCATCCACTTCTGGTGAGGCCTCAGGAAGCTTACAGTCATGGTGGAAGAGAATAGAGAATCGACATGTCATATGGTGAGAAAGGAGGCAAGAGAGAGAGAAGGAGGAGGTCCTAGACTCTTAAACAACCAGATCCCCAGTGAACTAACTGAGTGAGAACTCACTTAGCACCAAGGGAATGGTACTAAGCCATTTATAAGGAATCCACCCCCATGATTCAATCACCTCCCACCAGGCCCCACCTCCAACACTGGAAATCACATCTCAACATGAGATTTGGAGGGCACAAACATCCAAACGGTATCACTTGGTGGTACCACTTATTTTCACTTTCAATTTATTTTCCACTCAAATTCATGCCACAAACATCTTAAAAGGCCTTAGTTGTTGCCTGTTCAACCATCCATTCAATATATCTGCAATTATATTTCCAATTTTACAAGACTGTCATCATTGATTGGTAACAACATCCTAGTTAGATCGTGCACTTTTTAGACCATTTTTCTTTCTTCTATGAAATTAGTTTTATTAAAACAGAGGAGGGCTGGTGAGGTGACTGCTAGAATGATGGAATAATAAAGAAATCTTCTATTAGTTTAGTTTTAATGGTTTTTTATGCTAAATTTCTTGGTAGCTCATATAGAGGCATCGTAGCAGGACACACTTTATGATACTACAATGAATATTCTGTTTAAAAGATCATTTATGTCCCTAAAGTAAAATACACCACAAACATAAAAAAATGACTATGAAGACAATTCACATAAAAATAATGCACAAACGAGAAGATCTACAGAGCAAGGAGGGACATACCTTCTTGCAATACTCTGTTATTGATATGGTGACAATGCCAAGATTGTTCATCCATAAAAGATTACTGACATTCTTGCTGCTAACCTTAACAATGGAACAATACAGTAACTGGAGACAAATGCCAAAAAAAAAACAATTTATTCTTGTTTATTTAGATTCTACCTATTTTTCTACTTCTTTTATATTTCACCAAACTCTTAGAATTTTGTGCTTTTAACCGCAAATGGGCAAACTTTGCATTTACTTTGGTATTAAGCCAGGCAGTGAGGATAGGCTCTCCCCATATTGTGTGTGCATGCATATGTATGTGTAATATATTTGGTGCTGGTAGAGAATGAAGATTTTGGATGAAGATGTTGGATGAATTTACTGCCAAAAAAAATTCCAAGCAAACAAAAATCTACATAGTTTTAGACATTCACAGAACATGCTATAAATAAAGATGTCTGGTGGTTAACAGAATTTTTCTTTATTATTTGACAATCAATAGTGTAATTAGTGCTGATTTTCTATTAATGATTAAAGTAAGAGTAGTCAATATTGAAGCAAAAATTGTATATCTGTAAGAACTGGAGAACAAAACTCCTTTCTATAAATTTCTGCTAGAATTTGATATTGAAGATTACTAACTTCAAAATATCTGTAACAAGAAACAAGTTTTGTGTTTGTGTAAATGCTCTTCTACTAGCATGCATATTATGATTGTGTTGTGAAATGAGACAATGCAATTGCAGGTGTTAAAAAGATAAGGTAACTTTTTGTTCATTAATATTTCTTAATGTTACCTATTAAATTCTAAAGGTGGAATATCAATCTTTTTTCTTCTAGTTTGTTTGCTGATTTCAGTGGCTGGGGCCAGTCCTTGATTTGGAGGATGAAACTCAGGGTCATTATTATGTTTTTTAAAAAGTTTCCTTTACCTTCATCTTCATCCTATGGTTAACTTTGCTACCATTTTACCATTTATATCTAAGGTGTATTTTTTTTCTAGATAAGTGAGATGCCCATCATTGTCACTTTCGTGTTCACTGATAGAGGCACCATCATTATTTTCTTGGGAAACCCTGGTAGTTTTGATGTCTGCCAAATTTCTGTGTAGATTGTAAAACTCTTGGTGACATTCAATCTCATCTTCCTTTTTAAATTGTGCATTTTTGTTTTAAGTTTTATTTTCAGATGTGAGGTTTGGAAGAGCTTTAGATGAAGTAGGCTAATATTATCAGACAGTTCGTTGATGTGACAGATTACGAAGGTGGAACAGCAGATATGACCAGAGCACTTTTCACTTGTGGGTGCTGGATACGGAGCTGTGACAATGTAAAACTGGAGAAAGCACTTGATTTCTGTTTAGGAAAAATGATTCCCCAAGAACAAATATAACATTGAGAATTGCACTTGGGGTAATAGGAAGCATATAAATTAATGGCACCAGGAGGGGCGCTTTGTAAAGATAACAAGCAATTTAGTCAGAGATGGTTGCTGTGGCAGGGACTTTCTTTGGAGATGCTTGTTTCCAGCTGATTGAGATCTCTGCGGTCTATTGCTTTCTTGCTCCATTTCAAACAATCAGCATGAAATAGTGTAGCCAGCCTATCTGCAGGTTTGCTAGTCTCCAACCTGTAGACATTAATCTTCTGTTCTCCATTCCATGAATAATACTTAATGACCTTCAATATCCAAATGTTGAAATTACTTACTGACACACTTATTCAGTCACTAACTGGTTTGTGTACTAATGAATTCATTTGCCAAGCAATAGTTAGTAAATGAAATGGTGGTATTTTAATAACCTTGCAATTCTGTTCAAAGCTGATACTTCTTAACTGTTTTGATTTTTCCATTCAAAATTATCCCGTTTGATTGGATAATTGCATCTGGAGGACAAAATTCTTGCTGGTCTCTTTGTTCTGAGCGAAAATCTGACAGAGACAAACTAATAACTTCTAGATCAAAGTTGACCGTAGGAATATGAGTTCTGGACCGAAAGAAAAACTTGAAATGATGTGGAGACTATTTATCTATTGGTTTATATTAGGTAATATTGTCATGTCAGTGTTAATATCAATGTAAAATTCCAGATATATGCTTCCTTTTCTATATTACTGTGGGAATATAGGAAGTGGCTGCTCTGACTAGGATTTCATAGTCTAACTCCCTTGGATGTAAATGTGGTCCTAAGTCTTGTTCTTACTAATGGAACGTGAGCATAAGTCATATATCTCATTCTCAGCTAACAATTTAGAAAGTAGATGTGCTCTCTACAACCGATTTTTCCCTTCAGCCAGTGGGATACAAAGAACCAGAAGACCCTAAGGGATGGTAAAGACACAAGATGGAAGGAGACCAAGTCTCCAAATTACTGCAAGAAGGAATTCCACCTATCAAGCAAGACAGCTGCTTTGAAATGTTATGTTAATAAGGAAAAAAAATCACTTGTATTCATTAAACCACTAGCATTTGAGGTTTCTTTGTGACAACAGTTCTTAATAATTAATACAGGCAGAGTGTTCCATTATGTAATTCATGTCCAATAAATTGTGAACATACTCATCATCACAGCTACTCAATGGTAGATAAAATTTTCTTATATAATATTTCTACGGGAGTTTACATGGTCATTCACTGTAAATTAGGTTTCAGTATACTTTGAGTTTGCTTTATTTCACTTTTCAAATCAGGGATAGATAACTGTCATATTGCCTTTCCCATTTATTTTATGACAGATATGAGGTTCTAAAATTTTAAAAATTTTTATTCATTTGTGAGTAATTTTCTGATATTTCCCATCATGTCAGTATAGTTTGACTGCTGATATTGTAGTTGATCCACTTTATTTGCAAATTCCAAATTAGCAAATTCACCTACTCACTGTAATTTATTTAAAATCCTAAAACCAGTATCTGGAGGGCTTTCATAGTGACTTGCAGACAGTGCAAAGTAGAAGAAAATTTGAATCACCTGATGCACCTGTTCCCCATGTAAGGCAGAACAAGGGAACTATTTCTTATCTTCTCCTTACATACAATCATGGCCATACCATGGCCTTACCTACAACCATGGCCAGAGGAGGTAGACAGTAGGGGGCAGTGCAGTGTAGGGCAAGAAGCTCCTGCGCTGGGGCTCGTTGGCTGCATTTTGAATTTCAATTGTAGCATCTGTTGGTGGAGTGGCCTCAGTTAAGTCACTTAACACTTCATTTATTTACTCTTGTGTAAATTTATTTACTCTTGTGACATAAAGAAAATAAAATCTACCAATACTAGATGTATTTAGGATTTAAGATTGTAATCTATTATCTATCTATGTCTATTCATATCTTTATATCTATTCATCTCTATATATGGACATATATAGATTTTTATATATTTATAGATATATATGGATATGTATATTCACATGTCTCTCTAGATATATCTATAGATATATAGAAAGCTATATAATGATATATGTCCCTGTAGATGTATCTATCTATAGATACATAAATATATTTATATATAATATATAATTATATGTATTTATATTATATACACATAATTATATGTAATTATATATACATATAATTATATGTAATTATATATACATATAATTATATGTAATTATATATGAATATAGTTATATGTAATTATACATATACATATAATTATATAGATATCTATATCTCTCTCTTTCTCTCTGTGTGTATATATAGATATATATTTCCCCTACGAGCAATGGTCAGTATTGCTAATTCAGCATTTACAGAAACTTTGTAGAACACACCTTCTGTGAGTAATGAGAATCGACTGTACAAGTGTATCTTGGAGATATTGCAGATTTGGTTCCAGAAGACTACAATAAAGTGAATATCACAATAAAGTGACTCACACATATTTTTGAGTTTCCCAGTGCATATGAAAGTTGTGTTTACACTATACTATAGTCTATTAAGTATACAATAGCATTATACCTGAAAACACAATATACACACCTTAATCAAAAATGTTTACGAGCCTCCAGTGGTTTTAATCATTTTGCTGGTAGAGAGACTTGCCTCGATGTTGATGGATGCTATCAGGGTAGTAGTTGCTGATGATGATTGGGGTGGCTGTGTCAATTTCTTAGAATAAGACAACAATGAAATTTGCTGCATTGATTTTGATGGACTTGTCCTTTCACACAAGATTTTTCTTGTAGCATGTGATTCTGTTTGATATCCTTTTATCCACAGTAAAACTTCTTTCAAAGAGGGGTTAATTTTCTCAAACCCCGACACTGCTTTATCAACTAAGTTTATGTAATAATCTAAATCCTTTGCTGATATTTCAACAATGTTCACACCCTTACCAGGAGTAGATTCTATATCAAAAGAAACACTCTCTCTCTGCTCAACTCCTCATCCCTTCACGTTTTATCATGAGATTGCACCAACTCAGTCACATCTTCAAGCTCCACTTCTAATTCTAGTTCTCTTACTATTTCCATGACAAATGTAGTCACCTCCTCCCCTGAAGTCTTGAACTCCTCAAAGTCATCCATGAGCATTGGAATCAATTTCCTCCAAACTCCTATTAATATGACATTACCTTCTCCCATGAATCACAAACGTTCTTGATGACATCTAGAATGGTGAATCCTTTCTGGAAGCTCTTCAATTTACATGACTCAGATCCATCAGAGGAGTCACTGTCTATGGCAGCAACAGCCTTTTGAAATGTGTTTCTTAAATAATAAAACTTGAAAATCAAAATTACTTCTTGATCCAGGGACTGCAGAATAGATGTTGCACTGGCAGCCATGAAAACAACATTAATCTCCTTGTACATCTTAATCAGAGCTCTTGGGTGACCAGGTGCATTGTCAGTGAGCAGTAATATTTTGAAAGGAATTTTATTTTCTGAGAATTTTATTTTCTCATCAGTAGGCTTAAATATTCAGTAAATTATGCTATAGACAGATGTTCTGTCATCCAGGCTTTGTTGTTCCATTTATAGGGCACAGTCAGAGTAGATTCAGTGTAATTCTTAAGGGCTCTAGGAATTTCAGAATGGTAAGGTTTAGCATTGGCTTCAACTTAAAGTCACCAGCTGCATTCACCTGTAACAAGAGAGTCAGCTTGTGCTTTGAAATTTGAAAACCAGGCCTTGACTTTTCCTCTCTATCTATGATATTTTTTCCCTATATAAGGCTGTTTTGTCTATCTTGAAAATCTGTTGTTTGGTGCAGGTACCTTCATCCATGGCCTTAGCTAGATCTTCTAGATAACTTGCTGCAGCTTCTACATCAGCGTCTACTGCTTCACCTTGCATTTTTGTTTTATATGGATGGTTTCTTTCTTTAAACCTCATGAACCAACCTCTCCTGGCTTCCAACTTTTCTTCCACAATTTCCTCACATCTCTTGTCCTTCATAGCATTGTAGAGAGCTAAGGCCTTGCTCTGAATTAGGCTTTCACTTAAGGAAATGTGACTTTGTTTGATCTATCCAAAGCACTAAAACTTTCTCCGTATCAGCAATAAGACTTCTTTGCTTTTTTACCATTTGTGTTTTTACTGGAGTAGCACTTTTTAATTTGTGTCAAGAACTTTTCCCTTTTTTTTTTAATTTGAATAAATGTAAGAGGTACAAGTGTAGTTTTTTTACATGGACATATTGCCTAGTGGTGAGTCTGGGCTTTTACTGTGACCATCGCCTGAATAGTGTACATTGTGAAGAACTTTTCCTTTGCATTCACAACTTGGCCAACTGGCACAAGAGACCCAGCTTGGGGCCTGTGGTGGCTTTCAGCATGCCTTCTTTATTAAGCTTAATCATTTTTAGCTTTTGATTTAAGCTGAAAGACATGCTATTCTTCCTTTCGCTTCAACACTTAGAAGCCGTTGCAGGGTTCTAAACTGGCCTAATTTCAATATTGTGTCTCAGACAATAGAGAGGCCTGAGGAGAGGGAACAGATGGGAAACTCAGGTTGTTGCAGCAGTCAGAACACTCGCCATTTATGTATTAAGTTTATGCCTCTTACTATCTTCCTTGAGATCACTCCCTTAATAATAATAGGAAGTGCTTTGTGTAATTTTCATGGAGCTTGAGAGGAGAGATACTAGGGAATGATTTCTTCTTTTTTCATGGACAGTATAAATGTTTTGTTTGCACAGCATTTCAATTTCACTTTCAACTACTTTAAGTCATCTACATTTGAAAATAGAAATAAAGAAAATCTTGTAAGCAATTATTAAGAAAATTATAAATATGATAAAATATGATTTTACCTATTAATGTAAGTCTAAATAGGTAAATTTACATTGAGAAATTAAAAATAATAATTTATTTATCTGTATACCTATTATTAACTGAAAATTTACAAGATATAGGAATTTGGAAAAGATACTTTTATTTTTTCTCGTAAAGGAAGAAGGTGGCCATGCCGCAGGCTGGGAAGCATAGCCTCTGGCAAAGACCAGAAAAGGCACTTCAAAGGAGGAGGGGTTGGGGCAGGAGCTTTATGCTAAACAGGTTGGCTAACCATACAAATTTAACTGGTTATGAGACAAGCTATGAATATTAATGAAGGCAGTTCTGACACATGCTCATTGAATAAATGTGCATGTTGCATATGAACTAGTGGAGAGTTAACATTTTTTGGTTTTTGTTTGAGACAGAGTCTCACTGCCATGCCCAGGCTGGAGTGCAATGGTGCAATCTCGGCTCACTGCAACCTCTGCTTCCCGGTTTCAAGCGATTCTCTTGCTTCAGCTTCCTGAGTAGCTGGAATTACAGGCGCGTGCCAACACACTGGGCTAATTTTTGTATTTGTATTTTTAGTAGAGACCAGGTTTCACCATGCTGGCCAGGCTGTTCTCGAATTCCTGACCTCAAGTGATCTGCCCACCCCAGCCTCCCAAGGTGCTGGGATTAAAAATTTAACATTTAAATGTATTACAGTTGGGCCCTATGCATCAAAACGTAAAGTAGGGACGTGAAGTTACTCCAGTGCACAGCCTCTGTAAACTGGCCAGAACCAGTCCATGGTCAGCGATCTTAGGAGGAGAAAGTTACTGAAATCAGTCTCTTATTCAATCAAAGCTGTTGTTATGGCTTGTGGAACAGGGGCTGGAGCGCAGTTAATCAGCATCTGGTGGGACTGTAAATTGTTTTAATATTGCTTATCTCGAAGCCAGTGCTTGTTTAACTGCTAAATAAAAAGGAAAACCTTGTGGTAACTAGAACCTAGTTCATTTTGTTAAGTGCAGGTGTGTGACTTTACCCTTGCCAGCATGGCCTTAAACCCTGTTTATAATTTAGCATTTCATTACGACAAAGAGTAGGCTATGTTAGTCTTATGATCTCTGTTTTAATGTAAATGCTGGTTAGTTGTGTCTAAACTCCAAAACAAAGAGGGTATAATGAGGCGTGTCTGACTTCCTTTCTTATTATGGCTAGGCACTCAGTTTTTAAGGTTTTTCTGGGGTTCCCTTGGCCAAGAGGGGGTCTGTTCAGTCTGCTGGGGAACCTAGGATTTTAGATTTAGTTTACACTACTGAATGCTACAAACCATTCCAGGAGCTATTACTGGGTTAGTTTTAAGGTTCTTAGCCACCCCAATAATTAGAGGATATTATCCTAAAACAATGCAATTCAAGGGAATATTTATATCGTAGAGCTTTAATTTCACTTTTCTGTTTGTGAGCAGAACTGGCATTTTAATAAAGGCTCAGGGCATTTCTCGTAGTGTATAATTCACAAGACAAAAATTGAAGTATAAGATAGGAACGAACTTGAATGTAAAAGTAAGAGCATTTTTATTTATTCACTATTTCTCTTTGATCCTCAAAGTAATAAGTATTTTAAATTATAGAACTAAGTTCATACTCTGCTTTACTTTTCCATCTCATATTTTAAGCTGTCTACAAACTTAGCTCATCACTGGATTCTGGCTTGGAATTGTTGTCACTTCTTATTGTTTTCTCTTTTGGTAGAATCAGTCAAAAGAATATCATCCCAGTAGAAAGATGTGACCAATTGCTTTAAAAAAATTATATTTTGACTGAATCAAGAAAGTAGAAGGTTCATTTAAACTCTGTAGAAGAACCCTCATCAGTCTCTCCATATTGCTTTTGACAATGCCTGAGAGACTGTTATATATTATGTTTATTTTTAGAGTCAACCAATCTCTTTTAACTTAGACTGCAGGATGAAAAAAGCAATAACACTCTCAGATAGCTCTTAGGTTACTGTGAGTGAGCTGAATTATTTCTTTCTATTAGAAGCTGCTGTCCTATTCTTCACTTCCTACAGATTTCTTTAGAATTAACACAGAAAAAAATGTTATCTTTTTTGGGTCTATTGATGAACTTAATCTTTTCATTATTGCATGTGAACTTAAGTCATAATAAAGCAGGCTGACTCTGAGTTTTATTCATCTTTGTGTCTGAAAGGCCATTGCAATTTTATTTTTCTAATTAAATTGATCTAGACAACAGTTCAACTTCCTCAAACATAAATATTTCAAAAGAGCTTACTGCCACAAGCATCCCCTTCAAAGTTAAAGATTTAGAATATAAACTCTTGTTGACTGTTCTGCTTTTGAATGCATTAGAAAATGCCTTAGGGAATAAAAGGTAAGCACAGAGTTTCACTCAAAAGTATTTGCTTTGTTTTTCCAAGTAAATTCATGCTGAAATGCAAAATCAGAGTCTCATATTGATTACCTTTCAGTGACCAGGCAAAAAAATAGTAAAGAACATTTCAAAGTTTAGAGTAGGAATATATCAGAAAATATCTAAAGGTACTGTAATTACTGAAATACATACAGACTCAAACTTCAATTAACAAGTTAGATTTCACAGGTGGAAAACACCTGCTTTTTTTTCTGTTGTCCAATTCTGTGCTCCATTTTTATTTGACTTATTTTATCACTGTGTTCTGCTTTCTATTTATGAACAATTGGCTCTTATTCAAAGCAGCTGATGCCCTTCTTTTGCATATAAGTGGCAACTATTCTGAAGCTGTGACCACAGGAAGAAAATGTGTGGGGTGGTGGTGGCCGTATTCAGGTGTGCATTGCTTAAAGAAACTTGAAAACTATATATAGATGTTGGAAATAAGAAAATGATGGGATGCATAAAAAGATATAAAATACCATTTGCTATTCAAAAGCATTTATCGCTGTCTAAATATTAGCTTTCTTTATATATATATATATAGCTTTCTTTATATAGCTTTCTTTATATTTATTTATATAATGCACAAAGTTTTAGAAAAGAGGCACTGTAAAAATAGGTAACAAATTCAATTCTTTGTACGATAGCTTCACAAATTAAGAAAACCCATGTATCATGATTTGGGGAATTATTGCCACCTGTCAGTGATATGTTAAAGTTGATATGGATGTTAATTGAATGTGGTTAGAGAAAATTATGGGATGTATCATTTACCTATTAGCTTATGAATTCCAGAGTCATATTAAGAAAAAGATAAGTCAAGTCACTTCCGGGTAACTTGCATGGATGTAGGAGTTTTTTGTTTTTGTTTTTGAGATGGAGTCTTGCTCTGTCGCCCAGGCTGGAATGCAGTGGCCCGATCTCGGCTCACTGCAAGCTCCGCCTCCTGGGTTCACGCCGTTCGCCTGCCTCAGCCTCCCGAGTAGCTGGGACTACAGGCGCCGCCACCACGCCCGGCTAATTTTTTTTTTTTTTTTTTTTTTTTGTATTTTTAGTAGAGACGGGGTTTCACCGTGTTAGCCAGGATGGTTTTGATCTCCTGACCTCGTGATCCGCCCGCTTCAGCCTCCCAAAGTGCTGGGATTACAGGCGTGAGCCACCGCGCCCAGCCAGATGTAGGAGGTTAAAGGGTACTCTTCTCTGTCTCTCTGTCATACCTTTTCTTTCAAAAATATCTTATTACTTCCCAGAGAATAATTTGAATGGCAAAAGTACTTCATTGATGAAAATACAGAAACAGTTTTATTTAAAACTCAGGTGAGCATTTACCTGCTGGTAAGTTTTGCCTCCTCACACCTTCCTCCCCTTCTTTCCCCTTCTTACACTCAGCCTTCACCTTCCTTTCTTTTCCTATCTTTTCTTCCTCCTTTACTGCCCTTTCCTTCTTCCCTTCTTTTACTATGTGTTCATTCTTTTCTTTTTTTTCTGTTCTTTCTTACATTTTTTTTTGTTTTCTTCTTTTCCTTTTCCTTTATCTTGCCTTTCATTTTTCTCTCCCTTTATTTTTCCCAAGCTTTTTGCTTTTTTCTCTCTTTTGTTTAGCCACTCTTTTTTTTTTTTTTTTTTTTTTTTTTTTTGAGACAGAGTCTTGCTCTGTCGCCCAGGTTGGAGTGCAGTGGTGCGATCTTGGCTCACTGCAATCTCTGCCTCCCTAGGTCCAAGCGATTCTCCTGCCTCAGCCTCCTGAGTAGCTGGGACTACAGGTGCCCACCACCACGCCCAGCTAATTTTTATATTTTTAGTAGAGAAAGGGTTTCACCATGTTGGCCAGGCTGGCCTCGAACTCCTGACTTCAGTTGATACACCCACATCGGCCTCCAAAAGTGCTGGGATTACAGGCGTGAGCCACCGCGCCTGGCCTATTTAGCCACTCTTCATGTCTCTTTCTTTCTTTTCATTTTTCCCTTTCACATAGAGGCCTTACATGCAGCACTGGAAATAAACTAAGAAATAAGAGTTATTGCCTTTAAAACAATGTCCAGTAAAATTTCACAGAAAGCTACAAATAATGACTATTCATTGTGAAATATATATACGCATATACTCTTGCTGGGTTCCCTGAGGGCAGATGTTGGATCTTGCTCATCTCTATAACCTCCTTACCTGATGCTGCCTAGCACAGGGAAGCGGGCAGTGTTCATGTCCTTCCCAGATACCAGTGTCTGGCCTGCTGCACCCATCCTTTCTCCTTGTGAGTATTGCCTGCCTCATATTCAGGAAAGCTGCTCTTGGCCCAATGCTAATGGCTATGCTCTCCAAATAATGGACTTCCCAGGTTGCCTCAAGGGGATATAAGAATCAAGTGTAGGTACAAAGTTATGTTTTGAACATGAGAAACGGCTGCACCAGTTTCAGTTGTCAATTTCCATGCATCAACATTCACAAAATTGACCCCATGATAGGTATCTGCTATTTGCTTGTGGACTCCTGCCACAGTTGACTTCCTTTGTACACAGGTGTTAGATAGAAAGTTGTTGCTATAGAAAGTAAGTGAGAGGTACTTGGATAACATCTTAGTCCATTTGGGCTGTTATAATAAACATAGCATGGACTAGATTACATATAAACAACTGAAGTTTATTTTCTATTTTTCTAGAGGCTGGGAGGTGGAAGGTCAAGGTGCTAGAGGATTTGGTGACTGGTGAAGGCTGGCTTCCTGGTTCCCAGAAGGCTATCTTCTCACTGTGTTCTTACATGGTGGAGGGAACAAAGAGGCTCTCTGGAATCTCTTTTATAAGGGATTTAATCCCATTCATGGACTAATTACCTCTCAAAGGCCCCACCTTTAAATACCATCACATTGAGGATTAGGTTTCAAAATATGAATTTTGCAGACATACCCTTTCCATCCATAGCAGATGTCTGCGTTTCTATGGGATCAGACATAAGCTATGCTCTAGCTGAGACGACATCCTGGCTTTATTCTGCCCCCACCTCCTCCTGCTCCCCTCACTTTTTTCCTTGAGAGCACTCCCTTAATAAGTTACATGCACCCCCTTTCCCTTATTATTAGCATCTTGCATTAGTGTTGTGGATGTGTTATAATTAATTAGCCAGTTTTGATGTTATTATTAACTAATGTGCATAGATTTCATTAGAGTTTACTCTTTGTGTTGTAGAATCTATGGGTTTTGGAAGATATATAATGGCACATATTCACCCGTACCGTATCATACAGAACACTTTCACTGACCTAAAAATCTCCTGCACTCCACCATTGATCTCTCACTCCCTTCCCCCAAGCCCCAGGGAACCACGGATCTATTTACTGTCTCTATAGTTTTACCTTTTCCAAAATGTCAGATAGTTGAAATTATTAGAGAATGCAGCCTTTTCAGATTGGTTTCTTTCACGTAGCAATATGCATTTAAGTTTCCTCCATGTCTTTTGTGGCTTGATAACTCATTTCTTTTTGTTGCTCAATAATATTCCATTGTATGGATGTAGTACAGTTTTTATGTATTCACCTATTGAAGGACATCTTGGTTAATTTCAGATTTGGGAAATTATAATAAATGCTGTAAATATTCTTGCACAGATTTTTGTATATATGTAAGTTTTTAACTTGAGTAAATATCAAGGAACATAATTATGATTTTATGGTAAGAGAATGTGTAGATTTGTAAGAAACGGCCAAACTATCTTTCAAAATGGCTGTGGCTTTTTGCCACCAGGAATGACTGGGAGTTCCTGTTACTCCACATCCTCACTGGCATTTGGTGTTTGTCAGTGTTTTGGGTTTTAGCCAATTTAATAGGTAGGTAGCTATATCTCATTCTTGTTTTAATTTAGAATTATCTAATGACATATGAAGTTGAGCATCTTGTCACATAAATTTTGCATCGGCAAATGTTCTTTGATTAGGAATCTGTTCAGATATTTTGCTCATTTTAAAATTGAATTTTCTTATTGTTGAGTTTTAAGAGTTCTTTATATATTTTGAATAATAATTCTTTATTAGGTATATATTTTGCAAATAATTTTTCCCAATTGTGTCTTATTTTTCATTCCCTAAAGAATATATTTCACAGAACAGATTTGTTGTTGTTGTTGTAGTTGTTGTTGTTTTGAGACGGAGTCTTGCTCTATCACCCAGGCTGGAGTGCAGTGGCGAGATCTTGGCTCACGGAAACCTCCACCTTCTGGGTTCAAGTGATTCTTCCATCTCAGCCTCCTGAATAGCTGGGGTTACAGGTGCCCACCACCACACCCGGCTACTTTTTGTATTTTTTTTTTTTTTTTAATTAGAGACGGGGTTTTGCCATGTTGGCCAGGTTGGTCTTGAACTCCTGACCTCAGGGCATCCACCCACCTTGGCCTCCCAAAGTGCTGAGGTTACACATGTGAGCCACCCCACCCTGCTGAGACATTTTAATTTTAATAATGTCCATTTAATCAATTTTTTATGAATCATATATTTGGTGTCGTATCTAAAAAATCACCACCAAACTCTGGCTCACCTAGATTCTCTCCTATAGGAGGTTTATGGTTTTGAATATTATATTTAGGCCTGTGATCTATTTTGAGTTAATTTTTGTGAAAAGTATTAATGTAAGGTCTGTCTCAAGTATTTTTTTCGTTTGCTTTCTTTTGCATATGGATGTGCAGTGTGAGAGCACCATTTATTGAAAAGCTTATTCTTTATTCATTGAATTCTCTTTGTCCCTTTGTCAAAGATCAGTTGGTTATATTTGTGTGGGTATATTCCTTGGCTTTTTATTTCATTCTATTGATTGATTTGTATAGAATAATCTATTGTCAATGCAATTGTCTTAATTATTGTAGATTTATAGTAAATCTTGAAGTAGGTTAGTAGTATCAGCCCTACAACTTGTTTTTCTCCTTCAATATTGTCATATTCTTTCTTCAATAAATACTTATTGAGTACTTGTATTTACTCTTCTATGAGAAATAGCAGTGATTGTGACAGACAACAGTTCTGCATTCATGAAATTTATCATCTAGTGGGGTTTATTAGTTCTACATGCACACATTGACTTTTAGTATTTAATAAATACAAGCATGAAAATAAGTAGAGGTACATTGCATATTATAAATCTCCTGGTTGAATGTTAGTGTATAGTAACATATTCATGTACATGTAAGCATGTGTACATGAAAGTGAAATAAACTAAGTGCCTTGATTTTTTAAAATGAACTCTAATGATATTTTCTATAATCTTGTCTCCCCTTGCTTTCTCAGTATTTTATTTAAAAAAAAAGAAGTATATTGAACCAAATTCCTCTGTGGAATATTACCCCGAAAAATGCTCAGTGAACAATGCACTATTAGAAGGGATTTTTATAGAGCAAATAGTAGGAAAGTTGTACACAGGAATGCAGGGTAAGAAAAAATGTTTCAGATGTGGTGGTGATGGCTTTAACATAGAGAATCTTGGCTTGAAGTTCCAGGAAAGCCATAAGGAGTGGGCTGATAAGGTTCAACAGTAAGCAGATAACCATTTCAGTGATTTTAAAGTCTAACTAGAGAAAGCTAGTGTTGGGCATGGTTAATCCTTGGAGAGTCTGGAACATAGTTGATTCATCAAAATGAGAGAAAAATTAAATGATTAATGATGTGATAATAGCGATGAGGCTAAAAAGAACATTTTTTGTAAGGTTATAGAAGTATTATGGCAAGAATTGGTAAGCCTGTTCTTTTGCAAGTTGATGATAAGGCAATATTACTCTGTTGGTAATCTAAGGTTACAGTAAATTGCACATGAGCTGCTTTGCAGGGCTATTTTTAATTTGGGATGAAGCAAGAGAAATGCCCTAATGCATATGTTTTTGCAAGGGAATAAGGACATGGGAAACTCTATTATACTGAGTCATAGCAGAATTTAGTGAACCACATCTGTGTCTTGCCTGGTTCATAGCTCAGGCTAATGTTTTAACCTGCTCAATAATAATCACTGAAAGACATCGGTGCTTAGATCAATGATATGGTTAGTGGAAAGTGTGTAACAACCATATTTATGGCATTTCCATTTCCTCATTCAATTAATTAATTAGAGATACTTGGGATTTTGTTTTTGTTTTGTTTTTAATGTTTCATTTCTAGGCATAGAAAGCAATATAGAAATTATGTATAAAGTGTTATTTATGCTCTCCAAATTCTGCATTGCAAAAAGTTAGGTAAACTTAGGAATTAGATGGACTTATTTGTATGATCATTTTAAGGTATAGACAGTTATCTTCACTGAAATAATAAAAACATATTATCATGTTATTAATCGTGTGTTTTGTTATCATATAGTGTTAATTCTA
Organism: Homo sapiens; assembly: GCF_000001405.40. NCBI lineage: Eukaryota > Metazoa > Chordata > Mammalia > Primates > Hominidae > Homo > Homo sapiens. The sequence continues at coordinate 171,858,322 of NC_000004.12, forward strand.
GGAACCACTAACAAAGGAGTTTTGAGTCATTTTTCTATTAACAGATTAATTTTTTTGAAGTAAAAATTTCCAGAAATACTAGGATCTCTCAGCAAGGGGAAGAAATGGGCAAACAAAATGACTAGGTTCTTATTACATAAATTATTTGATTAATTCAGCTTAGCAACCCTATCAGATATATGTTAATATCCACACTTTTCAGGTGTGGAATCTGAAGCCTATAGATTTTTTTTTAATTGCTCAAGTACTCATGCCAAGTAAGTAAAAACCAACATTATGCAATACAATTTGATGGCTAAAAAGTACCCATATATTTACATACAAATTAAACTTTTTACATGTACTTCTTTCACACACCACAAATACAAATGTATCTTCTTTTTCAGGTTTCTTAAATCAGGAACTTGCAGTTCTCTTCAAAAGCATAAAAGGAATGCTTACAGGTTCAAAATATTGACTGAAGCTAACGTTTTCAAATTATTAGTTACATGCATACAACTATAAAGCTCAGGAAAAACTCCTTATATTTCTTTTATACAACTATAAAATTAATAAGATATATGTTAGTACTAAATAAGATAGCAATACTAGTCAAACTTTTTAATAAGCCCTTAATGTTAAGAATAACATTAATTTTTGCAGAAATGATATTTTGTTTATAATGTGCAATATACCGGCTTCTCATATGTAAGCTTTAAAAAATTTTTCCATGTAAATGCTAATGTGTCTCTTCATAATTCAGTTCTACTCAGGAACTTTAATTTTGAGAATACCTCTCAATGTCAAATGATCTTCAACACAGGTGTATCTTTCTGTGTTCCACTCATCTTTTCTTATAATTCTCTAGGATTACAAGAGTACTCATCAGCTTCAAAGATGGTAGCATAAATGAAAGCACAAGAGCTAATGCTCTGGGCCATATTCGATTATACAGTGGTTATCCAGGCAGTTCATAATATGCTTATTGTGTTATTTATATTTTAATCTAAATGAAATAGAGCATTTTAAAATTTTTTGAACTCCCAATGATATATTTTTAGGCTCCCAGAATTCCTAAGAACAATCTTCACTCATCCATGACTAACCTGAGGTGTCATGAATAATGTCCCCTTGAGTCCCTTCAGGAAGGGAGGGAGCATGGTGTGTGTGGACTCCCCAAGATTACCCTTAGTCTTGATGACACACTGCAAGGATGCATGGAACTGAGAAAAAAATCGGTTATACTCATGGTTATAGTTTATTATGACAAAAGGATACAGGTTAATATTAACAAAGAAAAAGACAAAATTAGAAGAAACCAGATGTAAGCTTCTAGGCAGAGATAGTAGAGTTGCAAAAGGACCCACGTAGTTCTCCCAGCAATGTTATGTGACAGCACATGCTAAGTGTCATCAATCAGTAAAGCTTACCTGAGCTTTGGTGTCCAGGGTTTATGTTTGAGGTCAGATAAGCATGTAGTGACTGCATGACTGACTTCAGCTCCTCAGACTGCAGCCCTGCCCTGCCTCCCACTCAATCTCTACTCCCAGGAAAAATAGACATTCAACATAGGTCACATGGTTAAGGTAAACTTATCTGGTCAGATTGATACAATATGGCCTGAGGCCTCGGACATATAGAAACACTCTTTTCAGGAATTATATTCCCAGGGCTCTGAGGTTATCTCCAAGGAGCTGGCCAAAATTCAGTCCTGAAGACAGACCTTTCTTTGGAATGTTCAGGATTTGAGTAATTCAGACCTACTGAGTTAACCTTTTACTGTCCACATAAGAACACCATTATTTGATTAAATAATCCATAATAATGTTTGTCACCACATATTTAGCTTATAGAATGTGTCAAGCCCTGTTCAAACATTACCTTAGGTTTTTTTCTCAACAAATACAATATTAAATCCATTTGCTGATGAGGAACATAAAATCAGAAAACTAAATTTCCCACACCACATGGCTAGTAAATATTAAAGCTGGTATTTGAACAAAGTTCTATTTGATTTTATAGTCTTGCTCTACTCCCTCTACCATATACATTGCAGAAATTTGGACCTTCATAGTCTATAGGAGAAATATCCAGTAAAATAATAGGACCTAGAGTCAATGAATGCAATATATATTGTCATGGCTTTGCTTAAGCACCCTGACAACCTGGCTTTAATCCTCACTCCTCTAGATTGCTCATTGTGGAACAATCAGTATACCAACTAGAAAATAACCACCAGAAAAAAGACTCTACTTTATAATCCTTTAGCCCTTTCACTGAATCTGCTTCTTCACATGTTTAACATTTTTAATGGAAGCTGGACATTGGAAATGACAGATTTTGAGGAGCATTGATTATATTGTCTTCCTTAACAGGGTGTTGATTTTATTTGACCAATCAGTAAATTACTGGTAGATACTGTTCTTCCTCTGAGGATGCATTTCTTAATATGGATCTGTTTCGGTTCTGTTCCTTGTCCTGGAATGCAGCCCTTAATACAGAATATAGTCATTTTTGCCTTAAAGTGTGGCTTTTCTGACATTACAAGTGAGTGTCTTAGGTGCCCAGTAAGATTTCTCCCATCTGCTGGGTGATAACGCCAATTCCAAAGTCTTCCAGAATAGAACAACCTCTGATACCTCCTCCATTCAGCATTCAGCTTGTAGCCATAATTCTCCATTAGGCCTCTCACAGTATCACTCTGTACCTGTTCAGTTCATTTCTCAGCCAAAGACCCCATGAAGATTTATGACCAACATATCTCCTGTCCAATATCGTATTGTACAAATTCCACCCATTTCTGCAAATTAAAACTGCAGTCTAAGCCTCCTCAGCTCTGCAATATTGAGCATAGCTCCATGTCTCATTCACTGAAAGGCGCCCCAGATAGGAAGCCAGTATGAAGAGAGAGTTTACCTCCTGAGTGTTCCTTTCCTCAAGGATCACAGTGTGTGCTACTTCTGGTTCAATGCTTTAAAATTATACCCATATAATTAATCTAGTTTAATAGTCATTTACTACAGGAAGGCCAGTCCAGTTAACAGTTATTCTGTCAGTGTTGAAGTCACTACCAGTATGATAATCAAATAAAATAGTTTAATTGACATTTGTAACCCTTTACAATTTAACACCAGCTTGCTTTTCCTGACCTGTCTCCTCTATTCACATCAGTTGAGTATGTTTTTCACTTCTCAAACACTTTTGAAACTCAGTGCATTTAAGCATATCCTTCTTTTTTCTTGGGATGTGTTTTCCTCTCTTCCATCAATCTTCCTCAGTTTTTAAGACCCAGGAAAACTTACCGCTTCCCCTCTGAAGTTGTTCCCAGCCACTCCCACTAAGTCTAAAATCCTGTGCCACTTACCTATATTATTATTTATATCATCCACAGAACTTTACAACTTTCATAGGTATTTCTGTGTAAATCTATCTTCCAAAATAATTTTGAGATATTTATAAAAACAAATATCATTTGTTTGTGTAGAGCAGGTATTCAGAATTTAAAAAACATATCTGATGGTATTTTTTGACAGTATGTTTTACAAAATCGCTTATATTATTAATGTCTGATGCTATTACTTAACCACTACCACTATATGTAGTGACCACTGGCCACTAATAGTGTTTACTATGATCAATTTTATTAAAGGCTTTGCTTTAATTATTTAATTATTTCACTTATTCTTTCCAATGGTCTTATATGGAAGGTGGTATTTCTTCCATACTAAAGTTGAGAAATACTAGGTAGACACGAGGTAAAGAAACTTGTGGACAATAATTTAGCAAGCTTGGGATAACCAGTATTTCAACCTAGATTTTTCCATTGCAATTCACAAGTTCTATACTATGGCAATTTATGTAACAGGCAGAGGTCTTCAGAAATAAATTAGAATTTTATTTGAGAGATAATTTTTGAAATGTCACATTCCATTATTAGCATATTCATATGTAGAATTATTGAAGAAGATAATATGAATGAAAGTAATTTGTCTTTGGTAGTAGTTTTTCATTCTTTAGGGAAAAGCATTACCAGGCCATTGATTTGAGATGAGACTGCAGAAACTTAGAAAAATAAAACCTCAGTGTGAACTGAGCATCTGTTTAATCATGTATTAATGAAATTTATTTAAAGTCTGAAATATTCTAAATACATGTTAATTTATTTAAATTCTGAATATATAAAACTGTTTTTGAGAATTTGGAAAATATATTGTAATTATCATATTTTAGAAAGTAAGCAAGCAAATACTAGCATCTTACTTAAGGAGAAATGAGATGAATAGACTAGACCAAGGCTTTTTTTAAACGTAAATGACTTATGGTATTGAAATTATGCCTTATTAGAAAGTCGACTGCATTTTATAAAGAATGTCATATTTTATGTAATAATGTAATTTTAAATATCTTGACTTTAGTAAGACTGAATATTTTCCTTTGTAAATATTTGCTTAAATTATATTTTGTTAGTGGTATAGAGTCAACTGATCAAATATAATAACCTAAAAAGTCTTAAGTGTATGAATGTCATTTATTTTATTAGCCCCCAAATTATCTGAGTTTTTCTCAGGACCTATATAATTAGATTTTGAATTAGAATGTATTGATTATAAGTGAATACTTCAAAGTGATTGATATTTTCAAAATGCATATTGTGAAGACCAAAATATATTTGACAATAGAGATATGGAGTAATGTGTCATCTGAAGAAACAGAAATTTTACCTTACAAACTCTTATTTCAAAGAATTTTGTATGTAGGAAAGTTAGGTATCTAATTCACTGAAAACTAACTAGCATTGGCTTACAGGATTGAATTGAAGGCAGACATGAAGTTGCGTGAAATACCAGTCATTCAGGAAGTGAATGAAATACCATCCTTGAAAGGAGTACAAGGCCCTAGAATTAAAAATGGTGATAAATATGGAGGATTCTCTTTTATTTCACTTGACTGAAGAAACTAATCAATAAACATATTTTTTATGATCAATGTCAATTGCCTTTTTGGGATCTATTGTAGACCTCTGTGTTTAACTAATATAACTATATGGTTTTCTATTATTTCATATGGAGAGACTAGAAGAGTGGTGTTTTTGTAAATAAAAGAAATAGAATTTCTGAAAGAAGCTAACTTCAATTCATGTATTTTTGGTAATTGCTACCCTGTTTTCTTTAAAATAGCTAAGACATTCTGGCTCTAGTTTTTTGCCTTCAGACTTTTTGATCTGTTCTCATTACATTCTTGGTGATCTATTTCATCTTTCTGTAATTCAGTAGCTAAGTAATATGTTACAATAGTTGTTCTAAAGTTTCTGTAAAGGCTTTACTAGATTATTAAAGTTAACACTGAGCTGGATATTCATCATTAGTCAAGAAAAAAATTATAAGTCCTCCAGAGTGAAAACTCCTAGTAGGACAAAGTGCATGCATTAAATAATGATAATACCTGAGGAGAAAAGGAACACTTTTTTTTTTTTTGAGACATAGTTTTACTCTTGTCGCCCAAGCTGCAGTGAAATGGCACAATGGCAGCTCACTGCAACCTCCGCCTCCCAGGTTCAAGCGATTCTCCTGCCTCAGCCCCCAAAGTAGTTGGGGTTACAGGTGCCCGCCACCATGCCCAGCTAATTTTTTTTTTGTATTTTTGTAGAGATGGGGTTTCACCATGTTGGCCAGGCTGGTCTCGACCTCCTGCCCTCAGGTGATCCACCTGCCTCGGCCTCCCAAAGTGCTGGGATTACAGGCGTGAGCCATGGCACCCAGAAGGAATACTTTTAATACCACTTCTAAAGTATGTCACTGAAATATCTTTCATAGTTTGTTTTGTTGATTATTTGTGAAAATATAAAATTTTGTAAGTACTTTAACATTCTCACTCTTGTAATCCTACTTAATATCTTATCTTTAAAGGAAATAATTATCTATAGAATAACTTCTATGTTTATAACACAGATTTAGGTTCTGAATATGATTAAATTGGGAGAAACAGTGGCTCGAATATAAAAGGTCACGATTATCTTTAAGGAAAAGAAATTAAGAAAATGAAAGACAACTCAGTCTATGATAAATATGCTCACATATGAGGTATAGTGATTAAATTCTTCAGGAACTGAAAGAAATTAGATAGCAAGATATGCTAGCATAGTCAGAAATTTTATTTCAGGGTACATACAGATTAAACAAGAAGGTATGTCTATAGTGTAACAAAATAACATTGGAAGCTGTAAATTGCCCACTGAATCTTTCCTGATAGTCATACCACACAGAACCCAAATTAAACCTAGTTTACTTTGGATACCTAGGTTATAACATAATTAGGTTCATATTAGTCCTAATAAAGCTAGGTTTTGGCTTCATTTTTAAGAGATGCAATATTTAATAACACTTCCCCCACAGTCCACCTTCTAGTTTCTTACCTGCAAGGTACTGAAGGCACTTGTGCCACTTCCTCCTGCTAGAGATTGAAAAATCCACTAACTCTGCCTTAATGAGAAAGACCAATCTTGTCCAAACAAAATTTGAAATACTTAAAGATAATTATGCTGAAAAAAATATTTTAAAAATGGAGAAAATGGGAGCCAGTGAAAAGAGCCATAAGAGAAAAGATGGGAAACAGCACTTAAGAGGTACATATAAGCATTATTTGATTTGACCCGCCTGACCAGCATGAAGTAACCCCATCTCTACTAAAAATACAAAATTAGCCGGGCATGGTGGTGTGCACCTCTAATCCCAGCTACTCAGAAGACTGAGGCAGTAGAATCTCTTGACCCCGGGAGGCGGAGATTGCCGTGAACCGAGATCACGCCATTGCACTCCAGCCTGGGCGACAAAAGTGAAACTCTGTCTCAAAAAAAAAAAAGATTTAATCTTGGAAACCTAGAAAAAATGTTAAGGGACTGCTGGCTTATTCCCTTGATAAATTTCAAGAAACCTGGTTTCTATGAGTCAAGAAATGAATTGTGAAATATAATGAGAGACAGACATACAAATGGGTGCTGGCTGAAAGGTGAGCAGAAATACAGATAGGGTGAGATGAGAAAGCAACACAGAAAAACAGTAATGGTATGTGAGACAGGCTTATGAGAAGGTCTTCGATTGTAGAGGAACTAATAGAAAAACTGAATTGATCAGGAAGAAAAATATAAATTTCAAAATTACAAAATGATGATATCCATCAGTAATTAGTTCCAGAAAGTCAGAATTAATTAAAATAGGTTGCTAAATGATTTTTTTAGAGCTGTAGAAATTTAAGGCAATCTTACATCCAGATAGTTTAGAGAATGTTTTGTATTTCAAGGAAAAAAGTTTTTCTAAATGAAACAAAGCAGAAATGGAAGGATCCAGTTTTCAACACATAAATATGGATTGTGTCTAACTTAATCTCTTAAACATTAGATGCCAAAAGAAAATATGAGCAATATTCTCAGGCTTTTGATGAGTTATTTGAGAAGGCAAAACTTCAATATGCAAAATTCAATTGAAAAGTGAGTCTAAGAATGAATGCCCTTGCTGAAATCAGACATTTTCGTGATTGTTTTCTGTCAAATAAAATCTTTTTCATGATTGCATTCTGTCAATACATTTCATGATTGTGTTCTGTCAAACTTTTACGTAACAAATAAGACACTTAACAATTCAACAATTACTAGAAGTAGGTGGAAGGCCTCCCAAATTATTATGAAGAGTTGGCATAATTCTCTGTTAAATATAAAAAAGGCTGTTTTCCCAAACTCCCACTAAAAAGAGACTTGTTATCAATAGAAAATAAAGGACCCTAATAATGGAATTGTTATCAATAGAAAATGAAGGATCCTAAATTAAATAATAACTAATAGAATCCAGCACTGAGTTAAGAAGAGGAGCAGGTAATGTTGTGGTGTTTTAAAATAAAAAAATTGGACAATATACTGTATTATATAATGTCTTTCATAAATCCTCTAAGGTAATTGATATAATTCAACATCAATTAATCAATTAAATGTTTATTTTTCTTTAATTTTTAAATTTTTTTTCTTAAATGCCAGACTTACTTTTATATGATGATATCATTTCCAATTAGAGTCAATATTACAGTGAAATATTATTGAAGAAAAAATATATTTAAAAGCTAGTTATAATCATTACTATTTAACATTGACTTGGAATACAAAATGAAGGGGTAAAATTATCTCATAGGAAAGTTTCTTTTTTCTCTCTCTCTCTTTCAAATAGTCGATTGTATGACTAGAAAACCAGAAAGGCTCATTTGAAAATGATTTGAAATTATGAGATTATAACTGTTTTAGTCAGTTCAGCCTGCTGTAACAAAGTACCATAGACCAGATGACTGACAAACAACAGAAATTTATTTCTCACAGTTTTGGAGGCTGGAAATCTGGATCAGGGTGCCAGCGGGGTCGGGTTCTGTTGAAGACACTCTTGCACATTGCAGACTGCTGACTTCAGTCTGTTGTGTCCTCACATGGTGGAAAGAGGGTGAGAGCATTCCTTGGGTTCTTTTTTCATAATGGCATTAATCCCATTTAGGAGGGCCATTCTTATGGCCTAATTAACTCCCACAAGCCCCATCTCCAAATACCATCACATTGGGCATGAGGATTTCAACATGAATTTTAGGGAGACACACACATTCAGTCCATTGTATAATTACAGGTATTTACAAAATAAGTATACCAACATAATTAGCATTTTTATAAACTAATAATTATTATCTACTACATTTAAGAAAATATTCTATTCAACCTGGTAAAATACTTTTATAATATATAAAATATGATAAGTTTAGGAGAAAATATATAGACCCTAGATGATGAAAACTAGAAAACTCTAGAGAAAATGAAGTAAATACAAAATAAACTATGGATAAAATGAAAGGGATACCATTTTGAGAGGCAACATTTTCCTGGATGGGAACATTCATAATGTCAAATGTTGGTTCTCCAACAATCTAAAATTGATAAATCTATTAATTCAATGTTTCCCAATTCAGTTGACAAAAGGGCCCTAAAGGTCATCTTGTATAATAAATGTATTAAAATAGTCCAGAAATTTCTGCAAAAAAAGAATTAGAGCACACTTTCTTATCTGGGGAAACAGAACCACTATTCTCACAAATGTCAGTCAAAAACCTGGGAGTCACCAGCGATTTGTCTTTGCTCCTTCACTTCCAATGTCCTTCTAGTCACATTTTCCATTCTGCTTACAAAGTAACTCAAATTTACCACTTGTTTCCATCCCCGACACCTCAATTCTAAATCAGACCACTGTTGGCTTTCACTTACATCTGTGCACAGCTATTCATCAGTGTCTCTGCATTAATATGTTTCCACACAGTAGCCAGTGATGTTTTGAAAAAATCAAATGTCATCATGTCACTTCCCTGCTTAAAATTCCATGTGGATCCAACAGATGTCTTCAGATGCAGTCCACAATTTTTAATATGACTTAAGACAGTGTTGGCATTAAAATATATTGATGAAATTAATAAAATTCTGTATGATCTTGGCTCTGCTTACCTCTCTAACAGCTCACTACTATGCTCATTCACAATTTGCTTTATTCATACTAACATTATTCATTTCCTCAAAGGTCTTTCATTTCAGGGTCTTCATTTTTGCTCTTCCTGTACCTTTCTTTTTCTCTTTGTTTAACCTTTGGGTTTAAATCTAGAAATCTTTAATTTTGAGGTGCTTTTTTTTTTTTTTTGAGACACAGTGTCACTCTGTTGCCCAGGCTGGAGTGCAGTGGCATGATCATAGTTTACTGCAGCCTCAAACTCCTGGTCTCGAGCAATCCTCCTGCCTCAGCCTCCTGAGTAGCTGGGACTGCAGGTGTGTATCACCAAGCCTGGCTATTTTGTTTTTTCTTTTAGTAGAGAAAGATTCTCACTGTGTTGCCCAGGCTGGTCTCGAACTACTGGCCTCAAGCAATCCTCCTGCCTCAACCTTCCAAAATGCTGAGATTACAAGTGTGAGCTACCTCTGAAGTGCTTGCTGAATTCTCTGCATTTCCCATTTTAAGCTTTCTTCATGTTTGTCTGCTCCTTACCCTACGATTTTGATTCGCGTCTGTAAACAATAGATATCTCTTTTATTCTTTCATTCCAAACTCTTGAAATCCTAAACAACCTGTGGATGACGGCAAAGTCGTCTCTTCTCTTCTCCTGACCCTGAATCATCCCCTCTGAAATAAGTGGCTCTGGAGTGAAAGAAGAAAATGCAGGACTTGACACAAATATCCAGCAGCAAACTTTCTTTTCTGCCTCAGGAAATTATATTTCACCTAGGACATTTTGCTATTGTTTATCAAATATTCTACCTCCCTTGAATCATCTTGGAACACAGGATTCTTGAATCGAGCCTTCTCCTCAGTAACTGAACATTCTTTCTTTCTTTTTTTTTTAGACGGAGTCCTGCTCTGTCACCCAGGCTGGAGTGCAGTGGTGTGATCTTGGCCCACTGCACCCTCTGCCTCCCGGGTTCAAGCGATTCTCCTGCTTCAGCCTCCTGAGTAGCCAGGATTACAGGCGTGGGCCCCCACCTGGCTAAGTTTTTGTATTTTTAGTAGAGACAGGGTTTCACCATGTTGGCCAGGCTGGTCTCGAACTCCTGACCTCAGGTGATCCACCCTCCTCGGCCTGCCAAAGTGCTGGGATTACAGGCATGAGCCACCGTGTCTTGCCTCAAAATTCTTTTCTCAACTTTCCCAGAGAGAGAGCATTCCGCCTCTTCTAGCTTAACAACTTCATGTAAACGGGAAGATATAACAGGGTAGTAGAAAAATCTCAGGAGAAATCCAATTACCTCAGTTGGTATAGCTAAAAGATTTCTTCAGACTTCAAGCTATGGGGTCAGGACTATGTTTTTATAATTCTCAGAGGAATGCCTTGTCCCTATCACAGGGCCAGGCTCTGTTAAGTAAGTGATAAACGTGTATAGAAAGAAAGAGAAAAGGAAGGAAAGAATCATGTCATACAATTAGAGAATAAAACAGGCTTCTTAAAATTCAATTGAGGAGCTAAACAAAATGAATAATCAATACTCTTTAAATATAATAATTTGATTTATTTCTTACAAATGTCTCTAAGGTGAATTGGACTTCTTTTGCAGCTTTTTTGTCTGCCTCTTCCTCTTGCTTGGCACACCCCTGCCCATCTTCCAATATTAGCTTAAATATTACCAACCTTTTTGTTTTTCTCCCAGTATTCTGGATGTTTTACCCATATATTATACCTTTCATACATCTTAACAAATTTTTACTGCATTGCAATTTTAACATACCTGCTATCTTGCCTCCCAAATACATAGAAGATTATTGAGTCCATTGACTCAAGTTTCATTTATATTTCTGATATGGTTTGGCTGTGTCCTCACCCAAATCTCATCTTGAATTGTAGCTCCCATAATTCACATGTGTTGCGGGAGGGACCCGGTGGGAGATAACTGAATCATGGAGGCAGTTTCTGCCATATTGTTCTCGTGGTAGTGAATAAGTCCCCCAAGTTCAGACGGTTTTATCAGGGTTTCCCCTTCTGCTTGGCTCATTCTCTCTTGCCTGCCATCTTCTGCCATGATTGTGAGGCCTCCCCAGCCACATGGAACTACGAGTCCATTAAACCTCTTTTTCTTTATAAATTACCTAATCTTGGGTATGTCTTTATCAGCAGCATGAAAACAGACTAATACATTTTTATCCCAACACCTTGCACTATCTGGTGAGGGAACATATTTAATAAGTATTTGTTGAATACAGAAATATGTTTTATTTACTTCATTTTAATCTGATATGACGGAGACCAAGAGATCATGCAGGACGTATTCGCTTCTTCTTCACTGGAAGATGAGCGTTTTGTAAATAGCTGCATTACCACCTGGACTAAGATTATATTCTGCAGTTCCCTTTACAATGAGTATGATTATGTGGCTAACTTCAGGTTAATGGTATATGCCTGGAAGTTTCATGAATGATGCCCAGAAAGTATCCTTAAGGGAGATAATACATCCTTCTTGAATTCCTTCTTTCTGTTTGCTGGAATGCAGATACGATAGAACACAAAGAGGCCTCTTCCAGACGTTGATGTGGTAGATCAAATGTACCCATGCCCTTGATGACAAACTGCATTTATTTACGTAGGACAAACATAAGCTCCTATCTAGCTTGAACTACTATGGCTTAGGGCGCTTTACCTCTCACAACTAAAACTAAATCTTAACCATTGATATAAATATCAAAATAATTTCTGTTAAGTGTATTTTTTTTTTGGTCATTGGTATAGGTTGAATTTTGTCCCTCAGGAATTCATATGTTGAATTCCTAACCCTGGTGCCTCAGAATGTGACTTTATTGGAAGTAGGATCATTGTAGATGTAATTAGTTAGGATGAGGTCCTATTGGAGTAAGGTGGGTCACTAATCAAGTAAGACTGGTGTCCTTATAATAGAGAAATTTGCAGACAGACACATACTGGAGGGGAGGTCTATGCTGAGATTGCAGTTATGCAGCTATAAGCCAAGGATCTTCTAGAGCCTAGGAGGGAGGCTTGGAACACATCTTCTTTTACACCTTCAGAAGCAGCATGACCCTGCTGATACTTCAGTCATGGATTTCTTGTGTTTATTGAGATAGTAAATTTCTGTTGTTTAAGCCTCTCAAATTGTGGTAATCTGTTATAGAAGCTCTAATAAATGAGTACATCCATTTCTTCCCTAGTAATTTAAGATGAAGGAAGATCATTACACAATTAAAAATAAAACTAATTTACTTTAGCATTATTATATTAATGTGTAATAATAAAATAGTGAACAACTACATTAAAATATGTACAGGTAAATACAGTAGTCCCTTCTTATTTGTGGGGAGTATGTAATGATACTCCCAATGGGTATGCCTGAAAATGCACACAGTACAGAATCCTATATTTATCATGTTTTTCCTATACATACCTGCCTAGAATAAAGTTCAATGTATTAAAAAATTACACATAGTAACAGACTAACAATTACTACTAATAGAACAATTAAAACAGTATACTATTATAAAAGTTATGTGAATGTGATCTCAGATATTTTCTGTAACATTTTCAGACTGTAGTCAACTACAGGTCACTGCAGAAAGTGAAGCTGTGGATAAGGGGGGACTGTTATAATAGAAACAATATAGTCAATCTTCAATCCTCAGTGCTTCTTTTGACCATTCCCCCCACCCCAACTAGAAAATGCCTTTCACTCCCTTCGCCCCTCATTAACCTTCAGCATGACATTAGTTATATTGCCCGCATCCTTGTATGGAATTACTAAATAGGAAGAAGTTAAGCAAAAATGTATAATGAATGTAAGAAAGCAATGGCTCTGTGCATACTACCATTAAAATAGTGACACCTATATAAATTATATTTAGGTCCCGAAAAAAACACTACAATGATTCTGTTTCTTTAACTCAGATCACTCAAATATTATGTTCTAATGGTTATTAGATTTGTCATCTGTTGTAACAATTACATTATACATAAAATTTAATAACAACGTAGTCAACATGAGCCTTCAAAAGAGCTCTACAAGTTACCTGTTTTCTTATTAAGCTAAAAGAGTAGTAGAGAGAAATAAATGCAGTTATGAAAGCTGTGTGTTATAAATAATCCAGTGTTGCACCCTCCACAATGATGTTGTCCATGAACTCTGAATGTAAATTGTAGATTACTTTGAAATAACTAGGTTAGCAAAACAGATTTAGTTACAAGCCAGGTGTTTTCTTAAGTATGTTTAGATGCTTTTTTTTTTGCAACTTTGTTAGATATACTTTGCTAAATATATTTAAATGAATCTTTGCTTTTGTGCACAGAGCAAAGCTAATATGTTGCTTCATAGTGTGTTGGAGAAACATTTTTTATTTCTTGCCAAATGAGATCATTCATGGCACACCTGACAAGACTTTTTCTTGAATCATGCCTGAAGCCGTGGCTGAACTATGGCCTAAGCCAGGTAGCTGTATTTATCACTTAAATGTATTGCCTTATATTAAATTGATTTTATATATTATATACATATGTTATTCTAAATAATGGCAGTTTTTATAAAATTTCTATGAAAATCGTTCCTAAGAAAAGTAATATTTGAGGTAAGATGCCTAAAGTTCTATACTCAATAAAGCTCTAATTCAATAAAGAAAGGGACTTCATTCATCTTTTTACACCTTAAATATCTAGGCTGCCATAACAAAGTAACACAAACTGAGTGACTTCAGCAATTCAAAATTTATTGTCTCACAGTTCTGAAGGCCACAAGTCTGAAATCAAGGTGTTGGCAGAGCCACACTCCCTTTGGAGGTGCTAGGGAAAGTTCTGTTCCAGGCCTCTCTTCTAGTTTTTGGTAGTTTCTTGTATTTGCATATTGTTCTCCATCTGTGTGTGTCAGTCTGTTTCCAAATTTGCCCCTTTTTGTAAGAACACCAGTCATATTGAATTAGGGCCCACCTGAAAGATTTCATTTTAACTTGAATACCTTTGTAAAGGTCCCATTTCCAAATAAGGTCACATTCTGAGGTACTGGATGTTAGGACTCCAACATGTCATTTTTGGGGGACATAATTCAACCCATAACGCTCTCTACATCTGGCAAGATGATTGACATGGAGCTTACATCCAGTAAATGTCTATTAATAGATACACAAATGAATTATGGGAGGGAAGATGATTGAATTAAATTTACACATAAATCGTGAATCCTGAGATACTTATTACTATCATAGGAACAAGTTATATGTGCATATGTGTGCGCTCAAGGCCAGCATTTAATATTGGTTACAGCAAACAGAAAAATTTTTAGGCCATGCAAGGAAAAATTCAGGGATACAGCCAGTTTTGCTTATTTTCCTTTGTTCTATATTTTAAACAAATGATCATCTGTTCTTTTCATCACCAGAAGAAACAACATATTGGACCTTGGCAGAACCAATCCATTAGAGTAAATCCAATGCATTCATTGATATTTACTATGTTGTATTTGTTCAATATAGGATGATTGAACGAACTTGAATCTACTATAAGTTCATTTATCTTTTCTACGCCATATGTACAAGTTACAGATTTTGTGAATTAAATGGAGATAAGAATAAAATTGTGTTTTGAGATTTTAATCCTGCATAATTTGCTTTAAATCAAGAGAAAATTTAGGAGTAAAAGCAGCAGAGGGTATATTTCTGTATACCCATCATGCTCAGAATCCTGCCTAGTGTGGAAGGCAAGGGTGTAATTTGATGAGCCTTTTCTTGTGTTGCCTCCTTAAAGGCAGTTCTGAAAACTGTATTTCTTCTTGGATTGATTTTTAGTGTCTATAAAAACTTTATAATAGTGATTTATCAATACTTCTACTCTCTTTATAAGTAATTATCTCAATTACCTATAAAAAAGTTATATATGGGTTCTACTCATATATAACTTGTATTGTATCTGATGTGTTTTGTTAATTCTATGGATCAATAGGTATATCAAGATTTCAGACTGTACTTAACTATACTTTTACCAGTCTTAGGTAAGGCTATATAGATAGCCTTTGGTAACTGCTGAATGTGGAGTTGAAGGAGGGACATGACATTACTATTAGGTTATTGAAATGTCAAAAATCTTTCAATTTGAGGGAAAGAAACTGAAATTAACATATGATCAGGAAGTCAGGTGTTTAGCCAGGCTTAGGAAAACCTGGAACCAGGTGTTGAATGCCGGCAGAATTCTCTCTTTTTATTCATGTCTTTTTAATCACTGTTTTTTAGTTTCTGTCTATTAACTTCCTCCTTTTGCACTGATGACTTGTGTTCTTCATGTGCACAAACATGGTTAATAATAGATTTGACACAAACCTTCCACAATTGTTACCAAAAACAAATCAAGGACTGACTCTCATTTTTTGTTTTTTGTTTGTTTGTCTGTTTTTGACACAAAGTCATTCTGTCATCCAGGCTGGAGGGCAGTGGTGCAATCTTGGCTCACGGCAACCTCCGCCTCCCAGGTTCAAGTGATTCTCCTGAGTAGCTGGGATTACAGGCATGCCCCACCATGCCAGGCTAATTTTTGTATTTTTAGTCGAGACAGGGTTTCACAATGTTGGCCAGGCTGGTCTTGAACTCCTGACCTCAAATGACCTGTCCATCTCGGCCTCCTAAAATGCTGGGATTACAGGCATGAGGGACTGCATCTGGCCTCATGTTCTATTTTTTAAATTTCCTAGGGAAAAGTCATTCTAGGGAAAAATTTTCATTGGCCAGAATTGGGCTATGTATTTATTCCTGATCATCAACCATGGCTGGGAGATGGGGTCCCGTAAAATCATGGAGACACCTGGTCCAGCCATAGGGAGTTGTAGGAACAGACACTTGCAGCGGAAGTATTGAGTTTTTGTCCTAGAACGAAAGGAGCTGAGACCTAAAATACTGTGATTTCCACAGAAACAAACCAACCCAAGAATCTATTTTAAAAACTTTCTCATTCTGTAAGAAGCCTTGTGCTAGATCCTCAGGAAATAAAACATTAAATATCACAGACCCTAACCTCAAACAATGTACAAACTTTTGTGAGAATGGAGTAAGAGAATGGAGCAAGCATAATTATCAAACATCTATAGGGCAACGAGGACATTTCCTCTCTGTTCCTTAAAATCACCCTGCAGAAATGTATTCGTTTAGCTGTATTATAGGCAAAAACAAAACAAAACAAAAAACAACAACAACAAAAACTATCACCATGAAATAGCTTTACATAGAACAGTAGATGGGTTCAAAGGAATGAGAGAAATCACATTTAAGATAAACAGGAAAGGGTTCACGGGGAAGGTAATGTGAGCCTTTAGCGATAGGTACTATTTTTTGATGATGATAATGTTACCAGGAAGTGTGGGGGTCCTTGGTTCTTGTCTTCTTGGAGGAAATAATTCAGCCAAGAGACCAACTAGTAAAAGAAGCAAAGGGCTTATTAAGGAAATAAGAGTAGACTCCAAGAGAGGAATGGACTGACCGGGCTGGGAGCAGCCCAGAAAGTTCTCTGTTGGGTTTTTATTCTGCTGGACTATTTCTTTAAGTTCCCACCTCTGTCTCCAGTCTCCTCCCTTGTCTTTTTCTACTTTCCTAATTCTGTCTTAAGTCTTTGCCTTGTCCCTGCCTAGTTCCCTCCCAGGTCTGTGGGACTTCCCCTTACTGTCAGTTGATGCACATGTGTGAGCACAGGTGATCAATACGAATCCTACCTAACAGCAGGGCAGTGTTGCTCATTACCACCACCCCAGGAAGGTTGTATAGTGGTTAAATCTGTGCTTATTGTTCTTATGTATCTCTTAGAATTCCATTTTGCCCCGTTTCCCTTCTTCTCAGCATGTAGCTAGTGACATTCTGACATTTTAACTGTGGAATGGGCAATTACTGGGCACCATAAGGGGCATTTTGGGTGTTGCTTTCTGCATAGGAATTTTCCCTCCTTTCTGCTCATATCTAGTATGAATATTTTGGGTGGTCTCTGGGGCATGGGATTTTCCAGAGCTTCCTCCCCCAGGTGCTTTATTTCCTGCTCATGGCTAACTATCTGCCTACTCTAACAATAAGATTACAGACTAAAACCCTGGGGTTAAAAACCATGTTGTATATTTGGGCAAAAATGAATTATCCAATAGAGGTTGAATATTGAGGCAAGTCAAGAGTAGGAAAATAGTTTAAAACTATGTTTAGTTATTTTAATAGGAAAATAATATTACCCTACTTTTAATAGATAAGGATTAGTAGACACAAATGTAAATATATAGGTGAGATAAGAAGGTTCTGAGATTCTTTTTGATTTTCTGTTCAATAAACGGATTCTTAGCAAGGCTGTGGCTTCTCTGTTACTCATTTTAAAAGTAGAAATGGCATTGAGATTTACTGATGAATCATGTGCTATGGAACAGATTCTGATATTTTAATTATCTCAGTTTGATGTTACAGAAAGACGTCTTAAAACAAATTGCGTACCAATTCTTAATTAACGACACTATAATATGGTTTATTACTAGAGTTGTACTGAAGATACACGGAGGCAAAATGAAATACAGAACTATACAAATCTTTTCAAATAATAAGTACTACAAATAAAAGATAAATGTCATCTACATTAGTCTGAATTAACTTGATAATTACTTTATGACTCATTTTGGCATTATCACTGTTTATTTAGTAAAATATTTGGTTAGTTTTAAGAGTTGAAGTAACGTGTTAGCAAAGTTAGTGAAATTGCAGAAACAAACCGTCTAACCCTCAAAAAGTCACATGAACGGTGGAAGCTAACTTGTAACAATGGGCAGAGCCATTTGCTACTGGAAGGATAATCAGCCTCACCAAGTCAACTTAGATAGTAACCTTAGTTAAGATAGTCATTTTAATGAAAAAATGGCATACATCTTCTGAGTTGTGAATAAGAATTGTCCTCAATCACATCTGGAATTGATAAACATATTTTTGTTCAGCAAGCAGAGAATTACTTTTGTGAATTACATATTTCCTCAGGCCACTCAGCCTTCGGAGGCAACCAAGGGCTTATGCATGGTAATTATAATTTGATTTGATTCAAAATTTCAACCACGTTTGGGTGATCTTCCAAAATAGCCCCCAGTCTCTTACACTTCACAGTTGATGTTGGAATGCTCTAGTCTTGTAGGCCTTTTGATTATTTTTTCTGCTTGCTCTGTTGCTCCTAGTTTCCTTAATCCCAGTGAGCTACTCGACCGCCCTCATTAGGCTGAGAATGTTTATTGGCTTAAAATGTATTTGTAGACCCAAGATGGAGCTGTCTCTGTTTCTCCACTTTCAAAATTCAGTATTAGTGTTCACAGAAGTTACTTTTCATTCATTCCAAATTTCCTTCACCATTTCTCTCAGAGGTCCATAGACTCCTTGCAGACACAAAATGTTCTGGAAACTACATTAAGTGTGGCTACGAATTACCCCTTTCTCTGAGATTCAAAATATGTGTAAATTTAGTCTTTTCAGTCTTTTTTCTACACAAAGAAGCAGCCCTATCTTAAATGCCATTGGTAGAAATGAACTACTGCAGAATATTGACTCTGGATATCAGAACATATTTCATTTTAAACCATAAATCAGCTACCACATAGGGCTAAGTGAGGTTCAGAGGGTGTCAAGCATGAATCCGAGATCATGACAGGCCTTCATAGAAAGTGCCCAACTGTGGCAGGCAGTCCCTTCATTATACCTGTCCCCAGCCTCAGCATTGTGGTACAGTTAAAAAGTGTTTTGTTTTGTTTCTTTTTTACCTTCTTTCATACAGTAGGAGCACTCAAAATTACCTAATGTATCACTCAAGTGAAAAAAAAAAAAATCAGGATAACCCACTAAGTCTTAACTAAGTTTGGCTGCCTTTTAAGTACTATGTTAATATTGGTGATGCTTTTCCGGAAACGGAACTGCTTGACCTCTTTCTTCTTTATTATAGAAAACAAAGGATAATGAGTCAGGCAGAACTAATTTTAAATGATAACAAAATAATGATTAAAAACCAAGTTAATTTTGCATACATCGATTGATGTTGAAAATGCACTAATAAAATGACTGCAAATTAGACATTGTAAGACAAGATAAACAAGCAAAATGAGACTCATCTGTCTCAGTTGCAAAATGAAACACTCAAATCCATTGCCTCTATCATTTTGTATTTATGTAATACTGATCACATCAAACATTATTCTGTTTATAAATGACTTCATATGTGAAACAATGAGATACAGTGGAACTGTTTATAATTCTAGACTTCTGTTCAGAGTAGAACTAACAAGTGTAATACAGGCTAAATAGATAGCATCAGTCATTTGTGTTTTTGTTTCTTGGTTATGATTTCAAGATATGTCATATCTGGATAGTTAACCGTGTAATTTATAATCCAAACCAGGAAACTTTTGAGAGTGAAAGAAGAAACTACTTATGATTATGTTGGGGCAATATGCATCTACCCTGAGTAAACCAGGACAAATAGTAACTTTATAGACTTGTGTAATGAGGCTTTATTCTATTTAGCTACTTTTGTTTTGACAGTTTTGTTATATTTTAATTCATGTAAAGATGCCAACAATTACAGAACTTTAAAATCAGTTAGCAATTTCTACCCTGTCTCTGTACATGTTTCATTGCTTTTTTTCATCTATTATTATCAAATTTCAGAGTTCTTTGAGCATAAAAGTCTTCATTCTAACATAAATAGTACATTTCTATTTGGTGTCAATAATACGTATACATAAACCCTTATCTTCCTTCATGTATATTATTTTTTTCATATCGCAAGACATCTTTAAAATATAAAAGCATTTTTTTATTGCTTATGTCTCTAGTTGTTTTTATAATATTGTTGACTTGGATACATAAAGAAATGATCGATGGTTCATGATATGGTATGGCTCTGTGTCCCCACAAAAATTTCATGTCAAATTGTAATCCCTGGTGTTAGAAGTGGGGCCCAGTGGGAGGTGATTGGATCTTGGGGGCAGTTTCTCATGGTTTAACACCATTCTCCTTGGCACTGTTACTGTGATAGTGAGTTCTCGTGAGATCTGTTTGTTTAAAAGTGTGTGGCACCTCCCCACAACCTTGCTTCTGCCCCAGCTATGTAAAACGTGTCTATTTCCCTTTCACCTTCTGCCAGGATTACAAGTTTCCTGAGGCCTCCCCAGAAGCATAAGCCACTATGCTTCCTGTACAGCTTGCAGAACCAGGAGCCAATTAAACCTCTTTTCTTTATAATTTTCTGAGTCTCAGTTATTTTTTATAGTAGTGCGAGAACAAACTAATACCGTATTGAAGAGAATCACAGAATAGGATGTGATTAACAAATTTAATTCTTATTGAGAATTATTATTTGCAAGCACTAAGCCATGAGCTTGTGCAGATATTATCTAATTTTTGTCCTTAAAAATGATGCTTTGAGATAGGTATGTTATGTTAATTTTCCCATAGAAAAACTGAAGTGAAAGAAAAAGTTTACCCCAAATGACAGAGCTTTTAAGAAGTGAAAATGGCATATAGAAGCAGGTTCTTATCCTTACTATTGTGCTTTTTTTCTACATTTTTATAGAACCTGCACGTTCTATACAATCTGCAAATTCTATATATAGCTCTAAAACCTAAAGTAGAAGACGGCATTAAAAAGTCAAATTAGTGTTACAGTAGCCTTGAAAATAATTCTGTAATATATCGATCACAATATAAAAATGGAATATAAACTCAAGTTATTATTTTAGTACACATGAATATGATTAGACAATTCATCAGTTTGTTCAATAAACAAACAACCAATATCCACTAGGAAACAAATTTTAATAAATCATATTTCTTGTTTAAAAAAATGTGCTTCACAGAACCCACAAGTTGTTGAGGTAATAGGGAAAAGTTATCTGTCTTAAAGTTTAGTTTCAATGTCAGGGCTTTCCCAGAAATATTAGAAATAGTTTTACCTGTTTCAGCTCATGACAATACATAATAGAGCCTAAGTACACCAGCTTTGGCAGCCTAGAAGACAACAAAGTTTATCTCAAATCTCAACTTGGATTGGAGGAACACATTCTTTTCAAACAAGTATTTTGTTAAATATTTTGTTTGGGCAAGTATCTTTTCATCCTGAAGAAATATTAATATATTCTTTATTAATTGTTATGTATTAATAAACAACCATTATTGAGGCCTATCTCAATGGTGGTCCATTTGTTAAGAGCTTACTGTTATAGAAAGTAATCAGTAACATCATCCAAAACCACCCTCAAATTGTGGATGCCATACATCTAAGGTAAAATTCTAAAAAGGAAAGTCTTCCATGTTTCATTTATTTTAGATCCAAGGAGTTCTTCTCATTAACATTTCCCTTGGTCTTTGGTGTTTGTGTTCCTGAACCTCCTCTTGTTCAGCCTGATTTGTAGCCTTGCTGCTGTGCTATGTTTATTACTGTACTAAAACAAGGTTACTTTGTACAAATAACCAGATGCATCCTCTAAGTAGGTCTCTAAGGAATGCCAGTAATGTTTCCTGAAACAGTCATGCATTAGGCGTGTGAAGTCTGAGAAAGCCGATCACAGGGTTATCTTCCCACCATATGAATCAGATGTTTGTTATTCCTTATTCTGCTCTTCACTATATTGTTAAATGTTAAGAAACGATTGGGAAGAAAGGCTGTTAATTAACAAAAGACACTGGAGAATAGATCACCCAAAGGGTAGGGAAGCCAATTAACTGGAACAGTGAGAAACATTGTGTGTTCAAATCCAGAATTGTGCTGAAGCAGGCACAAAATAACAACACTCACAAGATGACAAAATATAAGGTGGGAAGAGAGTCAGACGAAAGTAGAATTGTAAAAGGCAAAGCAGAAATGAAAGGTCAATCCCTATAGAGCAGGTTATTTACAGAACTCAGTAAAGGGAAATATAGGCTTATAGTAAGAAGTAACTAATAAAAAATGGAGAGAGCTTCCCCCTCTGCCCAAGGAAAATATAACACATTTATTACTTAAAAAAAAGAAAAACTGTCAATAGTTGAAAGTCACTTTGTCAAAATTAGTAGCATTATTACAATATATTTTTAAGTCCATATGGACCAGATTGTCAATTGTACCCTGTACTAAGCTCGAAACTAAGGCTCTTGGGCATTTTTTTCTATCTCAAGTAAGCAATGTGAACAAGCCAAAGCAGTTCTGTGTGTGTACAAAATGGCTCCCACCGAGTATGTAAGAATTTTCAGATCAAATATCTTCATAATTTTTAACAGTTGTGAACAATCTCTATCCCTTTTCAGTTTCATTCCTCACTGATGCCCCTAGCCTTGCAAGCCAAAGAGCCTGTAGAGATTTCTGCGGAATAAACCTGCCCATCAGAAGACGGAATCCAATACATTAATTTCATTAACATCTTCTCTAAACAACTGGCCTAAACAATAATTATTCACAGAATGAAGTTAGCTTGTTAGTATAGACTTTTTTATATAGATAATTTAACATGAGAAATCTTGTGTTTTTAAATCTCATGATATGGTATGGCTCTGTGTCTCCACCAAAATCTCATGTCAAATTGCAATCCCTGGTGTTAGAAGTGGGGCCCAGTGGGAGGTGATTGGATCATGGGGGCAGGGAGGCTAGGCCAGTCTCTCTCTTTTTCATGTTTTTCTGCCTGCTTTATATCTCTGGCAGCTGATTAGATTGTGCCCACCAGATTAAGGGTGGATCTGCCCTCCCCAGCCCACTGACTCAAATGTTGTCTCTTTTGGCAACACCCTCAGAGACACACCCAGGATCAATACTTTGTATCTTTCAATCCAATCAAGCTGACACTCAGTATTAACCATCACATGTATTAAGTGGATGCTTAAGGGATTTAGGGAATACTTTTTCTCTATGGACTGTCTTCTTCCTAGTTTCTTGCTAAAGAAGCCAAGAAAGTTTGATGTTACTAAACTTAGTAGTGGTCTCTTCTTCCAATTTTTCCTTTTCTGAGGCAAAAAACCTTCATGGTTTCACCTTAGAAGTGAGTAGCTGTAAAGGAATCTTAATTAAGGCAAAAATCTAAAATGTGTTTGTTTAGTAGTATATGTAATCACATTCAATGAGATCCATATGTGAGCAAAAAGTAATGAATGCAAATGCTTTTAGTAATTGCTTTCTTTCTTTGGTTAACACATCCCTAACAATAACTGACAATATAAATTTGACCTTTGAGAATTATCTCCCCTAATTTCCCTTATTTCACTCTCTAGTTCTCTTGATACCATCTGTTCTTTTCCTTCTTCTTCCTTTTATTTTACTTTTCTTTGTCTCTTTTCTGGAAATACATTGAACATCTATTTTCTTGGGTGCTTTCACTGAGCTTCAGTAAATACATTCAATGTTATTTCTATTTATTCAAATTCTATAAATATGGAATTCTGACTACAGCTATCTTTGTCATTTCGTTGTATCCTTCCATTTCAATTATTTACAGTGTACTTGCCTGACCCCACACTTACTTTTTATAAAACTAGAACTAATATGTGGATAGGAGATGCTATAGTGAATAAACTATTGTATTAGGGTTCTCTAGAGGAACAGAACAAATGAGATACAGGTTTATATGAAGGGTAGTTTATAAGCAGAATTGACTCACACATTCACAAGGTAAAGTCCCATGATAGGCAGTCTGCAAGTTGAGGAGCAAGGAAGCCAGTGATGGATCAGTATGAATCCCAAAACCTCCTAAGTAGGGAAGCCAAGAGTGCAGCCTCCAGTCTGTGGCCAAAGGCCCGAGAACCCCCGGGCAAACTACTGGTGTAAGTCCAAGAGTCCAAAAGCCGAAGAGCTTAGAGTCTGACGTTTGAGGGCAGGAAGCATCCAACACGGGAGAATGATGAAGGTCGGAAGACTCAGTAAGTCTAGTCCTTCCAGCTTCTTCTGCCTGCTTGATTCTAGCCACGCTGGCAGTTGATTACATCTTCTTTGGCAACACCCTCACAGCCACCCAGGAACAATACTTTGCATCCTTTAAGCCAATCAAGTTGACACTCAATACTAACCATCACAACTATGTTTCGGGTAGTTAGTCCGTTGTAGAAGGACTTTCCAGGAATAGTATGTGACATTTATCTTAACAGTAAATTGGTAATGCAATTACAACTAAAATAGAAAGTATCAGCTTTGGGATCAGTTCTCAGATATCAACTGTCCATCTTAGAGGCTGATTTAACTCCAGGTGTGTTTTAAATTCTCTTGTACTTTGATAAGCTTTTAAAATACATTGGTGGCTGGGCACAGTGGCTCACACCTGTAATCCCAGCACTCTGGGAGGCCAAGGCAGGTATATTACCTGAGGTCAGGAGTTCAAGAGTAGCCTGACAAACATGGTGAAACCTCGTCTCTACTAAAAATACAAAAAAATTAGCTGCTCATGGTGGCGCACCCTGTAATCCCAGCTGCTCAGGAAGCTGAGGCAGGAGAATTGCTTGAACCTGGGAGGAGGAGGTTGCAGTGAGCCGAGATCCTGCCACTACACTCCAGCCTGAGCGACAGAGCAAGACTCCATCTCAAAACAAAAGTAAAAATAAAAGTAAAATAAAATACATTACTTTTGGACAGGGAACATGTCTTTTTCAGTTCATTGATGTGCTCCCTGCTTGTCTCCCCATGCATCAGCCTGCTTCATTTATTTGTGCGATTTGCCTGCTGATAAGAGAGTAATTGAAGTTAAGTCTTCTTCTTCCACTTGGTGGTATGTGCTTAGGCATATTATTTTGACGTCAGTTCTTTTTTTTCTGAAACACAAGACTGAAAATAGGTTTGTCTGAGGATCTAAATTATACATGTTCTTATATATGTGCTTTTCTTTTCTTTTTTTTTTTTGAGATAGAGTCTCGCTCTGTCGCCCAGGCTGGACTGCAGTGGCGCTATCTCAGCTCACTGCAAGCTCCGCCTCCCGGGTTCACGCCATTCTCCTGCCTCAGCCTCCCGAGTAGCTGGGACTACAGGCGCCTGCCACCACACCTGGCTAATTTTTTGTATTTTTAGTAGAGATGGGGTTTCTCCGTGTTGGTCAGGGTGGTCTCAATCTCCTAACCTTGTGATCTGCCTGCCTCGGCCTCCCAAAGTGCTGGGATTACAGGCGTGAGCCACCGCTCCCAGACATATATGTGCTTTTCTTAGAAGTCATCAATGTTCAATCTCTCACAAAAATGTGTAAACATTTATAAACCCATTTATATTTACATAGAATCCATATTTCTGTTATAGTAACATATTTTACAAACTATTTTCTCTCTCGAAAAGTTGCAGTTAGCTTTATTTACAGTTATTTCTTTGACAGATGAATTCCTCCTTGCCTCTCAACTGAAACCTGTCTGAGGCCACAGTGACCTCCTGAATTACCAAATCTTTGCCTTTTTTCTTTCATGTCATTTAGCTTTGCTATTATCTATGGCCAAATATTTTTCCTAAAGCATTGAAAGATCTCATGCTTAGACTCAACATTTTTTAATAGGAAGAATAAAGAAAAGTAGTATTTATTACCGACTATGTTTCAGGCCTCCTTTTAAGTTCTTTACATGCATTAACTCATTTGTTCTTCAAAATAATCTAATGTAGTAGATAATATTAGATACTGTTATTATCATCTTAGAGAAAACAGGCACAAGAAGCTTAGTGTCATGCTCAAAGCTTTGCAGTACATAAATAATGCAGACAAATTACTTAAATTTAAGATATATACATATATAGTATATATAACTATATATGTAGTTGTCTGTTGGAGTCAGTCTGTTGAAGATATACATATTCATTTCAAATTATATATAAAAATATGATATACATGTATATACATGTAGACACACACAGTTGCAGACAACAAAGAACATTTTGGGTCATTTGTGGTAACTAGGAAATAACTGTTAATGACAAAAGACAGCTAATGTATTTAACAATAAAAGAATTTATCTGTGCAAGAATGTGTTGTTTAGGCTGGGCACAGTGGCTCATGCATGTAATCCTAGCACTTTGGGAGGCTGAGGCAGGCTGATCATCTGAGGTCAGGAGTTCAAGACCAGCCTGGCCAACATGGTGAAACTCTATCTCTACTAAAAATACAAAAAATTAGCTGAGTGTGGTGGTGGGTGTCTGTAATCCCAGCTACTCGGAAGGCTGAGGCAGGAGAATTGCTTGAACCCAGGAGGCGGAGGTTGCAGTGAGCTGAGATTGTGCTGCTGCACTCCAGCCTGGGCAACAGAGTGAGACTCTACCTCAAAAAAAAAGAAAAGAAAAGAAAAAGAATGTGTTATTTAGTGTAAAATTAAAATACAGATTTGGGGATTTGGGGACCCTTGTGTATAATTACATGGTCTCGCATGAAGTCTCCTAACCAAAGATTGGGAATGCTAATGTAGCTCTTAGTCACTGTCTCAGCTATCATTATTCACGTTACCTCTTTAGGTTCTTATTTTTTCTTTGTTTTCATGTGTTAATTTCATGTCATTTGCCCTTCACTAGTCCCTCTATTTTTCCATCATACTTTGTTGATATGTATTTCTCACAAACCAATACAAAAGAGTAGGAAAATATTTTTGTCTACAGAGTTAATCTTGATATTTATGTTTATACAAATTCATTTGGGGGACTCTTCATTGGCTGCAAATGCTCACTGGGCTAAATTTCCCATAAGTATTTTAATGCAAAATTTCTCATTTCATTTGTTGTGCAGATGAAAATTATAGGCTAGGCATGGTGGCTCATGCCTGTAATCTCAGTGCTTTGGGAGGCCAAAGCAGGAGGATTGCTTGAGCCTTGGAGTTTGGGAGCAGTCTGGGAAACACAGTGAGACCCTGTCTCCGCAAAAAATAAAAATATTAACCTAGCACAGTGGCACACACCTGTGTTCCCAGCTACTGTGGGGCTGAGGTGGGAGGATTGCTTGAGCCTGGGAGGTCGAGGCTGCAGTAAGGCATGATTGCACCACTACACTCCAGCCTGAGTCACAGTATGAGAACCTGTCTCAAAACAAATAATAAAATAAAATTAAATTAAAATTGTAAGTACCTTTATATTAGTATTGATTTTAAATATCATTTTATATTCTTCTGAGAAGTCCTCAGTCAATCTTTGGAGTGCATATAACATATTGTAGAAACCAAATTCACTTCTGTGGAAATTAACTATAAACTGACAATAATAAAGAGATGTAGACAAGTAGAATAAGGCTGTTAGAACCAGAAAAAATTGTAGAGATTCTTTCATTAAACCATCTCTTTTTAACCACATAAAGTTGCTAAAGGATAAAATATCTACATAATTAAAAAAATACCATCATAAATTTGTTCTTTAGGTATTTTAAGGTAGAAAATAAGAAACTTAATAAAAATCAAACAAATAAAAATATAATTCAATTTATAGTGAACAAAAATATTTTAAAGGCAAACTCAAAAAAAGCATTTCCAACAATTTTAGAACATGATAAATTATACTGTTACCTGTGCTGCCATTATATCAAAGTAACCAGTCAATTCAGTCATAATTGAATCATAATGACAAAAGAGCTAATTTATTTTCTTCATTTTTTCATTGTAAATTTGACATTTTGTAAAACTTACTACAGACAAAAGACTGAGAAGATGTATAATTTTCTCACACCTGTATTGATTATATAAAAATCAGTGCATTTTAGTTTATGAGTAAAAAAGGATTTCATATTTCTTATGTTAATACATAAGTGTATTAGTCCATTTTCACACTGATAAAGGCATACCTGAGACTGGGCAATTTACAAAAGAGAGAGGTTTAATGCACTTCCAGTTCCACGTGGCTGTGGTGGCCTCAAAATCATGGCAGAAGGTGAAGGACACGTGTCATATGGTGGCAATCAAGAGAAAAGAGCTTGTGCAGGGAAACTCCAGTCAAGGAAGTTTGTGATGGTTTATTGGAGACATATTAATATCATCAGTTTTAAAGTTGAGATGTGGATACAAATTTATCAGGTAGACAAATGTTTCCTGAAACAGGTAAATAGAGTATGAAGAGGTGGAGAGAATATAATAATCCAGGAAATGGAAAAGCCATAGAAGTATGTGAGCATGATGAGTGGAAGGAGCTATAAGTAGTTCAACATGATTGGAACATAAAATTCAAGATAAAGATTGGCATGGATGGAAGTGAAGAAGTAGATTGGAATCTTAGTCTCTTTTGTGCTGCTGTGACAGAATACCACAGACTAGGTAATTCATAATGAACATAAATTTATTTTTTCACAATTTTGTAGACTGAGCATTTCAAAGTAAAGTTGCCTGCATCTGGTAAGGGCCTTTTTGCTGCATTATCACATGACAAATGGCAGACAGGCAAGAGAGCAAACTCTCCAGATGAAGCCCTTTATAACATTAATCCCTTTGTGAGGGAGGAACTCTCATGACCTCAGCACCACCTAAACCCCACCTCCCAACATTTGCGTTGGGGTTTAAGTTTCAACAAGGGTTTTGGAGGAAACAAAACATTCAAACCATAGCAGTTGGGATACGATCATAAAGGGCAAAGATTTTAGATTGATGCTATAGGTAATGGAAATCATTAAAGATTTTAGGTGGTGAAGGGACATGATTTTACAAGTAGACTACAAAGATCACCTTGGAAGCAGAGAGAAGTATAGAATAAAAAGGAGAACTTTTGAAGAACATAAGATTACTGGATTGTATGTTTGCAAGGAATACTACTTGAAGAGGCTCCTGTGGGAAACTAGGGTAAAAGTCAGTTGTGCTAACACAGTGGTAAGATAATTATAAAAGAAGGGACAATGAGATAAATGAATGATGGAGACAGGAGCTGTGGGTGACTGTCAATGGAATTTATGCATAATATTTTTCTAAACAGATCTTTGGTAAAATTGTTTCAAATACCACTTTCCTATAAGCTGTCTTCTGGTGATGTTGCTTTATCTTGAAAGGTATGCAATTTCTTCTTAACATGCAGCAGAAGCCATTTGAAAAAAAACAGTAACATATAATTCTTTTCTGGAAGGTTACTTGTTCTTCCTCCCACTAGGGTTTTTCTCATTGTCAAACAAACAAACAAAAAATAAACGTAATTTACTTATGACTACATTTTACTCAAATAAGGTCATAGTATACCTATAGCTGATAGATTGGTGTATGACATGTATTTCTGGGGAAATAGATCCACTAATAAAGAGTACTTTGTAGAATTGAATGTTTAGTCTTTTTGTTTATTCTTTTGCTTTTTGTTTTGCTAACTAGACTATGTTCTGAATTAATCAAAGTTGTTTGACAAAGCAATACTTATTGCAGATTGTTTTTGTCAGTTTTGTAATGCTTGTTGACATTACTGCAATGCAATTTTATGATTATATCTTTTGAACCTAAACGTCAGTGAGAATTTAATAACTTTTCCCCCTATGTGCTTCTAAAATTATATAACAGGTGATTATACTAAACATAAGCTTCAATGTTAAAAAAAGCACAAATATATTATGTTGGGGGATAATTTACTTACATAACTTTAAAGTTCAGCAACAGTGATAGCTTCTGCTGAGGCTTACTAGATCAAATCTTAAAAACTATGTTTCTCTCCACCTTTTTGCTTAGTTTGATAGGAGCCCTTATTGACGTAAAATGGTTGTAGCAGTTTTGATAACTCATATCCTGACATAATCAAATCGAGAGGAAGAGAAGGACTCCTCAGTTAGACTCTTTTTGGGAATGCTTGTCAAACAGAAACTAGGTTGACTGAATCCTCAAGTCTGTCAGGGAATATTCTGATGGGACAGATGTAAAGGAAATACCAATTGGCAAAATCTAAACAAGCCCTACCCACATTGGTCAAACCCCACTTTTCTTCAAACTTGACAGAGAAAAAAGAATTTATGCAGTGTCCTAAAGAAATCCAGCCTTTCCTTTGAAAGAGGAAAACATGGATGCCAGAAAACATAGCAGCCACAAAAATTTAAGCAAATAATGCTTCTCCTGAATACAGACAGAATACCTACTAAAGAAGTGCATATGTATCTAGAAAAATGACCATGATATAATTTTTACTACCTTGGCTAGGAGTCTATTTGAATTAAAACATGCCAGTGTTTTACTCTGTAGACCAAACACGTTCTATGATTTGTTGTATAGTTCTTTGCCAAAAAATAAGTGTGCAGTCTGAAATTCAAAACAAAGAATTTCCTTCTTGATCCACACTTCAAAGCCTTGCTACTTCATATGATCCTTAAAGAAAAAAGAAAAGAAAAGAGAAAGAAAATCACAACTTGCTGGGGTCTCTAGTATTTAGCAGCTGTTAAATTTTAATAGATGTCAGTAGGGTACTCAGTTAAAAAGCAACCCAAGAAACATCATAAAAAAAGATATAGTCTTTGACATAATAGGAGGCATGATTTTTTTATAGCTGAAAACAGAATGACAATTTCTCTGTTCAATAAAATAATTTGAAGTCAGGAAAATATTTAACATCGTCAAGTTAATATTAAAATAAATGGAATATATTTTGCTGATAAACAAGTCATAGTAAGCATTGCTTCAGTCTTTCATTGACCTGGTTGTATAATCATCAATTTTTCATCTTTGGATTCATATCATTATTTTCCAGAAAATTGTGTGCTTATGTTAGCCATACAAACTTAAAAGGATAGCAAAGAACCTGAAAGGTTTGAACTTTCATGAAGTTAATGACATATATCAAATCAATCTAGGCTGAGTCTATAAGAAAATCAGCTCATTAAATAAGATTTACATTTCTGAAGATTACTCAGTTACTTTTTCTGGATGCCCATCATACTGAAGAATCACATTATTCGTATGTTGCCTTATTTTAATGATTTAGGTTTGACTGTCCTTATATTTGGGTACCTAAAGTGATGAGAAAAAATGAGTCGCAATGGAGAAAAAGATGACAAACTTTCTTGTAACATAGATGCAATATTGACATATTAACAAGGTGAAAAAAATCTCACTTGCATTGCCAAAGATGCTTTCGAATAAGTTATCACTATGAAGTTTATAGCAGAGCAGTTGCAGTGAACAGGTGTGATGTAAAAGTCAAGTCATTTTCTAAGACTCACATACGGTATGTTTTGCAAATATTCTACCACACTTGGCAATGTGGAAGAATAAATGTACTAAAAGCTTTCCAATATTTTGACAGCTAGCATATAGTACCCAACTGTTAATGCCAGTGGAAAGTCCAGGAGAAAGACTTTAATTCATTTAAAATTAATTTCAAAATAATGTATGACTGTTATTTTAAAATTATAGAAAGGCAGAAATATTCTAAAGGAATAGTTAAAGTTTCTGTGTACTTACATCCCTTGTCCTACTCCATTTCCATGTCTATACCAAAAGCAATCACTTTTAACAGCTGAGGTCTATTTTTCCAGGCTTTCTCTATATGTATATATCATCATTTCCAAGACCTGCAAAGTCAAGTGGTTTTTATAAAACCATATATTACATTCTTCTAATTTTCTTCTCTTCAGATATACTAGCTCTAGAGGAAAATCAGAAAATCAGAAAATTCTTTCCTTCATTTGTTTCTTTTAAAATCCCAAAGGATATTTGTGATAGTCAACTTTACATTATCAATATGGACACTATAATTTTTATACACCTTCATTTCTAAAGCTTTATGTAAATGACATGTACTCTCTCTATATTTTAATTTCCCTATCTGTTTATAGAAAAGTTATGTCCTATCTTCTTGAAAGATATGAACTGAGGGATGAATAAAATAATGGAGAAAATTGCCATATAATAACCTGATGGCAATATTAAAATAAATTCTAATGAAGATCTTCAAATTATTTTATTGCAATAAGCATTATAATTTTCTTTGGCAATAAGCATTATACTTGTAGTTACTTCCAGCTGGTACACTTAAGATTACTTTTTATTATCACCCTTGTATGTAACATTTTTTGTCATAGAAATTAAACATTGAAATAACCAATGACATATAGTCAAACTCTCTGTTAGGCTGTGCAATTCCAGATTCTAGAGAAAGGTTAGGGGTGGAGGTCCCATACAATATCAAGTCATTACCGGTAAAATTTTAAAGATGATTAAATACAGATTTCTTGTTTTGCTAATTAGCCTTATCCCTTCTTATTGTGTTCTTGTTACTGCTAAATAACTTCATGTTGTCGTCATTACAATAAAGGTCACATTCTGGTCCTGTTACTCCAGGTCCTTCCAGCCAGCTACTCTTGTTCCCAAAGCCCTTCTCCTACTCAGGCTTGCTTATTTCATTCTCTGTTATCAATTACCAGTAAAAAGTGATTCCCTGATTTAAAGGAACTTACTCCTACCCTGACGTTATAGGAACATCATGGTCAAAGATTCATGATTCCACTGACCTAATTCATGTTTGCTACTTTAGAGAGTGAAGTCATTGTGAAACTAGAACAGATGTTTTTCTCTAAGACCAAAAGTCTAAAACATTTTCTTTCAGACCACTGGAGGCACATATCTAGGGTAACCAAGGCAGCCACCTTCAGGGTGGTTGGAGCCAGCGTTCTTGGAGTCTGTTTCTTCAATCCTTTTGTCATGTTTCATTCTCACACCTGGCTATGCAGCCTTGAAGAATCTTGAGGAAAGAATGGACTTAATTAAGCATTTTAAAATTATTTGTATGTTGTTGTACTAATTTCTGCATACATGTTTAGGGAAACAGGTAGATTGAAAAAAAGAGAGTTTGAAGAAATCATTGTCTCAATGTTAGTCCTGTTTAAAAAAAATTCCAGTGATTTCTGTAGTGTCATACTGGAGCAAATTTCAAAGTCTTTCGACCATCAGTTCAAAGATAAAACTAGATAATCTGTGTTCATTTTGTGCTGTAGTGAGTATTTTTGACATTGGGAAAATCTTACAAATGTTTAGGAAAAGTGTCAGAGAATTTCCCTGACAGTGCTTTTATGGTATCTGTAGGTTAAAGTTGCCAGGTAAAATACAGAACACTGAGTTAAATTTGAATTTCAGTTAAACTACGAATACTGTTTAGTATAAGTATGCCCACTACAACATTTGAAACATACTAAAACATATTCACTGTTTTTTGAAATTCAAATTTTACTGAACATCCTATATATTTATTTGCTAAATCTGGCAACGCTATTACAGGTTG
The DNA here is from genome assembly GCF_000001405.40 of Homo sapiens. Taxonomy (NCBI): domain Eukaryota; kingdom Metazoa; phylum Chordata; class Mammalia; order Primates; family Hominidae; genus Homo; species Homo sapiens. Next base: position 171,891,934 of record NC_000004.12, read on the forward strand.
AGCATCTGTAATTCAAAAATCCAAAATCTGAAATGCTCACAAATCCAAAACTTTATAAGTATCAACATAATGCCACAAGTGGAAAATTCCACACCTAACCTCATGTGACAGATAACAGTCAAATGCAGTCAAAACTTTGTTTCATGCACACAATTATTTAAAATGCATCAGGCTATTTGTGTAAGGTGTATATGAAACATGAATGAATTTTGTGTTTAGACCTGATTCCTATCCCCAAGATACTTCATTATGTGTATGCAAATATTCCAAAGTCCAAAAAGATCTGAAATCCAACCCTTCTGGTTTTAAGCATTTCAAATAAGGGCTATTCAGCCTGTGTATGTGGTGGTATCCCCCATATATAGAGGATGGGGAAAGATGGTTCAAGCAACAATAGCTTCTCAAGGTGGCATGTTCAAATTCCTCTAAACAGGGACACATGTGTATGCTACTTTTCCTTTGATAAAAGTATAATAGTTACCATTAAAAGAGAAATGAAAAGGAAAAGTAAATATCCCTTACAAATGCCAAAATTATTCTAATGAACAATATGAATCAGGTGTTATGTTTTCTTCTCATCATCCTCCTCTTCATAATGATAGTAACAATAACATTTATAATATAATAATTACAAATAACGTTTTTTAAGACAAAGCCTCTCTGTGTTATCTAGGCTGAAGTGCAGTGGTGTGATCACAGCTCACTGCAGCCTTGAACTCCTGGGCTCAAATGATCCTCCCACCTCAGCCTCCCAAGTAGCTGTCACTACACTTTATGACACAACACCTGGATAATTTTTTTAAAAAAATTTGTATAGACGAGGTCTTGCTGTTACCCAGGCTGGCCTCCAACTCCTGGTCTTAAGTGATGCTACAACCTCGGCCTCTCAAAGTGCTGAGATTTCAGGCATGAGCCCCCATGCTCAGCCACAGAGAACATTTATTGAAAGTTTTCTATCAAGCACTTTTAATTAGCTGCAACTTTTAATACTTACCCTGCTGGAGTGTATGGCCCAGGAAGGACCATATCTGCCCTGTTCATTGCTCATTTCCCAGAAACCCATGCAGTATCTGACAATAATAGGTAGTATGTGTTTAGTGAATGAAAAAAAAATGAATAAATGAGGTAGGAATTATTATCCCGGTTTCACAAATGGATAATGTGCGGTTTATTGATGTTGAGGTCTTTCCTCCCAAACAGAATTTAAGTTACAGTGCCTAAGCAGAAATTCAAATGTGTTTGACTTCAAAGACGGCAGACTGCTTCAGGAATTAATCCACATCCATAAGGGGCAGGAATTGTTGCTGAAGGGATATGAACTCCTTCTGACTTATAACATACTAGCTCATATGCAACCTGCTTGCAAAAGCTGTCTCCTTAGAACCTCAAAACAACTATGTAAGATGGATATTACTATCCTATTTTTAGTGAATAAACTGAGGCATAGTGACTATAAAACCTAGATCCAAACATGAGTCTGTCTTTCTCAGTAAAATGAATAATAGTACCAGTGTGGTACCTTCATATGTAAGAAAATATATTGTGTTTCAGGAATAGAGACATCAGAATACAATTAGGTTAATTTTTTGTCACGTATTTTACATAGATGTAGAAAATAGAAAATGCCCAATATCTGTGTTCCTGAATCAACATTTTTATTTATGTAATATTATTGAATATTAGACATGCCACAGCTAGTTGGGATCCCCTTAATTGAAGCAAAATGCTTTAAAAATGAGGAAATATATATTTAAAAATATTTAAGAACTCGTAAGTTTAAACAGGTACTTAGAAAAATCACTTTTCCTCTAAGTCTACTTACTAGTTCTCTGATACTAAGATACAATGCCATGATGAAGTAGTTCATTTCTACAGACTGCTAAACTGAAAAACAACTATTTCAGATCATGTTTTCAGGGCCATAGAGTGGGATAGCCAAGAGAGAAGGCTGTGTTTGTAAGCCATAGTCCCACAATTCAGTCTCAAAATACCCAAAGATCTTCCTTTCCTCCTTTGCCCACCCACCCACCCCTCTCTAGCCAAAGAGCTTGGGGTTGAAACTAAACCAGAACACATCATCATCATTATTTTTCCCCAAGTTGCTATTTAAGAAGTTTAGACGTGCAGTTGCTTCATGTTGATGATGCTTGCTATTCTCTCTTGGGTAAAATAATCGGATGTAGTATTAAGACTGTCACTAAGAATTGTTCATGTATAATTTATACTCACAATTAAAAAGCATTTTTAACCAAGTGTCACAACACAGTGACAACTAAATTAGACTGTGATTTACATTACCATGTGCTGCACTTGATTTAGTGTCACTCTAGAGAAATTGACAAACAACCCATGTAGAGCAAGGCAGAGGTCTTAGTCAAGATAGGGCTCACTCCCCAGGTGGGAATAAGGTGAGGGATAGCCAGTGCATGTTGATGCCATTATGATTAATAATTAATATTAGAATATGTACAGCAATAGAAGTGCAGCCCTTTTAGTAATTGCACAAGACTACTCTAGATAGGCATAGTAAGTAGTTAATTCTTTTTACAATATAATTAAAATGAAAGTGAAAAAGTAACTGTAGAGAAAGAAAACATAAATATTTTCTTTAATGTTTGAAATTTTTTGAAAAGATGGAATCTTGCTCTTTTGTCCAGGCCTCAAGCAATCCTCCCACCTTGGCCTCCCAAAGTGCTGGGATTACTGGCAGAAGCCACCCAACCTGGCCCAACTGTTTCTTTTAAATATGATGAAATCAAAGTTAAATGATTCAAGTGACAAAGTTGATACTGAATCGCCCCAAAATAGCTTCAAGTGCATTTTTGAAGGGGCCTATTGTCACACCATGAGCTGAAAGAGTTCCAAGGGACTTGTGTGCTTATTTGAGACATGTCTGGCAAAGACTGACTTTTTTTTTTCATGGAAATTCAAGGATAAAATAAAATACATAAATTAAAAGCCAAAGATACAAGGCATGGAATAAGATGGATATTCTAGAGAAATCACATGACTAAATGACATCATAATAGAAATGGAAAACAAAACACAACAAAAATGTGTGGTGGTGGAAGAAGTGACCTGGAATATTAAAAGTCAGACAGAACACTTAGAAGAGACCATATATGATTTAATTTTAATTATTGTTTTAAGTAGTGATGAATTTGGGGACTGTAATGTCTACATGAGCTCCAACTAGACATCTTTATAAGTGACAACTGTAAAATCTGGACACAATATCTTGAAGCAGCTACTAGAATTAAAAATATTAATACAAAGTCTTCTGTGGTGTCCATGTTCAGAAGAGGAGTTATATTTGCGTTCACTCTTTCTAGCCTGGGAGTAGGGACTGTTAGCAGTCATAGATGAGCAGAATCCCTTGCGTGAAAAAAGCTCCAATTCTCTGGTCTGGGAAATCAAAATATCGAGTCATGGCAACTCTGTTTTCTGGAGTAGGGGGAGGGGAGTATCTAGAAGAGGAATATCTAGAGATGGCATCCCCAAATTTAATCTGCCTGCATCTGTGATAGACCTCTGAGTCGTGTATGCATAAAGCAGAGTCAGAGCAGTTTAGCTAAGGCAAAGGATCTCAGGTGAGGACCGAGTTGCTGTCCAAGACTAAGACAAGACAAAACTAACTAACTGAAAATTACTCATGGAAGAAGAGAGTATCCAGTCTCCACGGCTTAATATTCATGACGTCTATGATAAAATGCAGTCTTATGTGACATAAGAGAAGCATGAATAAAGAGCTTATTCTCAAAATTAAAAAGAAAGAAAGAAAGTGAAGCCATTTCTGCAATAGATGACTTAGACACTGAAATTAGTAGGAAAGAAATTTAAAGTCACTATTTTGACCATACTCAATTACATAAAAGAAAATACTTCTCCACTTAATGAAAGATGGGAAATATGAGCAAAGAAATAATAATGATTAAAAAGACCAAATGTATCTTGATTTTTAAAAATGCAATAGTGAAAAAAAAAACAGAAAACAAAATGACTAAATAGAATTAACAGCAGAATGGAGTCAGCAGAGGAACAAGTCAGTAAACCTCAAAATAGATCAACAGAAATGCTGAAAAGTAAATAAACAGAGCCTCCAAATATTGTTAGATACTAAATAACCTAACATAAGTGTCATTGGTTGTCCATCAGGGAAAAAGAGGGAAAGGCATAAATATATTTAAAACGTAATGGTTGAAATTTTCTAAAATTTGAATAAAGATTTATATTACAGATTTAATGAAGAATACTTAAAATGAAAAATATCTGGGTAAGCATAACATTCTGTTTTAATTATTTATTTTATTCTTTCCTTAATTTCTTAATACTGCATATTACTGTTTAAAGTAAAACTGTAATCATTGTCTTGTAAACATTTATAACACATATAAGTCTAATACACATGACAACAATAGCCTCAGTCATGACTGGGAATAAATTGACCTACATGGTGCCTAGATTTCTGTATTTTATACAAAATGATAGTACATTAATTCTAAGTAGACAGTTGTCATAGTCTGTCCATCCTACTGTAACTAGATGGCTTATAAATGACAACAATTTATTTCTCACGGTTCTGGAGCCTAGGAAGTTCCAGTTCAACATGTTGGCAGATTTGTTGTCTGGTAAAAGCCAACTTTCCAATTCACAGACAGCACGTTCTCACTGTGCCTTCCTGTGGTGGAAAGGATAAGAGGTCTTTCTGTTGGCCTCTTTCGTAACACTAATCCCATTCATTATGACTCTGCCCACATGGCCTAATCACCTCCCAAAGGCCCCACCTCCTAATACCATGACCTGGGGATTAAGATTTTATTGTATGAATTTGAGGGGGACAAAAACATTCAGTCTGCATCAACTGTGAAAATTAAGTATGTAGACTGTAATCTATTATACAACCAATAGGAAATTAACACAGAGAAGTATAGTTTAAAGCCAATTGAAAAATTAAAATTTAATTCTAAAATTTGTACAAACTAAGAAAAGCCAAGGAAGGAAAAACAAAAGCCAAATGGGAACAATTATGAAACAAATAATAAAATAATAGATCAATAATAGACCGCAATCCAATTACAATAAATTATATTAAATATTAATTAACTGAAAATCACAATGAAAATGTACAGACCTCATTTTTATCTAAATAAATCAGAAAAAGAATAGAAAATAAAGTGTAAGTTAGAGACAAAAGAAAAAATCTAGAAATTGAGAACAGAAGAACAATAAAAATAAGTTATTAAAACCAAAGGATCATTGACTCTTGTCAGGGGTGACAAGTTAATTCATTGTGGAATGGATAGTCTTTTCAACAAATGGTGATAGAAGATTGGCATTCATATGTAAAATAAGGAACCTCTATCTTTATCTTATTCATTACACAAAAATTGACAATCTTTAAATAAAAGATTGTAGAATCAAAGTGCTAGAATATAAATTGTCAATGAGAAGACAGTGGAAAATATTTGTGGCATTGTGTTAGACAAGATTTCTTGAAGAGCATAGATACAAACACACACAACAGAGGGAAAGAAATGGTTAAATGGACTTTATCCAAATTAAAATCTATTATTCTTTGACAATTCACCATTTAAAAAAATAAAAGGTGGCTGGGCGCTGTGGCTCGCGCCTGCAATCCCAGCACTTTGGGAGGCCGAGGCATGTGGATCACGAGGTCAGGAGTACAAGACCAGCCTGGTCAAGATGGTGAAACCCCTTTTCTTTTTTCTTTTTTCGAGACGGAGTCTCACTCTGTCGCCCAGGCTGGAGTGCAGTGGCGCAATTTCGGCTCACTGCAAGCTCCGCCTCCCGGTGAAACCGCTTTTCTACTAAAAATGCAAAAAAATTAGCCAGACATAGTGGCAGGCGCCTATAATCCCAGCTACTCGGGAGGCTGAGGCAGAGAATTGCTTGAATTCAGGAGGCGGAGGTTGTAGTGAGCCGAGATCGTGCCACTGCACTCCAGCCTGGGTGACAGAGTGAGACTCTGTCTCAAAAATAAATAAATAAATAAATGGAAAGTCAAAGACTAGGAACAAATGTTTTCAAAACTATATCTAACAAAGGATCGTTTCCAAAATATATAAACAATATTTATGATTCAGTAAGACAACTCAATTTAAAAATGGGTAAAAGTTTTGAATGTGACATTTGACAAAAGATATATGAAAGGCAAATAAACATCAGAAAAGCTGCTTACCATCACTATTCATCATAGAAATGCATCTTAAAGTTACAATGACATACCCATATTAATTATTAAAAATAAAAAGACTTATAATACCAAGTGCTGGAGAAGGTATGGAGGAAATGTATTCTCATACATTTCTGATAGAAACACAAAATGATACAGCCACACACATTGAAGTAGTTTGACATTTAATCATACACTTAGCATGCGATTCAACAATCTTATTCCTAGGTATCTACCCAAGAGAAATGAAGACACATACCTATAAAAAGATGTATGTGAATATCCTTAAAACTATTACCTATAATAACTAACCACTAGAGACACAAATATCCATCAGCTAGTGAATGATAAATAAATTTTTATATTTATATTATCATATACTAATCAGCAGTAAAAAGTATCAAAGTACTGGTATATAAACAACTTGTATGAATCACAAAAGTATCAACCTATGTAAGGAAGCCAGAAGAATGATGAAAACACTCCACTTGTCCATATTTTTGATATTCTAGAAAAGAAAAAATTATAGGTACAGAAACAAACCTATCAGTTGCCTGGATCTGGGAGTTGGGATTGAGTGCAAAATATAAAAGGTGTTGTAGGTTGTAGTTTTTTTTAATTTTATTTTTGTGGGGTTCTAGAAATGTTTGATACTTTGTGTTCATAGTTACATGATAATGTACAACTGCCAAAATGCGTCAGAATGTTAGCCTAGTGAATATTTTTGTATATAAATTGTATCAAAATAAACTATGGGGAACAATAAGCTATTTGCATGAGCATAGTCTTGGTATTAAAGAAGCAAGCAATTGAGTTTCAATATAGATTTCTTTTTTCTGTTTTTGTTTTGTAGTTAAACAGCATATATTTAGTGAATACATTCAGGGGCATTTTATCATTTTGATTTCTGATCATTTTGCCAATGGAAATTGTACTTTTAGTATTACTTTTATTTAGTATTTATTAATACTAAATAAAAATTTAGTATTAATATCTATACAAATTAATTTTTAAATCATTTAAAGATGAAAACATTTTCCAGCAGATTTCAAATGTTCAGAACTTGAATTAAAATGTAATTAGCACTGAAAAGTTACTGTTTGTGTTACCCTATGGCAAAGGCTCCCAAGGTGGTTACCCCTAATGACTAGTAGCGTTTAAAAAATATATTTTTATTCTCATTCAAAGTATTTCAGTCTTCCTGTTACATTATGGCTTTGTGTGTTTACAGAGTTTATTCTATATTGGTGAACCAGAAACCCAACTTTTTATCAAATCAGCTCTGAGTCTAGAAATAAAATTAGAAAACTAATAAAAGTAGAGATGTCAGGGCTCTTGCCATTTTCCTAGCAGCAGGAAAATCGTTTATTTAATGTATCACGGTCTAGTATTACAGATATTAAAATAGATGGCAAAATTTATGTTACAGACTCCATTTTGAGAGAATATAACTCAGACATATGCTTTCCTGAAATTCACCATTTAGAATTTATCACAGTTAAATCACATATTTATGTATGCTATACACATAGAACAAAGACTAATTGCTAGGAATCTAAATTGGAAAACCCTATTGTTTGAGTGTCATCTGCTAATATTTGGACCTCTTTATATTGACAAACCCAAAAGCAGCCCATTATAAAAATATGGAGAATTCGTGCTAAAAACCATTTCACTTATTGCAGGTCTTTCTTAACACAATTAACTAAAAGCATATCATTTTCCATGTAATTGTTTCAACAATTTCTTATCATACTTGATTACAAAAGTCATTCCCTTCCACACCCTACTTCCCTCTATGTGTCTGTCATTTGGTAAGTCAAGACCTCTTTTTGTAATATGAATGCTTAAGATGGGAGGATCATTTTATTCTTTGACTTCTATTCTGAATATATCAAATATTTATATGATCTTATTAAACTAAATGAGGGTTATGGAGTATAGTGTCACCAAAACAATAATTATTGAATAAAATGAATATTTTCTTCCTCTAAACAGATATTTATATCATGTCATATTTACTATAGAAAATTGTATTATAAAAAAGATGGGGTTCATCGTCTTGGGTTTAAGTAGAAAAATGTTCTCAGCAGTCATCAATTTTTTCATGAATACACAATTCACGCTAAAACTTTCACATATTTGAAATCATCCCACAAGTCTCATACTTAGTGATATTTTATTTATTTATTTATTTTTGAGACAGAGTCTCACTCTGTTGCCCAGGCTGGAGTGCAGTGGTGTGAGCTCGGCTCACTACAACCTCTGCCTCCCAGGTTCAAGCGATTTTCCTGCCTCAGCTTCCCAAGTAGCTGGGACTACAGGTGTGTGCCACCACACTCGGCTAATTTTTTGTATTTTTTTTTTTTTTTTAGTAGAGATGGGGTTTCACCATGTTAACCAGGATGGTGTCAATCTCCTGACCTCGTGATCCACCCACCTCGGCTTCCCAAAGAGCTGGGATTACATGTGTGAGCCAGCGCTATTTTAAAACATTAGAAAACACATGGCTTTTCCTGAGAATTTCATAATCTGATCAAGGATATAGGACTTATATGTGAAAATAATTATTTAATTATTAATGATAAATATGTCCTTGGGTAAATGAAACAAGAAAACAATCAATTGAGATTGATGTTGGTTTTGAAATTACAAAAAACATAGGAGGTTCAAAATATAGGAAGAACCTCTTAAGGTTAGACTATTCCACAAGAATTTTATAAATTATAGCATCAAAAACAGACTAATAACTAAAATATTAGAATATCTTTCAGAAACATGGATTTGATTAAGGAGGCAATGGAAAATAATTGAATTTAATAATGATGAGGGCAAAACTATGGAGCAGGATTTCAGAGCACAAAATGTCCAAAACAGGCCAGGAAGACTGATAATAAAGGAAGACAAATAGAGCTAATCTGAGACACTATTGCAGGGTGCTGAATTACCCTGATTTAAAGTTGGGGCCAAGAGAACAACAAAGATTTGGAGTAGCAGTGATCATACTAGGCCTACTAAAAGACGGAAATGTTGATACTGCTTAACCAGCAAATCCCTGCCCACCCTCTACCTCCAGACTATATTTAAGAAGATTGGGAAGGCAAGATACAGAATAAAATCTTGGTGACAAGAGACTATAGAGTACAACAACAGAGGGGGTAAGAAAATGATTGAACCATTTTCCATATGCGGTAGCTGGGCATTAGAAGCCCCCACAAAGGCCTTCTGAAGAACATACATGAACCTTTCCAGTAGCAACTAGACACCTACCACCAGGGAGCATCTGCACCCTGAGAAGCTGGCCAGAGAAGCCATGAAACAGCAGGGAAACAATTACAACTGAGGGAAGTAAAGTAAGGAAATATTTTTCTTTCCTCCTCCCCCACTCCCCTTCCTCATGTAATCAGAGCAATTGCATGGAGGTGGGCAGGAGGCATCTCAGGACCAGACCATGTTCATGTTTTCTTTATTTTTCTACCTGCTAGAATGGGAGGAGAACAGAATAAACAGACAGTTTCAGATCCCTGGAGCTGCAGATGTGAAGAGTGATGGTGAAGAGAGGCTGTCTGAATTTGAATTTGTTTTACAATTCTAAACTGGATTTTTAAAAGTGTTTAGGAAGTTGTAAAATTCATCCAATATATTAATCAAGATATCTTCTAACTAGCAGAGAAGAGTGATTTGACATAATCATATGGGAGAAAAAATTAATATTGTCTCACACAAAGTTGATAATATTCTAATATTATAGTTAATTTTATAATTAATTAATTATACAAATTAATCTGAGGGAAACAAATCCAGATAAATAACTGGATTTTGGACATAAAAGAGAGCAAAACTAAAACATGCATACAGCTCATCATTCTGATAGTCTTTAAGATTGTATTGCTATATAACATTTAGAGAGATAAGTGGGAATGTTGCTAGTTCAATTTTATTTAAGTTTGTGAACTTCAAGAAGCAGTGTTATATAAGCAACAAGAAATACACAGCTCAAGCCTGACAGCTCTTGGCTGGAGATTTAGTTCCCATAGGTAAGAATCTAATTGAAGCCTTAGGAGGGATGAGTTGTGTGAAGTAAGACAAAGAGAATGATAAACAAAGTGATAAATCTTCCATATTCAGGAGGTTGTAAAAAAAGAGAGAGGTGGGAAAGTATATTATCACAGAGTGCAAGAAATGTTAATATTAGAAATTCAGGTGTCTGCAAATTTGGAAGTGCAGTAAAAATCAAGGAGGAGGATGAATGCTGATTTCATCATCTTCAAGAGCAGATTCATTTCATGAATGAGACTAGAGGCACCATTGACAATTTGATGACAGGCGAGGACATTCAGTGACTTCATCAAGGAGGTTGACTCTGAAAGCAAGGAGAATCAACAATTGATGTTTTGAAGGGACACAGGAATCAGGACAGATGATGTATGGAAAGAGATTAATGAAAGAAACAAACTGGCAATAGCCAGTACAGCAAGGGAGTAGAGAAGTTATCAGTGAGAGGGTAGGGAGGCTGGTCATTGAAAGAAGCGAAGTGAATATGATATGAAAAATTCAGGATATGAATTTTCAGGGTTCAGAATTTTCTCTCTTGTAGGACTTCTATTCACTAACATTGAAAAAGGAAAGATATGAATAGACAGTGTGGCTAATCTAGACGTGGACATTAATTGGTTTATCTTGGAGGGACAGAAAATGGAAAGGATACTTAACATATAGTAAATATGATAGTTTTGAAATAATTGCTTCTAGTACCCTATCAAGAAGGTCAATATAGTTACTGGTATTGTTCTGAATTATATATTTTACCACAGTAGGGAGGAGAAACTATTTAGGAAGATAAACTCTATTATGTCATTCTTCATTACAATCATTACAGCTATTCATGCAGTCAAAGACGAAGAAGGAGTCTAAAAACATCAAATGGAAGCTCATATTCTAACTCAAGTGGAAGTACTTAAGAACTTAAAGAGATTGATATCCCTTTGAAAATGAGAGGTGAGAGGGGAGGAGCCAAGATGGCCTAATAGGAACAGCTCCGGTCTGCAGCTCCCAGCGTGAGCGACACAGAAGACAGGTGATTTCTGCATTTCCATCTGAGGTACCGGGTTCATCTCACTAGGGAGTGCCAGACAGTGGGCGCAGGTCAGTGGGTGCGCGCACCGTGCGCGAGCTGAAGCAGGGCGAGGCATTGCCTCACTCGGAAAGCACAAGGGGTCAGGGAGTTCCTTTTCCTAGTCAAAGAAAGGGGTGATGGACGGCACCTGGAAAATCGGGTCACTCCCACCCAAATACTGCGCTTTGCCGAAGGGCTTAAAAAACGGCACACCAGGAGATTAAATCCCTCACGTGGCTCGGAGGGTCCCACGCCCACGGAGTCTCGCTGATTGCTAGCACAGCAGTCTGAGATCAAACTGCAAGGCGGCAGCGAGGCTGGGGGAGGGGCGCCCGCCATTGTCCAGGCTTGATTAGGTAAACAAAGCAGCCCTGAAGCTCAAACTGGGTGGAGCCCACCACAGCTCAAGGAGGCCTGCCTGCCTCTGGAGGCTCCACCTCTGGGGGCAGGGCACAGACAAACAAAAAGACAGCAGTAACTTCTGCAGACTTAAATGTCCCCGTCTGACAGCTTTGAAGAGAGCAGTGGTTCTCCCAGCACGCAGCTGGAGATCTGAGAACGGGCAGACTGCCTCCTCAAGTGGGTCCCTGACCCCTGACCCCTGAGCAGCCTAACTGGCAGGCACCCCCCAGCAGGGGCAGACTGACACCTCACACGGCCAGGTACTCCAACAGACCTGCAGCTGAGGGTCCTCTCTGTTAGAAGGAAAACTAACAAACAGAAAGGACATCCACACCAAAAACCCATCTGTACATCACCATCATCAAAGACCAAAAGTAGATAAAACCACAAAGATGGGGAAAAAACAGAGCAGAAAAACTGGAAACTCTAAAAAGCAGAGCGCCTCTCCTCCTCCAAAGGAACGTAGTTCCTCACCAGCAACAGAACAAAGCTGGACGGAGAATGACTTTGACGAGCTGAGAGAAGAAGGCTTCAGACGATCAAATTACTCCAAGCTACAGGAGGACATTCAAACCAAAGGCAAAGAAGTTGAAAACTTTGAAAAAAATTTAGAAGAATGTATAACTAGAGTAACCAATACAGAGAAGTGCTTAAAGGAGCTGATGGAGCTGAAAACCAAGGCTCGAGAACTACATGAAGAATGCAGAAGCCTCAGGAGCCGATGCGATCAACTGGAAGAAAGGGTATCAGCGATGGAAGATGAAATGAATGAAACAAAGAGAGAAGGGAAGTTCGGAGAAAAAAGAATAAAAAGAAACGAGTAAAGCCTCCAAGAAATATGGGACTATGTGAAAAGACCAAATCTGCGTCTGATTGGTGTACATGAAAGTGACGGGGAGAATGGAACCAAGTTGGAAAACACTCTGCAGGATATTATCCAGGAGAACTTCCCCAATCTAGCAAGGCAGGCCAACATTCAGATTCAGGAAATACAGAGAATGCCACAAAGATACTCCCTGAGAAGAGCAACTCCAAGACACATAATTATCAGATTCACCAAAGTTGAAATGAAGGAAAAAATGTTAAGGGCAGCCAGAGAGAAAGGTCGGGTTACCCTCAAAGGGAAGCCCATCAGACTAACAGCAGATCTCTCAGCAGAAACTCTACATGCCAGAAGAGAGTGGGGGCCAATATTCAACATTCTTAAATAAAAGAATTTTCAACCCAGAATTTCATATCCAGCCAAACTAAGCTTCATAAGTGAAGGAGAAATAAAATACTTTACAGACAAGCAAATGCTGAGAGATTTTGTCACCACCAGGCCTGCCCTAAAACAGCTCCTGAAGGAAGCGCTAAACATGGAAAGGAACAACCGATACGAGCCACTGCAAAATCATGCCAAAATGTAAAGACCATCAAGACTAGGAAGAAACTGCATCAACTAATGAGCAAAATAACCAGCTAACATCATAATGACAGGATCAAATTCACACATAACTATATTAACTTTAAATGTAAATGGACTAAATGCTCCAATTAAAAGACACAGACTGGCAAATTGGATAAAGAGTCAAGACCCATCAGTGTGCTGTATTCAGGAAACCCATCTCACATGCAGAGACACACATAGGCTCAAAATAAAAGGATGGAGGAAGATCTACCAAGCAAATGGAAAACTAAAAAAGGCAGGGGTTGCAATCCTAGTCTCTGATAAAACAGACTTTAAACCAACAAAGATCAAAAGACAAAGAAGGCCATTATATAATGGTAAAGGGATCAATTCAACAAGAAGAGCTAACTATCCTAAATATATATGCACCCAATACAGGAGCACCCAGATTCATAAAGCAAGTCCTGAGTGACCTACAAAGAGACTTAGACTCCCACACATTAATAATGGGAGACTTTAACACCCCACTGTCAACGTTAGACAGATCAACGAGACAGAAAGTCAACAAGGATACCCAGGAATTGAACTCAGCTCTGCACCAAGTGGACCTAATAGACATCTACAGAACTCTCCACCCCAATTCAACAGAATATATGTTTTTTTCAGCACCACACCACACCTATTCCAAAATTGACCACATACTTGGAAGTAAAGCTCTCCTCAGCAAATATAAAAGAACAGAAATTATAACACACTATCTCTCAGACCACAGTGCAATCAAACTAGAACTCAGGATTAAGAATCTCACTCAAAACCGCTCAACTACATGGAAACTGAACAACCTGCTCCTGAATGACTACTGGGTACATAATGAAATGAAGGCAGAAATAAAGATGTTCTTTGAAACCAACGAGAACAAAGACACAACATACCAGAATCTCTGGGACACATTCAAAGCAGTGTGTAGAGGGAAATTTATAGCACTAAATGCCCACAAGAGAAAGCAGGAAAGATCTAAAATTGACACCCTAACATCACATTTAAAAGAACTAGAAAAGCAAGAGCAAACACATTCATAAGCTAGCAGAAGGCAAGAAATAACTAAAATCAGAGCAGAACTGAAGGAAATAGAGACACAAAAAACCCTTCAAAAAATTAATGAATCCAGGAGCTGGTTTTTTGAAAGGATCAACAAAATTGATAGACCACTAGCAAGACTAATAAAGAAAAAAAGAGAGAAGAATCAAATAGACGCAATAAAAAATGATAAAGGGAATATCACCACCGATCCCACAGAAATACAAACTACCATCAGAGAATACTACAAACACCTCTACGCAAATAAACTAGAAAATCTAGAAGAAATGGATAAATTCCTCGACACATACACTCTCCCAAGACTAAACCAGGAAGAAGTTGAATCTCTGAATAGACCAATAACAGGCTCTGAAATTGTGGCAATAATCAATAGCTTACCAACCAAAAAGAGTCCAGGTCCAGATGGATTCACAGCCAAATTCTACCAGAGGTACAAGGAGGAACTGGTGCCATTCGTTCTGAAACTATTCCAATCAATAGAAAAAGAGGGAATCCTTCCTAACTCATTTTATGAGGCCAGCATCATCCCAATACCAAAGCCTGGCAGAGACACAACCAAAAAAGAGAATTTTAGACCAATATCCTTGATGAACATTGATGCAAAAATCCTGAATAAAATACTGGCAAACCGAATCCAGCAGCACATCAAAAAGCTTATCCACCATCATCAAGTGGGCTTCATCCCTGGGATGCAAGGCTGGTTCAATATACACAAATCAATAAATGTAATCCAGCATATAAACAGAACCAAAGACAAAAACCACATGATTACCTCAATAGATGCAGAAAAGCCCTTTGGCAAAATTCAACAACCCTTCATGCTAAAAACTCTTAATAAATTAGGTATTGATGGGACGTATTTCAAAATAATAAGAGCTATCTATGACAAACCCACAGCCAATATCATACTGAATGGGCAAAAACTGGAAGCATTCCTTTTGAAAACTGGCACAAGACAGGGATGCCCTCTCTCACCACTCCTATTCAACATAGTGTTGGAAGTTCTGGCCAGGGCAATTAGGCAGGAGAAGGAAATAAAGGGTATTCAATTAGGAAAAGAGGAAGTCAAATTGTCCCAGTTTGCAGATGACATGATTGTGTATCTAGAAAACCCCATTGTCTCAGCCCAAAATCTCCTTAAGCTGATAAGCAACTTCAGCAAAGTCTCAGATACAAAATCAACGTACGAAAATCACAAGCATTCTTATACACCAACAACAGACTAACAGAGAGCCAAATCATGAGTGAACTCCCATTCACAATTGCTTCAAAGAGAATAAAATACCTAGGAATCCAACTTACAAGGGATGTGAAGGACCTCTTCAAGGAGAACTACAAACCACTGCTCAATGAAACAAAAGAGGATACAAACAAATGGAAGAATATTCCATGCTCATGGGTAGGAAGAATCAATATCGTGAAAATGGCCATACTGTCCAAGGTAATTTACAGATTCAATGCCATCCCCATCAAGCTACCAATGACTTTCTTCATAGAATTGGAAAAAACTACTTTAAAGTTCATATGGAACCAAAAAAGAGCCCACATCGCCAAGTCAATCCTAAGCCAAAAGAACAAAGCCAGAGGCATCACACTACCTGACTTCAAACTATACTACAAGGCTACAGTAACCAAAACAGCATGGTACTGTTACCAAAACAGAGATATAGATCAATGGAACAGAACAGAGCCCTCAGAAATAACGCCACATATCTACAACTATCTGATCTTTGACAAACCTGAGAAAAACAAGCAATGGGAAAAGGATTCCCTATTTAATAAATGGTGCTGGGAAAACTGGCTAGCCATATGTAGAAAGCTGAAACTGGATCCCTTCCTTACACCTTATACAAAAATTAATTCAAGATGGATTAAAGACTTAAACGTTAGACCTAAAACCATAAAAACCCTAGAAGAAAACCTAGGCATTACCATTCAGGACATAGGCATGGGCAAGGACTTCATGTCTAAAACATCAAAAGCAATGGCAACCAAAGCCAAAACTGACAAATGGGATCTAATTAAACTAAAGAGCTTCTGCACAGCAAAAGAAACTACCATCAGAGTGAACAGGCAACCTACAAAATGGGAGAAAATTTTCACAAACTACTCATCTGACAAAGGGCTAATATCCAGAATCTATAATGAACTCAAACAAATTTACAAGAAAAAAAACAAACAAACCCATCAAAAAGTGGGAGAAGGACATGAACAGACACTTCTCAAAAGAAGACATTTATGCAGCCAAAAAACACACGAAAAAATGCTCACCATCACTGGCCATCAGAGAAATGCAAATCAAAACCACAGTGAGATACCATCTCACACCAGTTAGAATGGCAATCATTAAAAAGGCAGGAAACAAGTGCTGGAGAGGATGTGGAGAAATAGGAACACTTTTACACTGTTGGTGGGACTGTAAACTAGTTCAACCATTGTGGAAGTCAGTGTGGCGATTCCTCAGGGATCTAGAACTAGAAATACCATTTGACCCAGCCATCCCATTACTGGGTATATACCCAAAGGACTATAAATCATGCTGCTATAAAGACACATGAACACGTATGTTTATTGCGGCACTATTCACAATATCAAAGACTTGGAACCAACCCAAATGTCCAACAACGATAGACTGGATTAGGAAAATGTGGCACATATACACCATGGAATACTATGCAGCCATAAAAAATGATGAGTTCATGTCCTTTGTAGGGACATGGATGAAATTGGAAATCATCATTCTCCGTAAACTATTGCAAGAACAAAAAACCAAACACCACATATTCTCACTCATAGGTGGGAATTGAACAATGAGAACACATGGACACAGGAAGGGGAACATCACACTCTGGGGACTGTTGTGGGGTGGGGGGAGGGAGGAGGGATAGCATTGGGAGATATACCTAATGCTAGATGACGAGTTAGTGGGTGCAGCGCACCAGCATGACACATGTATACATATGTAACTAACCTGCACATTGTGCACATGTACCCTAAAACTTAAAGTATAATAATAAATAAATAAATAAATAAAAAGAAAAAAGAAAAAAAAAAAAGAAAATGAGGTGAAAGCTAAGGACCAAAACTTTTTCTGAAATCATTAACTATTTTGTGCAACCACAGTGATGATGATCATATTTTTAAGACATTTATACAGGGTAGAAATTATACTTTGAAACTACTGTATATTATTTAAGCCATAGATGATCCAGGGTTATAAAAGAGAGAAACTCAGCAGTATGGTCTTGTGATCAAATATTCTATCATCTGATGCTGGCTTTCACCTTGAAATGTGATCTATGAAAGATCATCTTACTTCTATTTTCATGACCTCATCCAATCTTAAAAGTAAACATTATAAGCTTAGTTGCTAAGCTCTTGCACATAATGTTATAGGACACAGAAAATAAATTATTGTTAAGCATTTTGTACAAGCCAAAGGTCTAATGTAACTGAGGACGGTAGAAAAATCCATGAATAGGAAGCTTGCCAATGTTATTTTACAAATATTTGACTCGAAAGTTTGCCATAGACTTTTGAAAATGAAGAAGAATAGGAAGTCTAGCAATTAGAAACAAATCTCCTTTGAAGGATCTTAACATGTAAGCATTTATAACTCCTTGTATTATATTAAAATGCTTTTCTATTTGTTAAAAACCATAATGAGTGTATGACTGCATTGTAAACCATATCAATATCTTGTAAGTGTTCAGTATTTAGGCAGACTGCAGTTTGCTGTAGATTAAAATAATAGTCAAAGCATCAAAGACAAACAACGTGACTATTTTCTATATTTGGATATGATTTTGAAATACTGGCAATGGCTTTGATTTTTGGAATATGAACAATAATTGTGAAGATTTTTAATATATCAATATAATAAATATGAATACATGAATAATGTATTCTGCAAGCTTTATTATAAGTCAATTGTCCTTTCCCTTTTAAAATAGTATATTTCTTTTCTAGAAACACTTAGCTAGCATAAAGCTTTTTAGTAATCTACTGCTTTGCTCCAACCAAAAACAAAACAGAGCAAAACACTTTAAAAAACTGTTGTTAAACCGTTGTTTATCCTTCTCCCCTTTACATTTTTTACCTTCATCTTTTTAATAATCTGAATTGCGCTAATTTTTTACCCATATGCGCAGATTTTTCAATGTTTTGAAAGTAGGTTTTGTACCACAGGGGAGAAACATGTCACACAATGGCAAAGTAGAATCAGGCAAACAGATTGAAAGAAAAACTGGTGATAAAAAAAAGACCCAAAACCAATAACAACTGTATAATATATAAATTATCCTTATTCTTTTGACGTGGGTTTTAAAATTTGGAATTATTTGTAAAATTTGGAAATGTCTTTTTTTTTAATCATTAAAGCACCCTATAAAATTAAATGCTAAAGACCCAAGTTATAAATGACAGAAGTCTACATTCTTAAAAAAAAAAATCAGTTTATGTTACAGTGGAAAGAGATGTCTGTATAAGTATTAACCATCTTACCCTGTTCGCCATTTTATAGATTTTGAAAGAATACAAGCTGGAACAAACATTATCAGACTTATACTTCTTATGGTTAACAATCCAAACTTGTAATATAACTCAATTAATTATAGCCACTTCAAAGTAACATTTAGATAATATAATCATGTTTTGTGAGAATGATATTTTTTTCTTAATCAACAGGTTGGTACTCATAATATTTATATACCATGTTAATGGCATATAAACATGCAGAATTTGTACTAAAACTATTCAATGATTTTTTTATGTCAATGCTATAGCCACTTTTAGTTATTCAAAATTTGCACTTGGACATTCTTCTAGTTCTTTAGTTATTGATATTCCTTAACAAATTATTCCTAATATATTCCAGTAATTCAAAGAGTAAAGGTACAATTTTAAGAGTCACTAATACCTCTGTTATAGTTTTTCTATCATTAGTGAACAATGCCATTCAGATAAAATGCTGTTGGTCCTGAGAAGGAGTAAACAATATATCACACCACCTGTATCTTTTTTAAAAATTTATTTTCTTTTTTATAGAGACAGAGTCTCACTCTGTCACCCAGGCTGGAGTGCATTGGCACGATCCGGGCCCACTGCAGCCTCTACCTCCCAGGCTCTGTCAAGCCTCCCACTTCAGCCTCCCAAGTAGCTGGGACTACAGGCAAGCATCACTACAACCAGCTAATTTTTGTATTTTTGTAGAAATGAGATTTCAAGCATGTTGCTCAGGCTGGTCCTGAGCTCAAGTGATCCACCTGCCTCGGCCTCCCAAAGTGCTGGGATTACAGGCGTGAGCCACTGCGCCCAGCCCCTCCGCTAAGCTTTCTTGGAGTATCATGAACTAAGATTCCCTTCAGTCCTCATCCTGAAGAAATGCAACCCCTGTAGGAAAACTCTGACGAGAAAGTCAGAAAAGCATTAAGTTAAGCACATAGAGTCTGATATACGTGTGCTGATTCCAGTGCACAAAGTTGTTTTGACATCCAGGGATATCAGTCAGGGAAAGAGGATAAGGAAAGTGTAGATGAGAGGCATTTGAAACAGAATTCCCAACTGTCCATATTATCAAAGTCTATGCAAATTTCATTTTGCTGTGGTATATAATAATAAATAAATTGGGGCATCCTATTTAAATTTATTATATTTATTTATGGATAATATTAAATGGTGTATTCATGATCCAAAATTAATTGGAGCATTCCAATTTGGATATTTTGCTGTTTTCCTAAGAACAGAAATTGATGATTGACTTAAAACATCCATACATTTTTAATTATTGGTAATTGGAGAAAATGAATGTCTCCTTTAAATTTAATCAATGTTTTTTAATCATCTAATAATAGGTTCTTGATATATCCATTTGTTGATGAGATAATCCCATCTACTTAGAATTCTTCTGCTTAATCTTAAAAATACTGAGTTCAAGCATATCTTTTTCATTAAACTATGAAAAACTAAGCTCATCATATAATGTTTATTAATAGGACAATCACTAAAGGAAATTAAAGAAAATAATCAATGATTTTCTGCTAAGATGCTAAAGTAGATCCTTTATATTTATAGACTGTGGTTCTACAGGTACTCTGAATTATAATATGTCTTTTTGGCATAACAGTAAAATTATATTTGTCAGATTCTCTTGTTATTTTTGCTGCAGTAGGAGTGTGACATTTTGCCATTTCTTTTAATTTGAAAGATCTTTAAAGTCTATTCTACAGTAAGGAAGGGGATGATATTTGACTTGTATTCATGTGTCATCATATTTTCTTATTCTTTTCTATTGATATACAATAGTTGTACATATTTTGGGGGTAGATGTGATATGTTGATACATGTATACAATATGTGATGATAAAATCAGGGTAACTGGGATATGCATCACCACAAACATGTATCTTTTCTTTGTGTTGGGAACATTTCAATTATTTTCTTCTAGACATTTTTGAAATATACAATAAATTATAGCTAACTATAGTCTCCCTGCTATATTATTGAATACTAGCTTAATCCTTCTAACTGGTTCTTTTACCTGGTCCCCAACTTTTCTTCACCCCTCTCCTTCCTCCACCCTTCCCAGCCTCTAGTAACCACCACTCTACCCTTTACCACCATGAGATCCACTTTTTCAGTTTCCACCTCTGAGTGAAAACATGCGGTATTTGTGTTTCTGTGCCAGGCTTCCTTCACTTAACATAATGATCTCCAGTTTCATTCGTGTTGCTGCAAATAACAGAAATTTATTCTTTTTTTGTGATTGAATAATATCTCCTTTTATAAATGTACCACGTTTCCTTTACCCGTTCATCTATTGATGGACGCTTAGGTTATTCACATGATTATTGTGAATAGTGCTGCAATAAACATGTGGGTGCAGGTATCTCTTTGATGTACTGATTTCCTTTCTTTTGGGTAAATACTCAGCAGAGGGATTGCTGGATCATATGGTAGTTCTATTTTTACTTACATTTTCCCAATCTTCTGATCAGAAACCATGAATTGGTACAAAGTAAGGTTCAGAAGTAAAGTAGCTGTTGGGGAACCAGATGCATTTTCTTAGATGGAACTGGAACTGCTCAGTTGCATAAAGAAAAGAAAGAAAAGTGTAATTAATCACAGCATCTCAGCTAAATACTGGAAAGAGGCATTTATGGCTGGACCTGATCAAGACAACATGGATAGTAGAATAATCTTGTAAATATGTATTGCAATTATTTTCATAACATACTAAGTGGCTGTGTCTTGTAGATATGGCAGTGGGCTGTAATGCAAAACTGTATGAATATTATTGCCACCCACAGCTGGATTCCCTTTATTTTACAAACGTGTTTTGACACTTATGGCTAAAATGGTTACACAAGTAATAAATGCCACACTAAACAATTTTTATTCTAATGAGCATTTCTTCAGAAATATTCAAAGCAAACCATTTTTCATATAAATCTATATTTGTTTTTAATAATCAGAAAAAAGGGTAAAAACTGCACATTACAGAAAAAGGATAGGAGAAAATGTCAAATTATATCAAAGGAAATTGATGAATTTTACCTTCCACACACATATTAGCTGTTGCTATCGTTGAAACAGTGTCTTTTCAGAGAAATTAGGTGGTAATGAAAACTTTACATTTCTAGTTTATATGATTCAACTAATGAAGCAGTACTACATATTATGTTTGAAAAAAGTATGGATTTAGCACAATAAAAAGTTAATGATGAGATACATACCCTCATCAACACTTCCTTTTCAACACAATACTCAGGAATTATATTCCTGAATAAATGGCTCAGCTCTTTTTTAACTGAAAAAATCCAAAATTGAAATGTAAAAATGCATTTTAACTAAAGCTACTGGAGTTATTAACATGGTTAAAAGTACTCAATTCTGGATTATTTCTCTTGCTATTGTTATAAAGGCTATAAAATGAAATGGAAATGACAGAACAAAAGGAAATAAAACACTAACAAAATCATCAAAACACTATAGAGCAGAGGACTGTAAAGGTCCCCCACACATGACATAGGAATATAGAGGTAAGTAATAAAACACCCCTAGCCGTTGCTAGTTGGGTTGTTTGCCCAGGAAAGTTCCCTTTGGGGTTTTATACTAACTACCTGTGAAATATCTACTTAAAAAGAAAGAGACCTATATTCCACTGGTTGACAGTGGTTATCCCGACAAGAAAGTGGTTATTTTCAACAAGAAAGGAAAAACAAAACCAACTTCAGTGCATTTACAGGTTAAAATGTAAGATACTGAAAATTTATTTAATATTAAAAGGAAAATGTACTTTTTTTTTTTTTTTTTTTTGAGATGGAGTCTTGTTCTGTCGCCCAGGCTGGAGTGCAGTGGTGTGATCTCGGCTCACTGCAACCTCCACCTCATGGGTTCAAGCTATCCTCCTGCCTCAGCCTGGGATTATAGACACGGGCTACCATGCCCAATTTTTGTATTTTTAGTAGAGATGGGGTTTCACCATGTTGGCCAGGCTGGTCTCAAACTCCTAACCTCAGGCAATCTGCCCGTCTTGTCCTCCCAAATTGCTGGGATTACAGGCATAAGCCACCATGGCCGGCCAAAAATGTACATATTTATGAATAAAATAACACTTAATATATTAACTTCCAGAAAGTAAAAATGATAAAAAAAAAAAAACTATGAATAGTGATTTTAGAGACTTAGGACAAATTTTTGATTCAATATTTTAGAGTATTTTTTTACACAGTTTGATAGGATCTTTTATTTTAAGCTGGTAATCTGAAAACTGGGCATACTCAGAAGAATCATTTTCAGTTATATTTAATATGTTGGTATAATAGATATCAGTTTATATATAAATATTTCTGTATCTATTTTTCTGGACATGTATATATATAAAACTTATTTGTTATAAAGGGAATATGGACAGGATATCGATACAGATTTTTAAAGTTCGAAAAAATTAAAAACATGGGCTATAACTTATAATTGAATTGTTTTAAAATAAATTTCCTATAAAAATGTATGTTCATATATCTTCTTACCCTTTACTGTAATTTATTGAATGGCACAGCATCATTTTATGTAATTAATGAGCATTGGAAGACAAAAGACTCCAGCTTTACTTCTGCCAGGCATTACCTAGAATTTCTAATTAGGCCTATGTAAATAAATGCATGGATGTATACATATTGTCTGTAGTTAATCCCTTCTGATTACCCTCATTCATTATATGCCTTCTTGGAATAACTGACGATGATGCTTCCTGTACGTAGGGGCTGAATGCAACCTCAGAAATGTTCTGAACCTCTCTCTGACTATATGATACTAAAAATACTAAAGGGAGTGATAGTGATTCTAAATAAAATATTTTTTATCTTTTAGTTTTGATCTTAATTTGTAAATAATCATCACAATGAAAACTGAATTATTTATCTGATACTCAAGTGCTAGCAAATAACATTTTTCATTACACTGCTTTCCCAAATGTATTATTTTAGTATTTCTGCATGTGTACCACAAGAATTTGTTAAAACATTTGTGAATAAAGTATTGTTAAAACAAAAAAGCATTTACATGTAGTATTTCATTTTTTGCTAGTTTAGTGTCAAAAAAAGTAACAAGTAAATTATTTTTTCACAGCTGAAATTTTAAGGGTCAGAAAGCCTCATTTATCACAGATTATTGAGGAGAGGTGCTGTGAACCTCAGTTTCTGCTTTTTCCCAACACTTGGACTTCTGACTTTTCACATAACTTTTGTATCTGTAAACACCTTAATTCTCGAAACCCAATGTTTATATTGTAACTGATGAATAAAATAGTGAATTGTAGGGAGAAATACATATGCAAAGGAAATGAAGATTTTCTTCTTTTAGAAAATTATTACCATTTTTAGAACATAAATATGCTAGACAAAGAAACATACATGAAGAGGCATTAACAAGCACTATCATAAGCATTTCTTATTCATATTCTACGTTTGAGATATCATTCTTTTTGATTAAAAATTAATTATTGATTATAGTTACATTGTAGATTTGTTGAGATAGATATGATATTGTGATACATGTATACAACGTTTAACATATAAACTAATTACTTAGTTTTGGGATCTAAAATATCTAGAAAAGAGATGCTGAAAAAAAAAGCAAATACTTTGCAGACTTAGTTGTATTTTTTGTCTCCTCCACTTTGTATAGAAGCTGCCATATTTTTTGTTATAATCACAATATATGTCATGACATAGTGCAAAGGCTTTCACAGCTTCATGTTGGAAATGGTATTTGTGGAAAATAGTAACTTCAAAGGCTTATATGTATTCTTTCATATATACTGCTGGAAATGCATTGGAATAAATCATTTTCCTTGAATGATGAAAGTATCAAAAATGTAGGTGCGTTCAGACATAAGTCTGACATGTACTTTGACTTTTATCTCATTAAATCTTTGCTATGTTTGTACAACTGGCTTCCTTTAATATTTCAGACCCAGAACTTAAGCCCCAAGTCAAAGTGTGAAGTGAGTTAATCTATTCAGCGCTTCTTCATATGTATTTTGAATGCATTTCTATTTCCAGACTTCTTACTTGAACATTACTTTAGGGGAAAAAGTTTCATTTTTATTTTAAAATGCAGGGAATTATAATATGTTCTGGATTTACAATTCTGTTTCTCATTTTCTTGGTGTAAAGGCACTTTGTTATTGACCCAGGGGCAGCTACATAGTCTCTCTATATCTTGACCCTTTCAGAATCTCCAAAAGAACCCTCCACTAAAGCTTGGGTAAAGGAATAGAAGAAAATCACCTTTCTGCACCACCCACGCAGGGAGAGTTTAGGGATGTCAGTAATGGTATTGATGAAGACAGATGATGAATGTGGGAAGTGAGAAAAAATAAATACAACAGAATTTCTACCCCGTGTATCTCTTCAGGGCCATCAGGGTTTGTACATTTTTATGATTCACATTTCTGGCTCAAACTTCCCAGGATGAGTCTGTCACTCTTAGAACCATAGAAGTAATTTCCTAAGTGTGATTATGTGAATAACTTAGTTGCAAATTCGTCAGATATTAAAAGAGTGGGCATATATGTTTCACCCTTATTCCAGACATATCTATTGTCCCTTTCCCAAAACCACAGTGTGGGGTTCCAGAAGCAAACCAAACAAAAAAAAAAATTAAGGAAGGTGAGCTTGGCAGGTTGCTCCCTGCTGACTTAAATATTCTGCTAATTTGCCAAGGATTTGAACCCAACTTTCAGATATAGCTAAGGCTCCATAAGAAGCCTTTGAATAGAACCGTCATCTTAATAAGACTAAGTAAATCAGATGAGTTTCATGTTAGCTCAGGGCCATTTATCAGCTTGAAGAGTGTTAATATTTCATGTGGGTCTAGCAATGACACCTAAGCAAAGTTGGGTTTGGAGACTGTGAAACAGCTACTACTTATTTCTCTTCCAAAATATTACTAATCACCCCTCCCCACTTCCACCAACAAACAGCTTTCTATCTGGAGCAAACTCATGTTTTCTTCATTTTAAGACTGATGAAAGGTCTGGGAGTCCCAAAACGATTTCTGGGGCTTTCATATTTCTAAGTTTACTAGCATGTTTTATTTATTTATTGAACTTACAAATTATAATCAGAAGGCTGCTTATACACTTAGATGTAGAAACAACCAATACAAGTGGAATTACTGGCATGGTTTTAATATACTAATGACATTATATCCAGATATTCAACTATACTCATAATAGAGACACACCTACCACCTGACAGAAGAGTTGACACCTTCTCAGAGAGTACTTGCCCAAGTCCTGTCAATATTTGCTTCTATGATAGCTATTTTTTGTATCACCAAAAGCATCCAAACATTTTTTAATGGTAGGGATATGTTATTTCTTAACATATGTAACAAATTCTGTCAAGTCATAGAACAGTACTCATTGCCTGGGATTCACTGATCTCTTTAATAGGAGCTTGCATATCTTCGTTTTGTTGTGCTGATTTCATAGAACAATTCTCAGACAATAGTCTTGTTTCTTTAAGTTTCAACTTACGGGCGTTAAGTTGGCCCTTTGGGATAAAACAAAATATACATGAGAATAAAAATGAATCAAATGATGAAAGTATCAAAAATGTAGGTGCGTTAAGATATAAGTCTGACATGTACTCTGACTTTTGTCTCATTAAATCTCTGATATGTATAAATAAAATAAAAATGAATCAAATTTATAAGCAAGAGATACAGTAATATGATGTGTCATGTTCTGACTGAGAGAAATCCAACTCAAATTGTCTTAAGAAAAAATCTCATAACGCAAAAGAGTAGTGGTAATTCTTTAGACACTAAGTGATATCAGATGGTTAAACAGTGTTACCGAGATCTTTCTCCCGGAATATTTAAAACCTCTGCACGGTGTTGGTAGGAATGCAAAATGGTGCAGCCACTAAGGAAAACAATATGGAGGTTCCTCAAAAAATTTTAAAATAAAATTACCATATGATCCAGCAATCTTACTTCTGGGTATTTATCCAAAATAATTGAAATCAGGATGTTCACGGGATATTAGCACTTCTAATGTTCATGGCAGCAGTATTCGCAACAGCCGAGATGTGGAAACAACCTAAATATCCATCCAGAGGAATAAAGAAAATATGTTAGATACAAATCATGGAATATATTTAGCCTTAAAAAAGAAGGAAATTTCGTGATATGAGACATGACAGTTGAAACTTGAGGACATATGCTAAATGAAATAAGCCCGTCACAGAAAGACAATTACTGCATGATTCTAGTTATAGTGTGTATCTGAAATAGTCAAATCTATAGAAACAGAGTAGAATAGTAGTACCAGGGGCTGTGGGGAGGGGGAAACAGAAAGTTACTGTACTAATCAAAGGCCATAAAGTTGCAGTCAAGCAAGAGGAAGAAGCTCTAGATGTCTGGTGTACAACATTGTATCTATCGTCAACAATAATATATTGTACACTTAAAATTTTGTTAAGATGGCAAATATCATGTTAAGTGTTTTTACCACAGATGAATAAAAGTCAGTCTTCTTCATCTTCCTTAAGCCCTGTGTGGTTTCATTCTGTTTGGTTTTATTTCCAAGCAGCCTTCTTAAATGAGATAAAGATAGCCAATTAGCAGCTCCTGGTTTAGAGACATAAAACATTATCCACACAAGCAGAAAAAAATGTCTTTCATTTTAGTTCCTTCAGAGATTTCAGGGTTGACTCTCTATGATTTTCTGACACATGCTCATCCCCCAAATGATCTCAACTTTCATTATGTATGGGTCAGAGTTACCCTAAGGACTTGTTAGAAGACGGATTATAGAGCCCCAGTACCAGAGCTAGAGCGGGTCCCAATAGTTTGCATTTCAAACAATTAGTCAGATGATGGTGATATTAGATCAGGAAGCACACATTGACCACCACTTCCTCTTAGTGGCAGGATACTTATAGGCACCTGAAAGGAAGAATTCAGCATCATTTGCATTATACAAAGCAAATATGGATGAAATCATCTTCCATAAAAAAATCAGAATGGTAATGTATTCTCAACAAAAAAAAAGAAAGAAAGGATAAAGAAGTAGTTATTACTCTTGGTAGGGCGCTCAGCAGAGAAGCAACCACCTCTACCCAACACTACGAAGGCCTTTCCTTCTGCTCTCCTGTTTCCCTCTGGGACTGTAAACTAGTTCAACCATCGTGGAAGTCAGTGTGGCAATTCCTCAGGGATCTAGAACTAGAAATACCATTTGACCCAGCAATCCCATTACTGGGTGTATACTGAAAGGATTATAAATCAAGCTGCTATAAAGACACATGCACACGTACGTTTATTGCGGCACTATTCACAATAGCAAAGACTTGGAACCAACCCAAATGTCTAACAATGATAGACTGGATTAAGAAAATGTGGCACATATACGCCATGGAATACTATGCAGCCATAAAAAATGATGAAGCTGGAAACCATCATTCTCAGCAAACTGTCGCAAGGACAAAAAAACCAAACACCGCTTGTTCTCACTCTTAGGTGGGAATTGCAAAATGAGAACACATGGACACAGGAAGGGGAACATCACACACCGGGGCCTGTTTTGGGGTAGGGGGAGAGGGGAGGGATAGCATTAGGAGATATACCTAATGTTAAATGACGAGTTAATGGGTGCAAGCACACCAACGTGGCACATGTATACATATGTAACAAACCTGCATGTTGTGCACATGTACCCTAAAACTTAAAGTATAATTTAAAAAAAAAAGAAAAAGAAAAAGAAACAGTTTAGGGATGGCAGGGAAATGTGTTTAATATTATGCTCTGTATTTCATGTCAATAATAAGTGTAGGAGTCCTAACTAACTAGTTATAGAATTTATCCAGGAATATATCAAAAGAGTAAAATAATATAAACAAGAAGAGTTTATTTCAGGAATGCAACACATGTAAAAGTACATCATATGATGAACATCATTAACACTGAAAAAGTATTTTACAATGTAGTACATCAACTCCAGAAAACAACAATAAAAATACAAACAAATAGAAATCAATGTATAACTCCTTAATGATCGATACAAATACATACACACAAACACAGTCATATACTCTAATTTCCTGACACCATTTTCAAAGAAAGAATATTCATAAAAATAACACCCACTTAATAGAAACTGGTATAAAACAGTGTACACATATGAAAAGCATCTCTATCCATATCTTTATAAACATATTACTATGGTAGACATACAATCTTGAATGAATTCCAAAATAAAAATCACATGTACCAATATTTACTTTTGACTCCTTCAGTTGTATTGTATGCGCATTGTAAAATCTATCTCATACAATAATTTAAGGTATTGTGTATTTTCATCTGTGTCATGTCTAAAATGTCATGACTGGCATGTATCTTTCTAATGTTATCTAGTAATTAGAAATAATAGGATACCAATGTATGAAAACTGATGAGTCATGCTTTCAGGCTTTCATGTCTATTTTTTAATGCCTTTTTAGTTACAAATTGACAACAATTTGTAATTAATAAATTATGTACCAGTAATCAAAGCCAATATCTCATTCGGAGCAGAAAAGAATTACTATGATTTTATCAATACCAGATGACCAAAGTAAATACTTACTGACTATGTGTCGACCATGTTTTTGTTTTGCTTTTAGGATAAAAATACAAAGTGTATTGATCAATTAACACACATGTACATGCACATAACTATCTGTCTCTTCTATCCGTCTATCTACCTTGTACCTATGCAGTGTGGGTAGATAGAGGGATGGAAGAGACAGATAGATACATAAATGCATATCTATACACAGTATGCATTAGCACACAGTCACAGGTATACTTGGCTTATAAAGAGCACAAGATATTATGCCATAGGTGGCATTATCATTACTCTAGTTAATGAAACATATGAAAAGATTATTGTATCTTCAATTGTATTCTAGGGAAAAGCTGCAGAAATTTACAGCCAAAACAAAGCTATGAAATTCGTCAATTGATTGTCAAATATTCTGAGAACAATTTTTATTGCAAATTATTTCTTCAATTTCTAATTTTATTAAGTTGATGGTGCTCTCACTTTCAAAGGAGCTTTAAGATACCCCTGACAAGTAGTTTTTAAAGGACATCTTAACTGCTGTTACTAATTCACCTAGTGCAATCCTTCATTTAAAAAAAGTCCTGCTGGTTTATCTTAAAAAATAAATCTTTCTAAAGTTTCCAAACTCTATATTTGCTTAGAGAACACAAAGGGGAAATAAAATAAAATATATATTATGTTATGATTATTTTTCTTCAAAGAAAAGCTGGGTTAAAATTCTGCATCATTTTTATGGTTGTCCAAAAGCTTCTAATTTTGTAATTCTATAATATTTACTATCCCTGCCATTAATTTGGCTATGACAGAAATTATAGTTTCATAGTATGTGTGTGTGTGTGTGTGTGGTGTGTGTGTTTGTGTCTTATGTGAAAAGCAATTTTGTGTGGCATATTTATTCACACTGGTTTTTCTTTTGTTTCCTTTCATGGGGCTGGGCCAATAAGCTTCTTAATGATGACTTTAAGAAATTCCCATTTCTAAATAAAAGGTAGTTAGGCTAATACGCTGCCTTTCCCTTACTGATAACATACCTAATACTAAGAATATCCATTTTAAATTCAATTACAGCTAACTTTGTGACAAACATATGGTATATTTTTATAAAAATAATTCATCATTTATAACAACCTCCAGAAAGTGAATCATTGCTGCTATAACTTGATAACAATGTATTTCACCTTTTAAAAATGCATTCTGCACAATCTGGTACTAATAAGAACATTATCACTAAATGTACTGGATAAGGGATTCATGAAATAGTGACACATATTTTTATTTATTGTGTGTATTTTTTTTTTTACATTGCTCCTTTTAAACTGATGCATTAGCTGAGTTATATGTTCAATTATTCATTCTGAGTTTTTCTCTGAATTCTCTTTTTTGGAATATTGCGGAATAATTTGAGGTAGTTTAAGGGACTCACTACACCTCCTTCTGCATATTCTTAGACTGGGACCATGGAAACAAACTCAATAGAATTGTTTATTTAATATTGTTTTTATAACTTTAGTATTTATTTTCCTGATTTGAAATTTATTTTTATTAACTGCTGATTACATTATACCTTACTATTTAATATAGACCTCCTTTTAAATGCTAATAAATAACATATTATGCTTTGTTTTATATTTATCAAGACGAATGATGAAACCACATTCAATGTTTTATTATTGTTTATTGTCTCAAGATACATAATTGTATTTACTTACTCCAAAACCCCAAATTACTTCATTGCTAAAATTACATAAATTGTTGTGTAAAAATATCTAAGACCAAAAAGCATAAAAAGCCAGGAGAAATTACCACAAATATAAATAATATTTATATAGAGAGAGGATAGGAAGGAAGTAGAGAGACTGTAGGTCAACTACTAAATAAATATGGAGAAACACCAAGTTCAAAATATTGATAGAAACAGTCTTTAAAGCAGTTTTGTTCTCTTTGTTTTGTTTCAATTTATGGAGAGTTCTTCATAATAATTCTTTTTCTTGACTACTCGTTAGAGACAGGGTTGACTTGCAGTTTTAAAGAATGTACTGTGGCACTGGGTCAGTGAAATGTGCCTGTTATGGTGTTGCTGACTATAGACGAGGCTGAGTTTCACTTCAATACCATAACCACTGAGCTGGATTTCTGTTGACCCTGACTTTGTTTTTTTTTTTTTTTTTGAGACGGAGTCTCGCTTTGTCACCCAGGCTGCAGTGCAGTGATGTGATCTCGGCTCACTGCAAGCTCAGCCTCCTGGGTTCACGCCATTCTGTTGTCTCAGCCTCCAGAGTAGCAGGGACTACAGGTGCCCGGCACCACTCCCGGCTAATTTTTTTTTTTTTTTGTATTTTTAGTAGAGACAGGGTTTCACCGTGTTAGCCAGGATGGTCTCGATCTCCTGACCTTGTGATCCACCCGCCTTGGCCTCCCAAAGTGCTGGGATTACAGGTGTGGACCCTGACATTTTTTAAAAAGGCTTACTGGAATTATATCTCAGTAGCCATTTGCAACTCTTCTCCTTTTAGCTACCAGGACACACAAAAAGTATTGCTGTGTGTGTGTGTGTGTGTGTGTGTGTGTGTGTGTGTGTGTTTGAAGTTCTTCTTGCTCTTGTTTTTATAAAATTTTCAAAAATAACAATAACTTAAGAATTAGCTTATTCAACTTTACTTTAATGAATGCTTATCTAGTTTATCCAATCACAGAAACAGGATATTACTATAAGGTACTTGAAGAAGTTTATTTAACTAGGATTTTTTTCTAAAGTAAATACAACAAAATTATTGGTTGAAAATAACTCTTACTTACTGAATATCTCTGAGCCAGAAATGATTGTAGATGCTCAGGATGTAGCAGTAGAAAAAATAGGCAAAATGGTCCCTGCTCTGGCCTCTGGGAATAAAAGAACTAAACACATAAATTGGTTAAAAAAAATACACCACACACATACACACACACACACACACACACACACACACAAACACACACACACAGAGTTTGTCCAGTGGTGATGACTACTATAAAAAATAAATAAATCAGGGAAGGAACATAAAAATTTCCAAAGGACCAGAGAGGAGTAAGTGCAGTTTCACAGGAGCATGAGAGATTTGCTAAAAAAGTGACATTTGTGCAAAAACGTTATGAGGTG
This sequence comes from Homo sapiens, assembly GCF_000001405.40. Lineage (NCBI taxonomy): Eukaryota > Metazoa > Chordata > Mammalia > Primates > Hominidae > Homo > Homo sapiens. The sequence continues at coordinate 171,924,384 of NC_000004.12, forward strand.
AGGGAGCTAGTTACAGGCAAAATGCAAAAACTTTGTGGTGGGAGAGTGTTTGACACATTCAAGGAAGAGCAATGAGACCTGGGTGGAATGATGGACTATTTAGAGTATTTATATAAAAGGGATAAGATCATGTAGAGACTTTTGGGCCACACAGCAAATTGTGATATAATTATCTATGTATCTGCCCTTTTCTTTTTGACTCTGAGTTCTGGAAAAGCACGATCAGGTGCTATTCATCTTTGAGCCACCAAAGCATAGCACTTGCCTGTCACAGGGAAGGTATTCTGTTGGCTTGAAGTGAGATTTGGATCTCAAAAAGTCCAATTCTCCTTGTTTATCAGAACATGACTAGAAGACAGAGTGGCACCCATCTCTACAGACTCTGGTTAATTGGATGGGGACACTGTATAAATTTCCTGTGGCTGTTGTATCAACTATAACAAATTAGGTGGCTTGTAACAACCAGTCAGGTTGCACCCACACTTGGGAGGAGACGATTACACAAAAGAATGAACACCAGGAGGTGGAAATAATGAGCTCCACCTGTTGTCTCTCCAGCACACATTGTATCTTAGAAGCTGGAAAACTCCGTGGGCACTTATCCAAGCCTAGTGGGTTAGGGATGGTTTCCTAGAAGACACCAAAGATATGTGAATGAAATGCGCAGGAAAACTAAGCTTTAGCTCAGCAAAAGAAAAACAAGGCAGAGAAGAATGCTGGAGCAAATGTATTGATGCACAAACAGGAGCATATGCATAGAGCTCCTGGTAAAGGGTGAGCAGGGGCTCAGGCAGAAGCCAGGAATCAGGTACTGGAGAGCCAGACAGGATGCTCAAGAACTCAAATGCCTAGAAGGATTTTACCTAAGGATGTCGCAGTGCCTGAGATATGCTTTTTAGGTAGAAATTCCGATTAAAATATGAAAAGGGATTCTTTTGTAAAAACTAGAGGCAATAACTGTGGTTAGGAAGATAATTCAGTGATCCAGCCAAAGATAATGGCCTGAATTAAGACAAAGGAAGTAGAAACTAGGAAGGAGAAGAGAGTGGAAAACCTCAGGGAACCGTAAGAACAAATCAGAGTGGTGATTCATTACACTTAGAATTTGGGGAAAAAACTAGGTGTCTAAGACATCCCGCTGAGATTTCAGGCTTGTATACAGAATGAATTAAAGAAGCAACCTTACTTAGACTTTGAATAATTTTTATTTTGATATATTTCATTTATACCATTTTAAGTGACTACATCTCCATTTTAGAATTGTTTTCTGGGATTATGATGAGGGAAAATCCCTTTTCTAGCAATCTTTAATTTGAAGCTTCAGTTGTCAACACAGAAGACATCTATTTAAAAAATTAATGTGAAAGAAGCATTTGTTTTTCTTTGTATTGATGATAATAAGTAACTAGGGGAAAAACTCTGAGCTACTTTTACTTAAAAATAAATATTTCTTTTAGAGATGTGATCATCATAAATAATTAGATGAACAGAAATATAAAAGTACTTCTTATATAGCTTTTTTAAAATACACTTCCAGCATTTATGTGGCCAAAAATACTTTTTTAAATTCATTATTTAAATTTTCAAATTTTAATTATGAGGCATCTGAAATTTTACAAAAATATTATTACTGACACACATGTGCACATAACTAAGATTAAAAAATGTTAACCCTATGCCTTATATACTTCACATCATTCCTTTATCGAAAGACATAAAACATTACATTTATCTCAACCTTCTCATCCCTCCTCAATTCCTCAATTAAATTATATGCTTAAATTGCTACAAATAATATCTACTTATTTTTATATACTTTTATCAAACATACTTATTTCATCAGTTATCTATATTGCCATTTCAATTTTCAAATGACATATAGTATGATGATGTGCTTGTTATTTGGCAATGCAATTTTTCACTGAACATATATGTATACTTTTTTACATTTCCATGTTGTTTCATGTAGATTCCAATTCAGAAGGCTATTGTATGTCCTCTCCACATTAATTTATTCATTAGGTACAGAAAACTTGTCTTTTCTACTGTTTCTCTAATGTGTCTCTGTACATGTCTCTTTGTGTATTAATGTGTTAGAATTCCAACTGCTACTTATGGAATTTTTAGATTTTGGGGTATGTACACCTTCAACTTTGCTAGGAATCCAGAACACATTCCCTGGCTTCCATGAATATAAATGAGTTCCCATTTCCTGTCTCTTCACTAGCATTTGTTATTTAAAAAACTTACAATAAAAGCATTACTATCTGTTGGATATGCAGGATATCATTTTCTTCATAATTTGTATTTACTTTGCGACACAGTACTCCAAACATTATTTAATGCACTTCTTGTCCTTTTGGTTTCTTGCTCTGTGAATTTCATGTCTGTATCTTTGCTTATATTTCTGTTGAGATATATGTTTTCCTTCCTGATTAGCAAATTATTTTTATTTTCTGGATACTAACTCTTCGTTAGTTTTAGCTTTTGCACATAGTTTCTACTTTTTTTGTATGTTTAATTTTTGTTTGTTTATGACATTTTGATGTTTTTAATCCGCCCTTAAAGATCTCCTTTGTTGATGTTGTTAAAATGGTCCTCATATTTCTTTTAGAATGTTTAGTTTATTTTAACCTATACGTAATTTTTTTTTTCTGTTGAGTGTTAAGGGGTGGTGATTTTTTTCTTTGTACATAAGGAACAGCTACCTGTTTCAGCACAATTCATGAAACAGTGCTGACATTTCCACTGAAATAGGAAAAGTGTCTAGTATCTTCATTCTGTTCCATTAAGAAAATTCCATGTTGTTTTAAGAAATATACATTTATAATAAGGTGTTTTAACTGATAAGATGCCTTCTTCAATGTATCTCAATTATTTGAAATTATATTGTTGGTGCTTTACTTTTCTTTTTTTGTTTTTTAGAAGAAGAGTCAGCTTGCTACATTTTAACAATAATATTCTGTAGATTGAGGTAGGAATTGTTTTGAATTTAAAATTTCCCTCCCTTTACAGAACTGAGTCTATGATTAAAAATACTATAGATTTTGTGTTTTTCAATATCATTTTACTATTATCTGATATACTTTGATTATATTATAATTAGAGTAACTATCTTGGTGTCTTCTATGGTTTCTCTGTTCTCTCATACCCTATACACATGCCAACCAAAGTTCCTACATTATGTCATTAGGCTGTGCAGGATTCTAGCCTTGGCACCCCTTAGTCCTCATTTCCTACCACTCTCTGTTTTGTCCTTTCTCTTGTTCTGCTCCAGCCACATGGGTCTTCTTGGTGGGGAATGTGAAAATCACATTCCTGTCTCAAGGACATTAAAATTTGTGATTCCCTTTGCTTGGAATACCACCCAGCATCTCCAACTGATCCTTTGCTTGTGTATTCCACTGCACAGCCCCTGCAGCTGATCTTTGCATGGTTGTCTCTCTCATGTCATTCAGATCTCAGCTCAAATGCCACAGTCACACAAAGTTCTTTCTTTACCTTTCTTTAGTTCCTTGCATTAACTTTGGACGCCACTCGTCATTACCTATCTATTCATTACATATGTTTCTTTATTTCAGAAAAATTACCACTCACTAGAGCTTTTAGTTCATGATTGTATTCCCAGTATTAAAAAATGACTCAGTAGCCTCTCAATAAATATTTGTTGAAAAACTGAAAGAATGAAGAATCTACTCTTAAGTGCCATAAAATTATTTTAACTATGTTTTTTCAAATTATATCTTCAAATTGTTATTGGAGAATAAAACCATGGGTGATATCTATAAAATATTATATATGTGAGAAGTGTTTAGTGCAAAATAAGTAGTGTTGTAAAATAATTTTATTTATTAACTCATGGAATCCTCATGACAACAATATAGTCACTATTATTACTATTTCTTCTTAAAAGATGGAGAGTTTGAGGTCAGGGAGTTTAAAATTTTTCTTCTCATCACTTAACAGTAACGATGGAGTCCCTTGGATGCAGTGGAGCCACTGTGCTGTCACTCCAGTGCCTGGAGGCTAGAACACAGAAAGAGTGGTTTTAACCACGATCCCTGGCTTTCCGCCTAGGAAATAAAATTAAGAAACAGCTAGAAAATTTTAAGACTGGAAGGCTATCAAAAATACATGAATCATGTTCATTGCTTATGTATGACAACTAGCTTTCCCATATCCTGTTAACTTTCTCTTTCATATTTAAATTGTACAAAGGAAGTCATGCACCTTATGACAACATTTTGGTCAATGACAGACCACATATGCAACAGTGGTCCCATAAGATTATAATACCGTATTTTACTTTCCCCTTTCTATGTTTAGATAGGTTTAGACAGGCAAATAGCACTGTGCTCCAGTTGCCTACAGTATTGAGTACAGTAACATGCTACAGGCTTGTAGGCTAGGAGCAATACGCTATACCACAGAGCCTAGGTGTGTAGCAGGCTGCACATCTATACCATCTGGGTTATTGTAAGTACACACTGTGATGTTCACAGAAAAACGAAATCACCTAATGACACATTTCCCAGAATGTATTCCCATTAAGTGACACATGGCTATAATATAAGAAATTATACCACAATAGAATGCATCATTAATATATTCTACATTTCATAATCACATATTTTTATGAAAAATTTACTATCACAGAATATCATTTGCCACTTCATTTTACTGTTATTATTATTATTTTTGAGATAAAGTCTCTGCTCTGTCACCCAGGCTGGAGTGTAGTGGTGCAATCAGGACTCACTGCAGCCCCCACCTCCCAGGCTCAAGCCATCCTCCCATCTCAACCTCCCAAGTAGCTGGGACTAGAGGCCCACGCCACCATGCCCAGCTAATTTTTTACATTTATTTTTTGTAGAGATGGGATCTCTCTGTATTGCCCAGTCTGGTCTTGAATTCCTGGCCTCAGGTGATCTTAGTGCCTCAGCCTACCAAAGTGCTGGGATTTTAGACGTGAGCCTCCATTTTATTTTATACATAAAAGGTCTTACAATCGTTTAAACATTAAGACTCCCTCAAGAATATCTTGGTGATGTGAGCACAAGGGCCAACTAGACTTGCCTGGCACGCCCCAGACCCCCACCCCGCCATCAACACAAAAACCCAAAGCAACAAATACACAACTGTATTTTACCTGGAGTGACTGAGGAAGTGCACTGGAGAGTACCCACATGGACCTGCACAACGGCGTGGCCTCGAGCAGCTAGCCAGCCCACTGTACGTGCTCGCTCCTGGCTTGGCAGCCAATCTGGTCAGACCGCACCTCATTGCAGAGAGTGCTGCACAGCTGCCCAGCCCCATGCCCTGGCTGCCCTGCTGGAGGCATTCACACGCACCCACCCCTGGCCTGAAAGGGGCCCTGCCTTCCTGGAGAGACTGCAGCAGCCACCCAGTCCCATGGTGCCTGTGCAAACCAACACCCAGGCCAACAGCGAATCCAGCAGCAGCCCCAGCTCCCTGGAAAACGCGAGACAGAGCTGTCTGGTCCCCCTGCACTTGCACTCACACCTGGCCCAACAGCCGGGCCAATGTCTGCCCCGTGTCCCCAGAAAATCTGTCACTGAGGTGTCAGCCCCACTGAATGCACCTGCACTTGGCCTGAAAGCTGATTCAGAAGTGAACTAGCCACCCCACCCCCGCTAGTCCCTTTGCACCTGCCCTGAACATGCCTAACAGCCAATGTGGCAGTGGCCAGCCTCCTGGATATACCACCACATACCTGCACCCAACCCTACAGCCAGTTGGCTGGTGACCTCCACATCCCAGGAGAGCACACGCGACAGCCTGTGGGTCCTGCACACCAATACATGCCCAGTCCAACAATCAATGTGGCACCTTCGCCTCCAGCGAAACCATGCCATCACCTTCACAAATTCCTGTAACCTAGGCCACTTGGGTAATCGCAGACCTCACTGATGAAAATCACAGCTGAAGAAACTGCAATGAAGACCATGCTACTGAGTCCACCCAGAACCACAGCCTATGCGCCACACTCAACAAACACCCTAGGAAGCATCTACAAGAAAGAGTCTCAACAAAGTAGACATAGGAAGTATTTAACTTAACACAATAAAAGCCATATATGGCAAACCTACAGCTGACATCATACTGAATGGGGAAAAGCTAGCAGCTTTTTCTTTAAGATCAGGAACAAGGCCAGGCATGGTGGCTCATGCCTGTAATCCCAGCACCTTGGGAGGCCGAGGTGGGCAGATCACCTGAGGTCAGGAGTTCAAGACCAGCCTGGCAAACATAGTAAAACCCCATCTCTACTAAAAAATAAAAAAAATAGCCAGGCGTGGTGGTGGGCTCCTGTAGTCCCAGCTACTTGGGAGGCTAAGGCAGAGAATCACTTGAACCCAGGAGGCAGAGGTTGCAGTGAGCTAAGATGGTGCCACTGCACTCCAGCCTGGGTGACAGAGCGAGACTCTGTCTCAAAACAAACAAGCAAACAAACAGATCAGGAACAGGACAATTATATACACTTTCACCACTTTTATTCAACATATGACTGAAAGTCCTAGTTACAGCAATTAGGTAAGAGAAGGAAATACAAGTCATCCAAATTGGATGTTGAAGTTCTTGCTTAAGTCTTTAGTGGGAATCTCTTGAGAAATGCACATCAGAGTAACCTGCTAGCTTCTCTGTTTTTCCCCAGAATGGTTTAGTAATGCCATTTGGTTTGAATTCCTAGTAGATTCATAAAGAATTTCTCCAGTTCTGCCTGCAAGTGGCTATTCAACTACACCTTGCCATTTAACAGTGTCTTACACTTTTATTTCATTAGTAGTATTATTTTTAGAGACAGGGCCTCATTCTGTTGCCCAAGCTGGAGTGCAGTGGTGCAATCATGGCTCACTGAAGCTTTGAACTCCTGGCCTCAAGCAATCCTCTTGCTTCAACCTCCCAAAGTGCTTGGATTATAGGCATGAACCACCACAACCGGCCCAGCTTTCACTCATAATATGGGTCTAGTCCAGCAGAATTTTACTGAGCACCCTTGATTGCAGACACATAGAAAAGTATCCCAGGACATTCTTGTTGACAGTTCTACTGTGGATTAATTGAAAATTTGTATTTATATGTGAAATTACAGATTTAACATATGATAGTCACTTTCCTGTTTACTGGTGTTCTAATGCTGATTTTTAAGTTAATTTTAAATTTCCAACTATTAACGACTAAAAGTTCAATTGCAGATTAGTATTAAAACCAAGGATTATATCTATCACTGCTTTATATAAAAACAATTGTCAAAGAAATTCTGATACTGTGTGGTTAGTCAAATTTGAATATCAACTAGATGTTATAACATGATAGTTAAGAGGATGAAAATTGTGCTTTATCCATTCCTGCTTACTTTTGAACTGTGTTCAGTATATTTCAGCTGTCACTTGTTCACTCCATTATAAGAATAATTATTAAGAATGAGCTGAAAAAACACACAGTTCATAAAACTAAAATCCTTAATTCACATTTGTATGTTGTGAGTTAATGAAATTTGTTTTCAAAAAAAGCTTGATTTCAGAAAAATCTAATTACATTGTTATACTAAAAGTTATCAGCTTTATCATTATTTAATGGAAAGTAATAACTGATAGAACTGTTTATAGTAATATATTATAGAGTGATGTTTTTCATTTAATAAGTTTGTTGGAGAAGAAGACAACATAGAAATATTTAATGGGGGCTGCTTCCCTAGAGTTAAGGATATTTTTTGTGAGGGTGACTTTAAATAATATTTTAGAAAAATATAGGTATAGGTGTGAAAACTATAACTGCTTTCCAATAGCATAAATAGCATACACTCATACTAATAGAGTACCTTTGATGGCATATATGTCCTAGTCTTTCAAGTCACTACTGTTTTGTCAAGGTTACTACAACAATTTTGAAGCTTGGCAAATGAAGTTACAATACATAACCTGGTACGTGCCTTTTTTTCCGTAGTCAACAACCAAAAAGTGAATTGTGCTTGGTGGAAACCGAGTGTTGTAAAAAAATAAAAGATTATTGACTCTGTTCGTTATCAACTGTGAACAGCTGCACAGGGAAGCTGGAAGCCAGTGGGCCCGCCAAGCACCTCTCTGAGACTGAAGCCATTTGGAGCCAGGTTGGAAGCAGCGGGAGTCTGAGGTGTCTTGTCTAGACAGCAGAGGCTCTGTATGGCTCTTGAAGAAATGGGCAAAGGACTTTATAGAGAGAAAGTCCTTCCAGAGTTCTTGGCACAAATTCATCTACCTATTTCCTTTTTGTATGTTACTATTAAAATGAGTAGAGAAACCAAGACACAAAATAAATCAATGGGATGTTTAGAGAATGAAATAGAATGGTATACACATCTAAGTTTAGAACTTCAAGAAACCTTGGCAACATACCCCAATTTCCTTATTTTATACATAGCAACACAAATGTCCAGAATAGATGAATAAATTGCATCTGATAATACAATTGGATCACCAGGGATCCGGAATGTGTATCTAAATTGCTGGCATCCATATTCAATACCTTTTCCAGGTGTCTTAAATCCTTGTGCTCAAAATGTGATCTGCAGAGCAGCAGCATCAGTATCACCTGTGTGTTTGCCAGAAATTCAGAATCTCAGGCTCATTCATAGACTTATGAATTAGAATCTCCATCTTAGCAAGATTGCCTGTGTATATGCTGTATTAAATTATTGAAAAGACTTATGAATGATAACTATGTTCTTGAGTGATAAAGGTGGAAAATTGCGTATGTACAGTAGGAAAAAATCTTCAGATCATCCATCCGTTATAACGTTTAGTTATATGTGGCTAGCATTTTTGTTAATGTCAGCCACTTGTTTGATTTTAAATCAGTCCCTCTCTTAATACGGTAATTTGAGCTCATGGTAAAATAAGAATATTTCTGTTTTTCAATAAGTATAATTTTAAATTTATAGAAAGACCTGGGTGCTGTCAAAAATTTTAGTTTAAGCCATAAAATAAACAGATTTTAATTAAATGTTTTGTTAGCTTTCATATAGACAAATGAGTTTTAGTTTATTTTCTATTGTTGTCTTTACTACTTTACAAACATAAATATTGAAATTACTCAAGTATCTATAAATGAGAAATAGTTATAAGCCAATTAATTGTTATTAACTGATTCAACAAATATTAACTTTAGGCACTATGCTAGATAGATATATAGTTTATTAGGGATTTATTTAGACTATTTTATTTCACATAAAATTCTGCAAAACAATTTGTGTTGTATATTTACTTAACTAAGACAGTTAACAAACGATTATGATTGGAGATAAAATGCAAGAATTATTTTAATTATTTTACTAATTTTTTTTCTCTTGTTATAATATTGGTTCAGGTTAACTAGTAGCAGTCACACGAATTATAAACATCAGATTTACTATGTCATCTCTCTATAACCTATGATTCCAGAGCCAGTTTTCACTAATAGTTACTCAAGATTAGACAGCATTTAGAAAATTCAGTTAATATTCTTTTAGTCATAAAATTTGGAAACACATTAAAGATTATTTATAGACTATAGTTTTTTCTCTTTTCAATGTAGGGGTTTTCAAATGTTATAAACACCACGGGACTTTTTAAAATTTACATTCCTGGACTACAGGTTAAAGTTTTTGGCTTCATTAACTTACAAGAATCTACTTTTAACATATCTTCTGTTTATTTCTATATACTCTGAAGGTGGAGTCCCTTTGGGATAAATAGGCTAGTGTATCTCATATCAAGAGATGATATGACTTCAGTTTCTTAAAAGTCTATTGGCAGACAAGGTAGATGAAACTAAGATTACAGCATTGCTCTCATCTGTGACATAAGATTTGAATTGCTGACAAATATATGTAAATATTTAGGGGACATTTCAAGAACAATACTAAAATAATCTAGAGCAGTGAATGCACATTCATGGAAGAGTTGACACTAATGGTACATTCTCTTTTTGGTAAAACCAGGAAGTAAAAAGACCCTTCTTTATGTATGTATGTATATCTATCTGTGCATTTACTTATTTATTTTTGAGACAGGGTCTCATTCTCATTTCCATCATGCAGGCTGCAGTGCAGTGGTATGATCATGGCTCACTGCAGCCTCAATTTCCCAGGCTCATGTGATTCTCTCACGTCAGCCTCCCAAGTACCTGGGACTACAGGTGTGCACCAGCATGCTTGGCTAATTTTTTTGTATTTTTTGTAGAGACAGGGTTATACCATGTTACCCAGGCTGATCTTGAACTCCTGGGCTCAAGAAATCCTCCTGACTCAGCCTCCCTAACTGTTGGGATTATGGGCATGAGCCACTGCACCCAGCCAAGACCCTTCTTTTAGATTTTTCACTAACGAAGTGGTTCATTTGGAAACTCTTAGAGCGAAAAGGCTAGAATACTACAGTTTCTGTTAATGTTTTTCTTCCTATATTCCTGTCATATTAACCAATTTCTCTTTAAATCTGCTTGGTGGAAACTGTGAAAAACTGGGAAGTTGAAGTTTGACTTACTTTTCCCTTGCTTTCTCCACCTAACTCTTTTTTTCTCCCCAAGAATGTCATATTCCAATGATCCCAAACCCTAGAGAGCTCTCCTGACCCTTGAAGCATTGTCTAGTCTCCCATTCCCATGAGAAAATGCTGCCATGTTCTTTCATGCATGGGAGAGAAACTGTATCACTTTTTTTTGCAGGATGTGAGATGCCAGTAGTAAGTACCCTAAGTTGCTTGGGCAGTGATGTGAGAGGTACTTCCGGACAGGTTCCAGTTAGATTTATAACCCTAAATTTTATTTTCAAAATCCTAATCAGGCCGATCAAAGGAAGAGTAGATATTTGGAAATGCACATCTTTGAAGTGTGATTTTCTCACTTTAAACCATGTAAGCTGGCACCTAGAGTTGGCCCTGTATAACAATATAGTCAAGTTATATATTAGTGATGCTAGAGCGGAGTCATAGCAGAGAAAACCAGAGGATAGCACCCAACAGACTATTTGTAGCCTGATAAACTGAGTCTTCAGCATTATTGGAAGAAACTAATAAGGCTACATTGACCCTGTTGACTGAAGAAACACACTGACTCTCTTTTTTCTGTTTTGAGATGGGGTCTCAGTCTGTTGCCCAGGCTGGAGTGCAGTGGCATGATCATAGTTCATTGTGCAGCCTTGACTGTCCGGCTCAAGCAATCCTCTTACCTCAGCGTCCAGAATATCTGGGACCACAGCGACATGCCACCACGCCTAGCTAATTTTTTAAATTATTTGTAGAGATGAGGTCTCCCTATGTGGCCCAGGCTTCTATATTTTTGATAACACTTTTACCACATGCATCAGCCTTCAGGAGAGCAAATATAAGTAAAATCCTGAATAAGTGTACCTCTGTAAATTTTATGGTTCCACTAGCTTGAAAATTCCTGGGCAGGTGTGTAGATGAATTTTGTGGCTAGCATTTTTGTTGCTTTCTTGCTTGGGTAGGTAAAGAATGAAGACCTCTTTTTTACCAATACCTAGTCAGGGTTAAAAATTTGGTAGCCTTCATGCCAAAAGTGAGCTTCATGTCACACAGTAAGTGAAGCCATACTAATAATATAAAAGTAGGATTTGGCATGACTAATCCTCAGAAAATATCTATCTGTGGATAATTCAGCATTATTGAATAGAAAACTTAGACAAAAAATTATTTATGGTCTCCAGGTTGAAATACCAGTTTCCTACATTAGTAAGGAGCCTGTTTTTTAATGAACAAAGTAACGTGCATACTAATGTGGCTCATGGTGTTGCCATAATCAAATGTCCCTTTTTGGTTCAAAAACTATCATTTAATAGAAGTTTGAAGGCAAGCCAAGTACAATATAAATAGACCAAGTGGGTACAAAAACCTGTTCAGTACTTGGAAAAGGTATGTAACATCTGTTCAAAGTAGAAAGCACTGGTTCACTGGCTTAATTGGAGGTGTCCTAGAAGCTATTTTTTTTTCTTCTGCTTTAGCTGTTGATCTGGTTTTCCTCTCAGGTTGTTGTAATTAAGGAATGCATACTTCGTATGAATTTGATGCAGATGAGGCCAAGAACATTTTTGTAAGATATGGATCATTTTCTTTTATGCCAAAAGAGGAAATTCTATAGTGTTTCTAATATAATCAGTTAGTCTCTAGAAATTATTCTCAGATACAGTAATAAATTACTTTGTGAAGCATTCATTTGTGCCTGCAAGTTAACAGTACCATTCTTCCCATAAAAGGGCTATTATAATCTAAACTTGTTGGAAACCAAGACAAATTATGTAAAAATGACACAAGATATTTAAAAACCTATCATGGGATGAACAATGGACATATATCATAGCAAGACATATATTTAATTGATTCACTTTTAGAAATAGTTTATATTGATATTCTGTTCTTCACATTTGCACCTCAGAAGAAAACATATTCAAATGAAGAAGAAAAATATACGTTAAGCCTCTAATTTGCTAACACACTAGGAGAATAATAAAAGCCTCTATGATTACATCATAGAGTAGATATTAGTTCAAGGCTAACAGCACATCTTTATGTCCAATCTCTAGCAACACCAAATGAAACCTTCCAGCTGAACCTGCAAGATCACGCTTCACAATACAAGTACCCAAGAAAAATATCTTCTGGACTCATGTGCTTAGCTGTGGAGTAAGAAATTCTACTACTTCAGATACTGCTGGGTGGATGAATTCTCCTTCTCTATTATCTGTACTTCAGAGTCAGACTTGAAAGGGAACTAGGGAAACTTGCCTCAGTTAAAACTTAACTATTTCTGGGGTAAGAATTTGGCTTTAGGGAAAGCAATTCACTGTTTGACATGAGTGCGATGAAATGACATTGAATTTTTAATAAGAATTACTATTGCTATTTTATTAATATTTGAGAATTACATCTCAGAAATTTTTCTTACTTATTTTTCCAATTATGTAAGTCTGTATGAAACAGCTGTGTATTCCTTAACAATTCTTAACTCATAGATAAAAAGTTATTCCAAAGGACTATTGACTCCACGAAACAATAGATTTTTAGAAAAGTATACATCTTTGACTATAAAAGAGCATGTGATTTAAGAAGTTTGTTTTTTGTATGCACATGTGATATACGTACACAGAAATTACTCTTTTCCCTTATGTTTCTAGGCCTTTATTCTGAAAACTGGAGATTTCTGTGAAATCAAAAATCTTTGTTCTCTTATTCAGTCTCATTCCTTACTTTATTCAGCTACCACCAAGCAGTTGAAATAGAATTATGGAATCAGCTTCTAGGTGAAACAGTTTCACACCTTCTGATCAAAGAGTCTTCCAGAAAAATTGGTCAAGTAAAGAATGGTTACATAGGCAAATGAAAAGTAGCGAAGTAAATGGAGTTCTGCTTGTGTCCAATGACTAGCAGGAAGAGCCCCAATTTTAGTGTTTTAATTATTTGCTAATGAATAAACATGGAAAAATAGTTAAAATGATTTTTTAATGATAAAAAGGCTCAGTAATTATTAAACAACAATCTGTCCGTGAATCTGTAAATTAGATGCATTTTTGTGGCTAATGCTGACAGGTTTTCTTTCAGATACTTGGGTTGTTTCTCGCCGTTCTGCCATGTGTTGTGTGTGTATAAACCTAGTTATTTCCATAACAAAGGCCACTTTTTACCTGTAGGCTTCAAAACACACCAAAGATGTTTAGGAACAGTTGGATTTTTTCTTTTTTTTAAGTTTTTGAAACTTGCACATTTCTTTTCAATAACTTGTAAAGGTTCATGCTGTAGAAATTTAACATTTCCTGGGTCTTTTCCAATGCCTGCTTAGTCATTCCCCAGTCTCCAGCCCAAGGGAATGTTAAGTGTGAAATATCTCATATTCTGCTCACCTCCTACCCCTGACAACAATTACTGAATACAGAATTTCTATAGCCTCTGCCTCTTGTTTGAAGTTGTGACTCTTGATTCAACTTTTCTCCCACACTTGAATGCCAACATTATAGACCCTGCCATTTCTTTGTGTAGCATTTCTGTGCAATGCCCCAACACCCATGAAATTATGATATAATATTGTGTGCATGGACATCTAGGAAGCACTAGTCCAGATTTTTACACAGTATGATACTATAAAGATATTGCTTTGGAGTTTCCAGAAAAAAATCATCTGTGTAAGTGTGAATTAAAAGCAATGTTGAATAAATATAACCTGCACATTCCATTATAACTTAATTTTAAAAGTGAAAACTGAATTGTGACTAAAGTGAAGATAAGACACACTCTTTCTCTTAAAACCAATGTTTAGATTCATGGGTTGGGAAATAGAAGTGAAATGAATAGCACAAATATTATTAACTCCAATCACCGTGAAAGAAGCATTAGAATTTCCTATTTTGCAAAGCTAGGGCTATCATCCTATCTAATGAAAGTAGAGGAAGAAATAAAAGCTAAAACACCTTTGAAAATCCATGGCTTATGGGTGTGTAGGCTGCAGAAGTAGCAACTAAAATGTAAATTGATAGCATTTTTTAACCAAGGTTTCACATCTTGGTTTTCATAAGGTTTACTGGTTTATAAAGATAAATAAATTATTAGCATAGAAAGCTGCTATTTCACAATAGTAGGTGGTGGTTGGGAGGTATCTTAAGTTGACATTGATCTCAATCTCCTGAACATTTTTTCTTTGCCTTCACCAAAAAAACAGATATTTAAAATGGAAAAAAAAAACAATTAAATCTAATTCCAATAATTTCAGTTGGAAAAAAGAAGTAGTGGGGTAGCTAGTGGATTTGCTTTATTTTATGTTACTCACTCATGATCAAATGTATGTAATAAATGGTAATTTGGTGTTACATTGGCATTAACTATTGCTTCCTGCACTGATGATTTTGCCAAGTGCTAATCAATATACTGATTTTTTTTGATAAGCCATCAATAGGTTTATTTCTTGTAATAAAGTATTTCATTAGAAAATTTGATATACTATTCTTGGGTATTAGATAAATACTATACCTACTTTTATTACTCCTTGCTGTATATACTAGCAAAATGTGTGAATTCATGAAGATTTTGACTATTTATGTAAATATAATTATATTTATAAAATTGTTAGAGTGCTAGTAAATGCATCCAGTGAAACAGACACAGAATGTATTTTCAATCTCATTAATTAATTAGAATACAGAATTTCTCTGTGGAAGTCCCCAAATCATGCAAACTGTGTTTAATTACTTCAGTACTGAAAGATTGAGATGAAAGATGAAAAGAAATGGACTATAGAACAATACGTTTTACAGATTTAGGGTTATTATCCTTCATTGTCAAAATAGATATCTGCTGAATTAATAAAAATATAAATATTTAATAGAAAATTTGTTGTTTATCAGGATCAAAGTTAGATTATACAGGATACAGATAAACAATCTTAGATACATGACCTACCTACTAAGAACCTAAAAATCTAAATGGGATACAAGTTTACATGCCTGAAACAATAAACAGACAAAAGTGATGATATACTCACTAGTAACAAGATGAATATGGAATCATATAATAAAGTCCTAAGTAGACTTCCGATGAGGAAGCTATCAACTTCAGAGTCCCACAATCATATGTATGTGTCTTGGATTTGTTTTTTTTAACTCACTGTACGGTCTTCGACAAATCACTTTACTTGTATGAATGACTGTTTCTTCCTCTATAAAATAGAGTTGATTTCATCTATCTTGTATGTATGAGAATATTGAAAAAATGATGGAAAACACACTTCTAGTCATGTGCAGTGTGTTTGATAACATATCTCATTATTAACTGTGAAAAAAACTGGAGAAAACATCATATTGTGTCCTCAGAAAATACAAAAGAAAAGGAGGGACATTGAAGGTAATTTCTGAAACTATTGATAATCAAAGAGTGGGTGGAAATGGGGAGGGGATGCAAATAAGAATGTTGTATTCTTATTTGGGGATGCAAATAAGAATGTCTGACTCATCTTTGGAGCTCACATTACCATAATACATATAGTGGTTGTTGAATGAATAATACAATTAAATGAATCAAGAACATAATGGGGAGTTTGGTTGACTACAAAAGTTTAATCTTTTGTAACCAAACAATATTGCTCTTGCCTTAGAAGATCTGAGCTCTTGAAAAAAGAGGTGAAGGGCCAGGCGCAGTGGCTCATGCCTGTGATTTCAACATTTTGAGAGGCCAAGGCAGGCAGATCACTTGAGGTCAGGAGTTTGAGACCAGCCTGACCAACATGGTGAAACCACGTCTCTACTAAAAAACTACAAAAATTAGCTGGGCTTTGTGGCATGCATCTATAATCCAAGCTACTTGGGAGGCAGGAGAATGGTGTAAACCCGGGAGGCGGAGCTTGCAGTGAGCCGGGATTGCGCCACTGCACTCCAGACTGGACGACAGAGCAAGATTCCATCTCAGAAAATAAATAAATAAATAAATAAATAAATAAATAAATAAATAAATATATAAGTCATGTATGCATTATAAGAAAATGTATAATCACTTTATAAGAATGTTATCTCATATAATACAATAAGGTTTTAAAATAATGTGAAGAATCGAGAAAATTAGTGATTGATGGGAGTGGAAAATTAAAAATAAAAAAATTTAAAAGTCAGGAGTCAATACCAGGAGAATTAATAATCTACAGTCACTTCAGGATAAATTAGAATCTATATTTACTTCATTATGTAATATCATTAATAATAGCTACATTTATGTATAAACCTAGAGAGTCGTATGAATTTGGAAAGAACTGTCATGGATGGTTAAGCAGAGATGGAACCTGTAGCAAGCTCTCTGTATTGTGAGTGAAGCTTGACTCATTGTTGACTGTATTCATTGTAGAACTCTCCACCTTACAGGTGTCGCATGCTATTTCTTCACAAGTACCATTTGATCTTCACCCTTTATTTGAAAAAAAAGAAAAATTAGCCTATGCAATACTAGGAAACCATTAACCTTGCAATATTGCCAGTTCTCCCCAAACATTCTTCTCTTGAAATATGGTGCATTTTCCCCCTTGATGCCCAGTGAATTTTAATTTTCTATAACATGCAAGATGTATAGGAAGAAAATTCTTCTGTAACATTGACAGTATGGGACACGTTAAAGCCAAGTGGCCTTTATATTTTCATTTTTGGGTAATGCCAGTTGTGTCATCACCACAGTTAGAATCTTTACGATTACTTTGAGGAAGTTCTTCATTCCACTGCTCCTTTAGATGGCCAGGGTTCTTCTGCTGTAGCTTGGCAGGTTTTCCTACCTTTGAAAAAGGAACCTGATTCAACAGCCTCTCTACCTACTTTTATGGTTCTTCACTCTCTTGAAAGAATCCATTGATATTCTTGCTTCGAACTGGCAGAATTTTTTTCAGTTGGAGACCCTTCTAAGCAAAAATTCACAAAGAGGTATATGGCTTTATTTGTGAGTTCTTAAGAAAATTATGTGAAAATTCTGTCACTTTAACATAAACAGTATTCAGCAAACATTCAGAAGAAAGAAGTTAAAAATAGAATTAATATAGATTTAAACATGCACATTATCCAGCATATAACACCTGTATCGTAACCTTTTGTAGCTATTAATAGTTTTCATGCTCAAAGTTATTCAGGAAATAGTTGAGCCCTTTAGTGTCATTTTATTTCTTGGTTTATGCTATAGCGATTTTAACACATATAAAACAATATAACAAACATTTAAAAATAGGCTGCGTTCGGTGGCTCACGCCTGGAATCCCAGCACTTTGGGAGGCCATGGTGAGTGGATCACTTGAGGTCAGGAGGTTGAGACCAGCCTGGCCAACATGGTGAAACCCGGTCTCCAATAAAAAATAAATAGATAAATAAATAAATAAATAAATAAATATAATATACAGAACTGTAAAGACAGAGAAAAATGAGGGGAGGAGGTATGCTACATGCATAACAGGAAGGTTGGTATCAGAAATCTCGAATGGCCTACTGCATGCCATGTAGCCATGATGTTTTGTATTTTCTTATTTTGATTTTACTTTCATCTTAAACAAAAAGCACTTTCCATGATAGGTCTTATTTGAATCACTATTACTCTGCTTAATTCTAATACAATAATACACAAAATATGTAGGCTAGATTTCCTTGCTTGAGAAAAATGCTGTAGTGAAGGATTTCACTCCTAAGTCTGTTTATGATTCATCTACTGAATGGTTATAAGTTAATAAGTGGAATGAAGGATAGGATTGTTTGTTTTCTTTTTCACCTACAGAATATTTTGTTTCAAGAGATGGACAATACAGATTGCACCTAAGAGCCTGTAGGCAAGCCATCTGAGAAAGTTTTCTGCATGCAGCCATCGTAGGATCTATATTGCAGACAAGATATAGAATTATATGCTCAATTACGAATGGGTCAGCTGTCCCAAGTGTCTGATGTGATGGTTGTTTGAAAGGGTGCCTTGCACATTTGGCCATGACTTGCATCAGAATTCTTATTAAAAACTAAGTAATACAACTGAGGCTCAATCCATGGCACAGCCCAGCCCTCAAAACCAATATTCATGAGTAAGTAACTAAATGACTGTGCTCCAAAAGCAGAGCCTTATTTACTGGTATGCCGTCTACACAAAAATATTAGTATTATAAGTTGTCCATGAGTTCATTTTTTCCATAGTTTCTCTCAAGGGGGTAGGATTGTTGTTTTATCATCAATTTCCACCTTCAGAAACATTCAGGAGTTCCCTCCCATCAAACAAACAAAAACAATGGCATTAAATTCATTAAACAGTTGTTTAGTTTCTACAATGTCCAAAATATAAGTTCTTATGATAGAAAAAATATTCACAAGTACATCAGTAACTCTGGACATGATGCCCCTCGGGCACCAGACCTCATCTGTGAGCAAGGTTTAGTTTCTGAAAGATTCCCCTTCTCTCTCATCGGTAGCCTTCCAAAGGATTCCTATACCAGAAATAGAAGTCAAATTTTCATGCATTTATTGACTTTTAGGATTTCCAAGTTAGAGATGGAATTTTACTTCTTGATTGCTGAAATTCTTCTACAATCTTAATACAGCAAAATTTAGAAATATTACATATTAAATGTTTCACTACATTCAACACTCTCTGATAAGTAGCCACCTATATTTGTCTCTCTTACTTAAAGTGTGTGATCTACTAGTAGACATGCTAGACCAACTAACTCTCAACTTACTTTTCTCAAGGCAATGTTATTGTAAAAGATCTTTAAAAAAATCTGTATTTGCTTGCTACTTGATTTCATCTGAATCCCCTGGTCTTCTTGCTCTCAACCATTTATGTTCTTAACGCTTTCTCAGAAGAAAGAATTCAAATGCAAAGAGAAACAGAAGATAATCACTTCTGAGTTAATGTTTTCCTTGAAGTTCAAATCCATGGATATAATTTTATTGCTCCCTTAGGATTTCTATAGATTTTCTTCCTACGGGTAGGCTTTTTTTAAGGTAAGCTATTTTTGACAATGCTATAGTTAAGAGACTAGAATGCAAAGGTGGTATAATTTTCTTAAGTTAAGTGAATTAGCTTTCTTCTTTAACTCCATATTTGAACCTAAGCCTTCTAGAAATTATAGAAGAACATATTATATCCTAAACTAAATTGTAATAAGACTTGCCTTAGTAAAATGAAAATACTTTCTGGAGTCTGTGTGTAATTTACATACAATGATATCAGCAATCAAATGATAAGAAAAAAATAAGTATATCTTTTCATTATAAAAAAAAGCATCCAAACACTTTAATAAAGTATTTCTTAAAAGATAGATAATTTTGATTTATAGGAAGATCCACCCCCAGATGTCCATGACTTGTAATTTTAATACCTTATTAATTGTAGCTTTCTATATTTTAGGGAAAACATTCAGATGCAACATTGTGTTGGAATAGAAGAAGTTTATTCCATAAAAATATTAAGTGTCTACTTTCCTTAGGATATTGCTAAACAGTATGAAGACTAAGTGATCTACGCCACAGCTTCAAAATTAAAAAGACTTGAATGAGATTAATATCAGGTTTACTTAGTTGACACCCATCTAAACATTTAGTATGAGTCTCTGTAACCTTAACAATAAAATTAGGGTTTTGGATACAGTGATTTCTACTGGTGTTTTCAAAGAAAAAGTCCTATTATTCTATAATCTTATGATTTGGTCAAAAGCTTGTGACCTTGAGATGCTTTTAAATATATTTATTGATTTAGTATAAATCAGAAAATACATTCATTTCTAATCCATCTTAGACAGGTAGGAGAGTTATATTTAAGTTTCCTCTGGGTGTGAGAAGGAAAATGAGTCATCATATAGGTTTCTAACTATCCTGTATGCATTTCTTCACTAATATGTAAGTTATAACCAGTTTTAACACTCAAAAGAAATTTATTGTTGCATTATACAAAGATACTTAAAAAAAAAATCTCACCTGTACTTAATAATTTGTCTTTTGTTGAAGCTAATTGATAATGATATCAGTTAAGTCCTTAGCTACCTATGCTTTTATAATATTTTATTTATTTATTTATTTTACCTAAAGCCTGCTCTAAGTTCTGTTCTTTTTCAATCAGAAGTAAAAGAGTATAGAAAATATTAGTGGCAGGACAATGTTTGCTGAATCAAAAGTCATACCTAGGTAAATGCCTCTTGAGAAGATGGCGGGAAGGAGCTCTCTTATTCAGACTCTGAAATTTCAATAAGTAGCTGAGTTCCGAAGTGTTTATTTGAACAGAATGTTTAAAAAACATAAAATTTCCCCTTTACAACCAACTCTCCAGATACCTAGCATGTTGATATTTAGATTCTAAAATTTATATCAAAAAACATCATTGAAACAGATGCTGGTAATATCATTGACTGAGAATTTGCATTAAAGATGACTCTTGGGTGTGCACTCAAGCGTTCATATGTCCATTAATAGCTACTTGTGGGGATATTATGACCTGTTTAGAATTCTTATTTTTTCTCAAAGTTTTTAAGGCATAAGAGAAGATTAATAGCTGCTAGATGAAACCAAAAGGATAAGCAGCAATGCAGTGAAGAGTGTTGTGAAATACACACATTTGTCATGACTCCCAAGTGGCAAATAAAATCAAAGTTGAAAATCAATGTCTATTGATCAATCTATTCGTTTTCATGCAAGTTCTATAAACTATGTAGTACTGATGTTAGTATTTTATTGGCATATAGAACAGACATAAACTTTCCTTTTCTCTTGAGTCTTTCTGCTCATAAAGAATTTAAAATAATAGCATGACATACATAAAGTAAGATTTGTTCTTAGGTTTCGGGGAAGAGCTTATAAAACATGCATACATTATGATAAACAAAATGGAAGGTACACTGCAAGCAAAAAATAACCACATTTAATTGTTTTTCAGTCTGGCTTTTGATATCAGGCTCAAAATTTGCTTGCAAATTTAAAGACATTATTCTGTTTTGGGAGGTATATAGTTATGAAACTTGTTCTTTCAATTATAGTCACAATATAAAATTACTGGATATGAATCTTGAGGCAATCCCAGGTGACTGGATATTGTGTTGACAATGAAAACATATTAATAAATGTTGACTTACGCTTATAAAGAGCTTACTGAAAAAAATCAAGCAAATTTGTGCATGGCTTTTTTGGATTAATGTGATAGTAGAAAGAGGTTATGGTATATACACATAAGCAGCTTAACAGATAGAATTAGCAAGCTGGGTATTGCCAATACAAAATTTGTAGTTCAAATAGAATTTCAGAATGTTCCAAAACTGTCCTAATATCTACTATTTCAATGATTAGAAATTAGAATACCTTTCATTCCTGAAAAATACGTATTTACAAAATCAAAATGTCAGAGTCACAGGAGATATAAGCTATTTCCTTATTAAGAAAAGTTTAAATAATAAAAAGTTAAGTCAGTAGAACAATGACTAAAATAGGAAAAGTACAAACAAAAATTGTTAGATGCACCTGTGACAATATTGTCTAGTTACTGCTTTTACAGCCTTAGCACATATTTTTTCTTAAGCAATTCCTGGGTAGAGTTTTCTACCTCTCCTTAACCAGCCAGTTCACATCAGAAGACATAAACCCCTTGGTGGATGTTATTCATCTCTCTGTCTCTTGCTCTGAGCTGCGTATTGCACAGTAGGCATTCAGTAAGCCTCATCGAGCTCGTCTTCTCATGGGACATGCAGAAAACTTGTAGACAAATGAGAGGAGAGTAACTTTGAAGATTGTGATACATGTTATGAAGAGAATAAACTGAGTGAAGAGATAACATACTTTGGATAAGCTAGTCAGAGGCGGCCTCTCCAATGCCATGAGTAGAATGGGACACTTGTGAAGAGTCATGAGGGAAACATTTATGGCAGGGGGAGCATCTGGTACAAAGTCCTGGAGGAAAAGGATTTGGCATGTTAGAGGGACAGAGAGGGGCCAGAAGAGAAGGTCTAGAACAACTCCAGAGTGTAGGGCAGAGACAAGAAGACCCCGGTAAGGACTCCATATGTTTTACTAAGTTCCGGGGGGTACAAATAAAAGCTTCTAAACAAGGAAGTGAAAATGTCTTGTTTCTATTTAAAGATTGCCCTGGCTCATCTTTAGAAAATGGATTAGATGTCGGGAGATGAAAAAGTGGGAAAAATGAAGAATAACTGGCTATTACCTCTTTGTTCTTCAAAATTGTTCTCATTTTTGAATACTTTCTTACATATAAGTACAACCTACCCCCTTTCCTCTTTAAATTCTTATCCATTATCTCTCTTTCCGCATGTATTTAAATTGTGCTCCTTCCTTCATTTTTATGTCATTCACCTCTTTTGCTTTCTCCCACATTTTATTTTTAACTTGTCGATGTTAATAATCATTTTTAACAAAAATTTCACGTCTACTCCAAATACCACCTACTTGCACCTGGCAGGGTTGAGAAGCTTACTCTAGAACAGAAAATATGAATTATAGGTTGTAAGGGAAGAAACATCTGCACTGAGCATGGTTAGGGTTAACTTTTGCCTGCCTTACCAGTAGTAATATATCTAGGTCAGAGCAGAGGCAACAGAATGCTGCCTTAAGTCAAATAACTCACTTCTTTCTCTTTTAGATACATTGGGTGAAGGACTTGAATGTTTTCACCACTTGTATTCACAACAGAGTGCTGACAGGAAACAACACACAAAGAGTGAACTGACTATAGGGAGATGAATGGCTGCTTAACTCACTGCCTAGTCCCTCAGTCCTGTCTACAAAGGACTGAAAGCTGGCATGACAAAGACTAATAGTAGATTCAGGATGAATCTCCTCTGGTCCACATGACCCAGGTTCAGTTCAATCTGGGAAACAGGGGTGGAGGAAAAAATGTATTATTCAATCAACTCACCCTCACCTCCACTAGCAGCCTAATATGTACTGGAGTTTGAGTGACGCACCAGAGCCCTATCAACTGAAAAGCCTGAAACTAGAGGAAGTCTCACAAATGTCAATGGTTATTAATTTCAGTTAACTGATTAATTCTCATTTTATTAGTGATGGACTTGGAGGGTTCTAATAACTGACTCTTGAAGAATTTTCATATAAATGTTATTATATATTTTCACATAGCACCTTTTTCTTCCCATTTCTCACTTAGGTACAAGGTTTCACTATTTCATTTATGTAATAGTGAGATGGGGGGAATACTGTAATATCTTTTATACACCACAGCAACAAAGACATAACATTTTGTTCTGTTTCATTTATGAAGGATTTAGAAAGAAAATGATCTTTAAAAGAAAATTCAATTTTTGGAAAAAAAAAATGACAGTGAATGGCACAGAGCCTCTTTATTTCCCTTGAAGCTGTCAGAGTCAGAGAAGAAAACCACTTTGGGGTATGAGTCTGCGGTACCTGTCATAAGACTGAAAGGACTTGATGTTGAGATTTTATTAGCTCTGACAATATGGGAAAATTCCATTCTAAACTGTAATAAGTAGTATATAAAGTAATTTAGATATGCCAGTGGCTATGGCCCTGGGTGTAAATGTATATACCATGTGCGTAAATAAAGCTGGGGTAAATTTGCCACTAATGAAACTTCTGTGTAATTTAGGCTTTTTTGAAATTATATGAAGTTTTGAAATGTGTGTGTGCTTGCATGTGTGTGTGTTTTAATATTAACACTCTGCAAATACATTATCTCCCTTTTAATAAATAAAATTTGAAATATATGTGTGTTACTACATGCATATCTATAGACTATAAAATAAATGGATACAAAACTTGCCCTTAACAATTTATGCTGTTTAAGCTAATATTATATTAACGCAATAATATTATGATATTTTTCCTCTCTCTTTGAACATAGCAAACATTTTCTCTTCCATCAATGACTGTTTCCCTTTGGTTGTTTTTGCAATGATGAAATAAAATATCAACACATTTCCTGAAAAATAGGCAATATCTCAATAAAATTTACTGTTAGCAAATGATGCCCAGCTTTGTATTTGGCATTTGTCCCATATGAGAAAAAAGTCAATTGCAGAATAATATGGACAGTCTTTTCAACAGTATGACAGACTCGCAAGCCATATATATATACACACACACACACACACACACACAGACATACACACACACTCACTGAGTTGACATGACAATAAAAAAAGTATTCAGAGTGCGTCCAAAAAGGAATTGAGAACAAGAATCTAGAAAAGTGACCCAAAGAGTCCTGGCAGCCGGTTTCTCTGCTAATCCCACATG
This sequence comes from Homo sapiens, assembly GCF_000001405.40. Taxonomy (NCBI): domain Eukaryota; kingdom Metazoa; phylum Chordata; class Mammalia; order Primates; family Hominidae; genus Homo; species Homo sapiens. The sequence goes on from NC_000004.12 coordinate 171,949,126, forward strand.
AACTTGAGTTTTTTATTCTGATGGCCTTGGGGAAAGCAGGAGAGAGTGCACAGAGGCCAGGCTCTGCCCAGCATTGTAGGGGAGCCCACTACCAAAGGACTGTGTCATCAGTTTACCTTTAAGATACATTAAGAAAACAACAAACCTTACATAGCAATAACAAGCAAATGTATCTTTTTTACCTGGGCTCTTTCTTGAGTGGTCCCCAAGTACTCACTTTAGAAATTTATATTTGTGTTCTTGGTTTCTAGAATGTCCAGGCTAGGGGAAGAAATAAATACAAATCCTCTCTGAAGCTAAGCAACAACAATTCAGGCCTCAAAGATTTTCACAGATAAACTTTTTTGATTATGCTTAACAATTTTTTAAAAATCACAAAACCTGAGAGGGGAAAAAAGCGTAATGTATAAAAGAGGGTGAAGGTGAGGGGCAGAAAGTAGATTGAGGTGGAAAGTATTGCAGATATTGAAATTCTCAGATTCAAATTACAGAATAAGTAGATGAATGCACCTACTAGAATAAAAAGTGTCAAAAGCAAGACTAAGTAAAAATATATTATAAAAATGACAGCAGAGAAAAAATATAATAATTAATGAATCACACAATGAGTAAGTTAAGTAGTTGATATGAAATTGGTGAAGAAAGACAGTAAATGAAATAGAAATTTTATATAAAATGATTCTGAAAGAAGTGTGGAGGGATAAAATGGTAGAATGCGTAAAAGAGAGGCTAAGAGATACATAAGGCAACCTAGTTGTAAAAAGATTTTAAAAAGGAGGTTTGGGCGGGGACAATATTAAAAGAGATAAGTGATGAAAGATGTAAATTCCACCCATTCAAAATAAATCTCCAGTTGGAAAAATTAAATGCCATCCAGTAGAACCATCAGAGTTGCAAAACAGAGTACCAAAGATCTGAGAATAGCCCTGGCGAGAAAATAGGTATTCTTTGCAAAGAAACAATAGTTAGACTGAGAGCTGATTCCTCATTACTAAAAATAGAATCTAGAATTGATTGGAATATTGTCTTTGTCATAACTTAATAACAGTCAACTTAGAATTGTATACTTGTCAAAAATATCATTGAAGCATAAATTCAAGATAAAGGCATTTTAATAACAGATCAAAGAAACAAGAGAAATTCACTCAAAAATGATAAGGAATGTACTTAGGGTAATAGGGAAGGGAAGGTCTGAATCATAACAAGGAAGAGAGAGCAAAAAATTAGTTAACGTAGGTTAAAAAAGAGAAAACATCAACCTTATAAATCAACAATAGGATGAAGTTTGTGGAGTTAATAAAGAACTGAAATACTGGACACAGATAGGTGGGTGAGCAAAGTAAAATCTTTTCTTTTCTTTTTTTTTTTTTTTTGAGATGAAGTCTTGCTCTGTTGCCCAGACTGGAGTGCAGTGGCTCGATCTTGGCTCACTGCAACCTCTGCCCCCAGGTTCAAGCGATTCTCCTGCCTCAGCCTCCCGAGTAGCTGGGACTACAGGCGGGCACCACCACGCCAGGCTAATTTTTGTATTTTTAGTAGAGAAGGGGTTTCACCATGTCAGCCAGGCTGGTCTCGATCCCCTGACCTTGTGATCCGCCCGCCTCGGCCTCCCAGAGTGCTGGGATTACATGTGTGAGCCACAACGCCCAGCCAGTAAAATCATTTTAAGGAGAAGACAATACACAAATTATTTTAGACTTGCTGAGATGATTACCTATGTTATTATTTCTAAGACGCACATTAAATTATGGAATGGGTGTACAGAATTTAAAACTGATAGAGAGAATGAAATGTAAAAAAGGAAGAAAAATATAAAATACATCAAGAAAAAAGAAACAGAGAAGTAACCTAGAAAAAGCAGGACACATGGAAAGTATAAAATTAAGTTATAGAAACATATCCAAGTGTATCAGTCTATTTAATAAATGTACCAGGAATAAACACACTATTTGAAGGAACAGATTGTCATATTAGACTTAAAAACATTCCAGGTGTGTGTTGTATATGACAGATACAATTAAACATGAGAAATAGAAAGGTTGAAAGAAAAAGGAAGAAAAGAAGTTGCTAAAAAAATAACAGAAGAAAGAATTATTTTCTAAATATTAATATTTGGCAAATAGACATTGGGGCAAAAAGTATTACTAGAGAGGATAAAATTGACTCCATAATAATATAACTTTAAACAAGCTAGAAATATGTAAGTATTATAATGCTTATAAATATTGTAATGTTTGTATGTTATGCAATGTACATGATAAAATGTTTTCAATTATGCTATATCACCTTTTACTTAACTGCAAGGAGAAATTAATGAATGCAACAAAAATGGGAGATTTTAGCAAATAGTTCTCAGCAAGTAAGAGATTATAAAAATCACGAGTAAAAATTTAAAATACTAAAAAATATTAACACTTTTATATATTGGACATAAGTAAAACATTGTGCACTCACATACACACAACAGATAATATATAATTAAGCACTTTTAAAAATTACTTGTGCTACACAATGGATACTAATTTCAAAATGTCAAATAGATAATATCTTTCAGAACACATTCAATTTTTAAAAACTGGAATTAAGTAAGAAATCTGCGGAAAAAATTGCTGGAAAATATTTAAAACACTTTTGAATTACTACGGAATCAAGAAATTACGCTAAATTATACACTTCTACTAATAGTATAGAACTTTAATAACATATCAAAACTTGAGGGATAAAGCTATAGCAATAATTTAGAAGCTAGTTTGTAACCTGAACTCTTACAGAAATAAGTAGCACATTATTGAGCAATGTATCCCAGAGTTACATGCCCAATAAACTAGTAAAATATTTTAAAAATGAAAGTTTGGAAAGAAATAATGAGTATAAAGTCAGCAATTAATGAAATAGAATACAAAGTGTAATAGAGTAACAAAAAAACCATTCTTTGAAATAAAGTAACTAATTTAAAGAGTTTGCAAAATTGATCAAGTAAAAGTATTGGAATGGAGATAAACTAGTGCAGATGGTGCAGGGATATTAATGGAGATAAATATATTTGAAAACACATATGTCAATAAATTTAAAGGCAATTGACCAGGCTTTGTTTATGGAAGTATATCACTGATTAAAACGGAGTCAAAAAGAGATTGAAAATAGAAACGGCCCCATAAGCATAAAGTACATGGAATTGTGAATCCAAAATTTTCCTAAAGCACTGTTTTGAAAATTTCACTAAATATTCAAGCAACAAGTACTTCTCCTTCTTATTCAAATGGTTTTAAAAAATAGAAAATTTCAATATATACAATATGAGAAAAAAATTATAAACCAATCTCAACTATTAAATTAAATGCAAAAGCCTATATATATTGATGTTTCTGAATTTAGTGATGTGTAAAAATTTCAATGACTTATTATCAAGTTCAATTTTTTAGGGATGCTGTTTAACATTTGAAATCATTTAATAAATTCAAATTGAAGTAGCAAAATTACATGATCATTTCAATGGAAAGAAAAAACATTTGATAAAATTTAAAATCTCTTATGATAATAGCTTTTAGCAAACTAAAAATATAACTGTAATTCTAACATAGGAGAGCTACACTAAATCTATGGTGAATGCCTGATCTAATGAGTAAAAATAAGGATCATTTCTTTTGTAATCATGATATGCACTATAATCACTTTTTTCAAAATCCTGTACCTTTGGGTTATAGTGATTTAATTAGCTTTAGAAAGTAATAAATATATAAACCTTGAAAAGAAAGGAAAAGAGCTTGAAATTATTCATCAATAATGAGAAAAATCTAAAAATTAAATGCTAGAATTAATAACATCATTTAGCAAGTTAGCTATTTTAAATCACAGCATCAAAAAGAAAATATATTTTTAGAAAGTTAGCATTTACAATGAAAATTAAACACAAGATAACTAGGGGCCAAATTATTCAAAGAGGCGTAAGGACATAATGTTGAAAAGTATACTTTACTGAAAGGCAATGAAAAAAAGGGCTAAAAAATTATGGATAGTGAAACAGCATAGTCGGTTACCCCAAATTAATCATAAATTCAATAGAATTCTAATCAAAATTAAAATGGTGTGCGCATGCGCACGTGTGTGTGTGTGTGTGTGTGTGTGTGTGTGTGTGTGTGTAAGAAAAAAGAGTCAGGAAGAGCCAAGATACAGAAGGAAAATTAGCAGCAGTATAAAGACTTGAATGACAGATATTAAGACTTACTACTTTCAGTCCACATGCTATTGGATCTGGAGTAGAAAAACAGATCAATACAACAATCAGCTAAGAAACAGAACCCCTTATGTGTTGAAAATTCATTGATCAGAATTGGCATTGCAAATAGGTGAAAAAGAGATGAAACATTCAATAAGTGATCTTGGATTTTAATTATCAATATGGAAGTTTATTTTTACCTTATAGCATATATTAAAACTCCTTAAAGAAAATTACAGACCTAAATACAAGACATTCAATCTTTAGGAGAAATTCACTTTAGTTTTGGAAAGAATCTCCTAGAAATAGAATTTGCAGCTTTACATTAAAATTGAGTATAATTGTATGAAAAAGCAACATACATGGAGGACAAATACAAGCCAATGACACAAATAACTGCTAAATAATGAATATCAAGAGTATATATTTTTATATTCCACAGATAATTGAGAAATAGCCCAAGAGACAGTAAAGGCATGGGGATTTATTTTTAAGAAAATCAAACAGAAATAGACAATAAACATAAGAAGAATACCTCATTAACAATTGGTGAGGAATACATTTTAAAAGTCATTACAATGGAAAAATTTAAACAAATCTTATTATGGGTTTCTGGTATACATATTAACTGGCATAACAATGTTCAAGAAATGATCACTGTCTAGTAAGGTTGATGTGCAAACCTTATGGACCAGAAAATCTACTCACAAATATAATGTGAGGAGTGGTTTTCAAACTTCATTTGATTGAAGCACATACGCTAAAAAAATAAGAAAAATGTAATTAAAATTTATGTAGCCTTATTTTGTGAATGGCACTCTGTCATTTTGTATTCTATCAATTATGTTTAAAAATTCTATTCATAACTCATTGGGTTGATTTCATGCCAATGAAGAGTTGTGATTTATGATTTGAAATACACTGCTCCAGAGCAATTCTTGCACTATGTAATAGAAAAAGTCCAATAGAAGTTTCAAAAAAACATTTTTGTAGCATATAAAAACACATAATCATGATGCCTACTTATAAGAAAATGAGGACTAGCTTGTGTTGTATAGTTATACAATGAACAATTATGTAGCAATAAAAGTAAATTAAATTTAGTTCACAAAAGTCATCTTCAACAAATACTGCAAATTACGTAAGAATACAGATGCTTCTGATTCATGCAAAGTTAAAATATGCAAAATTAAGAAATACACAAGGGAGAAGTGGGGAAGAGATTATAGATAAGTACATACATATTTGTGAAACAATATTTCTAAATATTCATTAAAATAATCTGAATAAGTATTGGGAAATTAGACAATCAATTAAACATTATTTTAGAAGTTGATATGGTTTGGATTTGGGTCCCTGCCCAAATCTCTTGTCGAATTGTAATCCCCAATGTTGGTGGAGGGGCATGGTGAGAGGTGATTAAATCATGGGTGTGAACTTCCCCCTCTCTTCTCTCTTGACAGTGAGTGAGTTCTCACAAGACCTGGTTGTTTAAAAGTGTGCAGCACTTTCCAGTTGTCTCTCTTCCTCCTGCTCTGGCCATGTAAGGAGTGCCTGCTTCCCTTTTGCCTTCTACTATGGTTGTAAGTTTACTGAGGCCTCCCCAGCCCTGCTTCCTGTAAAGCCTGCTGAACTGTGAGCCAGTTAAACCTCTTTTTAAAAATAAATTGCCCAGTCTCAGGTATTTCTTTACAGCAGTGTGAGAATGAACTAATACAGAAGTCTTAAAATATCTGATTACTTAATGATGTAAACAACTGAATATAAAGTAAATTGACAGTCAATGTAAGGCTGAGGACCTCTTGTGTAAAAGAAATAGTTCACAATTTGAGTGATTTTCTTTTATTTACATTGCAAGAAACAAAAACAAAAATAAAGCATACAAAAGAAACTTTCTTTGGTCTCTAATTCCACCACCGAAGTACAATACTGAAATTCTTAGCAAATGCTCTTTAAAACCATTTTTATTCATATAATATATATACACCTTTTTATTTGTATAAAATATATAATACGAATGAAATATATCTATCTATCTATCTATATATATATATGTTTACACACACACATACAGTTGACCCCCGATATTCATGAAAGATTGGCTCCAGGACTCCCCTGCCCTCTCATGCATGCCAAAATCTAAGGATGCTGAAGTTCCCAAAATAAAAGGTATATTGTTTGCATATAACCTATGCACATCTTCCTGTATACTTTAAATCATCTCTAGATTACTTAAAATACCTAATGCGATGTAAATTCTATGTAAATCGTTGTTATACTGTATCGTTCAGAGAATAATGACAAGAAAAAAATGTTGGTACATGTTTAGTACAGATGCAAATTTTTTAAAATATATTTTTATCAATAATAGGTTGAATCTCCACATGCAGAACTCAGATCTACAAAAGGCTGTGTGTGTATACGTGTGTGTATATATATATATAAATGGCAGCATGTTACATATATATAACATGTTACCATTAAACTGTTAAATTCAACATACTCTTAACTTGCTTTCCCCCAAAAAGACATTGAAGCTTTTCCTTATGCAATTAGTTAAAAGTACATATTTTGTTTTATTAGCTGCAAAGTATTATAGTTTTTGGTATAAAACAGTATTTATGTTCTTTTTAATAAATATTTGTTACTTACTAATTTGTGTGTGTGTGTGTGGGACAGGGCCTCATTCTGTCACCTGTCACCCAGGCTGAAGTACAGTGGTGCAATTATGGCTCACTGCAGCCTGAAACTCTGGGGCTCAAGTGATCCTCCCGCCACAGTCTCCAGAGTAGCGGGACTACAGGCATGCGCCACCACACCTGGCTAATTTATTCTGTATTTTTTGTAGAGACAGCATTTTACTATGTTGCCCAGGATTGTCTTGAACGGCGAGGCTAAACCAATCTGCCCACTCTCAACCTTCCAAAGTGCAGGGATTACAGGTGTGATCCACTGTACCCAGCCATTTATTAGTACTTCAAAATTATTTTTAAATGATATAGTATACTCCCTAGACATATATCTTTGTGGAATTACCCAATTATTTCCTAAGGATAAATTCCTAGAATTATTTAAATAAATAAGAGGAACTTCTTTGTATATGACAGGGTTGATAAAAACCATCCTTGTACACATCTTTATCAAGATCAAGTACAATCAATTGTGTTGCTGCCAATACGTTTAGCAAAACTCATTTTTGGCTTTTTAAATTTTCATTTTTGATCACTAATGATAATTTCATATTTCTTCTTTTGTGAATTGTTTATGTTAATATTCACCTTTCATACAAATATTCATTGTTTTATTATCATTTTTAAAATTAAATTCTTTATCAGTTGCAAAACTATTACAACATAAATAAATATGCATTGACTTTATTGTTGTTTCTCTCAAATGCCAAACTTTCTACTTTAGACCCTTTGCTTTTTTCATTCTCTTCTTCTGGAATGCATCTCTCCTATTCCTTTGCGTGACTCATTCTCTTACTTTATGTAGCTCTCTGTTCAAATATTACCACTTCACCCACTCTCATTTCTCATCAGAGAGCCAGCCTTCCGAGTTGTAGAAACTGCCTACTCTGAAATCTCACATCCTGCCTTGCTGTTTAGCAGTCACTCTGACCTAACTATCCTTACCTTTCTTAGGTCTTCAAATACAGTGGGCATCGTCCCAGCTCAGGACTTAAGGTCTTGCCACATGATGGCCTCACTGCGGGGAATGTTCTTTCTACTTTGTAGTGTACCTAAATCCTGCACATCCTTCAGGTCTGTTAAAAGTAGTTTTCTCAGGAAGGCCATCTCTGACTTTACTGAACAGACAAGGTCTAACCTCTAATTTCTGTAGATTTATGGCTTAGTGTAGTGACAGATATGTAGGAACTTTATAAACGTTAATTAAATCATGTTAAATTAATAACATGAATGAATAGCAAAATATGCTGCTGCTTTTACAATGTGGGTTATTCCCTAAGCAATTGTCAAAAAATAAGTTGCTATAAAAGCATATATTTATAATTGTAGTTTTATAGTCCACACTGGGAAGCTTTAAAACCCAAGGAAACATTACTCACTTTGGTCCCTGGTAAAGGCTGCGCTCTGTGTTTTAGAAACTAAAATTTATGGACAGCCAACCTTGCTGCTGACATCTATGAAAAAGGAAGAAACAGAAATATGAGGAGATGGTGTCACCTTCATTAAATGCGTGGAGGAACAGTATTTACTTTTCCAGTTTTCACAACTCTGACCAGAAAACTGTTGTCTAGTTATCAACGCATTGCGGCATTTTAAGAATATATTAATTAGGAATTCTAACTCTTTAATTTATCTTAACCTCTGTCTACCTTAGTCTTGCCCTTCATTAGCTAACACTGAAATGACCTATCTGACTCATAAGAAGTCAACAGGTAAAGAGCAGGTGTACAATCCATTCTCTCCCTTTAGAATAGGGAATGTCTTTGGGAAGAAAGTAAGTAACTGACCTGTTCAGATGTCCTCGTGAGTATGCTAACATATTTGACAAAAAAAATGGTATTTTCTAGCGGGAATCCTAACCTAAGGTATCCATTTTGCTGGATGCACTTAGGTTGAATTGCTTGTGATAACTGGGGATCAATGGACAAAAGACAGCATAAATAATGAACCTGCATGTAAAACGTTTATGTTTTATGATCAGAAAAGCACCTTTGTGTAAGTAATATGGCCTCACATGTTAATCTAGAGCACATTCTAATGCAGTAAGAATGAAAATGTACATATACGTTAGACAGTTTGAAACCTCTCACTGCTTTACCTCTTCCTAGTGATTACTGATATCCTTGAAATTATTGGTAATAATTGAACTTCACTAAAATCTCTGATACACCCAAGTCTGATTTGAAAATATAATCTTTTGTGTGATATCCACAGATATTGAAGGCTGATTGTAAGAATGCAACAAAATATCATCCATAAAACCATGACTTAATGCATAAACAGCTGAACAAATACACAAGTCTTTTTCTATATTAAAACTATGGAAGATATCACATGAAAACTAAGCTAATGCTTTCAGGGTGGACGGAATATGCATTGAAGGAAAATGTTTACAAATGGGAAAATTTTTGTTTTTTTAACATGTATCAATAAGTATATTTTAAAAATTAGGAAAGAGAGTCATTTCTATGAGAAGAAGTTCACAAAATATTGAAAATAATCATATTAGGTCTTTACTGTTATCAGATAAATGAATTTTGTACAATTTCAATGGTCACAATTCACTGTCAATGTTAAATATAAATACTTTTTTAACTGAATATCCTAGATATTTACAAACTTTACATTACTCCCATATCAACTATGATCAATCACATAATTGCAATTAATCTTCCTCTTTGTGATTGAAAAATAAATTCTGAAAACAGATGTGAAAAATGTAATGCATTGATAAACATCAGTTTTCTACAGTCATTACATAGCCCATTATTTATATTTCTTTGACTCAAATATATGTTGTGATTTTATATTCAGTTTTTAAAAGAAAATCTATTATCTTTAACATTTTAATAAATGTACACCATGCTTGTTAAATGAAATGTCAAAAAGTATCTTATAATAAAATATTTTTTCTTTATTAGAGAAACTTGTAATCTTTCTTCCATCCATACCTTCTGAAATAAACTTAAAGGAAATGAATATTGTAAAACATGCTTTAGCCTGAGAAATATGCAATAATTAGGCTGAACCTAGAATTCTGTGTTCAACTTAGTAAGTAAAACTTTTTATATTTGTAGTAAGGAAGAACTTTATAGTTGACGGCTTGTTACGTTTAACCAATTAGAAAGACTATCACATTGTACCATTACAAAATATGTAATTCTAAGGGAACTAGAGTCTGAAATGCAGGAATTTTTTTTTGAAAACAATATAATGCAGTTGAGAAATTGTTGCCTTATGAATGTAAACATTTTTGTGAATTAATCATTAGGCAATGTTCTCTTAGGTAAGATACTAAGTCTGAGCCATGGAATTTAAAAGATCTCATCATCTTAGAAATTTATCAGCCGATAGAGCTATTACAATTTGGGCAACTTTAAAATAGAGTTCTGTAGAATAATTCTAATATTTGTTAAATTGTTTAGTGTTCCATTAGAGTTATACCAATTTTAGTGAATATAACTTCTCTGCAGAATAAATATTTTTAGGGGCGCTGGGGTGTCTTCTTTTAGAATTTGTATATACATACTTACTCAGAGCTGAGCATAGTGGCACATGTCTGTGGTCCCAGCTACTCAGGAGGCTGAGGCAGGAGAAATCCTTGAACCCAGGTGTTCCAGACCATCCTGGGCAACACAGGGAGACCCTATGTAAAGAAAGAGAAATCTGTTTATGAGAATGACTGGATCCTATAGAGCAATTGGCAATGTGAGCTCAAAATATCTGCCTGACAAAAGCAGTTGTTCTACGTGATGATACCAGCATTTAAGTGGAAATGAGTGACATGTTTGCCTGAAGCAAATAGAAATAATCTCCCTTTATCCACACTCAACAATGAAAAAACCAAAGGCCATTTTAGAAGACCTTCATATTTCATATTTTTTAGTCAGAGCTTAAAAAGAATAGAAAGCAAGTAAAGCAACCACAAAATAAACTTATTTATTTTCCAATGGAGAACATATCTGAACAATTTAGTTGTCTAATCACTTCTTACTCTACTCATTATAGGTTTAACTAAAAAGTGAGGACAGATTATCACTGTGTATGCAAAGGGAAACTACAGGTACAGATTGTAGGTGTCTTTCTTCAGCTGTCATAGCTTTCTAATCTATAGCTTCTGTTTATTGAATTTGGCTACTCTTTACAGCACTGCCTCTAACATCAGGGACACAATATTAGAGTCAAATTTTACCAAAACAAATTAATGAGGGATATGGTGAGTTAAAATAGGACAGCTTTTCTTTTTTTCTCTTATTTTTTTTGGAGATGGAGTCTTACTCTGTTGCCCAGGCTAGAGTGCAATGGCATGATCTCGGCTCACTGCAACCTCTGCCTCCCAGGTTCAAGTGATTCTCCTGTCTCAGCCTCCCGAGTAACAGGGTTTTACAGGCACATGCCACCATGCTCAGTGAATTTTTGTATATGTTTAATGGAGACAGGGTTTCACTGTGTTCCCCAGGCTGGTCTCGAACTCCTGATCTCAGGCAATCCACCCACCTCAGCCTCCCAAAGTGCTAGGATTACAGGTGTGAGCCACCACGCCCTGCCAGGATAGCTTTTCAATGAGCAATTTAAGTAAATGGCTTCTGTTTTAAAACAAATAAAATGTATATATAAATTTTTTTAAAAAAACTCAGAGAAATGACTGTCTTTATTTAAAAAAAAAAAAAAAAAAAAAAGTCAATGTTGTATACCAGCAGGATTTTTAGAACCTTACTAGGAAGGTAAATAACAAGCACCTCAGGAAAATGTGACAATCTGGTGTTGAACTATTACAACTGATGGGAGCACCTAAGGTCTAGATGCATTAAGCTGGTGGTGTGAATCTAGTTGCTTTAGTCTCTTTCATTGTCACTAGAGAAATTATTAAGAGAAACACAAGGCTACTCTGCCCACAGAGTAGCCATTCTTTATTCCTTTATTCTTTCTTAATAAACTTGCTTTCACATTACTCTGTGGACTCTCCCCAGATTCTTTCTTGTGAGAGATCCAAGAAGCCACTCTTGAGGTCTGGGTTGGGACTCCTTTCCAGTAACATCTTCCTGGAAAACCACAAAAGGAAAATACTGAGGATACCCCTGGCACAAAGGAAAAAGATGGTAGCACCAATTCTCCAATTGTGTCCCAAAGTCTGTTTATTTTACCAGGGAATTGACTGAAATGGCATACTTTCTTTTAATAAATCAGATTTGACTTATAGAGCCAACAAAAGCCCCTTGGGTAAACTGTCTTCATACCTTGTCTAACAGTCCCTGTACAGGGTTCCTGACCTGTGGAAAGTAAAGAATATCACATTCTGACAGGCCCAGGAGCCACAAGTTCTCTCAGGGCCTCAAGAGGAGAAGAATTTACCCAACTCATAGGTATTTGATGGTACAAACCCATGGCTGAGTTAGACTTTAAAAAACAAAAAAGTCTTATTTGAGATTCCTTCTATGGGACAAAGTTCCATCAACACCAATTAAAAAAACCCTACGTAGCAAATAATTATTCTTGCTGCACTTTATACAAATAATCAGGCCAACTATAATAAAGCAAATCAGTCTTATGATTTGTTTTTAGTATAAATGGGAAACTGAAGAAATAAATTATGTTTCAAAACTATGGTACACCTGTTATTAGATTTCAGTTTCATCAGTTGTTTTTGAGTTTTTTCTACAATTTAGGCTAACGTGCTTATTCCTGTAAAACCAACCAGTGGTCTCTAGCTGCTGCTCAGAAGAAACAAGGGGGATGGGTAATGTAAAAATCTGGATCAATATTCTAATTGTGAGCACATATTGGAACCAGCTAGCAACCCTATCAGCTTGGTTCCAACAGTTGCCCAGTTCATAGAAAGCCTTCTTAATTAGTTTACTCAGGATAGATTTACTTATTTTGCTTCACTCTTGTGGAATATATTGCTGTTGTACTCTATGTTTACAATGAAAGATAAGCTTACTCAATGTACTCTTAAATCGAACACTTATTAATCTTCCATATATAACCTTTTGTCAGAACGCAAAAGTTATGAGGGGACTTTGACATACCCATGCTTTCTGACTGAGTTCCTCTCTACTGTGAATACAAGACACCCTAATAGTTAGGCAGGAATATCATCGCCCCTATCCAACCTGAAGAAGTTACAGAAGATGGATCATTATTTGTCTCTAACCCTTTGGATTAAAGGTTCCCTTGTAAAAGGAAGGAGAGAAATATGTCAGAAGCATTTGAACAAGATCAACTCCATCTTGAATAAGGGCTGGGTAAAATGAGGCTGAGACCTACCGGGCTGCATTCCCAGGAGGTTAGGCATTCTTAGTCACCAAATGAGATAGGAGATCCGCACAAGATACAGGTCACAAAGACATGGCTGATAAAACAGGATGCAGTAAAACAGCCAGCCAAAACCCAGATGGCAATGAAAGTGACCTCTGGTCGTCCTCATTACTCATTATCGACTAATTATAATTCATTAGCATGCTAAAAGACACTCCTACCAGCGCCATGACAGTTTACAAATGTCACGGCAACATTAGGAAGTTACCCTATATGTTTGGTCTAAAAAGGGGAGGAACCCACAGTTCTGGGAATTGCCCACTCCTTTCCTGGAAAACTCATGAATAATCCACCCCTTGTTTACCAAATAATCAAGAAATAACCATAAAAATAGCCAAACAGCAGCCCTTGTAGCTGCATTGCGTATGGAGTAGCCATTATTTATTCCTTTACTTTCTTAATAAGCTTGCTTTTACTTTTTTTTTTTTTTTTTTGTGAGATGATGTCTCGCTCTGTCGCCAGGCAAGAGTGCAGTGGCTCAATCTCAGCTCACTACAACCTTGAAACCTCCGGGTTCAAGCGACTGTCCTGCCCCAGCTTCTCAGATAGCTGGGACTATAGGTGTGCACCACCATGCCCAGCTAATTTTTGTATTTTTAATAGAGACGGGGTTTCACTATGTTGGCCAGGATGGTCTCAATCTCTTGACCTTGTGATCCGCCCACCTTGGCCTCCCAAAGTGCTGGGATTTCTGGTGTGAGCCACTGCGCCCAACCTACTTTTTTTTTTTTTTTTAAAGAGAAACATAATTGGTAAATACAATCTAAGAAGTGCATCATTTTTAGTACTGTGCTCTAATTTATAGGATCATAGTATAGTAAATTTGGGAAAGATGCTAGAAATCAAAAGGAGTGAAACTCTCATTTTATTTGTGCCATTAATGTTTGGTATGTCCAACGGCACAGCAAATGATGTAGCTAGGAGTACACCCAGGTCATTGGACTTTCTGATCTGTATATTTTTCAATGCAATGTAAGTTTACATATCCATATATTTATAGAAGGATTATAGAAAAAGGTCTGAGCCTTTCTCAGTTATACTTTCAGAGTATAAAGAAAAGCTATATAGTTATTTAAAGAGTGGAATTTGCTTAAAGAGTGGAATTTAAAGAGTGTTATTTAAAGAGTGGAATATCCAAAAAGAAATTAGGTTTAAAAAGTGGTGTGTGAATAAGGTAAACTGTTTATGTATATACCAATTTAACTATAGGGTAATGTCATTTTTAAACTAATTATTTAGTTCTCTATATGAAGTAGAAAGTTAAGGATATGATTTCAATTAACCCTAAGGAGTGATGGTAACCTAAATGTAAATCGCTTACTTAAACAGGATCTGGTTTCATCTTGATAACCCAGCTTTAGCACCAATAGCATTCAAGGAACCATATTAACATAACGACATTACAAACTAAATACAACAGTATTGCTATACAGGAAGAGAGAGAATAAAAGGCCTATATGTTAGGAGTGAATTATCCGTGGGTTTCTTATATTTCTGCACATCTTGAGAGCAGAAGCACTGAAGGCCCTTTTTATGGACTATTTTATTGAAGATGTTTTATAGAAAAGAGTCTTGGAAGATAGAGATAGAATCTTGCTCCAGCATAATAAAGATAATGTCTTCCTCCAAGGCAAAGGAAGGCAAGTTTATGCCCATTATATTATAAAAGAATCAAGCTTCCTCAGTGTGGGTATCCTGTCTTGTAATGTAATCCATTGCATGTTCTGGTGTCACTTGATTCTTTTCTCACTGCCCAGTGGAAATTTTGGCTCTGAGAACTGGCACAAATAATAATACTGATTACTGCTGTTGCTGTAAGCAATACTTTTTTTTTTTTCCTCTGCCCCAGGAGTCCTATGTTTTCTGCTGGTATCATTGAAACTGTGGCAGAGTAACTTGTTAGTTTCTAAGTAGGATAGAACCTCAAATCTCAGACTCCTAGTGGTTCTTGAAATTGTCATCTTTTTATTCCTCTGAAGTTCATTCAATATACTTTTATTAGGCTAATATTTCCAAAGCAAACAATCTATTATTACATTTCTATCAGAATGTTTCAGTGTCTTCCAGTTAGGTATAGACTAACACCAAGGAATCAAAAGCTTTTTAATTATATTGTTTCATCCCATTTTGTCCAATTAAGTATAGATTCTCACCAAGAAATTAAAAACTTTTCATTATATGGCTCCAGCCTGGTTTTAAAAGTTGCATTTCTTGTTCCCCGAACATACCCCATTTTCATATTCCCATCATCTTTCACCTGTTATTGTCTATCATATGATTATATTGTATTTTCTTTCATTTATGTTATTCTCTAAGAACACTTTAACTTACATAAAGTTGAACAGTTGGTCTAGTGGTGGCTATGAAGCAGCACCTAGATCCCCTTTCAGGGCTGAAGGACTTGTTTTTCCATCTGCTGTAGGTGCCACAGTACTGTCTGTTCTGGCGGTCGACCTTGGACAAGCAAAGCTTCCTTGCCCAACACCATTCCTCTTTCGCAGAGGCAGCCCATACTGATTGGCTGGCCACTGAAGGGACACTAAGGCTCAGCCTCTCCCCCAAAATTGGGACAGTTCTGATGGTCATCTGAGCTTCAGACCTTCTCATGGATTTCAGTGATGTCTTTGTTGTGACTACATCACAGTCCTGCTTTTTCCTTTCTTTTTAATAAATTTCCTGCTGACAAATCTCTATGTAAATGCCTACTGCCTGGGGAGTCCAAACTATAACAGTTACCATTCTGCCTTAGAATGCAATCCTTTTGAGAAAGGGCTTCCGTTTTACTTTGTTGTATTTGTATTAGGCACCTCTAATAATAGTTTTCCCATAAATATTTGTTGAATCAAATTGAACTAAATAGGGTAAAGAAGCTCACCTTGCATTTTGATCATTAGTATGCCAAATAAATGTAGAATATGGAGCCAGAAAGTATCCTCTAACAACACAATAGTGGATATGAAGTGATAAATATATTTTATAATCCAGAATCCAGAAAGACCTATTACTCAAAAGAAGAGTCAATGGGGGCTGGGGGCAGTGGCTCACGCCTGTAATCCCAGCACTTTGGGAAACCGAGGCGGGCGGATCACAAGGTCAGGAGATCGAGACCATCCTGGCTAATACAGTGAAACCCCGTCTCTACTAAAAATACAAAAAATTAGCCAGGCGAGGTGGTGGGCACCTGTAATCCCAGCTACTTGGTAGGCTGAGGCAGGAGAATGGCATGAACCTGGGAAGCAGAGCTTGCAGTGAGCCGAGATCGCACCACTGCACTCCAGCCTGGGCGACAGAGCGAGACTCCGTCTCAGAAAAAAAAAAAAAAAGAAGAAGAAGAGTCAATGGGATAATACCATATGAATTACACCTATAAAAAGCTAGCTGACTTAACAATTCTTATTTTTTCTATCTAAAAAGAAATAAAATTGTATTTGCCTTACACAAGTGAGGGAATGGTGTTCAGGAATAAGTTCAGAGAAAAAGAGGGAATGTATTTATTTACCCTTTCGTTTACTTTCATGTATAAGACTAATGGTCTAAACTGAGTGGTAGAATTCATATGTCTAAAACCAAATAAGGATGGTTCAACTTTATTTTTTCTTATTGGTCAGAACTATTGTAAGCTTGCTTTTAAAAAGCAATCTTGAGTTTATTATTCTTTTAAGCAGCCTTGGTGATCAGGGAGAAGGGTGTCATCTCTTATCTTTCTATGACAGATTTCTTTTTTAACTTTTGAGAGTAGGAAACCCTGATCATCTTAGACATAAGTTGTCACCACCACCACACCTTTCATTATAGATTCCTATACTGTTAGTCATAGGGGAGATCCTAAACTGAAGGAGAAGACAGTTTACCTTCTGGCATCTCCAGCACAGCATATACATTCTGAATTTATAGCTGAATAGGTTTCTAAGACCTAGTTCTTAATGTGGAAAGTGTTTGTTGGAGTTTGTGTGGTGTGATATTCTAGTGTGCCAAGTGGAGTTAATTAAGAAAGGTTTTTCTGTAAGAATTGAGTCTTGGTGAATGAGAGTGGGGATGGACATAGCCGCAGACAGGCCATTATAAATGGGCTTTGGCAATTCAATATGGAGAGCGCTAAAGGTGGGCTCCAGGTAGGGATGTCATATTTGCCTGATTGGATAAGAAAGTGTGATCCAGAGAGTCACAGAGTGGACTCCAACATCTGGAATGTAATGTATGCCTGGTATTTATAGTCTGCTGAAGTCTGGCTGGTGCTTAGGGAGGAAGGAGTTGGGAGAAGGGCCTGTAAAGCATATTTAAAAGGTCTTATCTTTGAGAGCCTCTGCATTGGGCTTTACCTCCATTTTATAGTTGTGAATTTGGGGGTTTTATCTTATTTCTTGCCTGGTTAAAACAAACAGAGCTGAACCCTGATCCCAATTCTTGATTCCAAATCCATTGCTCTTTCTATTGTGTTATTACTATTTCCAGCAGTCGTCACCTCACTGGGAAGTCTACCTCTGATCTTTGTGTATCAAACCTGTTTATTTTCTCCTATAATTTTTTTCTTGTTGTTGTACTTTAATTAATTATTAAAAAATAAGCAATCTTGAGAAATTATTCTTGAAAAATTTAAGAAATTTTAAAACAATAGCCTAATATAAGATACTCCAAATAGCTCTAAGGAAATAGACATAGGAATACTTTGCAAGTAGCAGTTTTGAAAGAAAGCTGAGAATATGAGAAACAATCCCATTATCAAAACCTCCAAGTATATTTCAAAATAACTACCCCCTACCCACTTAAGTTTTCTCGTTACTTCTTTAAACACTGGAAAGTTTTACATAACTGATACCGTATTGTAAAATGTGTTTTCAGTTTGATAAAATAGCTGCTAGATTATAAACAAGTGTTTGCTCTTGGGCTTGTTGAGTACCGTGTTGAATGTCAACAGGTGTGCTTGTTTCATGTTTGGGCTTTGTGGTAAACGATGGATCATGGCCTTCCATTAAAAAGAATTCTTCATCTTTCAGCTTATATATCATCTATTTTCCCAGTTGAGACTTTAGGTCATTGGCTTTTAACATCAACAATAACAAGTTTGTGAGCCTGATTGTAGTTTTCTTCCCCCTATGGGTTTTTTTTTTTTTTTTTTGTAGATGTAGTTCTACTTGAAATGTTATTCTCAGAGAAAATATATTGAAAATAGTCATAGTTCTTTGAAAAGGTTGTTCTTTAATTATCAGCTGGTGCATTTCATGTCTAATTTATAATTTATTAGACAACCATTTATTATTATTTGGCAATACTTACATGCCTCTGTTAACATTTTCATTGCACTTATTTTGTAATACAAAAATAACAAAGGAATGTGAACAATTTCTTTCTCTTCTAAATTTATACTCATTTCGTGACATTTAGGTTACAACCTATTTGAATTTTTTTCCCCCATTAAAAGTAACAAAAGAATAACAAATGAAACCCTTGAGTACTCTGAACAAATATATGATACTTGATGCTTTCCCTATTTTTTTCCCGGCTTCTCATTCTGGGTGGGAATACAGGTGGGACAACTCTTAATTATACAGAATCTCCCCAGAAATTGGAGGCTTTTAACATCCTGGGTCCTAGGACGCCTGAAGCATACCCTAGTTGTGAGAACAGTAGTGTGTGCACACATTTCCAATTCCTTCCAGGAGAAAGAGCCCGGTGCGATCTTCTTACTCAGCTTCTGATTCTACTCCTTATTACTAGTTATCTTAAAGGTTACTATAGCAGTCTTCTTCTGCCTGTTATCTTCCCTCTCCACTTTTTATTCTCAAGATTCTAACCTTTCCATTTTTTTTTAATGCCGGAATGCCCCTTGCCAAAATACTTCAGCGGCATCTGTATTAGTCTCCTAGAGCTGCCTTAATAAATGATCACACACTGGGTGACTTCACACAACAGAAGTGTATTTTCTCCTAAATCTGGAGGCCAAAAGTCCGAAATCAAGGATTTGGCAGGGTCATTTCATTTTGGGGGTTCCAAGGGAAAAACCATCCCAATGTCTCTGTCCTAGTTTCTGGTCATTGCCAACCATCCTTGGAATTGCTCGTCTTTTAAACACAACACCGTAATCTCTTCCTCCATCTTCAAGTGCTTCTTCTCTATGTTTGTGTCCTTTCTTCCTCTTCCTGTAAGGCTACTTCCATTAGATTTAGGGCTTACACTAATCCAGCATGATCTAGTTCTTTACCTTTATTACATCTGCAAAGACCCTATTTCCAAATAAGGTTACATTCTGATGTTCCAGGACGACATGAATTTTGAGAAGACACTATTCGACCCACCACAGCACTCATTGTTTTTAACTTGAAGTCCACACTTTTCTTGTGGTAGAGAAAGCCTCAGATGATAAGAACTGCTTTGTTTATCCACCTTCCTGTCTTGCCAGTGTCCTCTCTCAGTCAGTGAACTCTGGGTCAGACTTGTATGATGTTCCACCTTCGCAATCGCCCTCCCTTGTTCTATTTTTTTTTTGTGCGGGGTGGGGGGGGGGTTGGGGACAGAGTCTCGCTCTGTCACCCAGGCTGGAGTGCAATAGTGTGATCTCGGCTCACTGCAACCTCTGCCTCCCAGGTTCAAGCGATTTTCCTGCCTCAGCCTCCTGAGTAGCTGGGATTATGGGTGCACACCACCACGCCCGGCTAATTTTTGTATTTTTAGTAGTGGTGGGGTTTCACCATGTTGGTCAGGCTGGTCTCGAACTCCTGACCTCGTGATCTGCCTGCCTCAGCATCCCAAAGTCCTGGGATTACAGGCATGAGCCACCGCGCCTGGCCTATCCCTTGTTCTTAAATACTCCTCACATGATACTTCCTCTCCTTCTTCCTACCATTTTTGTATAAACCTCTGGTCCTAGGTTAAACATCACCTTCTTGACTCTGCTATAAGACTCTGTTTAGAGCAGTTGTCCCTCTAATATACTGCTAGAGTGTGTATCCCACAGCCAATCATTGTGTGTTTGCACTATGGCAAACACTGGAATATAACAGCAAATGAAATGGATTTGATTCCACAAGGCCTGAGGCAAGGATTACATCACCATGTGTATACAGAGCATTATCCGTGTCCTCTATATGAATTAATTGCTTAGTTAATGCTAGTTAGTTGTAGGTGTCCTTCATAAATGGCATAGGAGGTATTTCACCAATTTATTTACACGTGATTATTTAGGAGCAGTTGCATTAATAATTCTACATTGAAATACTTGTTCTGTATTTTTACTCTTGATTTGGTCTGCTTTTTAGAGAACCTTTTATTTATACAAAGATAGCACTGTGTTTTCAAGAAATGCCCTTAAAAACTAGTCGTCAGCCTTGCCTTAAAAATGTTAATACTGATTGGTATGGTTTCAGACTTCTAAAACTAAATGGAGGCAAACATAGGCTACATATGATAACAACTCCAAACCACTTTTTTTTTTTTTTTCCTTGAGATGGAGTCTCACTCTGTCATTCAGGCTGGAGGGCAGTGGCACAATCTCTGCCCACTGCAACCTCCGCCTTCAGAGTTTAAGTGATTCTCATGCCTCAGCCTCCCAAATAGCTGGGATTATAAACATGTGCCACCACACCTGGCAATTTTTTTGTATTTTTAGTAGACACGGGATTTCACCATGTTGACCATGCTAGTCTTGAACTCCTGACCTCAGGTGATCCACCCTCCTTGGCCTCCCAAAGTGCTGGAATTACAGGTGTGAGCCACTGCATCAGGCCCAAACCACCTTTAAAGAATGTGTGAAAATTATGGATTCAACTTGACTTTGCGTATAAATTGAAGAGAGGATTTTTGGTTTACCTAAAATATTTCCTCTCCACATAGAATTACCCAAAATCACCGGCCATGATCAACCCTAGCCATGGCCAGCAAATTTGAGAGTCCTATGAACTGGAGAGAAATTCTAAGCTTAAATACTACCTACTGTAAATTTTAAGTTGATCTTCTCCATCAGGATGTTGGCTGGACCAAGCATTTGGTGAAAATTTCTCCTTAATTAGAAATCAGAAGTAAAAGTTTTGTACTTTAGTAAGGATATTATAAAGCTTTCAAGGAATACTAGTGATGGATCTTGGAATATATTTAAATGTTCAATAAAATGACAGAAATCTGGATGCTATGGACATAATGTCTTTCCTTCCATGTATATTTGATAAATTTCATATCAGTTTTCAAGATAAAAATCTTATCTTAAAAATTTTTAGTGGAAAACAAGGTAAAAATGTGTGCTTCTTCATCCTTAATCCTAGGGAATTGGATTAGCCCAATACTTTATATGTTTTGAGTGAGTTAATCAAGCTTTTGCATATTTCACAATTTCTTATATTTAAAAACTCAAAAATGTGTTTGCTTATTCTGGATCCAGTCAGAATTCTAGAAATGAGCACAAAATGCAAAATAAGATTTTAATTGCAAAAATATAACCATTGGCTTTAAAAAAGATAAATATGGCTTAATACACAGCCTGAGCAAAAATTTACAAAATAACTTATTTTAAAAAAAGTTTCGGAGCTAATGATTAAGAAATAAATCACTACTGAAGTCAATATCTAATGCTTGAAGTTTAGAGTTAATTCAATTGATAAAAGATGGAGAAAGATGAAATCTGACTTTATACCTCCATTTCACAATTATCTGAGAAATTAGTAGCAGGGTTGAACTGAGGGCCAAAACATTGAAATAAGCTCCTGCATGGAGGAGATGGCAATGTCTGCAGCTCTTACTTCTTGGTAGCAAAATAATTAGGTAAATAGGCTTCTGATTTATCAGGAGCTTGAATTGTACACAGAAAACATGCAAAGTTTATTAACATGTGGCATTATTTGTATTTGAGAAAAAATGAAAATGCCATAATTATCCTGATGCCACCATTCCCGATCCTCCCACTCCCAACCCTATTTCTAGGCTGTGAATTATCCCTCTGAATGAAGGCCTAGAAATGCCTCTTTGAGGTAAGTGTTCAGTGTTGACTTGACTTCGCTACGGACTACAAGGTTCCAAAGACTTGGAGAAGACAGTCCAGTAACAGTAAATTTCTAGCTGTTGTTTCGTTTTTTGAGGTGTGTGAACACAAAATATATTTTGAATTTATAATTGGGACATTTAGGACAGGGAGAAGATTCCTTATGCATTTTCTGATAGTAAATAAAAGTTAAATAAATTATTCTATTTGGCTTGGTTCCAAAAAAGGCTTACCTATTACCAAGTGAAGAATTATTGAGCATTTCTTTGTGAAGTGATAATTTGGCATGCAGTCCTCTCCAAAACATAATTGCCAAAATATTAATAAAATTGAGTTGATTTGTAGGTTTCTGTAAAGCAATTCATTGAAATGCAATGGGTCTGGTCTTTTTTTAAAGTCCTATATTTGAATATTATAAAAAAATATAGGATTTTGATATGTAACCAAAAATTGTTTTGTTGGATAACAAACTATGGCAAAACTTAGCTAGCTGCCTTAAATTAACAGTCATTTTAGTCACATTTTCCACAAGTAAGCCTGTTGGCTGTGTGTGTCTGTGAGTGTGTTTGTGTGTGTATGTGTGTGTGTGTGGTCTGGGATGGTTCAGCTAGGTTACCTAGGACGGCCTCACCCACATGTCTGAGGCTTTAGGGGAGAGACTTGGGCCTTCCAACTCATGGTCTCTCATACTTTAAGAAACTGCCCAGGCTTGAATCCACTGTGGTGCAATAATTCTCTGAAGCAAGACCCATTGTGTGAGCATTATTTCAGCCTCTGCTTCTGTCATGTTTGTTAATATCCCGTTGTCCAAAGTTATTCACATGCCAAACAGAAACAAGCTCCACCTCTACAACTTGTAGTTTTGCAACATATATATGCCATATATGTTCATACATATATATGTGTGTGTGCATATAGCACATTAGTATTTAAAACTACTAATGTATTTTATATATTTTCTTTTGGGATTATAGCAATTTAACATATGGCATCTATATGACTATATTATATTTCATAAATCATTTCAATATTAAATGATACTTCTAACTTAGTATTGTCAATTTCTTTAGCTAAGCAATATGTTTATTACTTTTGAATATTATGTTGTCCTAGGATTATAGCTTTGTACTGAGTTGTCTTTCAGACAATTAGATTTATTGTTTGCCTGTTTGATCAGAAAAGAGAGCCTGTGGGTCATTTGATACATAGCAAATTCCATGATAATAAATTATACCTGGTCATATAAATAGAAGATTCTACTATATTTTTTAAACTATATTTATTTCAAACTTTGAAATTTTAAAAAGCAAAATACTAGATAGAAAATGTATTAGTGGTTTGGATTTAGGTATATTTGGACTTGAACTAGCAATGTGAGTTTATAGAATTAACTTTTTATAACATTAAAATTGCTATCTATTAAATTGGAAATGTCTGGCAAAGGATATTCCTGTAAACTATTCTAGAAATGCTCAAAGTCATGTAATTCTAGAAGCTCATTTTTTCATAGAGAGATAATCAATTCTGTTTTGGCAAAGTAATGTTCTACAGTAGATTTCTGGAAGCTATTTATCTGAATTACTAAATACAACAGAATAATAGTATAATCGAATTTCTTCTTAAAAAGGAATTGTGTCAGAATAATAAAGTATATTATGATGAAATGTATTACTATAATCTAACAAAAATATAAAACTATGCAATTATTAAAGAGTATTCTATTTTCATTGAATGCTACTCTTAATTCAGTTTCTATCCTCCCTCCTCCCCAACATACACACACTTCTATGAAGCTGACCCACTTCACATTTTTAGCAGAGGAAGGGAAGTTGTATGTGGGAGAAGTGTCAGATATAGTGTTTCTAAGTTTGTAATTTTATACTGTTTTGTCTTAATTCTAACATATTTTATGATATGTCTTCTTTTGGAGAAAAAAGGAGGAGGGCGTGTATCAGTTTGCTAGGGCTGCCATAAGGAAGTACCACAAACTAGAAGGCCCAAAACAATAGAAATGTATTTTCTCAGGGTTCTGCAGTCTAGAACTTTGACATTAAAATGATGGTAGGACCATTGTCCTCTGATAACTCTACAAGGTGATGCCTCCTTGCTTCTTCCAGCTTCTGGTAGGCCTGGGGGTTCCTTGGCTTGTGGCAGCATCAGGTCAATTTCTGTCACGTTTTCACATGGATACTGTCTCTGTGTCTGTCTGTGTCCAAATTTTTCTCTTATAAACCTAGTAGTCCTATTGAATTAAGGCCCATCATAATTCAGTATGAACTCATCTTAACCTGACTGTATCTGCAATGAACCCATTTCCAAATAAAGCTACATTCTTGGGTACCAGGGATTAAGACTTCAACATATCTTTTTAGGGGGACAGAATTCAATCCACAGCAGGACCTAAGGAAGAGCAGTGTTAAAACTTTTGCATTAATTGATACTATAGATGTTCAGTAAATAATAATTATTGTTATTATCGTTATAGAGACATGTGTTTGTCACTTATATGGTACCAAGTTTTCTTTTAAATATTTTGTAAGCATTTACTCTTTCATTGAACTGAAATGAGAAGCCAAGGGTCTTATCCTGAAGTGATAACATACAGATTAGCAAATTCTGTTTTAGACTATAAAAGGCATTCTTATAATCAGACATTTTGTTTTTGCAATTTTTTTGTTTGTTTTATTTTATTTATTTATTTTTTTGAAAGAGTCTTGCTCTGTCACCCAGGCTGGAGTGCAGTGGCGAGATCTCAGCTCACTGCATTCTCTACCTCCCAGGCCCAAGCGATTCTTGTGCCTCAGCTTCTCAAGTAGCTGGGACTACAGGCAAGTGCCACCACACCCAGCTAACCTTTTTTTTTTCTTTTTAATAATCCGTGTATTCTGAAAGTTTTTGATGTCTATGAAGTTTTGACTTGCAAAATATTCTAGTAGTTTACAATTTCTCAGTAGGCTTATTTAAACTTTGTTTATTATTAAGAATTGAACCAGTTCCAGACACCATTACCAATGAAATCAGGCCCACCATAGCAGCTGAAGTCGACCATTTATTACATGCACTTCATTTGAGTCTTATTAATGCTGACATCTGTTCAAGTCTTCATTACCATATTACCACAACTGGTCCCTTGTCACATTTATCCTGATTCTTTGTAGCATAAACACAAAAGAGAAAAATACATTTCCAACTAATGATAAGGTTATTTATAAATGAGATATATTCAAAGAATGATTTTCCACATATTGGACACATGCTATTCATTTCTCAATTTTATTTTTACCTTTAGACAAAAAAATTTTAAATACTGAATTATAAACAAGATTTAAAATTTTATTCATGAAACTAAAAGTATGTTTTAATACACAGCTATACAAGACAATTACTTAAGCATACATTTAAGCAATGTAATTAATAAAATATTTTCTTTGTGAGTTTGAGATGTTACTTTTATGAATTTTGCAATAGCCTAATGAAAGAATAAAAATTACGTAATTTTTGCAATGATCATTCATTCATCATTTTTAGTAGCAACACAATTCTATGATATGTTATGGTTGTAACAGTGGCTTTTTCAATGATGCTTTCTTAATGACACTTTACAAATTACACTAATAGTCTCTCACGGCAAGGTTGGCTGTATGTATTTTTTGTAGGCTTTATAATATCATCTGAGTCTATTATTACCTCTGACATTTTTCTAGAGGCCAGTTAACTTGTTTATATTCAAACACCGAGTGGGAAATGCCAGCATCAATCACCGTTTCTACCTGTAATGCATAGTGATAATAGCAACCACGGGTAGTAAGCACTTTGCTAAGTATTGGGCTTAAATGATTCCAGTTATTTTCCTCAATAAGACTGTATTATAGGTATTCCCATTTCCTTGAGGACAAGAGTAATAAGTAATTTTCTAGAAGTCATGCTTTAGTAGATATATTTGAAATTAGCACCCAGGATATCTGACTCCAGAATATGTCCTCCCAAGTGTGATGCTCTACCCTACTTATCATAATGGTTCTGCCTGAAAATAATTATTATGTGCCTACCATATACTTATCTCCAACACTATTATTACTGAGTGGCCTAAAAAAGAAGGAAAAGTAGGTATCCTTTTCTTTAGGGTAGGGAAGACATACAAAGGTGAAGCTACTGAAATTAATTATAATAGCAGTATATAACATGGTGAATCCTTGTCTTGAAAATGTAGTCAAGAGATTAGGCTGAACTGGGGCTAGTTTTTCATTGAATTGGAACTTAAAAGACATACTAGAGAAAAGCAAAAGCAAAAGAAAGTCATACTGGGTGGACAAAAGGGCAAGGGCTAGACCTAAAGAGAATAAAAACAAGCATTTGAAAATCAGTGAATGAAAGACACTCTACAAAAGAACTTGCTCTATTTTAGGTAGTACCTTTCAAAGTCACCTTTCAATTTTGAAATATGGTAAACTCAACAATTGACTATAACTGTTAGTAACTAAAATTATTATATCTCAAGTATTTTTTGAAAAATAGTTCAAATTATCAAAATTTTGAATTCTTTGGAGACTAAAAAAATTAATAAGTTGTCAATTGACTTCATGCACAAAATGTATGTGGAGTATATACAAGCGGCATTTTTTTTTAAGACGGAATTTTCCTCTTGTTGCCCAGGCTGGAGTGCATTGGTGCAACCTCAGCTCATTGCAACCTCCACCTCCCAGGTTCAAGATATTTTCCTGCCTCAGCCTCCTGAGTAGCTGGGATTACAGGGGTGCGCCACCATGCCCAGCTAATTTTTGTATTTTTAGTAGAGACAGGGTTTCACCATGTTGTCCAGGCTGGTCTTGAACTCCTGACCTCAAGTAATTCTTCCACCTCGACCTCCCAAAGTGCTGGGAATACAGGCGTAAGCCACTGCACCCAGCCACAGGCAGCAAATTCTTAACAGACACTATAGAATGAGCTTAATAGAAAATTTGTGTCGTTACATAATTTGCATTTATGGACTGCTTCTAGAAGATGTGAAAAATAGAGGAAAGAATATGCGTTGAGGTCAAATTTTATAAATCAATGTTTTCCTAAATATACATGTATTGACTATCTCTGCTACACCAGAGAATGCTGTTTCTGCAGGACATTAACAAGGGATAAACATATAATAATTTCCATGTATAAACACATTTGAGATAGGGTGTTCAAAAATTACATAGGTTTTGTATGGTGTATCCACTGAATACTTCTAATGAGCTGAGAGATATTGGTAAAGTTAACAAGAAGAGTATAACATGCAGCGTTTCTCAAAATTACTATACTACGCACTATTTTGATAGCGGGTTATGGTGACTGCATTAGGATAAATCTGCATTCTCAAGATTTTTGGGGTAAAGAGATATGTGGTCATATCCTATGAAATAACTGTGAGTCGTTTAGGAAAGACTTAGACATCGTGAACCCATGTGATGTGGACCATGAGTGAATGAAAGGTTTGGAAAATGGAAGATGTCATTCATAACATGAAACTTTCAGGTGAAAGATTCTCAGGAACAAAAATCTCTAAAGAATACAAGAAAAATGTTCATGAGAGAAAAATCAGTTTTAACCATTTCTCAGACCCAAAGAGCATGAAATCTATCGAATCAAGTCAGAAGTATTCTATCACCTTACCAGTTTTCTCTCCTTTCTTCCAATAATGTTCAAAACTGCAACTAGAAACTAAGGAAACAGGTGAAAAAGAGAGGGAGCAGAAGCCGGCTGCATTTCCTTTTACTGATTAATATATCTGCCAGCTATGACTCTGGGCATTCAGAAGAAGGAGAGTAAGCCTTAGCCTCAAATGGCATTGAAGCAGATTGATTCATGTTTTCATATATTAATTAATAGGTGATTATTTAATCCAAATTTTATGCTGTGACTTAAAGAGATTGTACAACCATTTATTATCCAAAAATGAAAAGAACAGTTAATGATGTCACCAATTTTAAATTATTGGTCTGAGTTATTACCCTGAAAGTATAAATGTTAAATAAGGAAGAGTAGTATATTAGTTTTCTAGGACTGCCATAATAAAGTACCACAGACTGGGTGGCTTAAATAACAGAATTTTATTCTTTCACAGTTCTGTAGGTTAGAAGTCCAAGATTAAGATGCCAGCAGGATTGGTTTCTTCTGTGGCCTCACTCCTTGGGGTGTAGATGGCTGTCTTCTCTCTGCATCTTCACGTGGTTTTTCCTTCTGTATGTGTCTGTGTGCCTGTCCTCTTCCTATAAGGACACCAGTCATATTGAATGAGGACCCACTCATTTTAACTTTAAAGAGCCTATCTGTAATTACAGTCACATCTGATGTACTGGGGATTAGGATTTCAACACACAAATTTTGTGAGGGTGACACAACTCACCCCATGGCAGGTAGAAAGTTACAATTCCATCAAGTCATATTCAATGCATCTGTTGCATATTGTTATATTCTCTGATATATCAAACTACTTTTGATTTTCTGGAATTAATCCAGCTTGGTTATTGAATAATTGCTCTTACGATGTATTTCTAGATTCTAATATAATTTTTAAATCTATAATCACAAGATAGATTGGCTTACTGTTTTGTTTTGAATATATTATTTAGGGTTTGTAATATTAGGTTGCCGTAAAAGTAATTGTGGTTTTTGCCATGGCAAAAAGTAATTGCAGTTTTGCTCTCATGAGCATTTTTCTTGTATTCTTTAGAGATTTTTGTTCCTTTGAATGGCAAAAACCGCCATTACTAACACCAACCTAATATACATTATGTTGGCAAATCTGTGGCAACACATTAGAAAATCTACAGAAAATGGGTGATTTTCATAGCAAAATTGCATTAAAATATCAAGAAGAAATGAAAATCTTAGATAAAATATTTAAAAATTGTGACATATTTACCATTTTAAAATATTCTAGGAATATGTGAGTTGTTATATATACTAACTATTAATACTTTCTGCTACAACACCCTTAAAAACCACAGTGATTAAAAAGTGTATATTAAGTAAATTCTGTGATGTTCTCATTGGGTGAGACTTTTGTGGCTCTTCTCCAAGAATTGGCTGAATTCACCCAGATATCAAGCAGGCAGGAATCAGAAAAGGAGGGTGTTTAGGGGAGATATGTCCACTCTAAACTGCCTCAGTAGCACCCCATCAGCTCAGCTCACATTTCAACTGTAAAGCACATCTCCACATGAGGGGCTAATTATGGTAGTTCAGCTGTGTGTCCAAGAGAAAGAAACAAGTTTCTTGAGCAGTGAGTTGGTCCCTGCCACAGATGGGTTCACAGTTGAGTTTCAGCCAACTCTAAAAACTCTTAATTACAATGTTTTCTAAATTATTCCAAGCTAGGAAAAGAAAAATTAAGTCCTCAGTCTTTCTGACAATGAAGGATAATTTAATTTTAATTTTGACTTGATTTTAATAATCTTGACTTTTAGGCATTAAAAAAAGATGTAAAACTAAAAGCATTTTTTCAGCTATTGCATTTTGCAAAATGGAGAGCTTCTTGGCTTAGGAAACAATTTCTGGAATATTTTAGATAGATGATAGATTTGATTTATATCTACATATACATATAAATCAAAATAAGAGATCTCTTCATTGAAATATAGTTATACATCTTTAAATTTTTAATCAACACTTAGGGAGATGGCATGTTATTATACAAAATGTGTCCCTTTTAGGTTCAAGTCAATCTCCAAATTTCTGTTCTGTCGCTTCCCAGTTTTTTGACATTATGCAGGTCACTTTGCTTACTTCACCTAAATTTTCTCACCTGTAAAATAGACATAAATATAAGAGTATCACAAGATTCATACATGATTCGCATGGCATAATCTTTGAATTGACCCAGAGCAATGGACATTACAGCACGGCCATCCACACAAAGGCAGTGTTTTTTAATCATCATTAACACCTTTAACATTATATCAAATAATTTACCTTCGGTGTTTTCCCATTCTATAATCTTCAAGGCTTTTGTACAGAAAACATTGTAATTTCATACTTTGAGTATACTTACTTCATCCCCTGACCCTTTCAAAACATATAACAATGATAGACAAAATGTGAAAGAAAAAATATCGACACAACCCAGGCAAAAATAAAGCAGACAACCCCAAGGGCTAGAAATTGGACAAAAACAACAATTAGGATTGAAATTGGTTCCTACTTGGGTCAGGGAAAAGAAGTTTCAGGCAACTATGAATTGGTATCCACGGGTAACAGAACTAGAAGTAATTCCTATAAATTTGGAGATCCATTCCAGGTTTACTGCTAGAAAATAGCCTGGGGCAGAGTTTCCCAAACTGAAAGGCAGTTGCCAAGGTTCATGGTGTCTCTGGAGTGGGAGACTATAGCTAATTCCAGAAGAAGGAGGGGCTATAGCACATATCAGGGAGAGTGGAATCTGCAGGGAATATCAGAAGAAACAAAGTCTCTGGCCAGGTTCCGAGCCAAGCTTCCCTCTGGCAAGTGGCCATGTAACTATATTTCTAATGCCAATATTACCCCCAATCTGCCAGCATAAATACTATCTTTGTATTTGAAGACAAAATTGTTAGTTGGAAGAAACTATAGAACATCTAGATAGAGAGGGTCAAAGAGAGAGAGAGAAGGAAAAGAAACAGAGTGACAAGCAAAGGAAACAGCTCCTCAAGAAGATTTTGCAAAATAAAATTCCAAAACCCACAAGGCAAGTAAATAATTAGTTGCTTTAATAAACCAAGGCAAAAAAATTAATTAGCAATTAAATAAAACAAACCTATGTTTATTTCCTCAAATGCATAAAATAATAATAATAGCATTGAGGAAGAAACAGGCATTATTAAACAGAAGCACTTACTAGGGTAGGAAAAAGAACCCAAAGAATTATTAGAAATGAAAAAAATTAAAAACCATTCAATTAGTAAACAGGGGTGGAAAAATCCCTGAACTGGTAGAATAACTAGTAGGGAGCACAGTTTAAGTGATACCTCTGGTTAAGATAACATTAAGAAATTCGTTTAGAACGCAGCCTGTACATATATAACATGAAAGAGAAGTTAATATCCAGGAAGGGTCGATTGAAAGACTTTAGCATGTTGAAAATAATATCAAGAAAATGATTAAAGAGGAGATGGAGAAATGAAGCAACCCAAAATTGATAATGGATTTGAATTTTTTTGAAATTCAAAAGTGCACAAAAAGTCTGCATGTAAATCCACATCTACCCGCACCACTGTGAAACTGCAGTGTGTATATTTGTATGTAAACTGAGAGAAAAGACATACAAATTATAAAAGTACAATGAAGAAGGCGACATCAAACTTCTCATCAAGGCTAACACACAATCGGAAGCAGTGTTCTTGTGTTCTTGTTCGTCGAAGTACCAAGGGAAAATCACCTCCAGCTCTGAAGTTGACATCTGCCTAAACTGTGGTTCAACAGTATAAAGAAGGAAAAACACTTTGAACAAACAAATCTTAAAGTCTCTATGACACATAGACCCACTCTGAACGAACTATTGGAGGATTTCATTAAAATGAAATATTCCTAACTGAGGTTATTGCCAAGCAATATGAATAAACAAGTGGTATATTTTAAAAAGTAGTATTTTGCAGAGAATCTTTAGAATGGCCAACTATGTAACTTTTTGGAAAAATGATTAGAATCAAGTGTTATAAATGAAACATTTCAAATGCCTTAAAATTGTGAGCTGAAAATATCTGAGACAGATCTCAATCAATTTGGAGAGTTTATTTTGCCAAGGTTTAGGATGCCTCCTGACACAACCTCAGGGGTCTTGAGGACATGCACCCAAGGTAATCAGGGTACAACTTGCTTTTATGTTTTAGGAAGACATGAAACAATAATAAATATGTGTAAGATATATATTGGTTTGGTGTTGGTGGGGCTTCTGGATTCCAGATAGATAAGCACAAAATGTTGCATTCTTTTGAGTCTTTGATCAGCTTTTCACCAAATGCACAATTTAGACTGGCTCAGTGAATCCTCATTGTTACATAAACAGTAGGGCAGAGGAAGCAATGGAATGTGCATTTGTCTCAGGTGAG
Source organism: Homo sapiens (assembly GCF_000001405.40). NCBI lineage: Eukaryota > Metazoa > Chordata > Mammalia > Primates > Hominidae > Homo > Homo sapiens. Next base: position 171,981,373 of record NC_000004.12, read on the forward strand.
CAGAGGGATGACTTTCTGTCCAGTAGCTGTGAAGATAAGCTGTCAGTTTACATTGCCAGGGTGAAACTCAACTGTTTTGTGGTTAAGATCTTGAGGCCCACAAGGAATTTCTCTGTTGGCAAATTATGAGGGAGGTATGGAGCTTTTTTTATCTTTGTAGCTATCTTACTTAGGAATAAAATAGGAAGCAGATTTGCCTTGGCTTAGTGATTTGGGGGTCTGAGTTTTTTTTATTCTTTCACAAGATCTTTATATGTTAAATGAAATTCCTAAATTAAATTAAGCATTATCACTTCTGCAACATTTTGCATTACACAACACCTGAGTGAGAAGGCCTTATAAAATCCAAAGAATGCTTAGCTACTTTCAGTATACTTTTTTTCTGTTTCATTTTTCTTTTTAAATTTAGCAAAGAATTCATATTGAGTTATGAGATATGTTTAAAGGAAATTATTCTCAATGATTAAGATTTATTTCTCTTCCTTAATTCTATTTAAATAAAAATGAAAAATACAAAGAAAAAATGTAAATATTTATATATATATTTTAACTACAGATCTATTCCTGAAAGAGGGGGTTAACTATATTTCAGAAGTCAAATTGGATTTTAAATATATTTGAATAGATGATAATTTGGGGTAATCTTATAGTCAGTCTATTAAGGAGTGAAAACTACTACTAATTTCTCACTGCTTTATATGCTAATTTTAGTTTCCATATTAAATTTTGTGAAAGTATACATGTTCTCATTTTAAAACTGTTAATATCCTGACATTAAGAATATTTAAGTCTATATAACCACTTCTAATCTTCAGATTTTTTTCTCCCACTTTTATTTTGGCAAATTAATAAAGTAAAATTTAACTTCAGGAGGGTCATAAAAGTGACTATCATTCACCTAATAGACGAAAGTATTTTGTTTGTTTGTTGTTTGTTTGTTTTTGATACGGAGTCTCGCTCTGTCACCCAGGCTGGAGTGCAGTGGCGCGATCTCGGCCCACTGCAAGCTCTGCCTCCTGGGTTCACGTCATTCTCCTGCTTCAGCCTCCCCAGTAGCTGGGACTACAGGCGCCCGCCACCACGCCCGGCTGATTTTTTTGTATTTTCATTAGAGACGGGGTTTCACTGTCTTAGCCAGGATGGTCTTGATCTCCTGACCTCGTGATTCGCCCGCCTCAGCCTCCCAAAGTGCTGGGATTACAAGCATGAGCCACCGCGCCCGACCGAAAGTACTTTCGTTTGCTTCTTCCAGACGAGCTTGTTGGAGGTCCTCCACCCATAGTCCCCACATCAACCCCTTGATAGTAAATCAAGGATAATTGATAGATTTCAACATTTGACTTACAAAGTTTTGAGAAAATCATAAAACTAACATACATCTTTCTCTGTTCTGTAATTGATGTTGTGAAAGAAAATAGGATCTTAGGACCTCATACTCACTATGCTAAAGGGAAAGTTAAGCTTGGGAACTGAGTCAGGCAAAAACTGCCTCTTTTTGGTTCACAGATAGCTGTAATTTCTCAGCCCTGTGTCATAGCCTCATTTTCTCTTTTCACATGTAAAATGTAGATTTACTGAAGCTTATCAGAGCCTTACAAGAATGTAACCATCTGCTTCATGGCCTATCCTCCCTCCCTTTTTTCCTCCTTGCACTTTCTCTAAATATTGATGTACCGAAAAACCCTTTTGAAAAAAACTCAGGTGACAGATGCTCCTATGATTTATATTTTTTTCCTGGATACATCCTCCCCCTTGTCTAAATAAACCCGTATAGTTTTAGGCCTGCCTTAGTCACGTTTTGGTGTACGGTGTACAAATTCTGAATGGTAATGAACATATGATCCACAATTTTATTTTAGAGTGCTCTTATTTTGAGGGGCAAAGCTTGCTAATTATTTTTTCTTCTAAATTCTGATAAATAAAAATATTCACATGGGGCTTCCAGAACTAGTTTGCTCTATTCCTGTAACAGGTGCTATCATATCCGTTGTGCTCCAGAAAACTTTCAGTATCCACATAACCTGACTGAGAACTTTTCTAGAAATGTGGAAGGATGCTCTGCAGTTAAGGCCAGCTTCAGAGGCATCTTGATTTTATTTATTTATTTATTTATTTATTTATTTATTTATTTATTTGAGACGGGGTCTCTCATTCTGTCACCCAGGCTGGAGTGCAGTGGTGCCATCACGGCTCATTATAGCCTCAATCTCCTAGGATCAAGAGATCCTCTCACCTGAGCCTCCCAAGGTGCTGGGATTACAAGTGTGAGCTTCCATGCCTGGCCTTGAAATTCTTAATAATGCTCTCCTTGAATTTTAATTTGTGTTTTGTAAGTTAAGTCATTGGGACAATCAATGAGGGGTGGGTTGAAATGTGGGGGTTAGAGTCTTGCATGACCTACCCTGGATAGCTTCTTGGCTGCCTTTGCTTCAACCCCTCCTAACAACTGCTGCTGCTCTCCTCCTTGGGGAAAGTAAAGGAGGTGGTGGGGAAGGGCCATGGAGTAGGGAAGTGGAGAAGGAGGAAAGGAAGTATACATATGCATTTCACTATTTTGCACCCCTTCCCCTAGTGTGGGCCTCAGCACACATACTGGGAGGGTTGGACATGTGCCCAGCAGCATCTCAGGACAGGTAGTGCCCAACCCCAGCCCGGGCTGTTAACTCAATGGTGGATTCATTAGGGGCCCCTTGACCACTCCCATCCAGATGCAGAGTATGTCTCAGCTGGGATGCAGTGCATTGTGGTTTTCAGGTGGTTGGATGGCAGGCCCGTGGGAAGGAGAGCTTGACTTCCCTGCCCTTGGCCAGGTCCCCACTTTTACATTATGCCCTTGGAAACAAAATGCAGGTTCAGTCGCTTGCCACCTACAGAGTCCAATAACAAAGGAGAGGTCTGGTATTTCAAGACTTTTATTTCAAAACTAGCTTAGAGGAAACAGTACCAGCTTCCTGTCTTAAGGGTCTTGCTTTGCTTTTGGAGCAGAAAGCAGGCACTTTTAAAAGGCATGAGAGGAAGTGAGCAGGTAGGTGGTCTGCATGCTAGCTCAGTGCCTTATCTACCAGACAATTGAGTTGGCATTTTTGTGGTCAGAAAGGGTTGTAGAGGTGGCCCAAAACTCTCCAGATGGGAGAGAGTTTTGTAGCGGGACTTTGGGTTGCAAACTGAATGTTATCTCTGGAGGCAACCTCCTGGTGTGTGACAGCCCGCTCTGGAGTTTCTAAGTCCACAGTTAAATCAACTTACTTTGTAGGGAGTGTCTGCTGAAGAGACAGTAAAAGGCTATAATTGTGTTTCTAAAGAGCTAAGTAGGAAGCAGGGGAAAGGAGGAAAGAGGAGATAGAAAAGAGAGAAAAAATAATTAAACTAGCTCTTAGATTAATGGGGGTATTTGAGTATAGTCTGGGTCCCATGAATTATATAGCCAGCATTATCTGCAGTGAGTATATCAGCCATGGGAAGTGACTGAGTCAATCACTCTAAGATAACCCAACTTCTGGCCAGGCACTGTGGCTCACGCCTGTAATCCCAGCACTTTGGGAGGTCGAGGCAGGTAGATCACGAGGTCAGGAGATTAAGACCATCAAAAATTAGCAAAATACAAAAATAAAATCAGCAAAAACAAAAAAAAAAAAGAAAAGAAAACCCAACTTCCTTGCCTTTAGGTAGATTATTCCAAGACATGAGTTTTACAATGTTTTTTTTAGAGCTCTCCCCACCCAATTAAGTTTATTGTGGTAACTGGCTTGATAAAAAAAATCCTGTATTGAGTGTACTCATCTGTTTTCACACCACTGATAAAGATATGCCTGAGACTGGGTATTTTATAAAGAAAAAAAAAGCTTTAATGGACTCATAGTTCCACATTTTTCCTCACAATAATGGCAGAAGGTAAAAGACACGTCTCACATGGCAGCAAGCCAGAGAAAATGAGAGCCAAGTGAAAGGGAAAACCCCTTATAAAGCCAACCGATCTCATGAGACTTACTCAGCACCATGAGTACACTATGGGGGAAACCACCCCCATGATTCTATTATCTCCCACCAGGTCCCTCCCACAACATGTGGGAATTATGGGAGCTACAATTCAAGATGAGATTTGGGTGAGGACACAGCCAAGTTTCTTTTACATGATGTTGCTTTAAAATGCCATTATAATTACTTTGTATTATTCCCCATCACCTGTATCTCACTACCACACTTCCATGGATTATTATGTTACACAGTGTTGAAGAGATGTCTGGCTAAACAAAACCCACTACATGTTTGAATTCCAGGCATTTTGATGTTTGTTTGAGAGATATAAAAAGCCTTTTAAAAATTAGGGCTGTCACTGAAAATCTGGGAAATTTGGTAACTCTATAAAATTATATATATATATATATGCTTTTTCAAAGAATTATAAACATCAAAAACACTTCTGTTGGGAGGCCGAGGTGGGTGGATCACAAGGTCAGGAGTTTGAGAGCAGCCTGACCAACATGGTGAAACCCCATCTCTACTAAAAATACAAAAATTAGCCGGGCGTGGTAGCACACACCTGTAATCCCAGCTTCTCAGGAGGCTGAGGCAGGAGAATTGCTTGAATCCAGGAGGCGGAGGTTGCAGTGAGCCGAGAATGCACCACTGCACTCCAGCCTGAGTGACAGAGCCAGACTCTGTCTCAAAAAAAAAAAAAAAAAAAACACTTCTGTCCAATTGGAAAATTGGTATCTTTGGCACATATGATAGTTTCACTCACGTCCATGTGAAGAGACCACCAAACAGGCTTTGTGTGAGCAATAAAGCTGTTTATTTCACCTGGGTGCAGCTGGGCTGAGTCCGAAAAGAGAGTCAGAGAAAGGAGATAAGGGTGGGGCTGTTTTATAGGATTTGGGTAGATAAAGGAAAATTACAGTCAAAGGGGGGGTGTTCTCTGGCGGGCAGAGTGGGGGTCACAAGGTGCTCAGTAGGGGAGCTTTTGAGCCAGGATGACCCAGGAGAAGGAATCTCACAAGACAATGTCATCAGTTAAGGCAGGAACCCGCCATCTGGATGTGTACGTGCAGGTCACAGGGGATATGATGGCTTAGCTTGGGCTCAGAGGCCTGACATTCCTGTCTTCTTATATTAATAAGAAAAATAAAATGAAATAGTGGTAAAGTGTTGGGATGGTGAAAATTTTAGGGGGTGGTATGGAGAGATAATGGGCAATGTTTCTCAGGGCTGTTTCGAGCGGGATTAGGGGTGGCGTGGGAACCTAGAGTGGGAGAGATTAAGCTGAAGGAAGATTTTGTGGTAAGGGGTGATCTTGTGGGGTTGTTAGAAGAAACATTTATTGTGTAGAATTATTGGTGATGGCCTGGATACCGTTTTGTATGAATTGAAAAACTAAATGGAGTAAGAGAAGGAGAAAAACAGGTATAAAAGGTCTAAGAATTGGGACGACCCAGGACATCTGATTAGAGAGTGCCTAAGGAGATTCAGCATAGTCCTGCCAGCAGAGATTATTTATTTACTTCAAGAGTTAAGAGTGGCAGTTTGGGAATAGTACCAGGAGATATCAGCTGTGATGGCTTGCAGAAACAGTGTAAACCGGCAGTGTAAACAAGAGCAGGGCATGTATGAGTAGTTGAGAACGGTGAATAGGCGTATGACTAGACAGAACATAGTAGGGATGACAAGTTTTTGGGGGCACAGTCTAAGTTGTTCTGGTGTCTGGAATGAGACTGGGGCCTAATAAAAAGGAGCATCTATACAGGAGCTCAAATGGGCTGTACCCTGTAGCATTCTGAGGACAGGCCTGACTTCTGAGAAGGGAAAGTGGTAAAAGTATTGTCCAGTCTTTTTTAAGTTGGTGGCTGAGCTTGGTGAGGTGTGTTTTTAAAAGACCTTTTAGTCCATTCTACTTTTCCTGAAGACGGAGGACCGTAAGGGATATAAAGGTTTGACTGAATACTAAGAGCCTGAAAAACTGCTTGGCTGATTTGACTAATAAAGGCTGGTCTATTATCAGACTGTATAGAGATGGGAAGGCTAAACTGAGGAATTATGTCTGACAGAAGGGAAGAAATGACTGCGGTGGCCTTCTCAGACGCTGTAGGAAAGGCCTCTACCCAACCAGTGAAAGTGTCTACCCAGACTAAGAGGTATTTTAGTTTTCTGACTTGGGGCATGTTGAGTAAAGCCAATTTGCCAGTCCTGGGCGGGGGCAAATCCCCGAGCTTGATGTGTAGGGAAGGGAAGGGGCCTGAATAATCCCTGAGGAGTAGTAGAATAGCAGATGGAACACTGAGAAGTTATTTCCTTGAGGATAGATTTCCACGATGGAAAGGAAATGAGAGGTTCTAAGAGGCGGGCTAGTGGCTTGTGCTATAGCATAGCCTGCCTTTGCTGGTGTGTGGCGATTAGGCCTGGTGGAACCACCATCAATAAATCAAGCGTGATCAGGGTGAGGAACAGGAAAGAAGGAAATATGGGGAAATGGGGTGAATGTCAGGCGCATCAGAGAGATACAGTCATGGGGGTCAGGTGTGGTATCAGGAATAATGTGGAAGTCGGGATTAAAGTCCAGGCCAGGAACAATGGTAATTATGGGACTTAACAAAGAGTGAGTACAGCTGAAGGAGCCGGGGAGCAGAAAGTATATGCGTCAGGTATGAGGAAGAAAATAGATTTTGGAAGTTATGAGAAATGTAGAGAGTGAGTTGAGCATAGTTCGTGATTTTTAGGGCCTCTAAAACTATTAAAGCAGCAGCAGCCACTGCACGCAGACATGAGGGCTAGGCTAAAACAGTAGGTCAAGTTGTTTGGACAGAAAGGCTACAGGGTGCAGTCCTGGCTCTTGTGTAAGAATTCTGACCGCACTAAGCATGCCTAGGAAGGAAAGGAGTTCTTGTTTTGTAAGGGATTGACGTTTGGGAGATTAATCGGCCACAATCAGCAGGGAGAGCACGTGTGTTTTTATGAGAATTATGCCAAGATACGTAACAGATGTGGATGAAATTTGGGCTTGACTGAAGTAATAGGGGCTGTCTGTGAAGCCTTGCGGCAGTACAGCCCAGGTAATTTGCTGAGCCTAATGGGTGTCAGGGTCAGTCTAAGTGAAAGCGAAGAGAGGCTGGGATGAAGGGTGCAAAGGAATAGTAAAGAAAGCATGTTTGAGATCTAGAACAGAATAGTGGATTGTGGAGGGAGGTATTGAGGATAGGAGAGTATATGGGTTTGGCACCACGGGGTGGATAGGCAAAACAATTCGGTTGATAAGGCACAGATTCTGAACTAACCTGTAAGCCTTGCCTGGTTTTAGGACAGGTAAAATGGGGGAATGGTAAGGAGAGTGTATAGGCTTTAAAAGGCCATGCTGTAACAGGTGAGTGATAACAGGCTTTAATCTTTTCAAAGCGTGCAGTGGGATGGGATATTGGCATTGAGCCGGGTAAGAGTGATTAAGTTTTAATAGGATGGTAAGGGGGGCATGATCGGTCGCTAAGGAGGGAGTAGAGGTGTCTTATACTTGTGGCTTAAGGTGGGGAGACACAAGGGGAGGATGTGAAGGAGGCTTTGAACTGGGGGAAAAGGTGGCAATGAGGTGTGGCTGTAGCCTAGGAATAGTCAGGGAAGCAGATAATTTAGTTAAAGTGTCTCGGCCTAATAAGGGAACTGGGCAGGTGGGGATAACTAAAAAGGAGTGCTTAAAAGAGTATTGTCTAAGTTGGCACCAGAGTTGGGGAGTTTTAAGAGGTTTAGAAGCCTGGCCGTCAATAGCACAACAGTTATGGAAGCAAGGGAAACAGGCCCTTGAAAATAAGGTAATATGGAGTGAGTAGCCTCCGTATTGATTAAGAAGGGGACGGACTTACTTTCCACTGTGAGAGTTACTCAAAGCTTGGTGTCCGTGATGGTCTAGGGGGCTTCTGAGGCGATCCGGCAGTGTCAGTCTTCAGCCACGAAGCCGAGAAGATCTGGGAAGGAGTCAGTCAGAGAGCCTTGGGCCAGCATTCCAGGGGCTCTGGGAGTGGCTGCCAGGTGAGTTGAACAGTCTGATTTTCAATGGGTTCCTACACAGATGGGATACGGCTTAGGAGGAATCCTGGGCTGTGGGCATTCCTTGGCCCAGTGGCCAGATTTCCGGCACTTGTAGCAAACTCCTGGGAGAGGAGGTTCTGGAGGAACCCCTGGCAGCTGCGGTTCAGGTGTTTGGAGTTCTTGTGTGCTGGAAATGTGGCTGGGGTTTGTCTCACAGTGGAGGCAAGGAATTGCAACTCAGAAATACATTGCTACTTGGCTGCCTCTACTCTTATTACTGCACATCTTGAAGGCAATGTTAATTAAGTCCTGTTGTGGGGTTTGAGGTCTGGAATTTAATTTTTGCAGTTTTATTTAATGTCAGGAGCGGATTGGGTAATAAAATGTATATTGAGAATAAGACGGCCTTTTGACCTTTTAAGGTCTAGGGCTGTAAAGCATCTCAGGGTTGCTGCCGAACGAGCCATGAACTGGGCTGGGTTTTTCATATTTGATGAAAAAGAGCCTAAACGCTATCTGATTTGGGATAAAGAAAAAGGAGCATTAACCTTGACTATGCCTTTAGCTCCAGCCACCTTTTTAAGAGCAAATTGCTGGGCAGGTGGGGGAGGGCTAGTCACGGAAGGAAACAGTAAGCTGGACCAGGTGTGAGGAGGGGAGGTGATAAAAGGATTATAGGGTGGAGGAGTGGAGGCTAAGGAAGAATTGGGACCTAGCTCGGCCTGCTGAGGAGCAGCCTGGGGAGAAGGCTTATAACATTATCTACATTGAATTTAACCTCTTACCCAGACAGTAAATTTACTTCCTTTTATTTATAATCTTCATGTGTTTTATTGATAAACATTTGCATAAAAATTAGCTAAAATTTATCAAGTGCATACCATGTATTGGGCAGCCTTCTAAGTACTTCATATTTATTAATTCACTTATTTTTTTCAATACTCATTTATTAAATAATCCTCATTTTACAGTTGAAGAAATTAAACTCAAGAGAAAGAAATTGGGTAGTTAAGTAATCTACACAGTCACATAACAGTAAGAGGCAGAAACAGAATGTGAACCCAAACAGTGGGTTTCAGAGGTGCCTTCTTAATCAATTTATTATTCTGCTACTTTGTATTATTCTGATACTTTATATCAGAAAATGAAGAAAAAGAGAAAGTGACCCTAATTGTCTGAAGTGTTTAGTTCATCCTTGCATTCCCTATCACACGATAGTAATAAAAAAACATTTTTAAAGTTATTTTAATTATGAGCATGCATACAAAAATTCTAGGTTAATGGGTGGATGGAATGCAATGATTATACAAACTAAAAAGTCAAGAAATGTAGTTCTTAGGAGTAAAACTTAAAAAGAGAAACAATGCATCTTTTATAAAGCATTTAATGTTACACAAACTTAGGAAATTAATAGAATTTGATAAAGCTGACATATGATATCTACTGGAAATTTGAAAGCAAATATTGTTTTAAATGTTGCTGTAAATGTTGAAATAAGCTTGTTAATTAAATGGTGTCTGTTCAACAAGCTCTGGCTGTCTTGGCCTATGCAATACAAGAAGAAAATAAAACAGGAGATATGCAGATTGGAAAAAAGCATCAGAATTTTCTGCCAAGCTTATGACTATCGATGTAGAAAACCAAAGAAGTTCTCATCTACACTCATGGAACTGAGAGACTTCAGCAATGTTGCTACTCATAAGAGCCACATGAAAAAATTAATAACCTTCCAAAAGATCAATGAAAAAACAATCAAGATACGTAATTAAAAGAAACATTTCTCTTGTAACAACAACAAAAGACATTGGATAGTCATAGACCTTTAAGAAAAGATGTGTAAGATCTATGAGGATTAGTGAAGGTTTTACAGAAAGACCTAAATTAAGGTGAGGTATGAATAGGAAGGTGTTAAAGCAAGAATATAAATTTTCCAAAATGTATGCCAAAAATTATTTTCTGAAATATTTCCCAAATCTCACAGTTCAATGAAGTGCCAATCAAAACCATATCAAGATTTTTTTCTGTGGTGATTTTTTAAAACTTAATTTGAAGTGTCGTTAACAGAGAGTAAGTATACAAAAATAGTCAAGAGAAACCTAAAAAACAGAAGAAGGAATGAATCAATCTAACAAATATCAAGACTTTTTACATAGCTACCTTAATTAATAGAGTGCAGTATTTGTGTAAAAAGAAGCCATTATTTCAGTGGATTATCACTTCAAAGCCCAAAGGCAAAGGAAAGAATACTTGAGAAATTAGTATGTGAGAGGATTGATTATCAGTTTCTAGTTATTTCTAATCTATAAGTAGACCAGAAGTTGAGTTTGATTATATGTGTGTGTGTGTGTGTGTATATATATATATATATATATATATACACATATATATACATATATATATGATTATGTATATTACATATTTGAGCAAAATTTGCTACTATGGTTATATTTTTAGTGAATATTTGAGGAAATAAATAAAATCCAAGAAAATAGCAATTCAATCTTATGTCAATAAGTAACTGTGTAATTGTCAAATAAAAAAATCCATAAAATGAACATTATTAACAACTAATACAAGACCAGCTCTTGAGTAGACCATGAAGTGTAACTAATCAACAATTATGGCAAAGTTTTTTCTCTTTTGTGAGAACGAATTACAATGTTTTCCTTACAGCTTTTTGAATCAGATATTATGGCTCTGAAAGCAAATTTAATTTTCATCGCAATTCATGACTCAGATATCTTTTCAGTGGAAAGCAGTGAATTGGCTGCCAATTAGATTGATGCTATTTGAATCTGCATGCATGTTCTTGAAATAATCCTAAAAGAATTCAATTCAACTTGCTGACAAAAGAACTGATCTATACTGCTGGGTTTTTTTTTCTTTTTATTCATCCTATTATGTTCCCTAATCCTGAGTATATTTTTTACTAGGAATGAATGAAGATTGATTCAGTCCCAATTACAGAGGCCATTCAGTTAATTACCCTCATGTTATCCATATAATGTACACCTATATAAATGAAAGTCACTTTTCTCTGAAGTCTCAAGTCTATGAATTTCTTATGGGACCAGTGCAGAACAGGTAATATTGCAATTATAATTGGATACATATGCTTGTAATTACACTGCCCCACTCAGATCTTCTTACTCTACCTAGTATCTGATAAAACTGATAGTTGGGAAAATGAGAAATAGAATTCTGATTCGGTCTGTAATGCAGATTTATTTCTTGAAAGCTACAAAAGTGATTTCTCAAAAGACAACTGCTATATTTTAAAAAATAAAATCTTGCAGTAAACAAGTTTCCTAAGAGAGTATATCTCTTATTCTAGAGAAAATAATTCATTGTTTTAGAAACTAGAAAGCCTAAGTAGCCTAGGGTTTCATAGAACATAAGTTGAAATTAATTGACCTCATTATAAATAATGACCTTTCCTAACAGAGCATGTTGATGAGTATCTGTATGTGCAGAAGTGTCTTAAGAAAATGATTGGTGAAGGCAATCTCATACTATGCCTTCAGACACTCATTTCTTTTAATTTTCATCTACTTCTTACATTTCACTGTTTTTCCAAGCTCATGCTAAATTTCTCAGAGTTGCTTCTTTGTTTTGCTCTGACTCATTGCAGTTTCTTTGTGTTACATACATCCTTTAAGTCCCCCCTTGAGATGGTAATAATCTGTTTTCGTCTCTGCCAACTCCCTCCCCAACAACACGGCATATTTAATTGTAACTTCAGGAGGCACAATTATTCTTATTATAGAATTCAGACAATGGAATGGGTAAACACATATAAGATGATGAGAGTCAGAATAAGTATATATAAGAGAAAAATAGTTCATATGTTGTCACATGTGCTATTGTGACAATACAATAGTGTTGTGTATGGAAAGCAAGGATCTTCTCCCAATATCTACAGGCTTATTATGTGATAAGTGATATTTTTTCTGTGGATGAAGAGACAGAACCAGAAAATATTGGCAATGCTAACAGGACACATGTTAGTTCAACTGTATGGAGAACTTCCTGCCAGGCAATGGGATGAGTTAACTAAGGACAACGGAGCTGTGTCATGCTAATGATTATCTGAGGAGTGTGAAGTTTACCCTATTGTCAATGGACAGCTAAGAAATAGAGGAATAACTTTTTAACAATAGATCAATTCTGTTCTTGCCAAATGAATATTTAGCCAAATGATGAATTCAGCATCCATTTGGTTTAGATAAAACAATGTACTTAGAGTAGAGGACTGAAAAATAAGGCAGATGATTTGGAAGAGATGCACACGTGAGTATGGTCCATGTAGAGGTCATAGTTAGTATTATGAAAGAAAAGTTAATGGGTTTTACAGTATGAAAGAAGGCAAAAAGGAGAGTGCTGGGAGCATGGAAAACTTGGAGAAAGACATTATATATATATACATATATATGTATATATATGTAATGTAAAGACATTACACACACATGTGGAGTAAAAATGCAATAGAAAATAAGACAGATGAACATAACATTAAATAAACTAAAATACTTTTATGACAGATGAGAAAATTGTATAACGTAAGTGCTGGGGTTGGAGGACAAAATTTTGTTCCTGGGATTAAAGAATGCTGGTGAATTGAAAAGATCAAGAAGTAATAAAAGAAGTGTCTTCATCCCTTTATATTGTTATGTCATTGAACTCTCTTATGGATTGAGTAGAAGATTACAAGTGTATTGCCCCTTTGTTTTTCTCAATTAATTTTTATAGAAGTATGGTGATTGAAACTACCAGTATCAATCAAGATGGTCTAGGATATGGAATGATAACAGCCAACTGTAGCACATCAGTGATTTCAGACCACACCCAGACTGTTGGAGCGGCCACTCAAACATTGCTAATACTAGAGCAGAAGGCTCTGTGTGGTCTTAATTGGCAATTAAATGAGCCAGCCTGGAAATGACATGAGTCAGGTCAAGTGTACCCAAAACTGATTGACCTGATAGATATTTAATGGTTGTTTATTCTCAAGTAGTGAGGATATCCTACCCATTCACTAGCTAGATCAGAGCTGTGTCCTAATGAACATGGGTACTCTACACGCATATTAAAAAACACTTATTGCTTAGAAGGGTATGATGGACTTGGGGACTTAGAGAGGAAGGTTGGGAGGAGGATGAGAGATGAAGGACTACACACTGGGTACATTGTACACTGCTCGAGTGATGGGCACACTAAAATCTCAGAAATCACCAGTAAAGAACGTATCCATGTAACCAAACTCACCTGTACTCCCTAAACTATTGAAATAAAAACAAAACAGTTGTTGGTTTTGTTGCTGTGTTATTGCTATTGCAATACAAAATATGAAAAAAAAAGAACCAGGAATATCTAAGTCAGTTAAAAATAGTTTATTCGTACTCCCAGAAAACTCAGAGGCCATAAAATAAATAGTTGGAAGCAAAAAAACTAGAATTGGAGAGAATTAGAGTGAACAAATTTGCAACGAGGAAAATAATGCCAGCAATGAAACTAATTATTTATGTGAAAAAATATTTCCAAAATATCAACTAAACATTTAAAAAGTGACAACCTAAACAATCATTTAATTAAAATGATAAATGATCAAATAAGACATAAAAATAAACTCTCTAGAAATATATACAAAAAATGGAAAGACTTAGAAACTGTTCTTATAAAATTCATAAAATTATAGAAAATTATAATTCCTATTTTTATTAAAACAATAGTAAAATGCATATTATTATATATGCTGATGGGATTGTAATCAGAAAAAAGTGTTTTATGAGACATTTTGTTCATAGAAATTAATTATAATGAGATGGTGTTAAATAGAAAGAATATCAACCATAAAGAGAGGTTGCCTAAATTTGAAATCAGATCATAACATTCACCACTTCTGGATGAAAACTTTACATTTTAACCGTTTAAATATTTATTTGTTTCCATCCATCTCCTAGAAATTAAAAACATACCTAACAGTGAGCAAAAGATGCAGCCTAATGAGGTTCAGTGAAGCATTGTTTATTTTACCGAAACTGAAGAAAACATATAATAAATTATTCTGTACAGAATTTGCCACACAAAAAAATTAACGTATCTCCATAATGTAATGAATGCAATACATTTTTTAATGTATTCATCTGAAAAGATATTTAATATATTATTATGTGACAAAAACCAGTGAAAAAAGAGTATGTGCAGTCTTTCCCACTTTTAGAAAGAATACATTAGTATAAGAACAAATAAACACAAGAATATACAAACATTAGAGCAGTTTCCTTTGGCAGATGCAATTATGAAGAAATTTTACCTTAGTATTCATTTTAAATATTTTAATAATAAATAACCTTAAATTACTTTTATGATAAAAAATAGAACTGTAACAATAGAAGCTAAATGATTCATTTAAAGTATATTCCAAAATATTATGTTGGTAGTAGGATAACAACTTAGAAAAGTCCATGTACCATGTGCTACACATTACAGTTTTAAAGTGCCTTTAGTAACATCTGACAAAAGTTGATAATATAACACTTAACAACCATTGTACAGAATAAAGAGCCAATACTACTGATAAAGGCATATTACCCACAATTGGGGCATGAAATTTTCATTTTCCATTAAGATTCATTTTATACAGCTCCTCTAAATGGCCTCTTACGAGCCCATTCCTGCTGTCATCCTGCCCACTTGCTTACATAAACAGAAATTTAACAGCCCATATTCTTGAATCCGTACACTTAACATTAAGTGGGTGCTTCTCTGAAATAGTGATACACATGTTTATTAGGAAATATGATGATATTTATCATTTAATGTCATGCTTTATTTGGTATATGGAAAATTCTGTAAAGTGAAAGCAATTTCCAAATTTATAAATTATTTTCTAATGTGCATTTCAAAAGCAGTAGCTCCATTTTCCGAGTTTTAAATCTGAACAAGAACAATTCTATTTGCCCTTGATCTATATTGCATTGTATTGATGTGATATTTCATGGACCATTATTTTATAAATCAGATTTCTAACATACTTAGGACCTAAGTTATGTCAATACCTCCAATCAACTACTATTATCCTGTTTTCATATTTGCAATATATTTATAATAGCTTCTTAGTAGAGGTAGCTAAAATTATAATTAAAAGCAAGACTGTGCGTTTGTCACAGGAGAAGAATGTTAAAAGATGCTGTTACTATTAGGATTATTAATAATGCTATTATTTTACTATTATTATATTCTTCAAAGCAGAGGTGTCCAATCTTTTTGCTTCCCTGGGCCACATTCGAGGAAGAAACATTCTCTTGGGCCACACATAATATATACTAACAATAGCTGACGAGCAAAAAAAAAAAAAAAAAAAACTCACAGTGTCTTAAGAAAGTCTACCCACTATGTGTTGGGCTGCATTCAAAGCTGTCCTGGATCGCATGCAGCCCATGGGCCACGGGTTGAACAAGCTTGCTTTAAAGTAATAGCATAGTGCCTAATAAACACCTAGATATATTTCTCTCAGATAATTACTAGTGAAGTTTATAGAACTAGATCTGAATTTTGAAACTTGTCTCTGATTGGACAGAGGCATAACAAACAACATTCTTTGCCATCTGTAAGTAACTACAGTTCTTAGTTATCCAAGTGTTGGAATTGGGGCAGGCAACAGAAAGAACATTGTATTTGTCTGCAGAATACTCTTGATTATCTCTTCAAGGAAAGGAGACTTGGAATAGGTCTTGTCTTCTTCATGTAAGTGTGCTCTTTGGAAAACATATTTGAACTTGCATGCAAATGACTTTCAGAGAGTTTGCAACCTGGTAGAGCAAACCATGCTTTGTTGACCTGGATCAAGACTCCCAGAAGAGGGGCAACTTCCCTAGCTCCATACCAATCAGCTTTTACCACTTCTTGGATTCCATTATCCATGATTTTTTGAACACAGCAAATATCAACCCATCAAAGTTACTTTATGAAGAGAAGCACCCATTCTCCTTGATTTACGATGGGGTTATGTCCTGATAAACCCATCGTAAGTTGAACCTATTGTAGGTAGAAAATGAATTTAATATACCCAACCTGTTGAGCATCATAGCTTACCCTTAAACATGTTCAGAGCACTCATATTAGCCTACTGTTGGGCATAATCATCTAATGCAAAGCCTATTTTATAATAAAGTGTTGACTATCTTGTGTGATTTATTGAAAGTAAAAGATAAAATGGTTGTATGGATACTCAAAGCATCATCCATAAAGTTTTAAAAAATCATTAAGTCACACCATGGTAAGTCAGAGACCATCTGTAGTAGACTTTCTTTCATAAGGAATACAAGTAATAGCCCAAATAAACATCTTAAGGAAAGAACATAAAAGACTAGGGAGAGGGGTAGTTGTTGGGAGTGGGGAACATGAAAAAGAGAGAGAGAGACAGATATCAGAGCCATTTTTCCAGGCTCTTAAAGATTGTCACAGGGTAGGACCTTCAGGGAGAAAAAGTTAGGAACGTGTTTCCACACTAACATCCATGCTAACATTAACTCCCACAGGAGTATTCAGAAAGCTCAGTGGTGCCTCTTACTCTTATATGATGTTTTAATTATGTTTATATATCATCCAGTGTTTTGGGAGGCAGAGAAGAGGCTGGCCACATCTTACTGTAGCATGGGTTCTTATCCTATGCCTCTTTTACCCCATTAGATATTAAAGTGAAGTTGTTTCACATGTTGTATGTGGATGACTGAACAGAAAACAAATCATGAGCAATGCTAAGTTTTAGTAATTACTGATCATAACTTTAATTGTCACTCAGTTGCATCTAGAAATAGGTGTCATTTAGTCCATCTATTAAGTTTCTCCAGCAAAACAGAACCAACAGAATGTGTTTACATATAAAGAAAGAGAGATCTATTTTAAGAAATTGGTTCATGTGACTGTGGAGGTCTAATGAGTCAAAAATCAAGGTGCTGGCAAGGTTGGCTTCCTTTGAGGCCTCTTTCCTGGGCTTGTGAATGTCAGACCACTTGCTGCCTCTCCACATAGTCTCCTGAGTGTCTTGAACTCCTCTTATAAAAACACCTGTTAGACTGGGTTATGGCCCACTCTAAAAGTCTCATTTTAACTTAACCTCTTTAAACGTCCTATCTCCAAATACAGTCACATTTTTAGGTAGTGGGGGGTTAGGACTTAAATATATAAACGTTGGGGGACACAGTTTAGCTTGTAACCATCCAAAAGTGAAATTTATGTTTCTCCATTTTGTTATTTGTTGTTGCAATATTATTTTAATAATGAATTATTTGTAGGTAATGGTAAAGCATGCAATGAAAACTTCCATGCCTGCTAAAACGCTTTTAACCACAAGTTAGAAAAACAAACACATAACCACCCAACAAACCAAATTCTTACAAACAAAAGTAGAAGCAAAAACATGTACAGATTTCGCAAAACTGAAATAATGGTTGTTAGAGATGTTTCAGAGTTGGCTTAATCCCATTACCCTGGCTCCGATCCTTAGTGATTCTGTCAGGTCCACCCTCTGCTATGTCCAGCCTTTGTCCTAGGACTGGTTCCTGGGGAAGATTACAGCCTCATACCCTCAAGTAATGTCCAGAGGAAGAAGGAATTGTACTTTCTGAGGTTTTCTTTAAGCATGACATAATTCCTCCCTGAGTCCCTCAGGAAACGTCTTTTGGTATTTCATTTGTTTGACTAAGGTCACTTTTCCATTCCTGAAGCAATCCCATGTCCCTCAATAAGCTTAGCCTGATTCCTATGTTATTTACTAGGAAGAGAAAGAGGTATTGTGATGAACTTTGAGGTCAAACCTAGTCAATCCCCCAAATTTATGGAAACAACAGTGGTGGAGAGGTGGACTAGATTTGAGGGCTAACACCATAATGACCTCTACAATTGCCTATGAAAAAGAAATGTAACTTGCGTTTAAATTTTAACACAAACACATTTAAATGAAGAATATATTTCATAGAAATAATGGCAAATGGTTTTCTGTAAATGTGTGCTATTTCCGGGGAGGTTGAAGAGATTGGTGTTGAAGGGCTAATAATTGTATTACTTCCTGCATTAGATTATGGTCCAGTGACCATAATGTCTTTAAATCACAAGAAAATAAGTTGGTTTAATATTGGCTTCCAGGACATAGAATGTTTGTTTATTGTGTGAAGTGTTGCATTTTAACTGGGAGCAATGGTAGTTTGATTTCATTTCCAGTGCCTTGAAAACATCTAAAATGTTCATCTCTCTACTACCATTGTAAACTAAGACACATCAACTACAATTTCTGACAACATTTATATTAGCTTTATTTTCACTTTACAGGTTCTTACACATTTGATTAAAAATATGACAGATTCTTACAACTCTGAAATTAAAAAAAAGTTTAAGTCCTTGTATTGTGCTGTAAAGTCCTTATTATTTTGCAAATATTTTTGTACTTTGAAGCAAAAAGGTGCAACTCTTAATTTTGCATTTGAATGTCTTCATAGATCTCCAATTACTAACATAGCCTAACACCGATATTCATAATATGTAAGAGATTGTATTTTCATCACAATGTAGGCAATATGACAATTTGTTTATGGAATATGGTGGGAAAGTAAAAGTTTTCTTTTGGAGAATTATTCAAATCATGATGGTCCTGCACCTGTGGTAGCATCAGCATATACGGAGTATGAGTGTTTAGAACAATGAGTGTTTATGATCTCAGGAAGAAAACATGAAACAATATTCAGTGAGTTCACCAGAACTCAGTCTTCAGTACATTCTTGAAGAGCCATAGAACAATAAAAGAATTTTGTTAAATGCTCAATGATTATATAAATAAATGAGATATAATTGAACAATTATGACTAATGAGGTCCGGCAGTATGGAAAATAAACTCTCCTTGGTCAGAATCTTCCTGCTTACAGATAAATTGAATTGCCCAAAGAATGTTCATTGAATATGGATAACTTGAGTTCATTCTGGAGGAGACCCTCTGAGGACTGCAGAACATATCTCAGAATCATCCCACCAAAGAGTGAGGATCTAGGGTGTTTATCCATCAATTTCCATTCCTTGTGGGTTAAGCATTGCCTTTGGTACAATTATTGTCCTGAATGTATGCCACACCTATCACCACCCTCAGCTCCCTGCAGTCTCAAAGCTTGCCGAAGCAGGGAAAGGTGGGAAGCTGTCTGTGCTCTGTGCATAAGGGACCAGTCTGCAGGTGAACTCCAGGGTAAGAGAGAGGATATGAATAGGACACTGACAGTTTCTGCTATTGTAAGTTAGGCTATGTTATGGTAAGAAAAATATATCCACAGACACCTGTGCCTTGTTTCTAAATATATCTAAAATTGATAGGAAGAGGATTCTGCTTAGTGCAGTCAATGAGAGATCCAGACTATTGGAGGAGCTGCCACCTCATCAGGGCATATCCTAGAACTCATGCTCTTCCCGTTGTGTAGCATAGGTAGAGAAACAAGAAAATTGCAGAGAAGTTGTATTACTTCAGCATGAAAGTAGCACACATCACCACAGCCAAGAACTATCCACAACTAGTTGCATATCCCAATCTTACTTTCAGAAGGCAGAAAGTTGTTGAGAAAGATATGTTCTACCTGCTTGCCATTACTCTCTGTGTTACATTCTATCAGTCTGGTCATAGCAATAGCAGTGGTGAGAATAGTTGTTGTAATAGTAGTTGTAATAGTACGTAGTCATCATTGTAATCGTTGTAATTAGTGATGTATAAAGAATCTTCGCAACAAAAGAGAGTTGAGAAATCTGAAATATTTTCCAGAAGATATTATTTTTAGAAAATGTAATTGTTTGACATTAAGAAGAAAGAAGTTAGTTATCATCCCAACTATATCCAATTAGTATACTTTCAGTGTAAACTGGAGGAAAGCCCATCCCAAAATAATTTAAGTACTACTAGCAGTACTGAAAAGTCCAGAGTACACTGCATATCAGGATAGCTTGATGCAAGGGTACAAATACTGTCATTTATAATTTACATTTGATTCTGTCCTCTGTGGGGCCTCCATTTCAGATATTCAGACAGAACTTGCTTCATGATAAAATGAAAAGGAGATGGGTTCAGAATAGACTTGGAGAGGCAGTAAGAGTACATGAAGTTTAGTTTTCCTTGACAATGACATTTTAAGATATTATTTGCTTTCTGGGCCAATAAGCTGCTTGCTTTGATTATTTCCCTAGAGGATACTGTTAATGGTTTCATCAAAAGCAGAGGCATGGTATTTAATTTTGCTTGCCCGAACCTCCCTCAACTTTTGGATTTCAGTAAGTCCGCTCTATGCAAGCACTATATATGGGCATTCAAGCTCCTCTCTAGGGGTTCTTCTTACTCGTAAGATAAAGCTGCTTCAGGTAGATTCTTTCTCCCATGGATCATTTCTGGATCACAGGAAACGTACATGAATTTTTCTCCTAGCCAAAGTACAGGTTTGTAATTTGTTGCCAAACAGGAACAACATTTTCCTTCAGACCCATTATTAAATTCATAGCTGTCCCTGCTCTTTGCGATTTTCCAGATATGATTTAAACACTGGCCCACTGTGTCTCTCCCTAACTGCAACAGACACATTTAAAACTCCCCAAGCCATCCAAATGAAGTCCCTATATAAGGCTTATGGTGGGGGAAAATTACCACCCACCACACTCTCCCTTTAGGAAGGTGAATTTCTCACAGAGCTATCCAAAGAAAATCTGATTATATATCATCTTGCCAACTTCAACAGGTAGGCCTTATTATATTTAAAGAGGGTAAGGAGGTTTAAGAGTGCCATGGATTGAATTTTCTTGGTCCCTATCAAATTCATATGTTGAAACTGAATCCTCAATGTGAGTGTTTATTTTTATGTGAAGTTTTTGGGAGGTAATTAGATCACAAGGGTGGAGCCCTTACTAATGCAATTAGTGCCCTTATAAAAGAGGCCTCTGAGAGATAAATGAGAAATAGTGAGCACAGAGTGAAAAGACAGCTGTCTATATGCCAGGAAGTGGATGCTCACCAAAGGTAAAATCTTCCCCTGCCTTGATCTTGAACTTGCCAGACTCAAGAACTGTTAGAAATACATTCCTGTTGTTTATAAGCCACAAAGTCTATGATATTTTGTTATAGCAGTCCAGACATACAAGTTTTTTTAATGATCTGTAATACTAACTATATTTGAGTTCTACTAAGTATTAACATTTCACTAATCTCTTTTGTCTTAGAATATTAGTCAAAACTCCCATTTTAAGAGAAGCTACACAGTCTTGGGTTCGGTTCAAATCCCCTTAGAAAAAGTGATAACTACTTTCTCAATATCTCAGAAAATGTTTCATTGGTCCTGATTGAGTGATGGGTCCATCCCTAATATAATCCTTGAGGGAAGAACATACTTTGATTCCCTTCACATCTGAGCTGGGAGATGGAGCTCCCACAGAACACGTGTTATAAGAGGTGGAGAATGGATGGTTCTCCCATTCTGGTGGCAAAAATAATAGATTCCATTTCAAAACCTTATATTGTGAAGTAGGCAGTGAGGGGAGCAATTGAGAGCTTTTATAGGCTACATGTAACACAATTAATGGTGTCAATAACAGTATCATTTTGGCACATTAATCAATTATCGATTAAGGGAGTAAAGGTGGTAAGAAGAGGTGGTATTGTACTTCTTCTCTCCTATATTGTCAAAGATCTCCTTCTTGCTTCTTTCATGGCTTTTGGCTTCCTGATGGCTTCCAGCAGCTTTTGTGTTGTTCTTAGGATTTACATATCGTTTGCTTGAATAAAAAATACAGACAATTTTGCATTTTTTATAACCATATGAAAACTCTTTGGAGTAATACTTGTATTTGAAATTATTACCATGACAATCATTACACACATCTATCAAGATTTTATTTCTTTAGGACATTCTGTATCTAAATTTCTAGGACTTTCTAAGAAGGGAGAAAAAGGAACATCATACACAATTATTTTAAATAAACTTCAAAGTACAGTTAGAACAGAAAAAAACTTTTCATTATTTTATACATTTTATTATGTAACTTTTGTCCATGTTGAGTTCACTCTAAGTCATGATGCTGTTCCTCACGTTTCTCTTAATTATATTCTCTAATAGTAGAATGTGTACAGTTTTAATATTCTCTAAGCTTTAGTCAAGGGCAGCTTTGTTCTTTAAGCCTTCATATATTCAACAGCTATCACCAAAATAATATTCAATCTTTAAGCCAATTTTCTATGTCAGATAATTCTTTAAAATGTCATGGTTGGTTGCTTTAATTTCATCACCCCTTCGAAAGACCGTTTGGGCTCTAAAATGGTTACATATGTCTTGGTTAATGTCCTCAGTCATGGTGCCTTCAGCTGTCTTTTCATTTCTGGACCTAGGAGACTTATTCAATTTCCATTATATTGTATGGCTAATCAAAAGAAGGTCTTTACACCCTACTTATTTAGCTGTCAGAAGTACCTGTATCAAAAGAAAAATACAAACCAAAATAATCTAAATAAGCATTTCTTAAGGTTATGACTCCTGCACTGAATTTACGGAAATATTTTTGGTCAATTTCTGGCTTTTGAGTATAATTAGTACAAGTGATCAGAGAATATGAATCAAGTTTTCATAAATCGTTATCACTTGTGGAACTCTTTCCAGAGCTAAGAGGATACAACTGTTTGCATACCTAGTTCCTAGTAATATTCATAAGTGGACAACTTTCAAGCTCTAGCTTCAAGTTTATCATCATCTGATTTACAATAATTTATTCTTTGGTGCCAAATTAAACCTTTTGTTCCTAACTGCAAAGAGTTATTAAGATTAATAGTTTGTCCCCACAAAAGATTTTCAATAAATTTCCCTTTTGTCTTCCTTTTCTGATGGGTGAGAAGGGAGGGAACCTTTCAGAAAGAGTGACAATGGATCAGTTACAGAGATAAAATCAACAGCAACTCTCTGGATTTACTTCCAGTAAACAACATCAAAATGATACAGGGTTGGAATTTTGTGAATCTATTAGTTAATGGTGGTTTTTTTTTCTTAAAAAATTTTAAACTGCTCTATTTCTACCTCCTGGATCCTTTCAAATTCTATCACCATCTACTTTAGATCCATTGGATTAATTATTTTACCTGCTCAGTTTTACTAATTATTTATATTATTGGAGAAAAAATATTGCCAATACTTTAATAAAACTCAGCATATGTACAATATAAGTGGGAAATTAAAGCAGAGAAACAGATGCATTCAGATTAATTTATAAAATATGCTCTAATATATGTCTTAATGATATATTAGAGTGAAAAACTATAGTTAAAACTTTAGGAGTAGCAAAATATTACCAATCATTTGCAGAGATATGAAAAGAAAATCAGATGCCCAATTACTGAAGCATTGTTAAAGCAGACTTTGTCTCCTTTAGGAATCACTCTCTTTCTAATCCCCCAATTTTTTTTTGTTTCTTGGAAAGTTACAACTCTGTATGTAATTTACTTAGTATTTTCTTGAAAAAAAAAAGAAGAAAAAGTTTGGAACCTTAGATTTAACTCATTTCTGGATAGATTATTCACATTTTTAACCAGATATAATTCTTGCTTAAGTTCTTTGAATAAGTTTTTCATAAAATACTGTGCCTTGTTACGTGATATGCCAACCACAAATTGTACTTTTAATATTTAAGGTGGAGTTCTTTCTATTAGAAATAGCTTCTCTTAAAAAGCTTTTATTTTATTTTATTTTATTTTATTTATTTATTTTTGAGACAGGGTCTCACTCTGTCACCCAGGCTGGAGTGCAATGGCGCGATCTTGGCTCACTGCAACTTCTGCCTCCCTGGCTCAGGTGATGCTCCCACCTCAGCCTCCCAAATAGCTGGGACCACAGGTATGCACCATCACACCTGGCTAATTTTTTGGTACTTTTTGTATAGATGAGGTTTTGCTACATTGCCCAGGCTGGCCTCAAACTCCTGGACTCAAAGGATCCACCTGCCTCTGCCTCCCAAACTGTTGGGATTACAGGCATGAGCCACTGCCCCAGGACTTAAAAAGCTTCAAAGAAACACTTTTTACAAAAGATTAAAAACAGGAAAAGAGTAAGAGAATAAACCCTACACTACAGAATGAACTAGTTATCATTTACTAACAAATGGTACAAGCACCACACACTCACAGTATATCCCCTCTCCCATCCCATCTACTATGATATATATCTACATATATGTATGTGTGTGTATATATTTACACACACCTATACCTATGCAATAATATCTTAAAATTCTAAAATAAGGAACATGGTCTAAGCTAAGATCTTACTACATAGTTAAAATCAATACAATTTTTACTTTTCCAGGAATTTTAAACTGTGGGATTACTGCATGTGATTACCATGGAGAGGGGATGAATGTTAATAAATGAAAGTGCATAAATTATATCCCTATTGATTTGTTTGAATTCCCCTTTTGTAGGGAATTAGTGGAAGCCTTAGCTTAAATAACTATTGAAGTGCCAGCAGCACTTTGGTTCACCTTTTCTTCAATATTGTGATTCTTTTTGTCATAAGATGCACATCTCTGAAAAATACTGATTTGCTTTCACAAGACCTATTAACTTTCTAGTATCAGATCTTACATTTTAATTGCAGAGAGAATCTAGTTCCTCCAGCTGTCATTGCTTAAATACTAAGAAGCTTTCTGCAACACCTTGAATTTAACAACAGCATGTCTACGAGTCATGCTATTATCTTTCCCTGTTTCATTAATCTGTGCAGTATTAGAACTTCTACAGAGGACACGATTGAAATGCATACTTGCTCTGAGCACCTCTTAGAGCTGTGGCTCTGCCATGGACTGTGGAAGCCTGCACTATTTTAGGGCAGTTAGGCATGTTTTTCCTATATGCCAATGGCCATTCCTCTAAAGTGCTTTGAGCTTTAGTGACTTCCAAAATCAAAACTTGGTGCAGGCTGGACACGGTGGCTCTTGCCTGTAATCCTAGTACCTTGAGCAGCGGAAGTGGGAGGATTGCTTTAGCCCAGGAGTTCAAGACTAGCCTAGGCAACATAGTGAGACCCTTTCTTTACAATAAAATAGAAAGCTAGCCAAGGTGGTGGTGCACACCTGCAGTCCCAGCTACTCGGGAGGCTGAGGTTGGAAGATTGCTTGAACCCTGGATGTTGAGGCTGCAGTGAGCCTTTATTATGCTACCAAACACCAGCCTGACAGAGTGAGACCCTGTCCAAAAAAGGAAAAGAAAAGAAAAGAAAAAAAGTAAAGTAACTTGATGCAACAATTGAAGTAAAAACTAAAGTTCTTGGGGGGAATATCTGACTCCACAGTTATTTAACCCTGACATAGTCATTGCTAATAATTTCCAGTAGCTTTATGGCTAAGTTCATCACGGCATACATGATACTAAGACTTTCTGGATTCTGAGGTTCTTTAATTACAGAAGGTTAAAATAATTTGGATTTATTTTTTGATCCTCAGTTATCTACAAAAATGTTTAAATTATGCTCAGTATTATCTGGTTAAAACAGCAAGAAAGTAGATGAAATGTTAATTTAAATATCTATAAAATAGTCAAAAACTTTAAAGTTAATATGTAAAGCAACAAAATTCTGTTTTCCGGAAAAGTAATTTATGTGCAAAGAACTTTATTAAGGAAAATCTTTCCTTTTACAATAATGAAAGATAAATAAATTGCCACTGTGGTTATTTTCACTTTCTTAAATACAGTCACATTTTGTGTCTGTCAGACTGAAGATAAGAACCCCACAGAGAAAAGCTAAGAACATGTAATTAATTCATTGATAGAAACCATTATGGTTTGCATTTCACTATCTTTATAATATTCATGTAGACTATATTTTTCTTTGCTAACAAGAAAAATAATGTTTCATGTGTTTTTGAAATGTGTTAAATTAGCTATTAAAAGCTATGTATGATTAAAGAAGATTATGAACTATAGCTGACATATGGAGACATGTATTTAGTAGACATATAGCAACTGTTATCAGGACCAGTATGAATAAGTAATATATATTATAAAAACTATAAGCAGCGATGACAAAAAAAGAATACAGAATATTTTCATTAACTTCAATATATGAAATCAAGTAACAGCAGCAATTAACAATCACTGCAAATGAATATACAACAATATCGATCATTCAAAAAGTGAAAAAGAAAATTAATTAACAACCTAATTAAAAATCACAGAATGCCCTCAATTATTCTGTTTAAGTAAGATCATCTTTTTAGTTCTCAGTTTAGAATTTGGACTAATTATTCAATTAAATTTCAGAGAAACATCAACCTTATAAAAACCTCTATTCTGGGCATTTAAATGTAGATTATTAAATATTCTTAATGAACACAGAGCCCATCCAGCATTCCTTTGATCATTTTAGGATATCTCCCCTTTTCTGTCCTTAAACTAAATTATCCTTCCCTTTTATAGATGGATCAGAGATAGCAGCTTTTTAATAAAATAAGGTCAACTTGTAACATTGGGATCTTTTTATTAGATTTTTTTTTCAAATACTAGTGCTTTGGACTGCTGCCATTTCCTTACACCTGAACTGAGGTTCTTTTTTCTGCTGTGTCTAGACATTTTTAAATTGTCTTGTCCATGTGGTCATGAATTAGGCTTTATAAAACAGAATAATTATATTTTGTGACTAATTGTCAGCTGTTTCTACTAAAGAGAATCAAGGTTTATTTTCATTTGCTTGTTTGCATTATACTCTAGATAAGTATATTCAAACAGCTTTCATACCAGTTACACACAAACACAAATCACAGACAAAAGATGTTTTAAATTTTCTAATGCAACCTAAACCATTTAAAATGTAAATTGAAGCATAATTACATTTTCTGAACAAATTTTAACAAGCATCTTGCTTTTAAAGTCTCTGTATGTTTTTGCATGAGTGTGCAGCAGCTTTTATGAGCTAAGTTGTTCAAGGGCTGCAGACATTTTTCATAAAGAGGAAACTGTTTAGCACATGGATTCTAGGTCTCCATCCGTGTTAAATCTTTAATATTTGGTTTGATTTGTTTCTGCATCAACTTTCTTTTTTTTTTAATTTAAGGATTTATTTTTGCCTTGCCCCAACTCAGTACCTCCTTTTGTTTCCAAAAACTTAGCCACTTACTCCAATAATTAGTCAGTCATGTAGATTTTCCTGTATAATGAAGAAGAGAAATAGGGGAGAATCGTGTATCAAACCACTAAGAACAAACGAACCACCTTCCTCAAAACCGTTTTGTTTCCACAGTCACTGTCCAGCCTTCAGGCACGAATGGGAATCCTTTACACTTCTCCTTTTCATTGTCTTGTTTTTCAGGCTTTAGACTCCTCCTAGTTTTTCCATCTATCCCTTCACCAGTTTTGGCTGCTTTCCACATCCTTATGCAGAGCAAATCAACCCAGTTTCAGCTTCAACCTCCAATCTTTAGTCTTGCGAATCTACCTCTACTGCTTAGAAGATGTCTGTGTGTAGAGGAGGGAGGGTGGTAAATTTTAAAAAGAAACAAAAAGTTACATGAAGATTGATAATATGCTTTAACTATTTGCTGAAAAAGGAAGGAAAGAAAGTGAGAAAGATGGAGAAAGAGAGAAAATTGGGCATATTTCTGGTATTTCCATCTTCACTAGAAATACTAAATTATATTATGTTGCATTGTTACTACATTTAAGCCATTTATTTAAAGGTCCTATTAGGAGATATAGGACCTATATATTTCCTAAATACCTATTTCTCTTTAATTTTCATAAAAACATTTGAGCTAGTTTATATTATTATGCCCATTTTACAGATGAGGTAATTAAGGAAATTGTCCAACTTTGCCTCGCTGGTGAGGGTAGAATTGTGATTAGCATCCGGGAGGTCTGACTCTAGAGATTATGCTCCTATGACTACTTTGCCATAGTTTAAACAGCGTGTGGGTTGTTGCTCCTAGCCTGGCATGGTGCTGGACAAATATTTTCAAGTCCTGGAATACAATTTAGGTAATGAAGATTTTCAAATGGTCTACCCCCTGTGCCTGTCCCTGGCATTTAACATTTGTTTTATGAATATGGACACTTTGACATATATGACTGCTTACTGTATCTGTAAACAAATCTGAATCCTTGATGATGCTTCTCATTTACTTAACAAGACCTTTTCTCAAAGGGAGTACAAAGAAACTTCATTCCAAGCCCCACATAAATCATCTTGAATTCCGAATCAATGGTGACTGAACAAATGTGGTTTTGTGGTATATTGCATTGTTTTACATTCCTGCTTCTGTTAAAATCACTATTGGTTTCTTTTGCTTTACCATGATTTTTTTAAGTCCTGGGCAGGCACGTATGTGGCTTATTTTCCCAGTCTCTGTGAGTTTTTGGTACAGTTATCCAGAGTTCAAATAGAGGGTTACATAAGACTACCATTGACTCAGGTGTTTCACTATTAGGGACCTCCTTGCAGCCTGGGCAACTTCACAAACCAATGTAGATATTACTGCAGCACAAGGCAAAAGGACTGTGTGAACCTTCTGGTGTTAAAGACTAGAACTCTGTGTGAATTATTTTCTATTCTGAAAGCCATATAGAACAATCAACACAATTAGGGAGACAATACAGTTTTTCTTGTATTTTAGGAGACTCCGAGGACCAAATCAATTCTGATTCTCTAACTTCCTACATAGTGTATTTTATTAACTAGAAAGGATAGAGTTTACTAAATGGCAATTTTATTGCTCCCTTTGCCTAGGAAGAGAGCAGTGGGATCTTTAGCTTCTTTATTACAAAAGCAGTCAGATATTTTATACAGTAATAAAAGCACCAGCTGCCATTTGAGACAGCTAAAGCTATGCGATGAGTACTATGAGTACAACATTAGTAATATTTTCTAAGAAAAGTGTTCATTAAAATGTAAGTTTTTCCCTAACCCCAAACACTACTGGACTATAAATAGTTATAGACAAGCTACCTTAAACTGGTTAGAGAAAAACCATGTTAGGTAATACCTTTGAATACCTCAACTATTAATGCATAGAATAGGAGAAAATAAAGTTACAGCCAAAATGAATTGGGGCAGTACATTTATTTCCCTCAAAAGTGCATACATTTTTTTCACTTGTCCAAATGTTGTTATATTTCCAACTGATATATAAAAGGAGAAAAATGGCCTGGTAGAATGCATTTGCTATTATTAAAATTTGGAATTTTTTTTAAAGCTGCTGTGTCTTTCAAGTAAATCTCCCAAATCAATTAACTGCTCTAGTTATTAACACTTACTAGCAACTACTTTCCACAAGTCAGTAGCTAAGAGCATGGCATACAAGGAAAGGAAAACACTATCAGTGTCTTCTACCAGTCAATATTATAATCAAAGAGATGAAATTTAAGTATGTGAAATGATACTTAGTAAAGTCAAACAAGTGCTTGTGAAAACTGTTGACACAACGCCATCCGAAGAGTTCAGTGGTAATTTGGCAAGGGTTGTAAGAGTAATTTTTCAGAAAGAAAATAAGATTTGAGATGGTTCTTGTAAGATGGATGCTATATATTCCCATATTGTAAACAAAATTATGAAAAATTTGATTAATAGAGAAATTGCAACCCAGAGCCTGCCATTTAGTAAGAATTCCAATATTTGTCAAATGTATACTACTATAAGAAATTTTAATTTGCACAACAAATATATGAGAACTGTACTATTACTATTTGCAACCTACAGATAAGAAATATAAGGCTTAGAGAGTATCCTTGACATTGACAAATTCCGTCATAGAGGAACTGAGTAGTCAGATTCTGAAGCACAACATTCTGATCCAAATTATCATACAGAATTATGTGTGAGCTTAAGTGAAACTTGGAACAAGAATTGGTCTGGAGACTGAAATTTGCGGAGGAAGAAAGTTGTTTGGGATCAGGTTTTGAAGGTCTTTAATGTTAGCTTGAAAGGATTAAGGCTTAGTAATAGAAAACAGGAAGGAAGTGGGTTTGTAAGAGAGTGTGGGTGTGTCCTAAAAGTCTGTGACTTTTTTTATTGAAATGTGTTCTATTTCTTTCAAATGCAAGAACCTTTAGAAAGAATGCCTTGCTTCTTATTTCAGTAATCCTTAAGAATAGGCATTATACTGGAAACAGAGTAAATTAGCATAAACTCTTGAGATGGACAGAGATTTTTTTAGGGCACTTTTATTTTTCAACTCATATCATTCCTGAAATCTGGAACATGTTATATGTGATAAAATCACTTTCCTATATTATTTTTCCCTTAAACCTCTAGTTACAGAATCTTATAACATATTGTATCTTATAACCCATGGTACCTTTGTTAGAATTTAGGAAAAAGGTCATTTGAAGAATAAAATATAATATGAAATAAAATACAACCTTGAATAGAAATGTAAGAAAATCATTCTAAAATATAAGAAAAATAAAAAACTAAACCTTAGGGAACAGAGAAAGTATCAAGAATAGAGATAAATTTGCACTTTAAAGAATAAATGAATTTTTCATAGTGCAATAGGGTGAGAAAGGTGACATATGCTCATTTAATGGTGAACTAAGACCTTGCTAAGTAATGGAGAATTTTTTAAAAAGTGCAAGCCTGCTTATTGATTTGTCATTTCAGGTGGGCAATAAAGATTAAAAGAGTATGATGGGTAGCTATGTTACTTTCATCAAGTTAAACGAACTCTGTAATTTCCAAATTCCTAAGCTGTAAAACTGCCACGCATTTAGGGCCATAAAGGCTACTGCTCTCTGACATCCCCCAAAGCCCACCGTAGGGACTTGCTCCTTTGTCTTCTCCTGCAGGCACAAGATATGATGAAAACACATTGACTTCCACCTAAACAGTGTCACCATAAGAGAAAAATAGCATCTCATGACCCATCACATCCTGAGAGCTCCCTTTTCACCAGGGCCGAATTCTGAGCAGCCCAAGTACAACCCTTCTTCCAGGGTCTACTCTCTAGGCCACTGTGTCTCAAAGTAGTGTTTTCCTAGGGTGAAACCCCCTTCCCACATGTTCTACCATATTCCTTTGTAATATCACACTCCTAATTTTCTGTGATGTTTTTTTCTCTCTTAATGCCATTGACTTCTACTATCAGAAGCCCTATTCTATAGTAAATAAATACTTTTAAACTCTCAATATCATCAGTGAAATTTGCCAGTACATTTGGGAATGAACTGTAAACCCTCTCCTGAGGTTTTCACAGCTCATGTGGAAGCTGCCTACCCTCTGATGCTGCTCTTCTGGCATAGGCTGGTACAGGCCTTTGTCCTTTTAACTTCCCATGACTTTACTCAGGTCATTTCTCTTCTACTCCCCTATAATCTCCTCACATCATTATTATTGTTTTTTGTTTGTTTCTTTTTAAATTTATTTTTTGAGGACTCAGCTTTGGTAAAGTATAATTTACATAAATAAAATCCACAAATTTTAAGTGTACAATGCGATAGTTTTGACAGTTGCATTCATTTTTGTAGCCACTGCCACAATCATTACAAAGGACATCTCCCTCACCCCCAAAAGTTCTCTGGTACAACCCTGTGTTGTCACTCTCCTCACTCCAGTCCCTCACTCCTAGCAATTACTGATTGGCTTCCATTATTATAGCTTTGCATATGGTATTTTAAAATTGCTTTCATTTTTAATTGACATAATAATTGTATATATTTATGGGATGCTGAGTGATATTTTGATACACATGTACAATGTTTAATGATTACATCAGGGTAATTAGCAAACCCATCACCTCAAACATTTATCATTTCTTTTTGTTGGAAACGTTCAAAGTCCTCTTTTCCAGCTTTTTAAATATATACAATAAATTGTTGTTAATTATAGTCATCCTAGTGCTATGAAACACTGGTACTTACTCCTCCTATCTATGTACTTATTAAACAGCTTTTGGGCAACTACCCATCTCTTTCCTCACCTTGAGTAATCACTATTTCACTCTACTTTTATGAGATCAACTTTTTTAGCTCCCACATATGGGTAAAAATATACAGTATTTGTCTTTCTGTGCCTGGCTTATTTTACTTAACACTATGTCCTCGAGTGTCATCCATATCAGCTCAAATAATAGGATTTTATTCTTTTTTTAAGATTAACTAGTATATAAATGTTTATATATTTCACATTTCTCTTTTTAAAATCTTTTCTTTTTAATTTTTTGTGGGTACATAGTAGGTGTGTACATTTGTGGGGCACATGAAACATTTTGACACAGGCCTGTAATGTGTAATGATCACATCAGGGTAAAAAGGCCATCCATCACCTTAAACATTTATCCTTCATGTCACAAACAATCCAATTATACTGTTTTAGTTATTTATAAATGTAAAACTAAATTATTATTGACTATAGTCACCTTGTTGTGACATGAAATACTAGGTCTTATTCATTCTTCTAACTATTTTTTGGATCTATCAACCATCCCTAATCCCCACCCCCCAGCTCCTGAGCCCCCCACTACCCTTCCCAGACTCTGATACCATCCTTCTACTCTATACCTCCATGAGTTCAGTTGTTTTAATTTTTAGCTTCCACAAATAAGTGAGAACATGTAAAGTTTGTCTTTCTGTGCCTAGCTTATTTCACTTAACATAATGATCTCCAATTACATTCATGTTTTTGCAAATGACAGGATTTCATTCTTTTTTATGGCTCAGTAGCACTCCATTGTGCATATATGCCACATTTTCTTCACTCATTTATCTGCTGATGGATACTCAGATTGCTTCCAAACCTTTGCTATCATGAACAGTGCTGGAATAAACATGGGAGTGCAGATATCTCTTCAATATACTGATTTCCTTTCTTTTGGGTATATGGTGAGCAGTGAGATTGCTGGATTGTCTGGTAGCTCAATTTTTAGTTTTTTGAGGAACCTCCATTCTGTTCTCTGTGGTGGTTGTACTAATTTTCATTCCCACCAACAGTGTACAAGAGTTCCCTTTTCTCTACATTCTCACCAGCATTTATTAGTACCTGTCTTTTCGATAAAGGACATTTTAACTGGGGTGAGATGACATGTCACTTAAGTTTTGATTTGCATTTCTTTGATTATCAATGATGTCGAGCATGTTTTCATATACCTGTTTGCCATTTGTGTTTCTCTTTTTTGTTGTTGTTGTTCCAATTTAATTTAGCTCTGCTCTGATCTTTGTTATTTCTTTTCTTCTGCTGGGTTTGGGTTTGATTTGTTCTTGTTTCTCTAGTTACTTGAGGTGTGGCGTCAGATTGTCTATTTGTGCTCTCTCAGACTTTTCAATGTAGGCATGTAATGCTATGAACTTTCCTCTTAGCACTGCTTTTGTTGTGTCCTGGAGGTTTAATAGGTTGTGTTGCTGTTATCATTCAATTCCAATAACTTTTTAAATTTTCATTTTGATTTCATTGTTGACCCAAAGATCATTCAAGAGCAGATTATTTAATTTGCATGTATTTGTATAGTTTCGAAGGTTCCATTCGGAGTGAATTTCCAGTTTTATTCCACAGTGGTCTGAGAGGGTACTTGATATAATTTTGACTTTTGCAGAAATTTATTGAGACTCATACTGTGACCTATCATATTATCTATGTTGGAAAATATTCTATGTGCTGATGAAAGGAATGTATAATCTGCAATTGTTGGGTAGAATGTTCTGTAAATATTTGTTAAGTCCATTTGTTTTAAGATATAGCTTAAGTTCATTGTTTTTTTGTTGACTTTCTGTTTTCATGACCTATCTAATGCTGTCAGTGGAGTATTGAAGTCCTCCACTATTATTGTGGTGCCCTCTATCTCATTTCTTAGGTCTAGTAGCAATTGCTTTGTAAATTTGGAAGCTGTGGTGTTAGATGTATATATGTATTTAGGATTGTGCCATTTTTCTGTTGGACTACTCCCTTTATCATTATATAATGTCCTTCTTTCTCTTTGTTGCTTTAAGGTATCTTTCATGTGATATAAAAATAGCTACTCGTGCTTGCTTTTGGTTTCCATTTATGTGTAATATCTTATTCCAACCCTTTACCTTAAGTTTGTATGAGTTCTTGTGTGTTAAGTGAGTCTCTTGAAGACAGCAGATACTTGGTTGATGGATTTTTATCCATTCTGCCATTCTGTATATTTTAAGTGAAGCATTTGGACCACTTACATTTAATGTTTGTTTTGAGATGTCGGTTATTGTTCTGTTAATCATGTTACTTGTTGCCTAAATACCTTATATTTTGTTATTGTTTTACAAGCCATGTGAGATTTATTCTTTAAGGAGATCCTATTTTGGTATATTTCAAGGTTTTGTTTCAAGATTTAGAACTCATTTTAGCATTTTTTTAGTTTTGGCTTGGTAGTGATGAATTCCCTCAGCATTTGTTTGTCTGAAAAAGACTTTATCTCATCTTCATTTATGAAGTTCAGTTTTGCTGAATATAATTCTTGGCTGACAATTATTTTCTTTCAGGAGGCTAAAGATAGGACCCCAATCCCTTCTGGCTTATAAGCTACCTGCTGAGAAATCAGCTGATAATCTAATAGGATTTTTTTTTTTTTTTTTTTTTTTTTTTTTTTTTGTAGGTTACCTGATGCTTTTGTCTCACAGCTCTTAAGATTCTTTCCTTTGTCTGGACTTTTGATAACCTGATTTCTAAGTGCCTAGGTGATAATCTTTTTGCCATGACTTTCCCAGGAGTTCTTTGAGCTTCTTGTATTTGCATGTCTAGATCTCTAGGAAGGCCAGGGAAGTTTTCCTCAATTATTCCCTCAAATATGTTTTCCAAACATTTAGCTTTCTCTTCTTCCTCAGGGACACCAATTATTCTTAGGTTTGGCCACTTAACATAATCTCAAGTTTCTTGGAGGTGTTGTTCATTTTTTAAAATTCTTTTCTCTTTATCTTTGTTTGATTGGGTTAATTTGAAAGCCTTGTCTTCACGCTCTGAAATTCTTTCTTCTACTTGTTCTAGTCTATTGTTGAAATTTTCCACTGCATTTTGTATTTCCCTAACTGTGTTGTTCATTTACAGAAGTTGTGGTTGTCTTTTTCTTTATACTATCTATTTATCTGAAAAATTTTTCATCCATATTGTGTATTGTTGTTTTAATTTCTTTAAGTTGGTTTTCACCTTTCTCTGGTATCTCCTTGAATTGCTTACTAATCAATAACCTTCTGAATTATTTATCTGGCAATTCAGAGATTTATTCTTCATTTGGATCCATTGCTAGGAAGCTAGTGTGATATTTTGGGGGTTGTTATAGAACCCCATTTTGTCATATTACCAGAATTACTTTTCTGGCTCCTTCTCATTTGGGTAGACTATTTCTTAAAATTATTTTTTAATTTATTTTTTATTGGATTGATTTTTCTTTTAATTTAATTTTTTTATCCCTCTTAAGGATCAGACTTTGATGTTTATTTTAGCCTAATTTGATTCTTGGGGCTTCTAGGGGTGAACACTCTGTATGAGATCCTTAGTTATAGAGAGTCTTTATGTGCTGGCTTTCCCTCATGCTTGGTTTAGTGGTTATATTCTTGATGTGTGGTCACTGTCTCCTGTGGAATTGGAATGACAGTAATCTCTTGAAGTTTATCTCGTTCTCTCAGAGTGTACACTTTATTTATTTACTTAATTTTTTCCTGATGTTTTATTTACTGAGTTAATGATTTAGGCTTCAGGCTAATAGGGGAGTTATTCCTGAGTAGGCACTGGTTGTGGCTAAGGCAGGTGGGTAGATGTAATACCCAATGGTGGGCTAAGGTAGCCTCCTTGATGAAGGAGGCTAGTGGAGCTCTCATTTAGATGTGCTGAGGTTTTATCAGGGAGAAGAGTGGGAGCTACTTCAGCTCCCCTGCCATGTCAGCAAGAAAGCTATTCACCTTACAGCCTCACTCTTGTCCTAGTGTTTCAGCCATTCAGATCAGACAGGCACTTCTTTTCATGGACAGAAATGTTGATGTTTTGAGTGGGGAGGGATTGTGACTCTGCTGTTTTTCCAGGCATGGATCTGGAGTGTGCTCCTCCTGTGGGGCTATACTCACCCTGGATTTTTCCAGAAAGGCTGTCTATAGAGGCCTCCATGCTGCGTTCTTCTGGGAGAAGCCCCAATTGTGTCTGCAGTACAGTGCCAGGGGAGAACAAGGTCCCCTTCTCCAAGACCCCTCACAATCACAGAGGCTGCCTGCCTGTTGGGGTACCGGTGCAGACGTTCCCTACTATACCCAGCACTGTGATTGTGTTTCTGCTGTGAGAAACGACCCACCAGCAGAAAGGTCTGGAACCCAAGGGCTGTTGTCCAGATTCTTTTGTCCCACGGGGTGATCCCTTCATATGGTTCCCTCCCTCTTCCCATAGAGTTGGCATTTCCTAAGAGCCAGACTGCAGGATTATTGCTCTTCTGGATCTAGCCACGCATTGGGGCTACTAGGCTCTGGGCTGGTGCTGGGGAATGCCTGCAAAGAGTCCTGTGATGGGACCCATTTCAAGTCTCCAAGCCATGGATACAGGCACCTGCTCTGCTAGAGGTTGCAGGGGAGTGATGTAGACTCTGAAAATCATCAGTGAGAATCCTTGGTTGTAGATATGTTCACTGTGCTGACTTTCTCAAATCCTGTTTATACTAGCAGTGAAGTTGTCATGTGAACAGATTTGGGACCTCTGATTAGCCAGGATGTTGCAGGCAGTGGGAT
Source organism: Homo sapiens (assembly GCF_000001405.40). NCBI lineage: Eukaryota > Metazoa > Chordata > Mammalia > Primates > Hominidae > Homo > Homo sapiens. Next base: position 172,018,071 of record NC_000004.12, read on the forward strand.
TAGCTGTTGTTTTCACCTTCCTGGGAGCAGAGTTATTCTGTCATGAATTGCTGTAATGGCCTGAATTGGTAGGCCTCCATAAAGGAGGTGGTCCTTTCAACAGAGCACCAGCTGTGGTAGTAGTAATGGGATACAAGCTTGCCTTACATTGGCCAGGGGGAGGTATTCTGGTTTCTCAGGTAATGGGTGAGGCCAGAAAGCTCCCAAGAGTTTAAGTCTTTTGTGTTTGGCAACCAGAGTGGATAGAGAAATATCAGGTAGGGGCAGGATTATGTGGGTCTGAGCTCAGACTGTCCTTGGGCAGGGCTTGCTGAGGCCACTGTAGGGGTTTAGGGAGTGGTTCTCAGTTTTCTGGGGTAATGTTCCAGAGGGGAGTATGGCTGCCTCTGCTGTGCAGTATAGTTTGCCAGGGAAGTTGGGGGTAGCAGGTAGTGAAAGGCCTCACCCAGCTCCCACACAGTTGGCAAGCCTGGTCTTGCTCCCTCAGTATCCTATTAACAGCTCCGAGTTTAGATCTGGGCAGCCTGCACATAAAACTCAGAACAGCCCCAGGCCATAAGCTTCAATGCTGAGAAAGCAAGTGGGGCTTTTAGGCCACATCTCTCCCAATTTGTCCACAATACCAACTTCTGCACTCAAATCTGCAACAGTTCCCTTTTACCCCTGGATTCTGCTCAGGCAGGTTCATGCCCAATCAATATTACTACAAAATTTAGTTTGAAGCTGCTTTCACCCTGTGACCCCTACTTAATTGTGCTGGCTGCCTTTCCTGAGGGCCCCTGTGAGATATAGTCAGGGATGGCTTCCCTGGGTGCAAGCTGGAGAATGGGAGTGCCTATAAGGCTCTTCCTGCTGCTACTTCTACATTTATGTTTTGTGTGACTCCCTAAATCCTTTCCAGCTCTAGGTAAGTTTAAATCCTTCTCCAGTGATCTGGATTTTCAGATTCCCCAGTGGGATATGTTAGGAGGCAGATTTTTCCCCTCTCACACTTTGGGAACTCACAGTTTTTCGCCTGTCTCATAGAATTTGTAGCAGCATGCCGCTTCTTTCAGAATATCTGTGAATTCTCTGTTTTCCCGGTACACTCCTGCAATGGTTTTTGGAACAAAAGTTCATGGTCTGAGTCTCCACACAATCTTCTTTCATTCCAGGTGGGAAATGCACATTAGTCCTGCCTCCTATCCAACATCTTCCTCCTGTCTCCTGTATGTCCTCTTTTGAAAAATGTCTGTTTGGAGCTTTTGTCCATTTTAAAGAATCATGTTAGATTTTTTTCCATAGAGTGATTTGATCTCCTTATAGATGAATGGATTAAAAAAAAGACCCAATAATCTGTTGCCTATGAGAAACACACTTCACCTATAAAGTTACAAACAGACTGACAATAAAGGAATGGAAAAAGATATTTCATGCTAAAAGAAACCAAAAAAGAGCAAGAATAACAATACTTATATGAGACAAAATATATTTCAGGACAAAAACTATCAGAAAAGACAAAGAAGTGCATTATATAATGAAAAAGTGGTCAACTCAGCAAGAGGATATAACAATTTTAAATACTTATCCACCCAACACTGGAGCACCCAGATATATGAAGCAAATATTACTAGTGCTAAGGAGAGAGATAGACTCTGATACAAAAATAATAGAGACTTCAACACCCCACTTTCAGCATTGGACAGATCTTCCAGGAAGAAAATCAACAACAACAAAAATCGGACTTCACCTTCATTATAGGCCAAGTGGACCTAATAGATATTTACAGAACATTTCATCCAACAACTGCAGAATACACATTCTTTTCCTCAGCACATGGATCATTCTCAGTGATAAATCATATGTGAGGTCACAAAACAAGTCTTCAACATTCAAACATTGAAATAATATTAAGCATCTTTTCTGATCATAATGTAATAAAACTAGAAATCAATAATAGGAATTTTGGAAACTATGCAAACACATAGAAATTAAATAATATGCTCTTGAACAACCAGTGAATCAATGAATAAATTAAGAATAAAATTGAAAAGTTTCTTGAAACCAATGAAAATGGAAATACAACATACCAAAACTTATGGGATACAATAAAAGCAGTACTAAGATGGAAGTTTATAGCTCTAAGTGCCTAAATCAGAAAAGAAGAAAGACCAAATAAGCAACCTAACAATGCATCTTAAAGAACTAGAAAGGCAAAAGCAAACCAAACCCAAAATTAGTAGAAGAAATAATAAAGATTACAGCAGAAATAAATAAAATTGAAATGAAGAAAATAATACAAAAGATCAAAGAAACAAAAGGTTGCTTTTTTTTTTTGAAAAGTTAAACAAAATTGAAAAAGCTTTAGCAAGACTAAGAAAAAAAGAGAGAAAATCCAAATACATAAAATCAGAGGTGATAAAGGAGACATGACAATTGATACTGTAGAAATTCAAAGGATCATTAGTGGCTACTATGAACAACTATATGCTAATCAACTGGAGAATCTAGTAGAAATTGAAAAATTCCCAAATACATACACCTACCGAGATTAGACCATGAAGAAATACAAAACCTGAACAGATCAATAACAAGTGACAAGATCAAAGCCATAATAAGAAGCCTCACAGCAAAGAAAAGCCCAGGACACAATAGCTTCACTGCAGCATTCTATCAAACATTTACAGAACTAATACCAATCCTACTGAAACTATTCTGAAAAATAAGGGTGGAGGAAATACTTCCAAACTCATTCCACAAGGCCTGTATTACCCTGATACTTACACCAAAGACACATCAAAAAAAGAAAACTATAGGCCAACACCCTGATAAATATTGATGCAAAAGTCCTCAACAAAATACTAGCAACCTGAATTCAACAACACATTGAAAAAGATCATTCATCATGACCATGTGGAATTTATCCCGGGGATGCAAGGATGGTTCAACATACACAAATCAATCAATGTGATACATATCAACAGAATGAAGGACAAAAACCATATAATAATTTCAATTGATGCTAAAAAAATTGATAAAATTCGGCATCCCTTCATGATAAAAACTCTCAAACAGCTGGGTGTAGAAGGAACATAAGCCATATATGACAGAACTGCAGCTAGTGTCATATCGAATGGAGAAAAACTGAAAGCCTTTTATCTAAGATCTGGAACATGACAAGGCTGCCCTCTTTCACCACTGTTACTTAACATGTTATTGGAAGTCCTAGCTAGAGCAATCAGAAAAGAGGAATAATAAAGGACATCCGAATTTGAAAGAAAGAAATGAAATTATCCTTGTTTGCACATGATACAATCTTATATTTGGAAAAGTCTAAAGAAGTGAAAGATATCTACAATGAAAACTATAAGACATTGACGAAAGAAATTGAAGAGGACACAAAAAATGGAAAGATATTCCATGTCCATTGTTTGGAAGAATCAATATTATTAAAATGTCCATATTATCCAAAGCAATCTACAGATTCAAAGCAAACCATATCAAAATACCAAGGTCATTCTTCATGGAAATAGAAAACACAATCCTAAATTTTATATGGAACCATAAAGACTCAGAATAGCCAAAGCTATCCTAAGCAAAATGTACAAACCTGGAGGAATAACATTACCTGACTTCAAATTCTACTACAGAGCTATAGCAACCAAAAGAGTTTGTTTCTAGCATAAAAACATATTATGTTCCAATGAAACATAATAGAGAACACAGAAACAAATCCATATATCTACAGTAAACTCGTTTTCAACAAAGGGGCCAAAAACTTTGAGGAAAAGATAATCTGTTCAATAAATGGTCCTAGAAAAACTGGGTATCAATATGCCAAAGAATGAAACTAGATTCCTATGCTTTCCATAGGCAAAACTCAAATCCAAATGAATTAAATATTTAAATCTAAGACCTCAAAGTATGAAACTACTAAAAGAAAATACTGAAGAAACTCCCAGGACATTGGAGTGGGCAAGGCTTTCTTGAGTAATACCCCACAAGCACAGGCAACCAAAGCAAAAATGGATGAATGGGATCACATCAAGTTAAAAAGCTTCTGAACAAGCAAGGAAACAATCAATAAGGTGAAGAGACAACCTACAGACTGGGAGAAAATATTTGCAAGGTACCTATCTGACAAGAGATTTTTATTATTTGCTCAGACAATTGTTGCCATGCAAATATAGTACTATTTATCCCATTTCTCCGCTGCCATTTCTGATAGCATTTCAAGTCACATCCTCATAGTAATTGACAATCTTAGTTTATGAACTAGAGCCTTCCTCCACACTGACTTTTTCAACATCTTGCATTTCATCAATATTCTTGATCTTCTCATTTTCAGTAAATAATACTAATACATCAGTTAAGTTCTTGCATGACCACATCCTGTCTTTTCCAAAAACTATACCAGTGGCAATGACAAATGTGGCCAGTTCACTTTCTGACTCCACATATCCATGCAACTGCTTCAGTATCATCATTCCACCAGTTCTTTGTCTTCTTTAATCTCTGGTGCCTGGTATGCCTCTGCATTTTCCTAGCATTCATCTCTGCTGTCATACCTTTCATCACTATTCACCCTTAGATCTCATGATTCTGTCCTGCAATGTCTTGTCTGATTACTTTCTGTGTCCCTGTTTGGGGAAAAAAAAAACCCTCCATTCCTTGGTGAATGTAAGTCATAGGTCTGACTCCTCTCATGTCTAGTCACAGGCTGCTAAGCACTCCTGCAAAATTCAGACAACCTGACATTATTATAAATTCATAACCTGAAATCTCAATTAGATTTATTAGCAATGTCTAACAATTCTCTGAGCCACCCCATTTCCCTGTTTTTCACAATTCCATTCTAAATCTTCTCTGAACACTTCAAACTATTGACTCTATTTTTCTTTCACTGACTTTAGCTAGCTTTACTGTACAGAGAATAAATAAACGTTTACATATAAAGTCATTTAAATTTCTTCTACCAAATGCAAGAATCCATCTTCTTTTCAATACTCCTTTCCTCCCAACATCCTTCTTTTCCAGTACCATTGAAGAGGTGTCTCTTATCTTATGTAATGATAATTTATCTTGCTTAGCTCTGAGTGGCTTGCACCAATATATATCCAGAAATGAAAAGAGCAGTTAAATTTGGTCAACTGTCCTCCTTCCTGACCAAATAACCATGCCTTCTGATATAGTGTGTTTAGTGTATTGAAAATATATATATATATATTTGTCAAATAATTGTTGACTGTTGTTATTGGCAAATATAAAATAATGCTTCCAAAATACATAACTTTTTTTTTTACCTATAATCACAATTGTTTTCTCCATAACTGCTATGCAATTATCAAGTATAAAAAAGTAAAAACCTTTCACATGTTGGGTATCTTTTCGTAAGTCAAACAAAAAGAACTAAAATATCAAACTGAGTTTCCCTAACTTTGAATGATGTTTAAACTTCTTATAAGAGTAAAATGATTGATTAATTACTTTTCTTATTTCAACTCTTTCATGCTTTACTCTTCAGGTGACTTATTCAATACATTTCTTTTCTTTAACTACAACTTAGCTATAGATTTTTAAATTCATCTCTAGAAATCAATGTATTTTTGGCAGGTAGAACCATACTAATACATGTGCTTGATATAAATGATGCTGAGTCTCACATGCAACAAAAATATATTTTTAAATATAGCTTTGGTCATTCTTTATATTCGAGTAAGTTGTATAGTCCTACCCTATCTCCTTTGGAGAAACATGTAAATACATGGAGTTGTTAATATTATAATACAAATACATTTATGGCAGTGTTTGCTCAAAACTCTCAGTGCCTTGTAATTACTTAAAAGTATAATAATCAAATCCCCTATAATGATGGTTATAATTCCAAAGCATTTTTTGTTCTAAGACACTATTTTAGACTTTTACTGGTCTATTCATTCATTTAAAAAATATATAATTAATCTACTGGTCTAAATTTGGCCCTGAAAATGCCTATCATATTTCCACTATTCTAAACACCCATTCTCATTCTGCTTAGGTTTTAGGGTGTAGAGTAAATGCCAATGTATGCATGAATTCTTCTTTATTCCATTAGATATTTAATTTTGTTCTCTTCTTCCTCTATGCTTCCATTGAACTTTGTTGTAGTTTATTACAGCACTGAGAATATCCTTTTGTTTCTACTATAATTATTTACATATATACATATCAAATGTACATTTTCCTTGAAGGCAAGAGTCATGCTTCATTCATCTTTCTTATGCTTTGTTTAATATATATATACATAATATATTCCCATTGGATGAAAATATTATTACTGTTTAAAAGGCTTGCCTCTAGGCTTAATTTAATTAGCATTTTTTCTATTATATTTAAGTGATTCTCTATATAATACTAATAGTTGACAGAACTAGAAGGAAGACTATATGATGGAAGATCTGATACATTTTGCCTATTTAAGGAGATATTGTCAATTAAAGAGGAATTAGTTATGTAAACCTTCTCTCAATTCCCAATATATGACAAAAGGAAACTTCTTGGTTTATGTAGATTTTAATCAAATTTGGAGTAATTAGTACCCATTAATTTTGTATCATATCATTTAGGATACATTTTTGCCATAGAACTGTATAGTGAACTATGATTATTATTTGAGAGTATCCAGAAGTAGGCTGTAGTACAAAATAAATAGAGTGGAACAACCAGTATAGATTTTTGTGATGAAAAACACAGAAGTGCTATTGTCTTCCTTACTTCATTTTCTTCCTTTCTTCCCTCCCACCCTCCCTTCTTTCGCTTATTCCCTGCTTTCTTCCTTCCTCCCTGTCTAAATTAAGAGATTTTTAGCGTTGTTGGAGTTTCTTCCCTTCCTCTTAGTACCCTTTAGATTGCTAATAAGAAAAGTCTAAGAACAAAATATTACCCATCCAAGATAAATCTTTCCAATAAATGTGATTCATAAACCTGGGATGGGAACAAAGGCATTTAATAAGGTGACCCTCAATGCTTCACAGCTTAATTTTTATTAGCACATCAGACACTAATAGACTCTCATTTAGGTAGGTCAAGGGGTTTTTACAGATAATGTCTGTAAAGGAAATAATGTTTCCAAATAAGGGGCTCCTAAAGAATATCTTATTTTCCTCAATCATAAAATGCTTTCCAGTAACATTCCCAGTTGAATTGGATGTCAAGTATTTAGAGTGAAAATTTCTTTGCATTTCTTTTCATTAAAATGGACTGTCATAAAACAACAAGTACGGCACCTCGCATAAAATCAGGTCATGTTTTATGAATATTTAACTTCCTTTGAACTTTTCAGAAGGAAACAGTGACCTTGAAAACTTCTAGTAGCAGTACAACATTGTAACACAAAGGCCACTGCCTCTGTCATTAATCATGGTAGATGACTGCCTAGAGCTGGTGTTGGCTTTTCAAAGAGAAATAATAAAAGATAGAAAAATGTGAAAATATTTATTATACACTATTTTATCATTTAAAAAAAAGGGAATAGTTGAGACCCAACTAGCACATGAAGGTTTTTTTGAAACTTATTTTTAACATGGAGTTTGAAATTTTTGGTTTTCAGTTACTGTCAGCTTGAAATCAATATACTAGTCAAGCAATAAGAATTTAATAACTGCTAAATATTGGTTCAGTATATTACCTTTTTATTGGGCTTTGGAACTTTGATTTATGCAGAATCACGACAGTACTAACCCTAAATAAGCAGGCCTTTGGTGTGTGTGTGTGTGTATGTTTGTGTGTGTGTGTGTTTAACTGTTTATGAAGGTTTCAGAAAGGCATTCAAAATTCTCAGGAGAAAACCAGTAAAATAAACAAATATTTATCCACATGTTAATTCAAGTCTTATTTCTAGAACAGAATATTGACTTGGAGCTATCATCTAAGCCAAGATAAAAATTTTCAGAGTCAAACAGAATGAGTGAGAACATCATTATATTTAAATTTAAATAATATTAAAAAGGAAAACAGACAATTTGATCCCTTGGTCTTTAGTAAAAGCAATATTCAAAATTATAATGCTTTTTCTAGATTTTTAAAAAATAAAGTATACACGAATCATGTAATTTGCTCACTCATATAATATTATACCAAAATTACCTCCTATGAACAATATTGCATTTGTTTCAATTAAACCCTCAGGATTATAAATGTAGGTATTTCATATTTTTATGCTATTCTAGTTTTATATCTTCAAAATAACAAATAGCCAATAAAATTTCCATGGAAAATGTTAACTCTTTTTTCCCCAGCCTCTTACTTTGATGTCATCAATAATGTCTAGATCATCTATTGACAGATATTAAGCACAGCACAGTGGAAAGATAACAAATTTTGTAATCAGAAAGATGTAGGTTCAAATTATCTGTATCTGCACTATACAATACATAGCCAGTAGCCACATGCGCTCCTTGAACAGTTGAAATGTATTTAGTTCAACTGAGGGATTGAATTTTTAATTAAGTAAATTTAAATTTTAAAATTCAAAACATATATAGTATTTCATTATTTTGAAAGGACTAAGTTTCATTTTAACTATTTACATTACATAAGTATTCATGCTGCATTGTAATACACATTAGGCTCATGTTTCATTTCTATGGTTTTGTATATATACACATAACTGATCTATTGGGGCGAGTGGATTGACTCAGTTTGAATGACTTTTACATGTACTATGTAACACTGCAATGTGTTGATTTGAACATTTTATGCAGAAGGCACAGTTACTGTTACCTATATAAAACATAATTGGTAAATACAGGCATTCTTTGTTTTATTGTGCTTCACTTTATTATTTTATCTTATTTTATTTATTTATTTTTTGAGAAAGGGTCTCACTCTGTCACCTTTCACCCAGGCTGGAGTGCAGTGGCATGATCACAGCTCACTGCAGCCTCCACCTCCTGGGGCTCAAGTGATCTTTCCACCTCAGACTCTCGAGTATGTGGGACTACAGGTGCATGCCACCATGCCCAGCCAGCCAATTGTTTTATTTTTGTAGAAACAGAGTTTCACCATGTTGCCCAGGCTGGTCTCAAACTCTGAGCTTCAAGCAATCCTCCCACTTCAACCTCCCAAATTATTTCTGTGATTATAGTGCAAAGCCACTAAGCCTGGCCTGCGCTTTACTTTCTTGCACTTTACAGATATTGTGGTTGTTACAAATTGAAGGTTTGCTGCAACCCTGTGTGGAGCAAGTCTATCAGCATAATTATTCCAACAGCATGTGCCCACTTCATGTTTCTGAGTCACATTTTGATAATCCTCACAGTATTTCAAATGTTGTCATCATTATTATATCTCTTATGGTGATCTGTGATCAGTGATCTTTGATATTACTATTATAATTGTTTTGGGGTACCACAAACTGTGCCCTTGTAAGATGGTGGATTTAATCAATATATGCTGTGTGTGTTCTGACTGATCCACTCACTGGCCATTCCCTGTCTCTCTCTCTCTCTTCAGGCCTCCCTATTCCTTGAGACCAACGATACTGAAATTAGTCCAACTAAGAACCCTCTAATGGCCTGTAGTGAAAAGAAAAATCACATGTCTCTCACTTTAAATCAAAAGCTAGAAATGATTAAGCTTAGTTGAGGAAGGCATGTTGCAAGCCAAGATGGGCCAAAAGCTAGGTCTTCTGTGCCAAACAGCTCGACAAATAGTGAATGCAAAGGAAAAGTTATTGAAAGAAATTAAAAGTGCTACTCCAGTGAGTGCATGAATACTAGAAAAGCAAATCTTTATTGCTAATATGAAGAAAGTTTTAATGGTCTAGATGGAAGATCCAGGATCCAAGATAGAACAGGTGAGGAAGCTGCAGGACAAAAGTATGGAGGTAGCAGAGATTGGTTCATTAAATTTAAGGAATAAGCCATCTCCCTAACAGAAAAGTGCAAAGTATAGCGGGAAGGGCTGATGTAGAAGCTATAGCAGATTACCCAGAAGATCTAGCTAGAATAATTGATGAAGGTGGCTACACACTAAACAGCAGATTCTCAATGAAGATGCAAGATTGTATTGGAAGAAGTGGCCATCTAGGATTTTCACAGCTAGCAAGGAGAATTTCATAGCTAGCAAGAATTTACTACTGATATATTATATAGTGATGATATAGAAACTACCAAAATAATAAAGATGAAAAGAGATTGGGAGTAGTTACATCACAAAATTCATGATGAATTGCAATTTATTGTGGTAGTGCGAAATGAAAAAAAAAGTATAAAAACTTCAAAAAAATATAAAGTTGACAGTATTAGGAAACATCTTCAGCAAATATGGAATGAATTTTATAAGAAGTTACCTTTGAGAAAAGAATTGATAAAATTGATTGTCTGGAATCTGAATTAAATGCTAATAAAAACATTTAAACAATTTTATACAAATTCTGAGTTTATAAATTTGGCCAAATGTAAGATAGGTTGGATTCCTACACAAAAGAAATTTAGTTTTAGATTGAGATAGTAAGATAAATTATTACTCCTGATATGGAAATTTTGTTATGAAATTGCTAAAAATAAAAGACAATGATTTTAATTATCTGTGTTCTTTTTTAACGGTCATTGGTTGATTTTCACAAATTTTTACTGTACTCAACTTCAATTCATGATTTTCTTTAAACAAAAGGAATGTTTGCCAAACATGTAATTATCAAAGACAAAAAAATGCAGTGTGTTTATATTTTTCACTGATACCACACTGCATATGAATGAACAAAATCTGAAGTTCTATGGAAAAAGAAAGCTCATTAGTACTTAGAAATGTAAAAGTATTTTAAAGCTGACATTTCAAAATAAAAATAATAATTTTACACATTTTTCTAACATGAATCAATATGTAGATTCTACTCTTTGATGTTATATAAATCAGATTCAAAGTCTAAAAGAAAATGTCTAAGAAATGTCTTTTTCTAATATTTGAACATTTAGAGTTGCTTTTTAATTTATACAGTGATATTTTAAACTAGATATTAATTGGCACAATGGCTAGTGAAGAAAAGATGAATTTGTTCTGTCAATATATATGCAAAGATGGGAAGAAATGGTCTTTTTTCAATTATTGAAAATCTTTTTGACCATATTTGGAACAATCTATATAAGGGAATCTATTTTTTGAACTGTAAACTTCATTAAATGTCAATACAGATGAAGCAATTCTTATGAAACTAAGTGTAAAATACCTACAAATTTCAAAGACTTAGTATGAAAATATTGTGTGAAATATTTCATTAATAATTTTTATGTGATTACATGTTAAAACGTTAATTTTTATAATATACTAGGTTAAATGAAATATACAATTAATATTGATTTAACCTCAAATGGCTACATAAAAATTTGATTACATATGTGGCTGACACTATCGAATACTGATCTATATGGTCTTGTACAAGCTACAAATTCCCTCACAATTTCATTTTCTATACTTTAAAAGTAGAATCACTCCAGATAGTGTGTGATTAGGGTAACCCTGAAGTGGTCTTAGGCCAATTGTTTCTGGAAAGTATTTCCTCATTTCTCTAAATGGAACTAAATAGTACATCACTGTTCAAAAAGTGTTTGGTTTTTACTTCTGTAATAGAAATATCATGCTTATCACAAGCATTCATCCCTAGTGGCTGTGACTCCAAAGGAAAACAAAAGAACATGTAAGAGAAAAAGAAAACAGGAAAAGAAAAATATTCAAACAATTATAAGTGATTTACTGACTAGTTCTATGAACTCTAGCATGGTGGCTGGGACACAGTAGGTGTTTTATGATTTTTATAGAATTAATATTTGTGTGATGCTCTAGAAGACCAAGCCCTATAGGTAACAGTGCAATAATGGTTAGCTAATTTACATTGGTAAATTTAAATATGGAAAAAGTGAGTGCTAATAACCCTTATTAGGTATATATGTGTATGCTATGTTTATGTGTGTATGTCGAACTCAGTTCACTTTTGCTACAGCAATCCTGTAATACAGGTATTAATATTCACATTTTACTCAAAATAAAACTCTTACAGATAAAACTTTCCAAGGTCACTAAGCAAATATGAGAAACAATGTAGATTTTAACTAAATGTTACTAATTACCATTCCACCACATTGCCATAAAAACCAAATTATTTGAGCCATGTTACATATTTAGGTAAATTTTATAAAATGCAAATATTTCACCTATCTAATCTAATCGAGAAAAACCACAATAGCTCTGGTTTACAAAATAAATATGATACCTATTTTCTTAAAGGTAATGTTATTCTTATGAATCCTGCGGCATGTCAAGCAACCGGGGTAGCATGAGGTACCTAGTATCCTTCTTGGCTGGGGTCAAAGGAATATAGTAAAAGAGTTTCAAATATGGGGTAGGCCGGGCACAGTGGCTCACTCCTGTAATCCCAGCACTTTGGGAGGCTGAGGCAGGTGGATCACCTGAGGTCAGGAGTTTGAGACCAGACTGACCAACATGGCAAAACCCGTCTCTACCAAAAATACAAAAATTAGCCAGGTGTGGTGGTGCACATCTGTAATCCCAGCTACTCAGGAGGCTGAGGCAGGAGAATCACTTGATCCCAAGAGGCAGAGGTTGCAGTAAGCCAAGATCGCACCACTGTACTCTAGCCTGGGCCACACAGCTAGACTCTGTCTCCAAAAGAATAAAATATGGGGGACATATTTTATATATTTTATTTTATATATTATATATGTATGTATATATGCATATTACCGTATTTCACACACATACATACACATATATAAACATAAACTTTAATGTGTTTTTATAATTTTTTATAATTTTACAGCATCTGGAAATAGTTTACTATAGCATTATGTAAAATAAACTCGCAGTCTTAAAATTTCCTATTGATGACAAACAGAGGATCACTTTATAAAGGAGTGTTTCTGAGAAGACCTACCCAAGCAGTCTGAAATGTATGCCCTCTTCCTACCCCATTCTGTCTCCAAGCTGGATGAAGAAAAATGCAGGAATCATCTCAAAGATTATCATAGAAATGCCCTATTGTCTTCCAAGACTCTGATTCTTTTTATGATCCCAGCCATGTATCATGATGACAGCCGTTTCTCGGCCTTATGACTAAGATCAAGTGTGTCACCATGACAACTTGGAGAATTTCACCTGGGGGAGAGGATCCACAGGTAGTTCCCTGTACCTTATAATATCTGAAAAATGCCAAACAAAAATTAAGTATGTTTACTCCAACTCCACCAAATTCCAATATGGTCCCTGTGCAAATTTCCATAACTTTAAAAAATGGTAATAGGGAAGAATAGAAAACAAACTCCAATGGGGTACAAGATAGAAAAAGGTTTTAGAATAAACTTACAAGACGTGCTCCTTAAAAAATTTATTGTCAATAGTGCTACGCAAATGTATAATTGTATATATGTGATTTTAAGAATGTGCTGCTTAAAATTAATAAAGGCCTTTGTCATTGCTTTGTGGCTAGAAAGATGAAATCTAAAACACTGAGTTAGTCTGAGGTTATCTTTATTGAGTGGCAAGGAAGTATTAAAGAAACATTATTTCTGTAAGAATGACTGTCATCCTTTAGTACGTTGTACCTATTGCACTATCTCTGCCATTCGATAGGCAGCCAAGTTCTCTGGCTTTCAAGTCCTCAGCCTCAGTGTGAAGATGAATCTCATTTCCTTGAAATACTGCTCCTGCTGTATTTCAAGGAAATGAGATTCTGTTCAAGCAAGTTGAAATCTTAATTCCAGTTCTTTTCAGAGTAATAATTTATATATAAAGTACCACAGATGGATGTTTATATTAGATATAATAACTTGAAGACTTATTTTACCTGAAAACGGAATTAGAGCTTCTTAATGCCAAAATACAGAACTAAATCATTTAAGGTTATAGCCCCATCTTTCAGTGCTGGAGAAGCACCATCTTTTACCAAAAGAGCATTTAAGTCAGCATTACTTCTTTCTCAACTGATATCACCCATAAAAAGTTTTCACTGTCACAAAAACCAGTAAAGGAGTAAAATATTTGGCAACTATTGGGCAAGTATAAGATACCTTATTTTTACTAATGAACTAATGTGAATGAATATGAAAGAAAGCTCATGGTATTCTGTTTCATACAATCTTATCCATTACATTTGCTTAAGCAAAAACAACTTGAAGAAAAGTCAATTTGGTCACTAAACTTTGGGAGTAAAACACAAGCTTCTCATTTATAATTTGAAAGAGATTAATAGGTGTCATAATTATCAAGGTGTCGTTAAGACCTATGACACTCTGAATATTGCTCATATTAAATTAAGAATCATTAAATGTTGTGTCAGAGACTTGGAGGGAAAATAAAAGTAAAAGGAACAATTACATTTTATTAAATAATGCTAAAGAATTATCTTAAAATTAATATGTAAGCTCTGAAGAGAATGTTATCATTGACTATAATATGGGCTGATGGTTGAATATCAGTAGATATTTAATTCTTATCTATGTTTCTGCACACAAAATTTGTCTGTATAAACACACCCCAAAACAAAATTTTCTAACTCATTCATATTGTTAAAACCTGCCTTAGGTGCTCTGTGGACATAAATAAGAAGCAGCCTTTTAATGCTTGCATGTATCAGATTATTGACATAGCTATTACGGCTTTATCCTCAAACCACAACTTTCAGAAATGTTGCATTAGAATGTTTTTTTCCAAAAAATAGAAATAGATTAAATTTTTACCAGCATAATATTAATGGTGAAGAGAAAAAATAATGTCTCTTGCAGAAAGGTTTAAAATTTTTAGTATGATCTTTAACCATTTAATCACTGCCATTTTCTTTAGATATCTTATTTCCATTTAATTTTCTCTTTATAATCTGATTGGAGAGATGAAAAATTAGACATATACTGTATTCTTATAGTACATGAAAATTGTGAATAACCCGAAGAGCTTATATATACTGAATAAATGTTAACTCTTGAACCTCCTGTAAAGTGACTACCTAGGTATGACAAGTTAACATTTCTCTAGTAAAAAAGTTGCTTCAGTCCCCCTATTACTGTCTTTTAATGGCTTATCTTGTCTCTTTTGGAACTAAAGCTGTTCCAAACAACTTTATTACACACACACGGAGAGAGAGAGAGAGAGAGAGAGATCAGACAACTCTGATTTTTGAGAGAAAACTATCATTGTCTAGAAGTAACATTCACTATATGTAACCTATAAAAGCACATTTGTCAAATGCTTGTGTTCCATAACAAGAATATATTCTATAAATATAAATATCGTAGTATTTTTTTCTATAGTGTAGAAGGGACACTTGGCTATCAGGCCATTTTTTAAAATAAATATCTAAGAAAACATACTTCAGAGTTTCTGTGGCTTATGTAGTGTATTTCTACACTAAAAAATTAGAATGTCTGGGGTTTCAAATTAGATGAAATCACCTGCCTTATAAATTATGAAGATCCACAGAGCCATTGCTTCCCAGGAAAACTGGCCCTCAGTTATCACAGAGTTTGGAAAAGTATGGCTTGTCACTAGTTTTTCTATGGTCCATGAACTAAGAATTATTTTTATATTTTAAAATAGTTGAAAAAAAATCCAATCATGATATGAGAAAACTATAGAAATCATCAATTGTCCATGAATAAATTTGGATTGAACACAGCCACAGATAATCACTGGCATGTTTACTATGACTGCTTTCTTGCTACAGTGGCAGAGTTGTGTAGTTGTGACAGAGATTGTATAATCCTGCCCTTTACACAAAATATCTAGACCCTTTAGATAGACCAAAAGAAAGTTTTGCAAAGAGTACAAAACTATTAGCCTAATGAGCCATTTGGAGACTTCTGAATTATCTGTGTATATCCTAATAACACTTTTATTGCACTACTAATTGCTCAGGGCTGCCAACTCAATGACTAACTTTTAACATACATGATTATCAGTTGAACAATCAAAAATTGTTTTCTCAGCATAACCTTATACTACTGCTAAAATCAGTGTCTAGTGAGTTGTCGGGGCCCAAACAAGATGTTTTACCATTCTAACAAGGCATAATTCTTTTTAGGATATTTGCTCCAAACCATCTAAGTTTTATTCTATATGTAATGTAATAAGTTAATACGACACGTAAAATGCCACATCCCTGACTAACCTCCCCTGTGCCTGAGTTCTCAAAGTGCTCTGTAGCGCCCTCTACTGTCTGGGCTGTGTACCAACTCAGACACTTTGAGGAGCTGGCCATAGCTGGGATTTCCTTTTTATATATTTTGTATAGGTCATAGGGGCAGGCAACCCATAATTTAGGAACAGATCTGGGTATCTATTCTTCCTTAAGGGGAGCGTGCGTGCGTGTGTGTGTGTGTGTGTGTGTGTGTGTGTGTGTGTGTGTGTGTGTGTGTGTAGTTTGGGAATAAATAGAAACATGCAATCTTGAAACACAAATGAGAATATTCAGCATATATACTGTGGTTATGTATGAATTTTCTTTGGCAAGTCAGACTCAGTGGTGTGATGTGCACACTTAGTCATCTTACATTTGCCAAAGTAATATGAGTACACAAACTCATGAATTTACAAGCAAGCAAAATGTTTCCAAGTCACTTTCATTTTAAGAAATGTATATATTTGTGTACCTGCATTGAAACATTAAATTCAGAATATCATGATAATTATGCAAAAAAGAGGGTAGTTGTCTTACACAATATGACACAAAATGACAGAAGTTGTGGATTTTAGGATTTGGGGTACATTGCCTTAGGTATCTTTTGGTGCATCAACAGTCAAGAACATGCTTTCTACACTAAAGGAAAAGGAATTTTATGTCTTCATGCTGCTAAATTTAAAGAGTTGCAAATAAATTTGTATAGAAGAATTGATGCAAAATATATTTATTGCAATATGTACAATTCCTAAACTCCTGCACTAATTAAACATCTTAATGTTATGGTGAAAATCATGTTACTGTCATTACTATTATATTACTATTCAAGATAACTTGCCATTTTCACAGTAAAATAATTTTTAAGACTTTTAGTGTGTCTATGGCATGTCTATGCCTGTCCTTTTTTAGAACAAGTATGCTTATTACCTGATATTTCAAAATAGTATAAAGTAAGTAAAGTAAAAAGGACTGCCTTCTTTAAAATGACTCAAAAATTTAAAAAACATAGAAAACATGTAAAGTTTTCAAGAATAATAGACAAGTCCATAATATCACTAAGCATGAAGAAAAATGTAGGCAGGACAAAGTTTCCTGAGGCTAAAATATGAAAGAAACCATCACAATTTCCTAATAAATTTGGACTCCTCAAGCCAGTAATATCAGAATAAAAATTGGCAGTGGATATTATGCCTAGGAATATTCCTGGCCTATTACTAACACCTAGAATAAAAAGGCTTTAGAATCTATTGATTGTTATAATATAACTAAGTAAAACAATACATTTGTGTTTAAAACATGCATTTCATGTGACAATAATTTAAAATCTTTGAGACCTCCTAAAGCCAGGAAAAAGGAGAATATGACCCAATGTTAACACTATCAAAGCAAAGTAATACAGTTGATTGAAAATACAGTTGAGCACTCCCAGCAGATGAAGGTGTGAATTTCCTCATACATCATCTTAATGGCAACATTTTCTACAAAGCGACATGGAGCACTCCTTTCATATTTCATGAGTTCTATTTGCCTGACTTCAAAATGCCAAATGTGCCAGTGAACAGTGCTTTAATATTCATGGGTTTTTGAGATGGCTTTGACAGTTGTCAACTAGAGAAATGACTTCATCAGGAAAGAATCTAACTTATGATTTCTGGCACACATATAAAATCATGTAGTCATTCGCATATGCATTCTACTTGAAATGTATTATTTGCATAGTTATCTTTTATGAAAATTACAAAGCTATAAAATCTTTTATGTAACAGTAAGACATTTGTAAATCTTATTTGGATATATACTTAGCATTTCAGAAAATTTTGTTAACCCCAGACATTTAATAATTGAGTTATTTTTACAAATGTCTTTTGAAAGGACATAGCCCAGTAAGTATCCCAAAAGTTCTCTAAAGCATAAGTCATCACAGCATAAATCACACATGTATGTGAACAATTCATATTTATTTCCCTTTCATAATTCAAAAGCTTATTAAGTAATTCAGTTTATAGAAAAAAAATGCAGGCTATTTCTTTAACCCAAAGGTTTGGATTTTGGGTCTTGAGTCTCTCGATTACCTTTCACACACTAAAAATAAAATGTAAAATTACCCATGAAATACAGTTCACTGCTGTTAATCTTAAAAGTTTTAGGAATTTTTCACACGATGTCAGTAACTAATAATACATTGAATAAATTATATAAATCACACAAAGTCATAAGAATTTTTAGTGTATATTATCTCATTGTATTCTCCCAAAAATCTTATGAGCTGGAAGAACCAATAGCATAATACCATTAGATTGAGAGTAATATCTAACAGTTATTCGATACTCACTGTTCGTACATGCCAGTAACTCTTTTAAGCACTTTGTATGTATTAGTTCAATTAATTTCAGTATATAATTAACCACTTTTGTAGATGAGACAGATTAAATAACTTGTCCCATATTTCCTCACTAGAACATTGATTAGGAGCCAGGCAGTCATAGTCGTATAGCCTGAACTCCAACAAAAACCCTAAACTGTCAGATGTTAAACTACATTGAGAACCCAGTTGACGTTTCTACCCTAGGGTTGTTTCCATTTATTTATTACACAAAGGTTATTCTTATTGACTGGTATATTTAATTCATTGAATTTAGCCTTGAAATAATATCTCTTTTGGGGACTATTCTGTCAGCACTGAAAGTTACCCTAGGGATAACATGAAGTTTTGAAATTAAGTGTGATGTGTCATCTCTTTTCTTTTTATTCATCTTTCCTTGTTCTTTAAGTTACAAGCATTCAAAGAGGCAATAGAGATATGTGTGGAATGATGGCTGGAGTTCCCTACATTAGATGATTATACATTTCCTATTGGCTGGCACTTGGCTATGGACTATATGTATACATAAATTTAAAAAGCCTGAAATATTAATTTTTAGAGCTTGCTAAGATAACGGGCCCAGTGCCCCTTACTTTCTGCTAGTACATGCCCTGTCACTTAACGTGTATCAATACAATAGTTTATCTTCTCTGTGTTTATACATGGGTTGTTTAGGATAATTAAAAAAATCAATAAACTGCTGAGACTAGAACTCTGAGACTGGAGCTAACAGTATTCCTGCAGAATCTCCCCACTGCACAGCAATCCTCTTACATTTTCCTAGTCAGCTCTTCCTCTCATTCTCCATAGCATCTATTTGATCTTTCTTAAAAATATCTAGTCCTTTTCTTTCCCACCACTTTGTGCAGATGGCCATGCCTACTATTTCACAGGAAAACTAGATACTGTGATGCTATACCTGCTCACATAAAAACACTAAAAATGCCCTCTACATTCCTCTCTTTTCCTTGTCCCTCCTATTATGCTATCAAAGCTTAACAATTCTGTCTGTGCCCTGAATGCTGCCTCATTCCACTTCCTCAAAGTCCCAACTCTTGTAGTTATCTTTTTTATCCTCTAGACTTTCAAACCTTTGTATCATTTAGGATGGGACAGACTATGCTGAAATAACAAACCTCAAACTATCTTGAAATCATGAGCAATATTGCTATATCCACACTATTACTGCCCATTCAATTCTCAAAATTAGTTTGTTTCTGAAAGTAACCACCAATAACTTAACTTTAAAAAAAAATTCTAGAGACCGGGAGCGTTGGCTCATGCCTGTAATCCCAGCACTTTGGGAGGCTGAGGCAGGTGGATTACCTAAGGTCAGGAGTTTGAGACCAGCCTGGCCAACATGGTGAAACTCTGTCTCTACTAAAAAATACAAAAATTAGCTGGGAGTGGTGGCACACGCCTGTAATCCCAGCTACTTGGGAGGCTGAGGCAGGAGAATTGTTTGCACCTGGGCGATAAGGTTGCAGTGAGCCGAGATCGTGCCATTGCCCTCCAGCGTGGCTAACAGAGTGAGACTCTGTCTCAAAAAAAAAAACAAAAAAATTTAGAGATAATTTTCTCAGTCCTCTCTTACTCATCTATTCAGCCTTATTTGCAAATTCTATGCATCTCCCTTGAAACACTCTTTCTCTTGTTTTTTCCTGATATACACACATATTTTTCCTGGCATTTTAATTCTAGACTTAACTTTTTAATATAATCCTAAACATCGGTATTTGTGAGAGTTTTAAGTATTTTTTTCTTCTCTTTTAAATAGATTGTCTTTTCTTCAACGCAAGGCCAATTTGCTAAAGAGAGTTTATATATTCTATCTTCCAGTTTAATATATACACATTGTCCTTGCTTTGCTCAGTTCTGATATATGTAAATTTCAGTAACTATTGTTTCGTTAAATAATACCAAACCCCCAACAACAAAATTCAAAATTCAAATTCAAAACTGAGAGTAATTATGTGAAGTAAATCTTTGCTGCTAGCTCTTTAGTCCACAAATTAATACATTAAATAATAGATATGCATCACGATCCGTTACCAGCCCCATCACTGTCTTCAAAGTCTGTTGGTGGTTGGTCACCGGTCATTTGTTATTCAATTCACAAACAGTCAGCAAAGCCTGCAGTTATGTTGCTTCCTTGTCTCCCAGTTATGAATCCATGTGATATATTTTTAAATGGATAAGTGAAAGAGAGTTGGCCAAGAAAGATGAAAGAGCAACAAGGAAATAGAAAGTGATAATGCCGGAAGTGAAATTCAAATAGAACATAAAATGGATTCATAGAAGAAGTAGCTGGCCCTGAAAACATTGGCATTGGCACTGTCCAAGAGAATCTAGATCTTTCTCTGCTGAGATATTCTTTTTTATTATTCACTACAAGCGTATTTCCCTGATGCCACTGGGCTTGGTTATAACAGCTGCTTTATAATCCTTTTCGCTTCATTTTGACACCAGGATATTTCATGATCAGGCTCCACTAATTGTTCTATCTACTGATCATGGGTCATATTTCTTTTGTTCTTCATTTCAACTAATTTTGCATAATATCATTGATATTGTGAATTTTGTATTGTTGATTCTGTTATATTCTCCCAAGGAGTGTTGACTTTTTTGTTTGTTTAACTGGCAATTAAGTTTGTTTGGTGTAAACCGCAAACTTTTGTATGTAACCCAAAAAAAATTTTCAATGTGGTATATTTTACATTTTCAGACTTCTTGATATTTGTTCTTCAGCCTAGAAAGTAAAGAAAAATGACAGAAGCTGAGAAGCTTTTTAAAGAGGAAGTCTTAAAAGTATAATGAGAAAAATAACATTCTTTGATGTCCAGCAGACAAATGGTGAGGGTAGAAAACTAGGTTATATATTTGTGTATTTTGCCAGAAGCATTGGCTATATTAGCAGCTGTCACCATGGGGAGATTCCCACCATTATGTAGCTTCTCTAGTAGGGGACAGTCAGGAATGAGTTATGGAGAGAAAGCAGGAATCTACAAAGGACAGTTCATAACAGTGCAGCTGCAAAAATTTTCCAAGAGGAACACATGAGACCTGAGAAGTAAAAACAGCCTCTGGAGACTCCCAGTCAAAAGTGCAGAAGAAAAGGGGAGTGGGGAATCTGCCTGAGCAGATGGGCAAAATGTTTAAACTAAGGTTAAGAAGATTAACCAATAGCATAAGGTTAACATGCAATTGTCAGTACCTATAAAGGGATAAACCTCAGGACAACTCATTATATTAAAATGACTTGATTGCCTCTAATGTTAACATATTTTATTCCAGTGTAATTTCATTAAGATGAAGTTAATTTATATGCTTACTTTCGCTGTGAGAAAGACAACTTCAGGGCAAAAAAAAAATTTACTTTGCATTTAAATGATAAAAATATTGCAATCCATATAAATTTGATTAAACGAACAAACAAAAATGTTAGTCCTATGGAAAACATATGCTTATGAAATAGTAATTTCATCAATTATAGTGTGCAACATACTTTGAAAGAAACACAAAAACAAGGTCCCTGGGATGCCTGGTTTTCTATAACAATGGCGCAATGGAAATGAGAATAAAATGGAGACTAAAAATAGCATATTAATAATCATTGCACTTTCTGGATCACGCTATGAAAGACATTTTGTGTATCAATAACCAACAATTTAAATACTTACAAAATAAATTTTAGACTGGTATTAAAGGTATTTATCTGGAAAGATTTTTCTCAACTATTCTAATATTTCTGTTTGTTCTTATTTTTTTCTCAGTTTTACTCTTTTGTAATATGCAAAGAACTTTGTTTTTTTATGCCACTTTTATGCTTTTTACTTTTTGCTTCCTTTTTCCTAAGACTTCATTTTTCATAGCATATGTTCCTTTTTTAAACATCATGTAACAGAGTTACCCTCTTTCAGATGCTCCAAAATAAATACTTGTGAGAAAAACAATTTGCTTACTGGTTCAATTTCTACCATGCCATTAATGATGACTAATAATTATAAAAATAATAACTGACTATTGATGGTCTAATATGTTATTTGAATACATCATTTTGATTAATTCTTACGATGACGCTTCAACATGAAAACAGTATCTTCAATTTACAGCTGATAAAATTGATACTTAAAGAGGCTAACTGATTTTTCAAGGTTAGGTGACAAACTGGAAGAGCCAGGATTCCAACTGCAATTCCCATTGTTTCTTTGCATGCATTGCTTTCACACTTTGATCATAATTATTTGTTATTATCTTAGAATAATTAAACTATTAATGTCATATATCTATTGATGACTTGCAACTGCACAATATAATTCTGTACAAGACAATTATAATACCTACAATATCATTTGTCTTAATTGGTTGAGTGTTATTACATATTATATTGCTGATACAACAATAATTTTCATTGTTTATACAATCATTTATAAAGAACTTAACTAAATAGTTCACAATGGCATTATTAAAAGTTCTGAGGGATGAAAGGAAAATTGAAGCCTAATGTCTAATTGTTTTTTTATTTTAGATTGCTAATCACAGCCATCTCATAATTTTACATGATGTTGATGATTGCATGAGTTGGGAACATTTTCTATTTGGTTTATTGATCCCTATGAATCAGAACTTTGACACTCACAATAGCAAGGAAAGTGGTTTACTTAAAATGGCGTTATTCTTTGCATGGAGTTTGCTCTTTTTCAAAGGCAGCATTTTACCTTTTCTTTGAAATCATCTTATTGCTGAGTGTTTTAACATTCAGTGGGCAACAAGCTATCAATTATATTAAGAAAAAATTCTACATGCTGATCTAATGCAGTCATTGAGAATATTTTAAAACATATTTAAAATTAGAAATTTTAAGCTGAATCTGAAAGACTGTTCATTGTGAACCTTAGCATAAATAATTTACAGACATTTGTAATCCACTGCTAGAGGAATTCAACAGTACAGACCTGTGATTATATCCTAAATATCTTAGTCCGTTTAGGCAAAATGACAGAGCATCTGAAATGATTTAAAGGCTTTTTTATGATTAACAAAACTATAATTGCCTACATTAGAACTATTTCATTAAATAAACACATTGATTACTTATGGTATGCCTGGCCCTTTGCTACAGGTGTACTTTGTATAACTTGATAGTAGCAAGGAGTAATTATAAAGTGTCACAGGTGTAAGTGTGGTGGATGAAAGACGGCCGCAAATACATTAGCACTCTTCTCATTGAGATGTGAAGTTTTTGTATCCTCTCCTTGACTCTGGTCTAGCCCGTGAGTACTTCCACAAATAAAATGCAGTGGAAAATGAGGTTATGCCATTTCCAAGTTTAGCTTTAAAGAGGACTGGCAGTTGACAGATTCTTTCTCTTGGATTACTCAACTCCAGTTAAGAAATATAACTATTGTACTGTAAAAAGCCAAGACTGACCTCTTGGAAAGCCACTTGAAAAGGTCATGTGTAGAAAGCAAGGGGTATTCAGCCACCTTCCAGCTGCTCCAGTCCTCAGCCATTCAATTAATAGCACTGATACCCTGAACATTTTAGGTAAAGACACATTTTCTCCAGTATGCCCTATTCCAACTCTTAATCCCAAAACAATGAAGTATAATAATAACAAATTTTGCTTTAAGCCCTATGAGTTTTGGTAAACTCTGCTACTAATTGAATTTGTGATATTGGAAATTTTATTTAAACTATTTACACCTGCAATTGTAAGTAAATAAAATGATAGTGCCTATCACATTGTTATGACTAATGAGATACTGACCTTGATGTTTCTAAACTGTATATGGCACATAAAAATAAGCCTTTAACTCCATAACTTGTATTTCCAGCCTAGACTTCTCTTATGAGACCCAGACATAATCATATATCCAATTGCTCATTAAGCAAGTCTACTTAAACGTTTTATAGCACTTCAAACTTGTATATTCAAACTTTTCATATTCCCTCACAAGCTGCTCCCTTTTCTGTGTTCCCTA
This sequence comes from Homo sapiens, assembly GCF_000001405.40. Classification (NCBI taxonomy): domain Eukaryota; kingdom Metazoa; phylum Chordata; class Mammalia; order Primates; family Hominidae; genus Homo; species Homo sapiens. The sequence goes on from NC_000004.12 coordinate 172,042,558, forward strand.
TTTTGGCATATGGCACCCCGTCTATTTAGTTTCACAAGCGAAATCCTCAGTTATCTTTGATGGTTTCTTTTTATTATCTGGAAAAATCTGCTTTTTTTAAAAAAAATATACAAAACAACTCAAAAATGTTTTCACTTCTTCTCCCACTGCTGCCACCTTCCTTAACTCATCTCTCTCTTTCTTTCTGTCTTTCTCTGACTATTCTGATAGCCAACTCATGTCACTCAGACTTCTGCTCACTGATTACATCAACTTTTGGCACTGCTCCAAGTTTTTACCTTGTTCTATCCGAGCAATCTTTAACAGTAAAAAAAAAAAAAAAAAAAAAAAAAAAGGTAATTATTGTGATGCATAAAACTATTCAATGAATTCAATAGAAAACAATTTAAAATTTGAAACACAGTGTTACAGACTCTCCAAAATCTGGCTTTTGGCACCTTTCCAGACTGATAATGAGTCACCGTCTTTGTTGGTCATTACCTTTCAGCCACACAACACTTTGGCCTATTTTAAAAATATGTCCCGCCCTTTCTCATCATCAGGGCTTTGCAAAGCTTGTTTCCTTCTGCGCACACTCTCACTGAGTTAACTAGCAATTATTTTGGCTTTTGTACAATCATTTCTTCCTCAGGAGAATGCTCTCTGACAAACTCGGCTTTGATTAAAATCTCTGAAATGTAATCTCTTTATACAGTATCTTCTTCATAAAGTTCATATAATTCAAATGGATTCCTTTTGTGTGTGTGTTTTTATTATTACCATTCGTATTATTTAAGGCCATGGCACAGAGAGGGTTAAAAGTGGAAACCAGCAATTAAAGGTAGGGAAAACTGATAAGATATGATACAAGCTTCAATATTGGAAGAGGCCAGACTTTATTAAAAGATGGTCACATTTCTCAGCACTGTGAGCTATGGATCATATGCATTTATTTACTCACATGTATACACACATGTGCGTGTGCATATATGAATACATAATGATATATAACCACAGCTATACTTTTTCATCTTTTAAAGGTTTTATTTATAGGATTAGAATACGGGTTACAAATGTTAAATAAATAGAACAGTTACTAGTTTCCACAAACATTTGTTTAGTGTATAAATATTCCAGGAAAATTTCTGGAAATACAGGAAATAGTATTATCTAACATAAGGCAAAGTGTTCTCTACCTACTCTTTGTTGAAGATTTTCACCAAATACTAGTAAAGTTTTAAATGCAAAGATATCTTCAATTTTGAAAGGTATGGCCTTTCAGCCATGATTACAAGCAGGCCCTTATTTCATTTTCTGTTCCATTTAAATGTTCGCTTTAAATGTCACAAGTTTATGGCATGCATATTAAATAGAGAAATATAACTATTCTCTGTAGACATGAGAGTAAGCTTTAAAGAGATTTGTTAGTCTACTTTAAACCAGAATCACAACCTCTGTATTAGGAAACAGTGTAAGGAAGGAAAAAGATGAAGATGAAAGTTGAGCTTCCCACTTAGCTCTTAGGAGTTTGGTTAAGATCTCTAGGATCTTAACCAAAACATTCAGATTCTCCATGCACAAAATTAAGAGGTAAGAAAAGGTCAATTCTTAGTCTCACCCAATTTTAACATTCTACCATATTTTAGTTACTCAGTCGCCTAAAATTCCTTCTGGGCACTTCCTATTAATACAAAGTCACTATTGATAAAATGGTCATATATTGACTATTGTTATCCATTGAACATTAAAATAATATTAGGTTGGTGCAAAAGTAATTGTGGTTGTTGCCATTACGAATGCCCTTATAAATACATGGCACTTTAAAGAGAAATTGAAAAATGCGTACTATCATTTGTTTATATTTTTGGTGTTATATTTCCAGCATGTAGTGAGAAGCATTAAGAAAACAGAATTCTAGCTTACCCCGAGAATGTCAATTTTATCTTCAGATATATGCCTTTCACATAGAGAAAAATCAACAGACTTAGGGAAACAAAAATGAAAGTAACATCAGGCCACCAAAGTTCTATAATGATTATATTGTACTACTATTCAACAAATTGTATTCTAATATATGCCTGTAAATGCTGAGAAGTGTCACAATTGTATAACACTGGGAAAGAGATGATTTTAATTTTGCTTTTTTCATTGTAATTGATTTATTAGACTCTCTAGAGTTATTAATCCTTTGTAATAGAGTTTAAACAATTGTAACCTCAGACACTTGCCTTTGAAATTGTGATAATTTCAAATAATAAGGCATACCCAGAAAACTTTGTTTGCATGACTTAAAATATCTATTTGAGCTACAGAATTACATAAGCCTTCTTCTTTTCTATAAAGTATCAAGATCTACAAAATTATATTTCAATTACTTTTTCTATACAATATATTTCAGTGGGTGCACATAGATAGTTATTGGATGAAAAAAATGTAAAACCCATGTCAAGTATGCCAGCCTGTGCTGTGTATCACCAACTGTAATTTAAATGTGGCTATTTTATTCTTATATAATTTTGGCTTTTCATTGTTCATGATATATACTAATTAGCTGACATTTTACCTTCATTTAATATATTCTTTTTGATATCATACAAAAACTTTCAGTGTTTGATTAGAATATGCTTGAAACAATGTTTAATCTGCCATACTTTCTTTCATCTTCACTGTAATACAGTAGAGCACTGTGCGCCTAAGAGACAAGCTTATATAAGGCCAGCTTTGGCTTTGTACAGTGGAGCAGGTGGGTCTGAATTCTATTCTAATGCAAAAGGAGCTCCACAAAATTTGTCCATATTTACGTGGAAAAATATAACCTGTTAATTGCAGTGTTTGAGAATTTATATATTTAAAAATCAATATAAAATTTCCCTAAAGTCTTCTCAGTTTTTGCTAATTTAATTTAAAAACAATATCATAAACATTATAAGTCAGGTTCTGACATTTTGAGATTTTTTTAAAGGGTCAAATGCCTGATTTAAAAATAATTTCATGTTCAACATAGTATTAAATGCTTTCCAAACACTCCATACATACTTTGGTATTTATAGAAAAAGGGCTATTATGTGAGATGCAAAACTACTGTTCCTTTTTAGGCATGTGAACTGATATTTCATGTTTTCTTTAATAGAAAATATCTCCATATTTATAGGCAGTTCATAAACCAAGTGTAGGTCATTTGGAAATTCACATTAAAGTTTAATTATTGCACACTGTACAATAGAACTAAAAAAAAAAAAGAAAAAAGAAAAACTAAACAAATTCCTCCCATGTAACTGAGATATGGTACACTTTGACCATCTTGTCCTCATTCCCCTGGTCACGCCTCTGTCTCTGTAATCACTATTGTACTCTCTGCTTCTATGAGTTTGATTGTTTTAGATTGTTTAGATGTAAGTGAGAACTTGTGCTGTCTGTCTTATTGTGCCAGCTTATCTCATTTAGTATAATGTTCTGCAATACCATCCATGTCTTGCAAATAGCATAATTTTCTTCTTTTTTAAGGCAGAATACTATTTCATAGTGTATATATACCACATTTTTATAATCATTTCATTCATTGATGGACATTTGATTCCATAATTGATTGAGTTGATTTCAATCAATTGAATTGATTGATTGCATAATTGAGTTGATTCCACAACTTGGCTGTTGTGGATGATGTTGCAATAAACATGGGATTGCAGATATTTCTTTGATATATTGATTTTAAATCTTTTGGGCACGTACCCAGAAGTGAGCTTGTTAAATCATATGGTAATTCAAATTTTAGTTTATTATTATTATACTTTAAGTTCTGGGGTACATGTGCACAACGTACAGGTTTGTTACATAGGTATACATGT